>NC_000008.11:58427265-59052265 GCF_000001405.40 Homo sapiens
TCAAGACCAGCCTGGTTAACAGGGCTTAAACCCCATCTCTACAAAAAAATAGCCAAGCGTGGTGGTGCACGCCTGTAGTCCCAACTGCTCGGGAGGCTGAAGTGGCAGGATAGCTTGAGTCCAAGAGGTGGAAGTTGTAGTGAGCCAAGATCACGCCACTGCACTCTAGCCTGGGCAGTAGAGCCATATGTTGTCTCAAAAAATATATAAATAAATTTTGGATTGAGGTAGTGTCAATGGAACGGAGAGAAAAGGGTGAAATTAATGCAGGATATTTTAAAGGTGTTCATTGTAGAAATGTAATGACATGGGATATAGGGAGTAAGCCAGTGGGAAAGAGGGAAGACTTAAATGTTTTAAATTTGGGATACAGGAAAAAGTGTGATTGTTAATGGGAGGGCTTATGTGTAGAAATAGCTTCAGTTTTGGAGATGAACTTGAGTGAAGTAGAACTATCTAGCAGGTGCTTTTAAATTCAACACTGGACCATAAGTGAGTGGTAAAAGCACATATTTCAGAGTCATCTGTATAGGAAGAGGTTATCTTTGGCAGTGGATAAATATTTTGATGATGACATGAGCTTAAATAGAGGGGAATTGAAGTCAAGGATATGGGCATATTTATGTAAGAGGAGGAGGAAGAAAACTCAGTAAAATAGAGAAGGAGATGTTGGATCCCATTGGGCAAAGAAACAAACAATTTTGGTATGAAAGTCCAGGAGAGAGTTCAACTATGAAACAGCGAAAGGGAGAAGAAGGATAGGCTCAAAAGGATCAAATGTTTCAGAAAGTGTTTAATAACTGAGGGAAGTCTTTTGTGTTTGGCAATGAGAAGATAACTCAGAACCTTTGAGTATTCAGTAGCAAACCTTGAGATTCAGTAGCACAATGGGAGCAAAAATCTTACCACAGGGAGTAAATGCACGGGAAAGATGGGTACCAGTCGCAGATAATATGTTTAAGGTTTGGGTAATCATCATTAGGATCTAAAAAGATTGAAACCGCTCAACTCTTCTGAAGTTGGGAACATTATCAGTGGGTAACCCCTATCACAATTTTCATTCAACTTGTACTGGAGGTTTTAGTCAGCACAATGAGATTAGAAAAACAAAAGTATACAAATTGGAAATAAATAAAGCTCATTATGTGTAATGACATAATTGCATACAAAGAAAACTGTAAAAGACTGATTCTTTTTCTGATTCCTCTGGTCATTTTGATGTTTTCCTCCTGTGTTCCTCTTCATTCCTAGAATTTTGTCCCTTGTCCTCTGTGCTTATCTAAGTCCTAATGTCCTAAATCCTTTTAAGGCCCAGCTGAGTACTAATTCTGTACTACAGATGCCTATCTTTTATTCCTTTTCACTTATATTTAATAAGTTAGTTTGAATGAGTATAGAGAATTACTTCAGCAATCAATAAATATTTTTGCCCCAAACATTCATGAAGAATTAAAGTTGAGGACTTACACTGCTGCATGCAAAGACTTATTGTAAAGCTGCAATGGTTAAGAGAGTAAGAACTGACAGTAGACCATGGACCAAAATACGAGAACTCAAGAATCATAGGCAACTTGATTTATGACAGTGCAGAGCAGTGAGGGGCAGAATTTCATTAGGTGGTACTGGGACAAATGGACATTTATGTAGAGAAAAAATAGTTCTTGTCCTCTACCTTATACCACCTATAAACGTCAGTTCCATATGGGTTGTGGATCTAAATATAGAAATTAAAACAAATTTCTGGAAGAAAATAGAATATCTTTATGACCTTAGAGTAGGCAAAGATTTCAAATAATAAAAACCGTTAACCGTAAAGGAGATAGGAAATCATTTGCTATGACCGATTTTTGCGGTAAGGTCTTTCTCACTAAGACTGAGATAAAAAGGAATGATTATTCACTTTGCCAGATTAGAGATGTGGAAAGCCTTGAAGGTGACTTCCATTCCTCGTTTCCAGGGCACTCCAGAGAGGGGAGGAGTGTTACGGCAGCAGACAGCTGCAGCAGGAAGTGTTGCTTTGCTTTTCTGTGTTTGTCGTCGCTCCCTAAAATAATCTGCTTCTAACACTAAGGCTTGTCTTAAAAGCCAACTAGGGCAGTGTTCAACCTTGCTTGCTACTCTGGACCCTTGAGTGTAAGCTTGGGACAAGGGCTTCCATAGGCTCCTGCTCTAGATAAATTTGGGCCCAGTGTACTTCTCCAGAGCACTGGCAGGATGAAGCCCCACCTCCACCTTCTGCAGTTTGTGGGGTTTAGTAGGGTTCTCCTGGTGTCTCCTTGTTCTCCATCCTGATGGATCTTTTCCTTCCTTTACTGCAAAGTGAGAGCTGGTCTGTTCTTTCCTCTATCTTACTCAGTTTTGCATATTCTAATTTAGGAGAAAGCCTTGAAGGTGAATTCCATTCCTAGTCTCCAAGGCAGATATCATTTCCCCCCATTGTTTTGTTCTATGTGTCAGTTCAGTGTGAATTTGGAATTGGATTGGAGAGTTATAAGTATTTTAACAACTGAAGTTTGATTGTCATCTTACCCTGGAAGTCTCCATGTTGATACTTCATTGTTTATAGTTTCTGATATTCTTGATAGAAAAAAATCTTGAAAGATAAAAGTAGGTTATTAATCTTACGTAAAGGTAATTTTTATGTTTCCTAGGACCATTTATGAAGTTGGAGTCAAAGTAGAAATTGGTCGCCAAAAAATTACTGTCTAAATTATTTACTTTTAACAAACGCAGGGGCTTTTAAGGGAGTAGGTCTCTTAAATCCAAAAATCTCTGAAAGATAAATCCTCTCTAGATAACCCTTTAGTTTAGAATTAGCTGTTTATACTGTCTAAATCTAAAGATCTCGTCACTAACTAGGTCTCTACTGAGTGTGGCCTTCTTAGGGAGAAGGGACTATCTTTTGACTGTTGACACTGCTTTTCCTTCTACATCAGAAGTGCTGAATTAGTGAATGAGATGTATGTGATAAGCAGTTACAGAAGGCTGAGGGATCAGCAAGCAAGCCAGTTGCCGTGCTGGAGGCTGAACTTGCCCTTAGAATCAATCTTTGCAAACTCAGTGAGAAAGTATATGATTTCCTATTTATTATACTTTTCCTTAATCCCATTTTAAAAATTAAATATTCTCATAGAAGTCAAAATAATGCCTCTTTTTAAATAAAATACTTTTATTTTCATAAGACTATGTAGCTTTTTACTTCAGTTTATGTCTGTTATCCTAAGTTTTTATTCATGAACTAAAATGTTTAAAGGTTTTACTCAAGTGAACATGAATACAGTGGATTAAATATAGTTCGACCTTCAACTGGGAAAATTGTGAATGAACTTTTCAAAGAGGCAAGGGAACATGGGGCTGTCCCTCTGAATGAAGCCACAAGAGCTTCAGGTGATGATAAATCTAAGGTCAGTGCTCAATTTTAAACTAAATACATTGTTTCTATATTTTACCTCCTCTTTCATTTTTCTATTATTTGCAAACATTGTTTTTCTAATTGTATATTTCTGTTTTAAATATTTGTTTCATTTTTATAAAATTATAATATTTCTATTAATGATTGAAAGTTGAGACAATTTCTTACATTTCTGAACAACTTTTTAATTTACCTTTTAATTACAAAATAATTAGTAGAGTCACAGGCATTTGCAAAAAGAATACAGGGAGGTTTCATGTACCTTTCACTTCAATGGTTTCCCCCAATGGTTCCCCCCAATGGTTACGTTTCACATGATTGTAGTATAATATGAAAGCCAGGAATTTGGCATTTCTCTCTGTCTATGTCCTTTTATCACATGTGTAATCACCCAACTGAAACTCTCCTTCATAGCCTACCATTTGCACTCACACCCACCCCGTCTCTCATGCCATCCCTAACCTCTAGCCAATACCAGTCGGGTTTTCATCTCTATAATTTTATCATGTTAAGAGTGTTAAACCAGCCGGGTGTGGTGGCTCATGCCTGTAATCCTAGCACTTTGGGAGGCCGAAGCAGGCAGATCACAGTTCAAGACCAGCCTGGCCAACATGGTGAAACTACAGTGTTATACAAATGGAGTCATACAATATGTGACCTTTTGGAATAGCTTTTTTCACTTGGCATAATGCCCTTCAGATCTGTCAGAGTTATTGCTTGTATCACAACTTTGTTCCTTTTTAATTCCCGAGTAGCATTTTATATAGATATACCACAGTTTAACCATTCATTTATTGAGGGATATTTTAGTTGCCAGCTTTTGACTATTACAAATAAAGCTGCTGTGAGCAATTGGGTACAGGTTTTTTTACTCACTTATGGTTTTATTTCTCTGAGATAAATGCTCAGAAGTGCAATTGGTAGATCATACATTAAGTGTATGTTTAGTTTAAGAAACAGCCAAACTATTTTCCAGAGTGGTTGTGCCATTTTATATTCCCACATATATGAGAGAGCAAGTTTCTCTGCATCCTTTTCAGCACTTGGTATTGTCACTATTTTTAATTTTAGCCATTTTGATGGGTGTATAGTGATAACATGCCATGGTTTTATTTTATTTGTCTAATAACTAATGATGTTAATTTGCATTTTCTTAATAGCTAGTGATGAACATCGTTTCATGTGCTTCCTTGCCATTATCTGTATTATTCTTTTCAAGGAAATATCTCTTCATTACTTTCCCATTCTCTAATTGGATTATTTTGTTACTGTTGAGTTTTGAGAATTCTTTGTATATTTTAATAGGTATGGGTCCTTTGTCAGATACATGGTTTGTAAATATTTTCTCTCAGAATGTCATTCATATTTTTATCCTCAGCAGGATTTTTCACTAAGGAAAAGCTATAAACTTGGATAAAGTCCAATTTATTCCTTTTTTTTCTTTTATGGATCATGCTTTTGCTGTATTGTCTAAGAACTTTTTACTTAACTGTAGGTCCCAAATATTTTCTCCTTTGTTATCTGGAAAAATGTTACAGCTTTACATTTAAAGCTATGATCTATTTGAATTTTTTATATAAGGTGTGAGGTTGACACCAGAGTTTATTGTTTTGCTTATGGATGTCCAGTTGCTCCAGCATCACTTCTTGAAAGGCACTCCTTTCTCCATTGAATTGCTTTTGTACCTTTCTAAATTTCTTTTTTTTTTTTTTTTTTTTTTTTTGAGACAGGGTCTCGCTCTGTTGCCCAGGCTGGAGTGCAGTGGCACCATCTGGGCTGACTGCAAGCTCCGCCTCCCGGGTTCACACCATTCTCCTGCCTCAGCCTCCAGAGTAGCTGGGACTACAGGCACCCGCCACCACACCCAGCTAATTTTTTGTATTTTTAGTAGAGACGGGGTTTCACCATGTTAGCCAGGGTGGTCTCGATCTCCTGACCTCGTGATCCGCCTGCCTCGGCCTCCCAAAGTGCTGGGATTACGAGCATGAGCCACCTCTATACAGCTTTTATAATTGTTACCAACTGACACAATATTGATATACTAAAGACGAACAGTTACGTGTCTTTTGTGGTATCATTTCATACATTCTTACAAGTAGCATTTCTCAACCTGGAATTTCTCCATCAGAATCATTTGGGGAGGTTATCTAAACTACCTGATGGCTTCAGGTATTATGGTTCAATAAATTTGGGATATGCCTAGAAACGTGTCTTTTTAAAAAAGCCTCTATGATAATTTTGACATCCATTGTTGAGAACCACTGCTGTAATGAAACTTAAATTTTGGTTTTCATTTCATTATTCGTCAATGGTTTGAAATGATCTTTTAGTCAAGTCTTATGGTAATTTTGGTTCTTGAAGGCTCCCCAGTATGAGCCACTTTGGCTAATTAGAATTAATCTAGTTTTAAAATACATATCACATAATAACTTTTTGCTGAATAATCCTTTGTGAATTTTAACTCACTTGCTATGTATTTTAGTCATTTACAGGTGGAGGATACAGATTGGGTAGTTCTTTTTGTAAGCGGTCTGAATATATCTATGGAGAAAATCAGCTGCAAGATGTAGGTACAATAATCAAAATGAAAAAGTATAAATATTTGCTTCTAGTTACTAAAACTGTTGGTTTTAAAATTAAGAATTGATAATACAAATATATTTTTGTTACTTTTTAAAACATGGGTTAAAAGGACCAATGATGTGTGAGTTTTCAGTCTCGATCTTTATGTTTTGTATCACAATTATGCCTTGCACTTAGAGATATGGAACTATTTGTTGAAAGAATGTGTGATTCATTTTCCAAATGAATTTGCAGCCAGGCGTGGTGACATGCATCTGGAGTCCCAACTACTCCAGAGGCTGAGGTAGGAGGATCACTTGAGCCCAGAAGTTCAAGGCCAGCCCGGAAAACATAGCCAGACCCTATCTCTTTAAAAAAAAAAAAAAAAAAAAGGTGTTTAAAAAAATGAACTTGGGCCAGGCACAGTGGCTCACGCCTATAATCCTAGCACTTTGGGAGACTGAGGTGGGCAGATTGTTTGAGCCCAGGAGTTCGAGACCACCCTGGGCAACATAGTAAGACCCTGGATCTTTAAGATAAAAAAATCAATTAAAAAAAGAAAAATGAACAAATATATAGTTATTATTATAAATGGTATATTTTCATAATCTAAAATGAGGTGAGGTGTAAATGAAGAACACCTAAAGTCATTCTTTGTTTCTGTTGCCTTTTGAAATTTTGGAGTTTTAATTTTATTTTAGACATTGATAGTTTCTTGGAAGGTCACTGGAAATTCTGTTCCCCTTAGGATGAATATTTAAGCTCTGTAGCAAAGAAGAGTATGGGTGCAGATGAAGGAAAATGAAGGAAGTGGGAATCATGGAGTACAGCTCTTCTCATTGCTTTCATTTTCTTGTGAACCATCCACCAATAATTGTACTTCGAGGCCAGGGTCCACCTGCAGGACCTTTGGTATTTGCAGCCATTGTCAGTTTGTTAAGCTGAATGCAAACTAGCTAAACAAACACATGTGGTTTCATTAATGTCTTTCACTATGAATAAAGAATAGTAGAAATAACTCCCTATTTTAAATTAAGTAAATACGTTTTAGGATATCACATTTGGAACTTAAAATTATTTGGGGGAGATATATTCTTATGTATATGTGAATATATATATATATATATATATTTTTTTTTTTTCTATACCCAAAAGGTTCAGATTTTGCTTAAACTGTGGAGCAATGGTTTCAGTTTAGATGATGGAGAATTGAGACCTTACAATGAACCAACAAATGCTCAATTTCTGGAGTCTGTTAAGAGAGGGTAAGATGTATTATTTGTATTCTATTTGTTATGTAGAGTGGGACTTATTTTCTTAACAGACTACTCATTATTAGTGCACTACGGGTTTTCAAGAAGTAGTTCCTGGAATATATTAAATAAATGGTTGCTGGGGGTGTAGGTATTCTTAAGTTTATAAAGGATATACTGCTATCTGTATGTAAGTCACTGGTTCTTAATTTTGTGGGCCAGGGGCATTGGACATTGGCCCATTTTAAAATCTGATGAAACTATGAACCCAGCTCCAAGAAGAAACATCTTAATGTGATAATCAGTGAATTAATTAGTATGTAGCTGCCCACCCACTAAGCCACTGTCCTGCTTACTGTTGACAGGGTGACTCTCATTGCATGTATGCCTGAAATTCAGCAACTTATGTTAGAAATCTTTTAATGTGGCATTACTGCTGGCAGAAGATTTCAAAAGGTTAGTTTGAAGTTATAATTTGTGAAAGTAAACTCAGATATTCAGTGCTCTCACCCATCCAAAGAACATTGTAACTTACCAGCTCTTCTTGCTAAAGGATGAGGAATCAAGTGATTTTGCTATGATAATAAAAGCTTTTCTGTGTTATGATTAAACTAGCTGAAAGTGGAGTTATTTCTAAGTAGATATGCAACTAAAGACATAAAGTTGAGCATAAACTGGGGAATTAAGTTGTAGGAAAGGATCAGAGTTTTACTGTATATAACCAGAGTTATATATACAGGGTTATACTCCATAAAGGAATAGAAGGTGGAACATTTCCAAATGTTGAAATATGTCCAGGATGAGTGGCTGACATGGAGTGGAGGTTAAATTCGTCTTTTAGAAGACTAATTAGCATGAATTTTGAATTTAAATTATATACAGATACTGTCAGGATACCAAACAAAGGCAACAAATGCCCTAAGAAGTATGCTGAAGGCATTGGGAAAGGTGGGAAGCTGTCCTAGGAGGCAGTATATGGGGGTGGCAAATACAGGATATAATGGTTTAAGTCAATCCTGTGGACTTGGAAACCTGCAGAATCACTGGGAAGAGCTGCGAGCAACTAGGTGGGGGAAGTTTTGATTGGCTAAGCGAAAACCAACATAACTGTAGAAATTGATACTAATTTCAAGATAGTGGAAACAAAGAACATATTGAGAATGAATGTTCTGTTATATAGATAAAAACTAATTTATTGTTAAATGAAAATAAACCACAAACTTTGTAGGCTAATGTTTAAACAAATGTGGTATATTAAAAGAATTTTAAAATTTGAGCCACACCATATCTGCAATAATGTACAAATTATGATCAATAAGAGTTTTAGAAAAGACTCTAAAGAAAATGAGTAATGTCAGGTAGTGGTTCTCAGCTATGTAAGACCCATTGTCTCCTTTTTATAAGAAATATTTTGTAAAACCATCTACACTATCCTCAAAGAAGAACTCATAGATAATATAATCTATGTACATGATTCTCCAAAAGAAATTAATATATGTTCTACCTTAAATATATTGAAGAAATAAAGTAATTTATTATAAAATGATACATGTTTTAGTTTATAAATGCCCTGGTATGACCACACAGCACACCTAAGAAGTAGTTAGTTTGTACCTCTGTGCAGTCTAGCACTTCCTATGTAAATGTGACAGGTATAAAAACAGAAAAATGAAGTATATGAGGTTGTCAGCTTAATTACTACAAGTAGCATTGCATTCAAGGACTTGGTAAAGGTCCAAACAAAACAAAGTACAATCTTCCCTCACTTTACATGGTCGTAAAGTGGACTTTACTTCCTGGAGATTTCAAAGTATATTAATACAATAGCCTAAAAAATGTGTTTTGCTTGTATATGAGACAGAGTTAGGTTTTAGGATCAGACAGTATTATCCACGTGACTCCCTGGAGGGCACATGATGATTCTTTGGAACCCAAGATGAGTCTTTATCACGTAAGACAAATCTCCTGTTGCAGTGCATCTGACATCCCCTACCTCGACACTGAATGACAGCAGTGCTCACAGATCACACCATGATGTTTAGATGGTTTAGATGTTTTGTCCTCCTCAAATCTCATGTTGAAATGTGACCTCCACTGTTGGGGGTGGGCCTGTGGGAGGTGTTTGGATCATGGGGTGGATCCCTCACAAATGGCTTGGTGCCATCCCCATGGTAATGAATGAGTTCTTCTTCTGGCAGTTCAAGTGAAAGCTGATTGTTTAAAAGAGCCTGGAACCTCCCCTTCTCTCTTGCTTCCACTCTTGCTGTGTCATACACCAGGTCCCCCTTTGCCTTCTACCATGATTGTAAGTTCCCTGCGGCTTCACCAGAAGGAGAATCTGGTACCATGCTACTTGTACAGCCTGCAGAACCATGAGCCAAAATAAACCTTTTTGCTTTATAAATTACCCAGCCTCAAGTATTCCTTTATAGCAGTACAAACAGACTAATACAGAAAATTGGTACCAAGGAGTAGGGCATTGCTCTAAAGATACATGAAGATGTGGAAGCATCTTTGGAACTGGGTAATAGGCAGTGGTTGGAAGACTTTGGACGTCCTTGAAGAAGATAGGAAGACAAAGGAAAATTTGGTACTTCTTAGAGACTTCTCAAGTGGTTGTGACCAAAGTATTGATAGAAATATGGACAGTGAAGTCCAGGCTGATGAGTTCTCAGATAGAAATGAGGAAGTTATTGGGAACTGGAGTAAAGGTCAGCCTTGTTACACCCTAGCAAAGGACTTGTCTGCGTTGTGTCCATACCCTAAGGCTTTGTGGAAGGTTGAACTAAAGAGTGATGATCTAGGGTACCTGGTGGAAGAAATTTCTTTTTTTTTTTTTTTTTTTTTTTTTTTGGAGACGATTCATGCTCTGTCACCCAGGCTGGAGTGCAGTGGCGCGATCTAGGCTCACTGCAACCTCCACCTCCCAGGTTCAAGCAATTCTCCTGCCTCAGCCTCCCAAGTAGGTGGAATTACAGGTGCTCACCACCACGCCTGGCTAATTTTTGTATTTAGTAGAGATGGGTTTCACCATCTTGGCCAGGCTGATCTTGAACCCCTGACCTTATGATCCACCTGCCTTGGCCTCCCAAAGTGCTGGGATTACAGGCGTAAGCCACCATGCCTGGCCCTGGTGGAAGAAATTTCTAAGCAGCAGAACATTCAAGAGGCTTTGTGGCAACTTCTAACAACCTGTGGTCAGACATAGGAGCAAATAAATGATTTAAAGTTGGAACTCATATTTAAAAGAGAAGCAGAGCCCGTTGAAGTTTGGAAAATTCTCATCCTGGCTATGTAGTAGAGAAGGAGAAAGTGTTTTCAGGAGAAGAATACAAGCAGGCTGTGGAGCAACCACTTGATAGAGAGATTTGCATGAATAGAAGAGAGCCTAGCCTAGTGCTACTAATCAAGATGATGGGAAGAAAGCCTTGAAGGCATTTCAGAGACCTTTAAGGCAGCCCCCCCCCCAACCCCCATCACAGGCCCAGAGTCCTAGGAGAAAAGTGTAGTTTTGGAGGCCAAACTTGGGGCCCAGCTGCCCTGTGCAGCCTCTGGACACTGTTCCCAGCATCCCAGCTGCTGCATCTCCAGCCGCAGCTCAAAAAGCCCCAGGTATAGCTTGGGCCTCCACTCGCTCTGAAGGGCACAAGCCACTACTGTAAGCCTTGGTGGCTTTCGCATGGTGTTAAGCCTACAGGCACACAGAATGCACAAGTGAAAGAGGCATGGGAGGCTGCACCTAGATTTTAGAGGGCCACGCCAAAGGGAAATGTGAGGTTGGAGCCCCCAGACAGAGTCCCCACTGGTGCACTGCCTAGTGGAGCTGTTGGAAGGGAGGTGCCACCTCCAGACCCAGGAATGGTGGCGCCACCAGCAACCTGAGCCTGGAAAAGCCACAGGTCCTCACCTCCAACCCATGAGAGAAGCCACAGGGCCAGAGCTGCCCAAAGCCTTGGAAGCCCACCTCTTGCACCAATATGCCCTGTATATGGGACGTGGCATCAAGGATTATTTTGGAGCTTTAAGATTTAATGTCTGCCCTGCCGGGTTTCAGACTTCTGTGGGGCCTGTTGCCTCTTTCTTTTGGCAGATCTCTCTTTTGGAATGGGAATGTTTACCCAATGCCTATACCACCATTCTATCTTAGAAGTAAATAGTTAATTTTTTATCTTACAGGATTATAGGTAGAAAGAAGATGGCTTGAATCTCAGATGAGATTTTGGACTTTTGAGTTAATGCTGGAACGAGTTAAAACTTTGGGGGACTATTGAGAAGGGATGATTGTATTTTGTGATGTGAGAAGGACATGAGATTTGGGGGGCCAGTGGTGGAATGATATGGTTTGGATGTTTTGTCCCCTCCAAATCTCATGTTGAAGTGTGACCTCCATTACTGAGGTGGGGCTGGTGGGAGGTTTTGGATCATGGAGGCAGATCCCTCATGAATGACTTGGTGCCATCCCCATGGTAATGAGTTCTCACCCCGGTAGTTCACTCAAGAGCTGGTTGTTTAATAGCCTGGAACCTCCCATCTCCCTCTTGCTTCTGCTCTTGCCATGTGATATGCTGGGTCCCCTTTTGCCTTCCACTGTGATTGTAAGTTTCCCGAGGTCTCACCAGAAGCAGATTCTGGTGCCTTGTTGCTTTTACAGCCTGCAGAACCATGAGCCAAAGTAAACCTCTTTGCTTTATAAATTACCCAGCCTCGGATATTTCCTTATAGCAATGCAAATGGACTAGTACACCCAACAAGCAAAAACACCCATATCAATTTTCAGAACTTTCTCCGAGGAGTTTATTAATAAATATCCACATTACCTTTTTATCCTCATAGGAATTTTCTAGTGCTGATTTACATATAAATTGCTGTCTTAAAATTTAACTTTCTAAATACCAGAAGCTCTCCAAGATAATTGTGACAACCAAAGCATCCCTATGTTGAGAACCAGTAAGGAGTAATGTGAAGTGACTTTAAAAAAGATCTACAAGGACTGATCAGTCATTATGGAAATTTTTGTGTTATAATTTAAGCAAAAAATTCTGTTTTCCAGTGTAGCTCATGAAATAATTACAGTAATCTCAACAGTGTAGTTTAATTCTTGGAAAACTTAATGATAACTTTTTTCCCCCCTTTTTAAAAGAGAGATTCCCCTGGAGCTTCAGCGCCTTGTTCATGGTGGCCAAGTGAATTTGGATATGGAGGATCATCAGGATCAAGAATACATAAAACCTAGATTGAGGTTCAAGGCTTTTAGTGGAGAAGGGCAAAAACTTGGAAGGTAAAAATCCTAAAATGAGAAAAATACCTTTGTTGAACATGAATTTTTCTTTGAGAATAAGAAAAGCAAAATGACCTATGAAGTAAAAAACAAAAATATGAACCATGCACATTAGATATATACATCTGTTAATATTATATCATAATATTATATCATGTGATACCATTATATCATAATATTAATTGTGATATTAATAATACTGTAATTAATACTTAGATTGCAGTTACCATGTTTGTGGCCCTCTAAGCCGTATACATGTGTTATCTCACTTAATCTTTACAACAGCTCTTTGATGTAGATACTGTTATTACTTCATTTTGCAGATGCAGTAATTTGCCCAAGATTGTTGAGCTAAGAAATGACTAGCATGTGGGATTCAAACCCAGGCACTCTGACTACAGAGTTTGTGCTTTTCACCACTATATTATATGCCTCTTTCAGATTACCTGGTTTCAAAGGAGAGAATTGTAAAGGGTTGTCGATGAGATAAAATAATGGATACCTTACATCACAACTTAAGCATGCATGTCTGCCATCAGTAATGACCAAACTCTTGCAGCAGGAGCAATGTGCTTAGCTTTGTGATTTTCAATAGTTTTTAAACAGCCAAACCCTTTTTTCAAGTCATGGAAGTGCAATATGTAAAACCTGAGCTCCTCTGATTGTCGGTGAAAGAAGGCATTGTATCTGAGACATTTCCAAAGAACCTTAGGACTTTGAAGAGCACAATTTAAAAACCAACGCACATGGCAGAATGTATGAGTGGTTTCCTTTATAATACCCATGGCTTAATGTAATCTTAGAAATTTAAAATATGTTGGTAAAAGTTACCCTCTACTCGTCCACATATTGTTGCAGGTGATATGGAATTGCCACATTGGCAATGTTTCCAGTGTATTCTTTGGTGCATCCTTTGCTTCTCTTCATGTGATTCCTTCCCTTCCAAGCCCCCTTCAGTTGCCTCGTGTACACTGGTTGTCTATTCTCCCCTTATTTTTCAAGATAGGAAAAAATTCAATATTGCTTCTTTATGCTTTGCTATCTCTAGTCTCCCTTTCTGTATTCTCTTCTCCTGATAGAGACTGGCACTGGGGACATAAAGGAAATACAGGAATTTATGTTGACCTGTTTTTCTTAGGACACAAACTCTTTAATTTTAGGTCACAGGTTTACTTGGAAATTTTCTCCCTCGTCTCTCTTTACACGTCAGGCTTCTCTTTCTTTCTCTTTTTTTTTTTTTGAGATGGGGTCTTGCTCTGTTGCCCAGACTGGAGTACAGTGGTGTAGTCATAGTTCACTGCAGCCTTGACCTCCTGGGCTCAGGCAAGCTTCCTACCCCACTCTCCTGACTGGGACTATAGGCACTGCCGAGCGCAGCTCATTTTTTTTCATTTTTAGGTTTTGTAGAGACACGTGTCTTACTATGTTGCCCAGGCTGGTCTTGAATTCCTGGCCTCAAGCTGTTCTTCTGCCTTGGCCTGCCAAAGTGCCTGGGTTACAGGCATGAGCCACTATGCCTGGCCAGGCTTCTCTCAAATTGTATAATATTATGTTTTTACTCCTCTTGTTGTGATCAACATATATATATATATATATATGTATGTGTATATATATGTATGTATGTGTATATATAGTATGTATGTATGTTCTTAATTTTGTATCACTTCCCATTTTTACTTAATATTTATTGAGATTACGATTTTTAATTAGAATGCAGATAAAATGCCTAGTCATCTCTTCAATATATACATATTCCTTCTCTATTATTTAAATGTATGACCAAGAATTAATGTTGGACCGCACATCCTTGTTAGTAGACCTACAGTAAATCTAGACTTGGAATTGAAGAAGGTAGCATAAAGGGAAGGCAGCTAAGAAGAGCCAGTGATTATTAAACTCATGAAAATAACGATATTATCTGATGATAGTATTCACAAAGGCCAGTCATTTTCCTTATAAGGCAAATAGAGAAAATAACAGAAAAGAAAGGAGAAACTGATGGAAGAAAGTGACAGAGATCAGTGGTAATAATGCCATGTTAATTTACTAGCCATATTGATCAAGATTTTGATTATGGAAAACAGAATCTACTTGCTGGTAGTAATAGGTTTCTTACAGGATCTTGTGTAGTTTATAGAATATCTGGAAGAGGCAAGCAAACCAAGCTTTCCTTAGCCAGGAGAAACAAACACAGTGGAAGAGTGTTCCAGAGAAAACAACTATGTCCCCTAGTCAGGTGCTTGGTGCCCATGAAACTAGGGACTAGATACTAGAACATTCCATCATCGAAGAAATAAATGCCTCCACCACCTTAGTAACCACAAGAGCTACAGAGTTTCCACTTTGCAGTGCTTACTTCCACCAAACAAGTGTATGTTTGTTTGGTGGAAGGGTAGAATCATGAAATCCTAGCTGCAAGAGAGTCTGGGAGATGGAGTCTTTAGAATTTTCAGCTTCTAGTAGAAGGAGATAGCATGATGATGTGAGCCTATGTGTTCACAAACCCAAATGTTGAATAAGCAAATATCATATATTCTAAAGTGAAGAATTACATAGAACATTTTATATTAAAGATTTACATTAAGAAATATATTAAAAGTTTAATAGTTAACCTTCATTTAGAAAGTAACTTTCTAAAATGGCTTGGTTCTCAAGAGTTCAAGACAATTATTTACTGAGCAGGAAATAAAAAGAAGCAAGTAAAACAGAAATGAAAATAATCTATTGTCTTCCATAGATGGCAGTCTAATTACACACAGAATGTTACATAGATGGGAACTAAATCTTTTCATGTGATATACAATTATGGTGCAAACCAAAATGCTGTAAAAATGTTACATAGTACCCTCACATAATAGAAGAAAGCAAACCATAGATATAAAACTGCAAATTTGCAATGGTAGAACAAACTGTATTATTGAGTAAAAATTAGCTTGGTGAGCTAGAGTAGTGCCTAACAAAATCACAGAGTCATTTTTAATAGGGAGGACTAGCGAGTAGGCATTCTTGGTAGGCTTTTGAGCTGGCGTGTATAATGATAAAAATCATGATTTGAAGCTGATGTTTCTGCAGAAGAACAGTCACTGCCTGTTTGTCCTACTGTTCTCTTCAAAAGATTGTGCTTGCCACTCTCACTTACCTGAGATTTGACTTCATCTGGGGCCCTAGACCCTGAGGGCTGTCTTCTCTAAAACTTCAAAGCCTTACTTTATCTCAGCTCCTCAACAGCTGTGAGCTGACTGAAGCCTGACTGGGTTGTCAGCCCTGTGTGACTCAGTACTTCTGGGGACAGCCTCAGCTGTGCTGAGCAGGCAGTGCTGTGCCTCGCCAGTCTCACAGGCCTGAGCTGCTTTCCTAAACCCCCTCCTCGACCCCTGCCCCTCACTCTCAGCAAATTTCTTTGCTTCCAGCTTCATTGAGAAAATAGAACCTGACGGGAATTCACATTCTTATTATGTTTCCCTCCAGCCTTCAAGCTGGTCATTTCCATCCTCCTCTCCCTCCATAAGTTTGAAGAAGAGGGTGTTTCTCCTGTCTCTGAGGGAATTACAACCTACATCCTTTCCTGCCATTTGCCTACAAACCTTGTTGTACCAATTAATTTCTCTTTTCTTTCTTAAAAAATTTTCTTTTTAATGTAAAAGTTTTACTATGGCTTGATCAATTGAATGATAGGGAGAAAGTTTTAAATAGCAAACAGATGTGATTTTGACAGCTAAATATTAGAATTAACATAACTTGCATGGGCACAGTGGCTCACACCTGTAATCCCAGCACTTTGGGAGGCCGAGGCAGGCAGATGACTTGAGATTAGGAATTCAAGACCAGCCTGGCCAACATGGCGAAACCCCATCTCTACTAAAAATCCAAAAAAAAAAAAAAAAAAAATTAGCCGCATGTGGTGACAGGCACCTGTAATCCCAGCTACTTGGGAGGCTGAGGCAGGAGAATCACTTGAACTCAGGAGGCAGAGGTTGCAGTGAGCTGAGATCACACCACTGCACTCCAGCCTGGGCAACAGAGCAACACTGCATCCCAGAAAAATAAATAAATAAAATAAATTAATTAACATAACTTTTTAGGCTGGTTTTTTAATACCACACTACCAGCTTGTCCAGCTATCTGTCTGTGTGGTTCTGAGCATGTCTTTTAGTCTCTCTGTGACTCGGTTTCTTTTAGATAAAATGATATGGTTGGCCTAAATTATGTTGGAAGTCCATCCATTCCAGTTCTCAAATGTTATTATTCCATATACAATAGTTTCATTGTGACATACACACATTTTCTTACCTAGCTTCCCCATCCTCCATTTTCTGTTTTGAGAAAAAGCATACCTGGTCAGAATCTGCCTTAAAACAGAAAGCAGTAGATTACAAAAATAATAGGGAGGCAACTTGGTGTGTAGAAAGAGCCCAATATAAACCTCAGCTCTCTCACTTACCAATAGGAATATTGGGGGTAACTTTTTTTTTCCAGAGTTGTTGTTAGGATAATTATAATGCTAATAGCCAACTTTTAGTAGTGCCAACTATATAAAAGCACCATTTGAAGTGCTTATGTGTCCTAATTAATTTAATCTTTACAGCACTGCTGCTGTTGGCTCTCAGGCACAATAAGGGTAAGTGACTTGCCTGGTGTTACAGAATAAGTGCAGAGTTGGGATTGAAACCAGGTAATCCAGCTCTGAGAACCATGCTGTTAACACTGCTTCCCAGGCTGATGTAAATGAAATAATGCATGTGGCAGAGGTGGTAATGGTGGTAGTGACGATGATAATGTGTATACCTGGTTATCAGTGAGGCGGAGGTAAAGAGGACCTTTGCATTCAGTGTCTCATGTCTTTTCTCTTGGATTTTCATCCCCCTCCCTTGTGTAAGGAACGCTGGACTCTTGGCACAGTAAACCAGATTGGCAGTGCAATTACTTAGGCCCTCAATTCCAAATTAAAAAGAAATTCCTTAATATCTGATCATTTATTGTAAGTCATAATTTTAACCTTATGTATATTTTTATGTATCCTCAAATCAGTTCTAAAATTAGCATCAGGAAATAGCTAAAGAAAGAGAAAGTGTCAGCAGTTAGTACCAGGTAATTTTATCACTTTACTGTGTACTCTGAGAGAGAAGCTTTTTGAATGGAAGTAAGAGTCATGATGATTTAGATTGGACTAAAGCCCAAATGCTCATAGAACTTTTATACTAGTAATATGTAGATACATGCGTGTCTTTCTTCCAGAAGAAAATAATCTATAGGAAACCATCTAAATCTCAGAGTTCAAGAGAAAAAACTTCAAGACTATCAAAAATTCCTTAAGATGACTGAGAAAATTGAGCTAAATTTATTTGAATTATTTAACCAAAAGAGCACTCCTCTATTTTTGACATTCACTTTTGGCATATACTGGCTGATCATCCTGCTAGTGTTAGAAGGGGCTAAGACAGCAATGCCAGGGTCACTAGTAACCAAGTTCTAATGGTAAGATATTCTATCAAGCTTCATTATGAATTTATTGTCATGTAATAACATTTTATTCCTCAATGGTACTTAGAAGTTATTTCTCTTTTGCAAAGCAGTGCTTGAATCAGATGTGTTTAAATGATATTAACCAAGTCCAAATTAAATGAATTTAGTGCTGATAATATGTTCACAATAGCTGGCACCCGTTGAAACACTGTGTTCTAGGCACAATATTAAGGACTTACTGGTATAATATACCTTCATAACATAGTATTATTCCCTCACTTTATAAATGATAGAACTGGGATTCAAAATGATTGATGTACTTACTCAACTTTACACAGTTGACATGGCTGGGATGTGAAACCATGTCTGTCTGTGCTCTTAATGATTCTTTGACCCTAACTCAGAGTTGCTCGTATTTCTAAATAAAACTGGTTTGCTAAACAGTGATGAAGTTGCAAACAGTTAAATGAGGAAAGGATGCAAAGTTAGGCTTTTATGAGAGATTAGATAAACCAAATAAGAATCGTAGGATCCAAAATAACTTTAATATAATGAAAGAGGTTGAAAGAAGTATAGGAGACTCAAATGAAGCCATGTTCTAAGTGTTTATCGCTGTCTTCAGTTTGTCATATATTTTACACATTCAGATTTGTGTTTAATTCCTCTTTTTTAGCCTTACACCTGAAATAGTCAGTACACCTTCCTCTCCAGAAGAGGAGGATAAATCAATACTTAATGCAGTTGTTCTTATTGATGATTCAGTGCCAACAACAAAAATTCAAATCAGGTTAGCAGATGGGAGTCGTTTGATACAAAGATTCAATAGTACACACAGGTAAGCTTCTTTACCAACAGTGTCCTGTTTGCTGTTATATACACTGGATTGCTTATCTAAGTAGAACTGTATGTGACTTGAGTAATGAAGAATATGATATTCTTTAGGTTTACTTTTGAAGTAAGTTTTTGACAGAAGAAACATTTTTAAAAGGACAATAGCTGTGTTTAAGAAATGAAATATGTGGTATTTAAACAGTCTCTATAAACTATCCAAATACTAATGTGATCTCAGATATCACACAAAAATAAATTAAGAACTATAGTTTTACGTTGTTACTAAAACTATATGAAGTCGAATCAGATTTAATTTAACATAGTAAAACCTTTTGGGGACTTTATTCATTTAAAAATTTGTGATAATTTTGATTGGGATTAATTTTCTGTATAGCAAATACTTCATAATATAAATGTGTATTGTAAATCAAGTTTAATTGTACTTTTGTCAAGAACTTCAGATAGTTTTAAATGTTTCTTTAATATTGACTTGTACATCAACATTTGATTTGTCCATTGAAGTAAGACCCTAATAGATATATTTATGATTTTGGTTGAATTACTATGTTTATGTGAGAGTAATTTTTTAAAATTATTCCTATGATAGCACATTTCATAGTTTTAGACTCACCTTGCCACAGGCCAATCATAGTTACCTTTTTCTGGGTCATATGCTGCTAACACATTTTATACTCCGAAAAAAGTACAACCTGCATTTTTTTTTTTTTTTTTTTTTTTTTTTTTTTTTTTTGAGACAGAGTCTTACTCTGTCTCCCAGGCTGGAGTGCAGTGGCGGAATCTCAGCCCACTACAAACTCCGCCTTCCAGATTCAAGCAATTCTCATGCTCAGCCTCTTGAGTAGCTGGGATTACAGACAGCCACCACCATGCCCAGCTAATTTTTTCTGGTTTTAGTAGAGACGGGGTTTTCACCGTGTTAGCCAGGCTAATCTTGAACTCCTGGCCTCAAGTGATCTGCCCACCTCTGCCTCCCAAAGTGCTGGAATTACAGGCGTAAGCCACCGTGCCCAGCTGGACCTGCACTTTTAAAATAACAACATTAGTACACTTACTTTATTCATAACTTACCTGAAGATTGTTTCCATTTTACAGGAAAAGTAAATGTTAAGTACACACTAAAGTTACTTTACATTTTAACTGAAGCCTAAGATAAATCCTTCAATTGAAATACTATATATTAAAGAAAGTTACAACACCTTTATATAAAGATTAAAATTTTGTGATTTTTATTATGATTCAGTTTTAAGTTTACATGAAAATATGATTTTTTATATTACAAATTATTTTTGTCTTATTTCTTCAGGATCCTGGATGTCCGGAACTTTATTGTACAGTCTCGTCCTGAATTTGCGGCTCTTGACTTTATTCTTGTGACTTCATTTCCGAATAAAGAGCTAACAGATGAAAGCCTGACACTGCTAGAAGCAGATATTCTTAACACTGTGTTACTCCAGCAACTAAAATAATATTGTTCCTGTCCATGCAGTAGCATGTGGGAATAGATGATGTGCCGTATTAATAAGGACAATACTTCAGCATTAAAAACAGCCAAATTATTTTTATTATTTTTACAGATAAATTTTGGTTTTATTGTTATTCTGTCTTCCAATCTGAATATAGACAAATTTGGATTAGGAATAGACCTTGAGATAAGTATGTTTGAGTTTTTAGTTGAAGGACTGGCTTATGTTGATAGTTTTTGGATTTCTAGGCAAATGAGTTGTTACATGCTTAGTGTTAATGTAACAACATTTGTTTGCAGAGAAAAATGAACAAAACCCCTTTTTGATAAATGCATTTGGTAAAATTTGCACTAAAGTTTCTTGATGCAGCATTGACCAACAGCCATTAAGAAATCTTTTGATCAAATAAGTTGAAAATTTGTCTATAATATATACTGAAACGTGTCTTTTGATTTTGAAATTGTTTGATCATACAATAATTATTTCTCCTATTAAGATTTTACACATCCTTTTTACTTACTGATTTAGATATATTACTAGTATCAGAAACTACAGTTTTGCCTTGTATTTTACAGAATTATGACTGTTGTGAACTTAAACAGAAACACATAAAGGTCAGCAATTCTTTTTTTTTTTTTTTTTGATATGGAGTTTTGCTCTTGTTGCCCAGGCTGGAGTGCAATGGCATAATTTCTGCTCACCGCAACCTCCGCCTCCCAGGTTCAAAAGATTCTCCTGCCTTAGCCTCCCAAGTAGCTGGGATTACAGGCATGCGCCACCATGCCTGGCTAATTTTTGTACTTTTGCTAGAGACAGCGTTTCTCTGTGTTGATCAGGCTGGTCTCGAACTCCGAACCTCAGGTGATCCACCCACCTCAGCCTCCCAAAGTGCTGGGATTACAGGCATGAGCCACCACGCCCAGCCTAAAGGTCAGCAGTTCTTAAGAAGATATGGTAAACAGCAACAATATTTTAAAATCAAGTAATTACAGTTCCTCCCAGAGCTTGCGTTGATCACATTCATTTATTCATTCAACACATTTTTCTAGGAAACTCACTGTATACACTAAACACTATTCTGTGTGCTCAACCTAGAATGTCTTCTCCAGAACAAGACTAGTGTAGAAATACAGGAATGTAAATTCTGTCAGACGGACTAGATCTAAAGAATTACCAGCATAAATGTTTGCATTTCTGCTGAAGCCAGAAGCTTTTCCTTCTTCCTAGACACCATTTCATCCTTAATTATTACTTCTGGTTAGTTTTCCATTGCCACCATAACAAGTTACAAAATGTGGCTTAAAATAGCACAAATTTATTATCTTCACAATTCTGTAGGTTAGGAGTCCAGGTTAAGAGTTTCGCGGTGCCAAGATCAATTTGTTGGCAGGGTTGCATTCTGTTAGGAGGCTCTACAGGAGAATCATTTCCTTGTCATTCCACCTTCTACAGGACATCCTCATTCCTTGGCTTGTGACCTCCTTCTTCCATCTTAAAAACCAGTGCTGTTTCATCTCTATGACCCTTCTGTTACCACATCTCTCTGACACCAGTGTGGAGAGGTTCTCTGCAGGACTCATGATTAAATGAGGCCCACCGGATATCCAATCTAGGCTTATCTCCTTGTCTTGAAATCCATAGTAACCTTAATTACATCTGCAAAATCTCTTTTACCATCTAAGGTTACATACAGGTTTGGAGATTAGGACATTAACATTTTACATGGAACATTATTCTTGCCTACTACAGTTCCCACCCACCCCCCGCTCCACTCCTGTGTTAAAGATTCAGATTCATCACAAATAAATTTACATCACTCATAGGTGCTCAAAAGTCACAATCCATTATTACAGCATCAACTCTAAATCCAAAATCTTATCTGAGTCTCACCAACTCAAAAGTCTCAAATCTCACATTGAAGCCATCTAAATTAAGTTTGGGAGAGGATCTGTGTGTGATTTCTGGGACATAATTCCAACTGTGCACTTGTGAACCTAGAAAACAAGTTATCTGTTCCCAAGTATGATGGCATGACAGGCAGACAATAATAGTTACACACGTTCCTGTTCAAAAAGCAGAAACAGATGGAAAAAGGAGCCATCAGCACCAATCAATTTACAAAACCAGCGAGGCACCCTTCTTTAAGTTTCAAGGCCTGGGAGTAATCTTCAGCTCACTGCTGTTCTCTGGGCTTGTTGACTGTCTCAGAGTCATCTTTACTTTTTCACAAAAGGTAGCACACGTTTGCAGCTGAGTATCAACTTATCAGTTTGTTCTTCTTTTATATTCTCTAAAGCTTTCTGTTAAAAATGGTGGTGCTTCTGCTGCTATAACGTTGTCAAGAAACTTGTGGGTCTTTTACATATGTCACAGGGATGCACTCATTTAGATAGGAGGCTCCTCACGTATCTTTCCTGGAAAATCCTGTCTCTGTTTTTGGCTTTTTCTGAAATAGCTGAGAGGATCTATGATTCACACCCTTAATATCTTCAAAGAGTCTTGTGTGTGACCTGATATTCAGACCTTTTGATGTTTCTGAAGTATTAGCAAAAGGTTATACAGCCATATCTTCATCACTTTCTCTAGAGTAAAGGCTGTCCTGACGGTGAATCTTAGTTTTAGTGGCTTTTGCCATTTGAATAGGCCGCGAATTTCCCAAATCATCAAGTCCTGGTTTCTTTATATTTAACAGGTCTTCCCTCAATCTACCTCTTTCCACATTTTACTATAATCAGCAAGAAGACAGCAGGCTGTACCTTCCACAGCTTGCTTGGAAATATCCTCAGCTAAATATTGAAGTCATCACTTAAAAGTTCTGCTTTACACATAACGGCAGGACACAACTCAGCTTAGCTTTTCGCCACTATGTAACAAGGACTCCTTTCCTCCACTTCTCCAGTAACATATTCCTCATTTTTTACCAACAGTCTATTCATGATGATTTAGATATTCTATGGCAATCGAGGTATTCTCTATTATGCTCCTTTCTTCAAGGCCGCCCTAGCATTAACATTCCATATTTCTACTAACAGTCTGTTTAAGGCAGTTTAGCTTCTTTTCTGGCATGCTCCTCAGAATTCTTCCAGCCTCCACCTACTGCCCAATTCCAGAGCCACTTTTCTACTTTTAGGTATTTGTTACAGCAGCACCTCAAGTACCTAGAAAACTCTTTTATGCCTGCTTCTCTGCCAGATGACTTGAATATGGTACTAGATTTGGAATTCACCTTTCTCCAGGGTCACTGTTTATTTCAAAGAGGTGAATTTACCTGTGCTAGGGTTTTCACACTGGGAGTGCTACCAGAACTACCACAGGATGAAAGTGGTGAGCCCACCACTGCAGAGAAGTTTTCTCAGTGCCGTAATATAGAGGAATTCTCAAAATAAGCCCTACTCCTTTTCACTTACTGAAAACAACTTGGATAATGTGTAACAGCCAGCCCCATTTCAAAAAGATTACCAGGGGTAAAACAACTTTTTCATGGGTCAAAATCATCTTCCGAAGAAAATGATTTCTTAAAAGAATTGAACATTGTAAATCAAAGGGCATTGTCCTGTTTTGGATTAACAAAACAGGAAAAATAACCAATCCTTGTAAAATTATTTGAAATTTTCTTGTTTTTATCAGTTGAGTGCCTATAGATGCACATACAAAAACAACTGCCATTTTTGTATATAATAGTCTTCCAAGATAGAGATTTACATTAGGAGAGAATTAAACATCCAGGAGGGATGAACAGTATTTCATGTGTGCTATGTAGTGTTTTGCTTCATTGAGAGTCATTTTCATGAATTATTTTTACTACTGCAGTCATCTTAAATTTATAATCATCTCAAAAAAGATGTCACAATGAACAGACAACCATCTGTGAGGTCAGTCATTTTGCATGATGTATGTAATCAAAAAGTTTGAAATGTCTGCTTACTAATAAAGAATGTTTTCACTGAAACTTATTGGAAAGGTTTTTCAAATTTTCTTTGATTTGTAGTTTTGAGTCCTGAATAGATTGTTTTAACATGAATAACATTTCCTGTGGTTTAATTTCCCTTGGCGCACCTTTGTCAGGGACAGGGAAGGAACTGGTTGTAGCATATTATCTGAATATCCTGTTACTGTTTCTGTTTTTATTCTACCCAAATAAAAAGGTTCAGGTGCTTCTTTTTTGCCACAATGGATTTCTGAAAACCTTGTCACAACTGTGAAAGGAAAGCAAATCTTGGGACCCCAGAATCACTAAGCTAAAGGGAAAAGTCAAGCTGGAAACTGCTTAGTGCAAACCTGCCTCCCATTCATTCTATTCAGTTATCTCTGCTCACTGAGATAAAGGCCTGTCTGATTGCCTCCTTTGGAAGGGCTCATCAGAAACTCAAAAGAATGCAACCATTTGTCTCTTACCTACCTGTGCCCTGGAAGTCCTCTCCCACACTTCGAGTTGTCCTACCTTTCCATATTGATCCAATGTCCATCTTACATATATTGATTGATGTCTTATGTCTCCCTAAAATGTATAAAACCAAGCTGTGCCCCAACCACCTTGGGCTCATGTCATCAGGACGTCCTGAGGCTGTGTCACACCTGTGCATCCTTAACCTTGGCAAAATAAACTTCCTAAATCGAGACCTGTCTCAGGTATTTGGGGTTCATGCAACGTCTATTGTTAAAAAGTGCATCATGTTGAAGCGGCCTTGTCTGGGGCGACACCCGAGGTTCGTTGTCTCACAGCCACAGAGATCAAAAATGCGGACACACAGGTTAAGAGCTGAAGTTTAGTAGGCAAAAGAAAGAGAAGATCTCTGCTACCAAGAGGGGTCCTGGAAAAATTGGTTGCTGATCCGCAGTGAAATGTAGGGAGTTTTATAGATCAGCTAGTGGGGCGGGAGTAGTGCTGATGTACATAGGGTGCAAAAAGCCAGTTAGGAACAGGTGTGCCATCTGCATAGGGTATAAATCTCTGGCAGCCCCCACCCCAATCTTCTATTATGCAGGTGGGTTCTCTGCCTGAGCTTCTCCATGTTGCCCATTTCTTTCTTACTGTACACATGCTAACAAAAAAGGGAAGATGGAGTTTCCATGGTGGACATGTCTGGCCCCCAGGTAACCCTTTTCTATTGGCACAGCTGCAGGCCTCCTCCCGTGCAATCTTCCAGCTTCCTTACCTATGTTTGCAGCTCGATCTTTCAGGCTGCTCTTTGTTGGAAAAGAAATGATTTCTAGGGCTGCTTTTTGTTAAAAGGGAAGTTCTGTTGAGGACTCTTTTGCCCTCACTATCTGCCTAAATAATTTATTTCTATATCCTGTATTAGTGTTTGCCCCTTAAGAGTGTCCCTGATCAATGATGTGAATATATATGTGACCAATATTGTCATAAAGGCTAATAATTTCTATAATCCTCTGTAAAGTTTTTAATTAAAGTATCTTCTAACTCAAATAGTTTATAAAAAGCCCTAGTACACATGTGTAACCATGTATATGTATGTGTGTGTGTGTGTGTTATAGCACATGAAAATAGCATGTGTGTCCTAGAACTAATAATTAGCTCTAATCCACTTAGCTTAACAGTTTTGCCTCTTTGGAATTTATAGCTATGACCTGGGGATCTGTGCAGGGGAAAATGCTCTTTTACAAAGTTTGAACTTCATGATTCATTTTCCTTTAGATAAATCTTTCTATATTAAGAGAGGAGACCACCCCTCATATTGTCTTATGCCCAATTTCTGCCTCCAAAGAAGTAAAAACTAAAAGGCAGAAATGAAACCCACAGGCAGAGAGCCTGGCGCCACGCCCTGGGCCTGGTTAAAGATCGACCCCTGACCTAACTGGTTATGTGATCTATAGATTCCAGACATTGTATGGAAAAGCATTGTGAAAATCTCCGTCCTGTTCTGTTCCGTTCTGATTACAGGTGCATGCAGCCCCCAGTCAGGTACCCCCTGCTTGCTCAATCGATCATGACCCTCTCATGCAGACCTCCTTAGAGTTGTAAGCCCTTAAAAGGGACAGAAATTGCTCACAGGGAGCTCGGTATTTGGAGACGTGAGTCTTGCCGAAGCTCCCGGCCAAATAAAGCCCTTCCTTCTTTAACTCGGTGTCTGAGGGGTTTTGTCTGCGGCTTATCCTGCTACAATATAAAGCAGAGACATTCAGAATCATCCTCGGCAGTGGCTACCTTAAAATTTCCTTTGAGTCCTATAGTTTGATTTCATATGGCTTCACTGGCACAATTCCAAGTGCACCTACTCAAAGGAAAGCTACAGGGAAAGAGAATGCTGATAAACCACTGTTTTGTTGATTGTATCACAACACTTCTTGCTTTCTTTGGAGGGCGTAACAGTTAACTAACTTATTCGCATGGACTTAAAGACTTCACACATAATTAGCAATACAATGTTTTCTAATGGCTTATCATTATTGTTGAATTAAGGTGTGTATGATAATTAGGCAACATTAAAAGAGGACTAAGAAAGGTTTTTCCTCACAGGATTCTCTTTACTGTCCTTTACCTCCTTCAGTTTACACTGGCTTGGAAATAGTGTTGAAAATGGCTCACAATTAGTGTCAATATTTGAGCCAGTGCCTTTTCTCACTTTAACCTTGGAGATAGAAGAATATTTAAAATGAGTACATGTCCTTTCTGTTGTATGCCTTTGTATTGATTTTTGGTTTGTGTTTTCCTTACATAGTGTACCTTTCAATGTACTTTTTAGAACATTCTTAATTATAAAAGGTCTTTCCTCATGGTTTCTGTATTTAACATCTTCCCTATTTTATTCTTCAGTTTTATCTTTGTGGGAAAGGCTTGTTTAACAGATTTTATCATTTTTATCAGGAACGGTAAAAACTGTAATGTTTAGTTTTCTATAAGTATGTTGATTAAAAAGTAGCAACTATAAATACTACGGATATTCAGAGCATCAGTAGACTTGAAAGCGAAAGCATGAATTAGTTGATACAAGTGGAGGTCCTGTTTGCCCTAGCCTGGAATTTGTGACTGTATGTGGGCTTTTGAGAAAGAAGGTAGTAGGATGAAGTGATATCTTATAGAAAGAAATGTTCATCCTTTCTACAAACTGATAACAGATTCAACATTCCAGGGGATGAGGTGGTCGTTTTTATTAATACAGTAAAATTACATGCAAATACCATGTTTAAACATGTACTTATAAAATACATAATATTGAGGCTAGGAGGGTGTTCTTTTCCCCTTTGAAAACCTGTTATAGGCCGGGCGCGGTGGCTCATGCCTGTAATCCCAGCACTTTGGGAGGCCAAGGCCGGCGGATCACGAGGTCAGGAAATCGAGACCATCCTGGCTAACACGGTGAAACCCTGTCTCTACTAAAAATACAAAAAATTAGCCGGCTGTGGTTGCAGGCGCCTGTAGTCCCAGCTACTCGGGAGGCTGAGGCAGGAGAATGGCATGAACCCGGGAGGCGGAGCTTGCAGTGAGCCGAGATTGGGCCGCTGCACTACAGCCTGGGCGACAGAGCGAGACGCCGTCTCAAAAAAAAAAAAAAAAAAGAAAACCTATTATAAGTATTTGTAATGTGAGTAGATGTTAGTGTCTAGAATATTGTGTACATTGGTGTTCTATGGCAACCCAAACTAATCTGACTTTATATTATTTAATATTAAGCATGTGTATGGTACTTTTGCAATAGAGTAAATGACTTTTGGAGGTTTTTTTGTTTTGTTTTGTTTTCTCTTTTTTGTTTGAGATGGAGTCTTGCTCTGTTGCTCAGGCTGGAGTGCAGTGGCAAGATCTTGGCTCACTGCAAACTTGGCCTCCTGGGTTCAAGCGATTCTCCTGCCTCAGCCTCCCAAGTAGCTGGAATTACAAGCGTGCACCACCACACCCTCCTAATTTTTTTTGTATTTTAGTAGAGACGGGTTTTCACCATGTTGGCCAGGCTGGTCTTGAACTCCTGACCTCAAGTGATCCACCTACCTTAGCCTCCCAAAGTGCTAGGATTACAGGTGTGAGCCACTGCGCCCAGCCAGGAGTACATAACTTAGAGATGACTACTTGGACTTACCACTTATTGAGGGCCTACCAAGAACACAGTCCTGTATTTGCAGGCAGCACATTACTTAGGGTAAATGACACTCTGTTACAGTTTGTCCTTCTGACCTCAGCTTAATAAATGTAATTTCTTCAGAAAGGCCTTCCCTGATTCCTCAATCTAAAGTCATCTCTTTTCTCTCTTAGTTACTTTTTACACTGTTTACCGTAGCATTAGCAATACCTGATATTTTCTTGTTAACTTGTTTGACTAACATGCTCCTTTCCCATTCCTCCAGACTCTCCACTGTGTGTCCCTAGAGCCCAGAACAATATCTTACATATAGGAGTCACTCGGTAAATGGTTAATTAGTAATAAATCAGTGAATGAAGAATAGAACCCTCTGGGCCTTGAGAAAATATATACATTAATATTTTTTAAATGAGAGAGCAGTGCCAACAAAGTTGATGCTGGTGATAGAAAAATATATGTTGGCTGGGTGCAGTGGCTCACGCCTGTAATCCTAGCAGTTTGGGGGGCCGAGGCAGGAGGATTGCTTGAGGTCAGGAGTTCAAGACCAGCCTAGGCAATGTAGCAAAACCCTGTCTCTACAAAATATTTTTAAAAACTAGCAGGGTGTGGTGACACACGCCTACAGTTCCAGCTATTCAGGAGGCTGGGGTGGGAGGATCGCTTGAACCCAGGAGGTTGAGTCTGCAGTGCCATGTTCATGCCACTGCACTCCATCCTGGGTGACAGAGCAAGACCCTGGCTTAAAAAACTTTGTGTATACACACACACACACACACACACACACACACATATAAAATATATATGTTTTGATTGGGTTTTAAAGGGAGGAAAAAGACATTTTAGAAGGGGTGTTGGTTCATTTCTCAGTGTTGGTAATATCTATATAGCTTTAAGTGAAGTGTCCTTGGCAGTTCCCCATGGTAGAACTGGGAAGAAAAAGCCGAAGGAATGCCCACATAAGAACCCACAGTGTGTGAAATACCTACGATTTTCTTAATTCCAGTAGTAGTAACTGCTGTGATTCTAGAAATCTGGAGATAGGGAAGAACACTGTGCTATGAAGACATTGTAGAAAACCCTCAAGCTGTTCAGTAACTATTTTTGTTTTCACTCTGAAACAACCAAAGTTTCCTGGTCACTTGTCATACGATCTGATTGCTTACAGTATGATTATTATAGATTTTATTTTTATATATAAACTTTATATAATGCAGGCTATATAATACAAGCCTGTGTAATATCCATTTTTCAATTTATTTTTATTAAGTTTCACATATTCCAACATTTTCATATTACATTCAACTTTGAATGTAATATCTCATCATCATTTATTTGTTACCTGACTACTGACACCCAAAAAATGTGAAAGAGAAGTTAATGAGATTCTAAATCTATGTAATAATTTTTTAAATAAAAAACTGCAGAAAATAAGATGATACTAGAGGCTTTAGTTATGTGGCACTCATGCCTCTGAAATCAAACAAGTTCAAGTAGCTGTTGACTTTGGCTATCCACTCAGTTTGGCTGAACTTATAAAGAAAATTCTCACTTGTCATTATATATTGTTTTTGTTCTCTAAATTAACTCACTTATGCAATCTTTCACGCAAGCAAAGGCAGTAGAAATGACCTGGAGTTACAGATTTCCAAACAACCTTTATAAACAGACAAGGATATCTGCAAACATGCCTGAGTTTCAATGTTCTTTTTGGAATTATTTTTCAGAAAAAAAAATGATATTATAAATTCCTCTTAATTTGGATAGTTCTTAAAAGTACCCTTTTATGAGTGTTAAAATATTCAACCAGTAATTACTTAATTTCCATAGGTTTTTATTACATATTATAAATAAAAATCTTAAGTATGTTTGACATTAAAAATGGCACTGAAGTTTACAAGAGATCAGGAGTTCTCTATATTTAGTTCTTAAAATAAGAAATTACTTTTAACATAGGACTGTACCCACAAGCATCTCAATCCTTTTGTTTTGGATGTAATGAAAATAGCAAAAAGAAGCCTTGATGGGTTTCCAGGTCATGTTCATGCCACAGTGAGTGCATGGCATATATTAACGTGATCCGACCTTCTTAGATGCAAAGAATCACTGGATGACTCAAAAACTCTTTTTTTTCCCTCTCTAAATTAGTTTTAAATTAGGAGGAGCTACCTTAATTTAATCTGTTAGTGAAAATAATAAAATCATAACAGATGTTTGCATTTCTAAAAGTTTTTAAATTTATGACAAGTTATTATTTTATACCTGCAAACAGATCCCCTAATTCCACTTTTTACCACTTTTAATGGTTCACCAAAGCTAAGATTTTACTTAGATAATTGCATTTAAGTATATGCAAAAACATGTTTATTTCCTCATTATTCTTCCTACTGTAAGCAAGTTGGTATTTACTTTTACTAGTTGTAAATATCCCAAAATATTTTTTAAATCTTCATACTATATGTAAATAGGGTAGGGTAGTGGTGGCGGTTTTTTGTTTTATTCATATACTTCTAAATCTCCAACCAACTTTCAATAAACTTTCATAAACTTTCCATAAAGTTTCAAACACTCCATAAACTTTCACTTCCATTCTTCTTGGGTTCTTTTTTCTCATTGTTCTCCATATACTTCTAAATATTACTTTCAAAACTTTCTGACTCACTGGGACCTTTCCTTGGAACATTGAGTTCTCCTGACAGTAACATGTCAGGAGAAGTACCAAGTGTGAATGGAATCTTGCCAGTGGCAAGGCAGAGGTGGGGCACCATCAGCTCTGACAAGGCTTACTAGAGGATTAGAAGAGCAAAGCCCTATAACACAGACAGCTTTCATCAGGAATATCTTTACATATAAGATAACATTAGTATTGGTGCCAATTCAACTGCAAAATAAAATAGTTGTTTATTGATGATTCTCTATTGAGTCCCTTTAAGTGCAATCTGAATGACTTAACTACAAAAATCAGTTTACATTCAACACTTGGGGTCATCTAATTTGTAAATGGAGATGTATCTATAAATACCAACAATGTAAAAGCCTATATAAACATAAATCCTGAAATATCTCTACTATGTCAGCACTTGAGTTTGTGAAGCTCTTCGCTCCTATACAAAATTCATTATTTCAAAAATACAGCTTCCATGAGAACCCTTGGAGATAAGCAGAATAAATCTTATCCCCATTATTTTCATGGGTAAAAGTTAAGTGACGTGAAGAATCACATTGTGAGTAGAGATGAAGTCAGTATCTCCTTATGGGTTGGTATGATTCAGTTTCCATTGTCCTGCAGTTTTGGGTAAAAAACATTGTCCTTATTTCTTAATAGTAATTAGCAGTGTAGGTACAGAGATATTGACATATTCATTTTGTAGATTATTATAAAGGATTAAGTAGTTTTCTAAAGGATATTCAGCAAATATGGTGAGTATGCAGCATATCAAATAGTATTCAGCATATTAAGTAATTTTCTGAAGGCTATTCAGCAAATGTAATTTTTGGCCTCACTGCCAAAAGCATCCTCAGATGAAATGTTAATGTATGAAGATTTGGTAGTTTGGGTTCTGTTTAACTTTCTTGTATGGAGTGTTTTAATGTGTTTTAGTGTTTTGATATATTTTCCTTGAATGTTTGCTGTTTTTGTTTTGTTTTTCAAACCTATCGTAGAAACTTTATTACATCAAAAATGATGTGGCAGAAAAAGCAGAATATTTGAAAGGCACTGGCACTAATTCTATAAGAGTATTATGTTTTTCTTTAACTGGAGATAGGAATATCAAATTCTTTTTTTTTTTACATTGATCTAGTGCAAGAATCTGGTATTCTTATTCAATTGTAAGCCAGAAAAGAGAAGACTACATCAGATATCACTGGTTGGCAGCAATTAGAAATATCAAGAGTACTATTGTTTATTACATTTTCACTTCTTTGACAAAGTGACTTGGATCTGATACAACGACCCAGTCTGTAAGACAAGGAACTGTGTGGTTTCCACCTACTGATAGGTATGTATGGGCGAGGAGCCACGTCAGGTAACAATGAGTGACGAACTATGTTTTTTTCCCCCCCGACATGTCATTATCTGGCAATAAATACTTAAGGTCATAGAGCCTGTTAATCTTTACAAAATCAAGGTGCTACTTGTAGTAAAACAAAATCTTATACAGTAGTTACCTTTTGACAAGTTAACATCAGGTCATCAGGGTATGGGAATTTGGTTACTTGTTCTTGTCTCCACCAGGGGGTGTATAGGTCCTGGGAAAGAATCCATGCCAGTATCTTTCCCTTAGCTGCGTTAATAAAATGAAGGGAGAGGATCAAAGTTACCTGTTCAAATAAGAATTAGAAATTACCCAGACATGAGTATCATGTAGCCATGGTTTCCGTGATCTCCTGCAGTATAGATGAAGAATACTTGGCTGAATATGATTGGCATTTTCAGAAATGTAATATAGCTAATGTCAAAACATAAAAATATTGATGGTGTCAGTGTAGTAGGCCTTGTGTTCTTTTTTTTTTCCCTTTTTCTTTTCTTGAGACGGAGTCTCGCTCTGTCGCCCAGGCTGGAGTGCAGTCGTGCCATCTTGGCTCACTGCAACCTTCGCCTCCCTGGTTCAAGCGATTCTCCTGCCTCAACCTCCTGAATAGCTGGGATTACAGGCATGCGCCACCATGCCTGGCTAATTTTTGTATTTTTAGTAGAGATGGGGTTTCACCATGTTGGTCAGGCTGGTCTCGAACTCCTGACCTCGTGATCCTCCCGCCTCAGCCTCCCAAAGTGCTGGGATTACAGGCGTGAGCCACCGCACCCGGCCGACCTTGGGTTTTTTTTAGGGTCATGTTGCCCATCAGATATTTACCAGATGTCCATCACTTGAGTGTATTGCTCACTGACCATGCTCCCTGGACAGCATTTAAAATGCCCCACTGAGTGCTCCCCTGACTTCTCAATAATGCATTCTTTATTTAAATGCACTACCAGAAAATTTAGTCTTTTTCCTTTTTTTTTTTTAAAAAAAAAAACCTATTCCATATTTCCTTCTGTTTTCCTTGGCTAAATTCTGATTTATCAGATTTTAATTCCTAGCTCTTTTCTACCTTTGCAGTCACAAGGTCTCACAACTTCTACTTTTGTTGGGAACAGGCCCCCCAAAATCTGGCCATAAACTGGCCCCAAAACTGACCATAAACAAAACCTCTGCAGCACTGTGACATGTTCATGATGGCCATGAGACCCATGCTGGAAGGTTGTGAGTTTACCGGAATGAGAGCAAGGAACACCTGGCCCACCCAGGGCAGAAAACCGCTTAAAGGCATTCCTAAGCCACAAACAATAGCATGAGCAATCTGTGCCTTAAGGACATGTTTCCTGCTGCAGATAACTAGCCAGACCCATCCCTTTATTTCAGCCCATCCCTTTGTTTCCCATAAGGAATACTTCTAGTTAATCTATAATCTATAGAAACAATGCTTATCACTGGCTTGCTGTCAATAAATGCGTGGGTAAATCTCTGTCCGAGGCTCTCAGCTCTGAATGCTGTGAGACCCCTGATTTCCCACTCCACACCTCTGTATTTCTGTGTGTGTGTCTCTACTTCCTCTAGCGCCGCTGGGTTAGGGTCTCCCCGACCGAGCTGGTCTTGGCATACTTTGATTTTTACCTTTCCCTCTTGCAAAATGTTGTTGCAACTTTACAATTATCAAGTGTGCTAACAGAGATATAAGTGGCAGAACTGCAAAATGAAAATGGAGAGAATTAGCATAGGAATTAGATGTCCCAAATTTTTAAGCATGCCTCTACCACCAACTCTGCAAGTCCCAACTTTCTCATCTCCAGAATGAGGAGATTAGAACATGGTCCTTCAGGTACAGCCATTATGGAAAACAATATGAACGTTCCTCAAAAGATTGAAAATAGAACTACCATTTGATCCAGAAATCCTACTTCCGCATATCAGTTCTACTTCTGAGTATATGTCCAAAAGAAATAAAATCACTGTCTTGAGAGATGTCTACACTCCCGTGTTCACTGCAACATCATTCACAATCACAAAGGTGTGGAAACAGCCTAAGTGTTCTACAACAGACGAACATATAAAGAAAACATGGTGCATATATACAATGGAATATTACTTATTCTTAAAAAAAATAGAAGGAATTTTCTAGTTTTTCTCTGCCACTTCTGATAACATGGAAAAACCTGAAGGACAATATGCCAAGTGACATAAGCCAGGCACAGAAAGATAAAAAGACAAATATCACATGAGCACTTATATGTGGAATCTAAAAAAAAAAATGCTTAAACTCCTACTAACAGTAGAACGGTGATTACAAAGGGTTGGGGAGTGGGGAAAAAGATTTATTGATCAAGGAATGTGAACTTTCAGTTATAAAATGAGTAAGTCCTGAAGACCTAATATACAGCATGGTGACTAAAGTTAATAATAATATATTGCATACTTGAAATTTGCTAAGACACTAGATTGCTATTGTTCTCACCACATACACAAAAAATATGTGAGTTGATGAAGCTTGATTATGATAATCATTTCACAATGTGTACTGTAATGCCCAACCTTGTTTTTACTAACCCTGTTCTTAGACTCTCCCTTTCCTTTAATCACCTAGCCTTGTTTCCACCTGAATTGACTCTCCCTTAGCTAAGAGAGCCAGACAGACTCCATCTTGGCTCTTTCACTTGCAGCCCCTTCCTCAAGGACTTAACTTGTGCAAGCTGACTCCCAGCACATCCAAGAATGCAATTAATTGATAAGATACTGTGGCAAGCAATATCCGCAGTTCCCAGGAATTCGTCTGATTGATAACGCCCAAAGCCCCACATCTATCACCTTGTAATAGTTTTTGTTTTTGTTTTTGTTTTTTTTTTGAGACGGAGTCTTGCTCTGTCACCCAGGCTGGAGTGCAGTGGCACAATCTCGGCTCACTGCAAGCTCTGCCTCCCGAGTTCACGCCATTCTCCTGCCTCAACCTCCCGAGTGGCTGGGACTACAGGCACCTGCCACCATGCCCAGCTAATTTTTGTATTTTTAGTAGAGATGGGGTTTCACCTTGTTAGCCAGGATGGTCTGGATCTCCTGACCTCGTGATCCGCCTGCCTCGGCCTCCCAAAGTGCTGGGATTACAGGCACCTTGTAATAGTCTTAAAGCCCCTGCACCTGGAACTGTTTACTTTCCTGTAACCATTTATCCTTTTAACTTTTTTGCCTACTTTACTTCTGTAAAATTGTTTTAACTAGATCCCCCCTCCCCTTTCTAAACCAAAGTATAAAAGAAAATCTAGCCCCTTCTTCAGGGCCCAGAGAACTTTGAGCGTTAGCCATCTCTTGGCCGCCAGCTAAATAAATGGACTCTTAATTCATCTCAAAGTGTGGCGTTTTCTCTAACTCGCTCAGGTACAATACTTGTATCGAAATGTCACATTGTACACTTTAAATATACACAATTGTTGTCAATCATACTTCAGTAAAGCTGGAAAAAAAAGAAACTGTTCCTTTAGTTCTGAATTCTGATATTGTTTCACAAAGTTAAACACTAACCAACAAAGTGCTTAAAGATGTCCTGACATGGTTAAAAATGGAAAAATGATACAAATCAGTGAATAACAGTGAGCAAATCTAGGGAAGTTATAACTTGTGTTGTTTATTGCCTTCCATTTGAGTTAGTTCTCTGGTAAGATAATTTGAGAATTCTTATTGAAAACATTTTCAGTCTAGTAAGATCTATGGACTGGTTTGTAGGGTATAATATTAACAAGTAGGTTAAACTCAGTGAAAATTTTATAGGACCACTACCTTTCCTGGACTTAATGCTTAACAGCTTTTTGAAGAAAGTTTAACTGCACAAGCCTATTCATCAAAAATTATAATAGTTTCATAGAGCACCATTCAGTCACTTAAAAAGGCCTAGTAGACAGGGTGGGGCGTGGTGGCGATGCCTGTAATCCCAGCACTTCGGGAGGCCAAGGCGCAAGGTCAGGAGATCAAGACCATCCTGGCTAACACGGTGAAACTCCGTCTCTACTAAAAATACAAAAAATTAGCCGGGCATGGTGGCGGGCGCCTGTAGTCCCAGCTACTCAGGAGGCTGAGGCAGGAGAATGGCGTGAACCCGGGAGGCAGAGCTTGCAGTGAGCCGAGATCACACCACTGCCCTCTGCACTCCAGTCTGGGCGACAGAGCAAGACTTCTTCTCAAAAAAAAAAAAAAAAAAAAAAAAAGGCCTGGTAGAGTATTTAATAATGTGGGGGAAATTCATGATAAGAACAAAGTCAAGTTAGAAACAGATTTACCTTAAGACTATAGTTTAGTTTTTTTTTAAAAAATATCATTTCAAACCCAAATTTTGATCTCTAGTATCATTGCTCACTAAAAGTAAGCAGGACTCCTTGAAGAAATGGCTGATTTCAGATTTAAGACAGGGAAACACAAGGTGAGCCCACTTTATCTTCTGACCAAAGTAAAGAAGCTTTCAAAGACATGGAGTCATTTCAAAAGGGCACAAAAACCTCGTAGATGGGGTTCCCACTGGACTAATTTGCCACCATTTGAACAACAAGATTGTAGGTAACTGAAACACACTGGGTCTAGGAAAATTCGTTAAGTCCATCATAACTCTCAAATAAGTCATAAAAACCTATTTGTTACCATTTGAGGTGGCCATTAAACCAACATCTTACTTTGAAAATTGGTAAGTAAAGGGAAGTATTACACATTTATTCTGCCTTTCCAGTAAGACCGGTATTTCTGAGTAACTAGTAGCCCTAGTTGACGAGTCAAAGCTGTACTTTACAAAAGAATGCGAGCTAATAAATATAGATGATAATAGATAGAAAGATAAAATTCACCATTTTGCAGCCCTGATGAAAATTACTGACTCAGGCAAGGATTATCAGTTGATGTTAAAATTGTTAGGTGATCAATTGGTGGGGAAGTGAATTTCGTATGTGATTTGCTTAAGGAACATCAAAAAAAAGATCACATTCTTTTCACAAGGGGGAAATCATAAATTTACAATGGCAGAGGCAGGATAAGACTAAAATTGTACAATAGAGAATAAGGCCATCATCATCCCAATTCATTGACCAAACTTAGCACCCCTAATGCTAGAACAACCAGGTATTATCCATCTCCTAATGAATTGCCTATGGTGTATACACATTAACTATGATGCACTTTCAACTAAAACACTTAATTTGAACCCATGGGAACTTTATTTTTTATTTATTTATTTATTTATTTATTTTTTGAGACGGAGGCTCACTCTTCCGCCCAGGCCAGAGTGCAGTGGCGCTATCTCGGCTCACTGCAAGCTCCACCTCCCGGGTTCACGCCATTCTCCTGCCTCAGCCTCCTGAATAGCTGGGACTACAGGCGCTCGCCACTGCGCCCGGCTGATTTTTTGTATTTTTAGTAGAGACGGGGTTTCACCGTGTTAGCCGGGATGGTCTCGATCTCCTGACCTCGTGATCCGCCCGCCTGGGCCTCCCAAAGTGCTGGGATTACAGGAGTGAGCCACCACTGCCGGCCAAACCTATCAAGACTTTAGATGTAACTTTCAGTTTATTGGAAACATATAGAAGAATAAACAGTTGCCACAACGAAACAATTAGACAAATTCAGAAGGTGAAACACTTTACAGAACAGATCAGTGTCATTGAGAAAAAAAAAGAGACTCTTCTACATTGGAGAGGTAAGTAGTGTGGCTTGGACAGGATCCTGGTTTGTATAGACCAGATGTAAATGATATTTGGAAGGTGGTTTGTGAAATATGGACAGGGTATATTTAAAAATTATGATTAATTTTTGTGAATTATGATAATATTTTGGCTATCCAGAAAATGTTTCTTTTAAAATACATACTAAAGTTAAAATGTCTTCAAAAATGTAAATGGTGATGGCATATAGGCTTTGGAGACAGGCCTGGTTTGACACCTGACTTCATTTACCAGCTAGTGACGTTTGGTCAAGGCATTTAAACTCTATGCCTTATTAACTGTCAGGCCTCTGAGCCCGAGCCAAGCCATCATATCCCCTGTGACCTGCACGTATACATCCAGATGGCCTGAAGCAAGTGAAGAATCACAAAACAAGTGAAAATGGCTGGTTCCTGCCTTAACTGATAACATTCCACCATTGTGATTTGTTCCTGCCCCACCTTAACTGAGCGATTAACCTTGTGAAATTCCTTCTCCTGGCTCAGAAGCTCCCCCACTGAGCACCTTGTGACCCCTGCCCCTGCCCACAAGAGAAAAGCCCCCTTTGACTGTAATTTTCCACTACCCACCCAAATCCTATAAAACGGCCCCACACCTATCTCCCTTCCCTAACTCTCTTTTCGGACTCAGCCCACCTGCACCCAGGTGAAATAAACAGCCTTTTTGCTCACACAGATCCTGTTTGGTGGTCTCTTCACACGGATGCACGTGACAGTAACCTCATCTGGCAGTACCTACCCTTGATAGATAATGGAAATTACATGACATAATGCATATAATGTATTCTAACATTGAACTACTGCGCTTCTTTCCCCACTAACATACTGCTGGTTGGCCCATCTACTTTTTTTCTATTCCTAATTCTTCTTTTTCTTTTTGAGACGTAGTCTTGCTCTGTTGCCCAGGCTACAGTGCAGTGGCGCAATGCCTCAGTCTCCTGAGTAGCTGTGATTACAGGCGCCTGCCACTGCACATGGCTAATATTTGTGTTTTTAGTAGAGACGATCTCTTTTCTGTTCCTCTCTGTTGCAAGCTTTCACTGGATTTCACTCTTATTTCCACTCTTGATTCTTTTGATCTCTTTGTGCACTATGATACCTCAGTGTTAAGTTATCCTTTGTTATTTGTGTTTATGCCACTGAGTACCCCATTACATAATTATTCACTCTCTTAGGTCTTCTTGTCTCTGAAAAGTTCAACAATCTCTGCCTCTTTGTCCTTTATAGCTCTTCATTTAGGACAATACCTTTTTTTCTTATCGACTCTTCATAATCTTCTTTAGCCATTCATTCCTAAAATCTCTTCTTCTCTGTCTGTCTCTCTCTCTGTCTCTGTTTCTGCTCTCTTTCTCTCTCTCTCCTCCCCCCCACGCCCTCTAACCATAGACCTTTCACTCTCTGTACTAAGGGATGTAAGGGAGAAATCCGCTTTTCTCTTTGAACATTCCTACACTTCTGACATCCTCATATTTCCTTTATCTTGCACCTAAGCCAAAGTGGAGAGGAGAGTCTAAGCCAAAGTTTGCTTCTGAAGTTCTTTGCATAATCACTTGAATTGCCTCAGCTGTCCCCTCTCCAATGCTCTGTTCTATTTGGGCTCTTGCTTCTGTCACCCTTAGTTGTCAGAAACAGCCATAATAAGGTCTTTTTTAACCTCTTCTTTCTTAATTAAATTCAAAATCCCCATTGTTAGCTTAAATCTTCAAATGTTTCAGTTACTTGGGATTGTAATTAAAATCCAATCTCATCTTTATTCATTTCCATTTAACTAGCTTTCTTATTTTCCCAGTAATTTAATTCTACCATTTGACTGCAACCTACTTGACATTCTCTCTCACTCACCCCTCATTTATCAATAGTGAATGTTTTCCCATATTTTCAATATATTTAGTTTTTAATTCCTCCAATGTCTGTGAAAATAGTAGAAACATTCTATCTTCTGGAGTAAATTCACCCAAGAAAATGGACTCTGGGGAAGAACTAGTGGTGAAAGATAAAATAAAAATGATGATATAGCAAAGGTAATTAATTCCTTTGAAAGCTCCTATTAATTTATTTAGGGATCTCAATATATAGATCAATAAATAATTACAGTCAGTAATATATGGCAAACTGAGATTTTTAGATTATATGTCACCAGTCATTCTCCCCGTTCCCATAAGCATGCATTTCCTCAGTTCCAGAAGGGTTCATGTCACTTTTGTGAAGCCTGGTGGAATAAATATTGCCCTGGAGTTGGACAGACCTCAGTTAATTCCTTGCTCTGTTACTCATTCCTGGGTGGCTCTGAAAAAGTTACTCAGAGCTCTAATGTCTCCATTTGTAAAATGAAATAGAAGCTAATAATATTCTGCAAGGGTAATAGCATTAAAAGTTACTTAAAGATACTTACATATTTGTTAACCACACTGCTCCCTGCCTAAAGAGAGAGAGAGAGAGACAGAGACAGGCAAATAGACAAGGTAATTCTACCAAAAGTAGCTATGCTTTCTCTTCCTTTTAACTTCTAGATAAGGTCCCATCCTACATCCTGTGGAAGTGAAAAGCCCTTCTTCACATTTCCCCAGATCCCCAGGAGACTTCATTTTCATTAGCATCCTTACCTGAAACTCCTTGTTTCTATTTAATCAGTTGGATTTATGATCATCCCTGTGCCCTTGTATGTGGTTCCTATTCATACTACCTTGACACAGATGTCAAACTTAGAGACCTCTGTGGTTTCTGTACCCATCCTACCCTCCCCAAAAAGAAAAACCTAGAAGAAAAAACACAAAACTCTGTACACAAAACCTTCTTGATTTTGGCAGCCAATGTTAACAAAAGAAGACTGCAGAAGGAGAAAGAAATATTACAGCATTGCAAACAACTGCAACAGAATACTCAACACTTCTTCATTTATTTTTTTTTTTTAGACAGAGTCTCACTCTGTCACACAGGCTGGAGTGCAGTGGTATGATCTCAACTCACTGCAACCTCTGCATCCCAGTTCAAGTGATTCTCCCAACTCAGCCTCCCAAGTAGCTGGGACTACAGTTGAGCACCACCACGCCTGGCTAATTTTTGTATTTTTAGTAGAGTCTGGGTTTCACCATGTTGGCCAGGCTGGTCTCAAACTCCTGACCTCAAGTAATCCGCCCACCTTGGCCTCCCAAAGTGCTGGGATTACAGGCGTGAACCACCGTGCCTGGCCAACATTTCTATTTTCAAGTCCTTCCAACTGTCCATCCTTGGGGATTTTTCTTTAGCCACGTTTTTCCATGCCACACTCCAAGTCCTATGCTGTCATAGCAATTTCATGTTCTCTGTTTGGAGACAAGATGCTTCCTGAAACTCTGTGTCCCCACCCAAATCTCATCTTGAATTATAGTTCCCATTATCCCCACATGTAGTGGGAGGGACCAGGTGAAGATAATTGAATCATAGAGGCAGTTTCCCCCATCCTGTTCTCATGATAGTGAGTTAGTTCTTATGAGTTCTGATGGTTTTATAAGGGACTTTCCCCTTTTTCTGAACACTCATTCTCTCTCCTGCCACCCTGTAAAAAGGTGCCTTCCACCATGATTGTAAGTTTCCTGAGGTCTCCCCAGCCATGTGGAACTATCAGTTAAACCTCTTTCCTTTATAAATTATGCAGTCTTGGATATTTCTTCATAGCAGTATGAGAATGGACTAATACAGTAAATTGGTACCACAGAGAGTGGGGTGCTGCTATAAGGATACTTTATGTGGAAATGACTTTGGAACTGGGTAATAGGCAGAAGTTGGGACAGTTTGGAGGGCTCAGAAGAAGACAGGAAAATGTGGGAAAGTTTGGAACTTCCTAGAGACTTGTTGAATGGCTTTGACCAAAATGCTGATGGTGATATGGACAATGAAGTCCAGGCTGAGGTGGTCTCAGATGGAGATGAGGAACTTGTTGAGAACTGGAGTAAAGGTCACTCTTGCTAGGCAAAGAGACTGGTGGCATTTTGCCCCTGCCCTAGAGATCTGTGGAACTTTGAACTTGAGAGAGATAATTTAGGGTATCTGGGGTAAGAAATTTCTAAGCAGCAAAGTGTTCAAGTGGAAGCAGAGCACAAAAGTTTGGAAACTTTGCAGCCTGACGATGCAATAAAAAAGAAAACCACATTTTCTGGGGAGAAATTCAAGCTGGCTGCAGAAATTTGCACACGGAGCCAAACGTTAATCACCAAGACAATGGGGAAAATGTCTTCAGGGCATGTCAGCAGCCTCTCCCTTCATATGCCTGGAAGCCTGGGAGGGAAAAATGGTTTCCTGGACTGGGACAAGGGCCCCCTCTCCATTTCCACCCCACCTGTGCAGCCTCAGGGCATGGTTCCCTGCATCCCAGCTGCTTCAGCTCTATCCATGACTAAAAGGGGCCAAGGAACAGCTCAGGCCATTACTTCGGAGGGTGCAAGCCCCAATCCTTGGCAGCTTCCACATGGTGTTGAGCCTGTAGGTGCACAGAAGTCAGGAATTGAGGTTTGGGCCTCTGTCTAGATTTCAGAGGATGAATGGAAACACCTGGATGTCTAGGCAGCAGTTTGTTGCAGGGGCGGAGTGCTCATGGAAAACCTCTGTTAAGGCAGTGTGGAAAGGGAAATGTGGGATCAGAACCCCCAAACAGAGTCCCCACTGGGGCACTGCCTATAGAACTATGAGAAGAGGGCCACTATCCTCCAGACCCCAGAATGGTAGATCCACTGATAGCTTGCACTATGTGCCTAGAAAAGCTGTAGACATTCAACACCAGCCTATGAAGGCAGCTGGAAGGGGGTGCTGTATCCTGCAAAGCCACAGCGGCAGAGCTGCCCAAAGCCATAGGAGCCCACCTCTTGCATCAATATGCCCTGGATGTGAAACATGGAGTCAAAGATCATTTTGGAGCTTTAAGATATGACTGCCCCACTGGATTTCAGACCTGCATATGGCCTGTAGCCCCTTTGTTTTTGCCAATTTCTCCCATTTGAAATGGTTGTATTTACTAAATGCCTGTGCCCCCATTGTAACTAGGAACTAACTAACCTGCTTTTGATTTTACAGGCTCCTAGGCAGAAGGAACTTGCCTTGTCTCAGATGAGACTTTAGACTTGAACTTTTGAGTTAATGCTGGAATGAATTAAGACTTTATGGGACTGTTGGAAGGGGAGAGCATGATTGTGTTTTGAATTGTGACAACATGAGATTTGGGAGGGGCCAAGGGCGCAATGATATGGTTTGGCTGTGTCCCTACCCAAATCTCGTCTTGAATTGTAATCCCATAATCCCCACATGTTGTGGGAGAGACTCAGTGGGAGGTAATTGAATCATGGGGGTAATTACCCTCATCCTGTTCTCATGATAGTGAGTTAGTTCTCACAAGATCCCATGGTTTTGTAAGGGGCATCCCCCTCTGCTGGGCTCTTATTCTCTCTCCTGCCACCCTGTGAAGTGGTGCCTTCTGCCATGACTGTAAGTTTCCTGAGGCCTCCCCAGCCCTGCAGAACCGTGAGTCAATTAACCCTCTTTCCTTTATAAATTACCCAGTCTCAAGTAGTTCTTTATAGCAGCATGAGAACGGACTAATACAAACTCCAAATTCTCTCTCTGTATTAATAGAGAAAATTACGTCTCTTCTGCCTCTGATCATAAACTTAGCCCATAAGCAAAACCAATTGAGGTCCTCAGCAGGAAAAGGTGGGGTGGGAAGAGTTCATTCAGTAGGATTTTCCTTTCTTAGAAGTTGTAGTAAATAGCATTTCCCCCATTCATTACATAATGATTTGGATCTTGTTCTTAATGAAAGTGTGGCTATAGCATTGCAGTTTTTAAAAATGCCACTTAATTAGAGTTTATAAATCTAAGAATATAGAACTACCTCAACATAAGTGTAATAAGTACAATACACACAAGATCAAGGCTACATGCCTGTGCAGTTTGGTGTCAATGTTCTCAAACAGCCATAGTCCATAGTTTAAATAGTAAAAAAAAAGACCTTGATAAATATTGTTCAAGATCTACTCTTATCAGTAAGCAGCCTTGATCTTTGCTGTTGGGTCCAGAGTTGATCAGGATCTGTATATCACCTGCTGGCATATGTTGACTTTGGAAGCTTTGTAGCTATTTAGTGTCAAAATGCTTGGCATTTCTAAGCTTTCTAATATACATGCATGTACACAGCACTTCTGACACTTCTTTATTCTAATAGATATAGTCATGAGTTTACCTTTTTGTATAAGTCTATTGTTGTAAAAGCTTTGAAAAGTGTGCCATTTCAAACCAAACAGAACAAAGAGAGGAAAATCGTATCCTCAATTCAATTACCATATCTCCATAGAACCAATCTTGGGTCCTCATGCTTTATTAGAGATTTATTTTTCAAGCGCTTATAAAATGTCATGTGTGGCCAGCAAAATATGAACTCAAGATGGAATAGAGGCTGGAGTGTGGAGAAAGTTCTTGCAATCCTTCCCTGAACTTCATAATGTCCAAAATCAGTTGAAAAACTAAGAAAAACAGCATATGCCATGACTTCAGAGGCTTGAAGAAAATTTTCAGTTAAATTGTAGTAGATTAAATTCTATGTTGTTCTATGCTGTTCTCCCCATCTACCTAGCATTGTGGCAAATATCTGAAATTTGTCCTTTCTGTTTTAGTTCAGAACTCTAGACAAACTCTGAATCTTCAGAAGTATTATCTGGATATGTTTTAGTTCAGAGGTGGACTTGATCACCTTTACTGAGAAAGCAGGATTTCAAGGAGGGCAAGGCTTCTTCTAAACTAAGATTTTATAATGCAGCTTTATTTCTGGCCTAACAAGCCACAAGCCAGCCCAGACTCAAGGAGAGGGCAAATGGACTCCACTTCTCAATGAGAGGAGTAATACTTTTTATCTGCCACAATTTCATTGTCCAGAAACATTACTCTCTAATAAACTTTTATACGTAAAGGGACATTTCTAAAAGCCAAGATGGATTCTAAGCATGACATAAAGGTTTAGATCTAAGACACAGAGTCATTATGATAGCTCACTAGGAAGTTCTTTTCTTTTTTTTTTTTTTGGTTTTGGAGTTGTATACCCAAATGTCAGTACTATGCCATACCCTATTTTGGGGATCCATTCCTCTTGTGATATAGCTTCAAAAATACTCACTCTAGGTTAAGATAAGCCATTTCATTAGGCATTGTGGGCAGTTGGTTAGGGAGAAATGCTTTTTTCTAAAACAGTTAATATTTATATTTGTATCAAAAAGTATTACTGAATGCTAGAAATAATCTCCCAGGGTCTGGTAGTTGTGCTTTACCTACTTCAATATATAACTAATATGTATTTTTATTTTACATCTAGTATCTCTCAACTAACAGCTAATGGAAGCTAATCAGCTGCTAATAAGTACACGTTGTCTGTGATGTTCAAGGTTTTACAGATAGTATCAACAGGTCCCACAACAAAAACAACTTGAGCAAAACTGATCTTTTTAGCTCTACAGCTTACACAAACTCACTTTGTCAGCTTTGGAATCAAGCCATTGACTGAGGCAACTATCATATGAACAGTCCCTGTGGATGGAAGCCTCCCAGGTTGTGTGCCATAAATAGGTGACAGCAGGGCACAGAGAGGCAGCACGTGGCAGGCCAGTTGGGCACTGGAACTCCTAAAGCCCCAAGTCAATGACCAGCTTCAAGCAGGATCTTCTAATTGCTCCCAAAGGACTAAAATAGAATGTATTCTGTGTTGTGGTTTTCTACCACGATGGAGAAAAAATTAACATGCACTCACCTAGTAACAGCTATCATCATTACATTTTTTAATATCCAGGTTTGAAGAGCTTCCGACCTAATATCTAGATCAATTTATCAAGAAATATATGTTTTCTAATAACAGCAAGGTTCCAGAATGTTGATCTCACCCCCAGTGTTTTATCTTATTGTAGTAAAATACATGTAACAAAAATTTACCATTTACATCATTTCAAATAGACATTTCAGTAGTGTTAAGTATATTCATAGTGTTGTGCAACCATCACCACCATCTACCTCCAGAACATTTTCATTTTTCCAAACTGAAACCCTATACCAATTAAACAACAACTCTCCATTTCTCTCTCCCTCCACTCACCATTCCACTTTCTGTCTCTATGAATTTGACTCCTATAAATAAGTGAAATCATACAGAACGTGTCTTTTTGTAACTGGCTTATTTCACTTAACAAAAGTTTCAGTCTTATTGTTGCATGTGACAGAATTTCTTTCTTTTCTAAGGCTGAATAATATTCAATTGTATGTATATACCACATTTTGTTTAGACTATCTTTGTTTTGTACATGTTTTTATTACTGATACAAACTTACTTGACTCCCTGGAGCAAGATCCAGGTACCTAGAAGTCACTGCAGTATGATCCTTTTTTTTCTTTTTAACTATCCCCTTAAGTAAACCCATCTGCTCATAAATCAGCTACCATACTTCATTTTTGCCTTGGAAATGTGTAATGGATGTTATATAATGAAAATGGGACAAACATTATTAGAACTCTAAAACGGGCTAAAGCATTTGAGTGTCTGTGACATTGAATGAAATGTCCTTTATGGCTGAGTTCATTAAAGAATTGTATTGATGAAGACTCTTGCTTGCTAGTGATTTACTGGGTATCTTACAGAATTTAAAGAGAATCTGAGGATCAGGAAGGAAAGGATTCATTGGGGATGCAAAAACAAGTGGAAGCAGGAAATCAAATACCATTGAGATCTTCACTTACATTATCTACTTCTATCTGTCTCTATCCTTCCCTCTGTGCATACTGGCCTTTTCCATGGGGCAGCAAATATAACAGCTTCAGAATCTGACTGAGCCTTAACAACTGTCAACAGGTGGATTTTTAATAGCCTTTGAGAAGGGGGTCCTCCCCAAAACCCACTTCAGATGTGACTGTGAAGATAATGAGTACCTACTGCCCAGAGGGTAGATCCAGAGACCCCAGAGAAGGACAGACAGAGCATTCTCTATTGAGAGTAGGATCAAGATCTACTTAATGACACACACACACACACTCTTACACTGCCACAGCAGCGCCTGCCCTATGAGATTCTGGCTTTGCTACAGAGCAGTGACTATTGTATTCCTTTTCTGAATGGGAGTTTTTTTGTTCTTTGTTCTCTATTTTCTGTTTTTGTCTTTTATTTATTATTTTTGAATTGACAAATGAAAAATTGCATATATTTGTGGTGTACAATGTGGTACATGTTTTGATATATGTATACACTGTGGAATGATTAAATCAAGCTAATTAACATATCCATCACCTTCACATCCTTACAATTTTTGTAATAATAATATTTAAAATCTACTCTCTTAGCAATTTTCAAGCATACAGTGCATTATTATTAGCTATAGTAACCATGCTGTTCAATAGATCTCCAGATTGTATTCCTTCCTCCTAATTAAAACTCTGTACCCTTTAACCAACATTTCCCCATCTCCACCCACACCTCCAGCCCCTGGTAACCACTGTTCTACTCCCTACTTCTATGAGTTTGACTTCTTAAGGTTTCACATGTAATTGAGGTCATGCAGTATTTGGCTTTTTGTGCCTGGCTTATTTCCCTAAGCATAATGTTCTCCTGGTATATCCATATTGTTGTAAATAAAAGGATTTATTTCTATCTTAAAGCTGAATAGTATTCCATTGTGTATGCATATCATATGTTATTTATCCATTCATCTAAGTTTGCCTGGATGTCTTGGCCATTGTGAATGGTGCTACAATAAACATAAGAGTGTAGATATCTTTTCATCATACTGTCTTCATTTTCTTTGGATATACACTTAGTAGTGGGATTGCTAGATCATACAATTGTTCCATTTTTAATTTTTTGAGAAAGGTTCCTACTATTTTTCTATAATAACAGCATTAATTTACATTGCCACCAACAATGTACAAGGGTTCTCTTCTCTTCATACACTCACCAACCTTTGCTAGCTTTTGTCTTTTGATAATAGCCATCTTAACAGGTGTAAGATGATATCACTCAATATGGTTTTGATTTGCATTTCTCTGATGATTGGTGATGTTGAGCACCTTTTCATATACCTGTTAGCCTTTTGTATGTCTTCTTTTGAGAAATATCTATTCGGGTCCTTTGCTCATTTTTTAATTGTGTTGTTTTCTTGCTATTACGTTGCTTGAGTTCCTGATATATTTTGTATATTAACCCCTTATCATATGAATGGTTTGCAAATATTGTCTCCCATTCTATAGATTATCTTTTCCTTTGCTGTGCAGAAGGTTTTTTAATTTGGTGCCATGCTGTTTGTCTATGTTTGGTTTTGTTGTTTTGGGATCACATTCGAAAAAATATTTGCCAAAACCAAAGTCAAGAAGCTTTTTTTTCTATTTTTTCTTCTGATAATTTTACAAATTGAGTTCTTACATTTAGTCTTTAATCCATTTTGAGTTGATTTTTGTATATGGGGTGAAATAAGTGTCCAATTCCATTTCTCTGCATGTGGATATCCAGTTTTCCCAACACCATTTATTGAAGAGACTGTTCTTTCCCCTGTTGTGTGATCTTGGCACCTTTGTCAAAGACCAGTTGACTGTAATGTGTGGACTTATTTCCGGGCTCTCTATTCTGTTCCATTGCTCTGTATGTCTGTGTTTGTGCCAGTACTATATTGTTTTGGCTACTAAAGATTTATAGTAGATTTTGAAATCAAGTAGTGTGATTCCTCCACTTTTGTTCCTTTGGCTCAAGACTTCTTTGGCGACTTGGGGTCTCCTGTGGTTTCATACAAATTTAACATTGTTTTTATATTTCTATGAAAAATGTCATTAGAATTTTGATAGGGACTCTGCTGAATCTGTATATGGCTTTGAATAGTATGGCCATTTTTACAATATTATTTTTTTCAGTTCATGAACATGAAGCATTTTTCATTTATTTGTATCTTCTTCAATTTTTTCCATCAATGTTTTATAATTTTCAGTGTACAGATCTTTCATCTGTTAGTTAAATTTATTTCTAAGTAACTTTTATTCTTGTAAAATGGAATTGTACTCTTGATTTCTTCTTTGGATAGTTCACTGTTGGGCAAATGGGAGTTTTTATTACACTTATCTGAGCCTTGCACACTATGTTCTCAGCTGAAACACAACACATCAAACCACTTTGTGGCCTCATCTTCTGTAGGGTCTCCAAGCACAGCTGTTTGTATTTGACTCCCTTGTTCTGGTCTCTAGTCCTTCGCTCTTCCCACCTCTGCTCAGAGAGGGCTCAGGAAAGGAAGAAAAGCAATGTTCCTCCCTTTCTCCCCTTAGCCATTTTGTCAAACCTAGCTGGTATACCTCAGATCTTTCTTTCCCCAGAAAGAATTCCGTCAACATCTTCACCGCAGTCAGAGGCTAATGAGTTGAGATGTAAGTTTTAAATTCCCAACATCATTAACATGTTAGTGTTGGTCTTTAGTGGTCTGTCCCCACTGAGACTCTAGATGTTCCAAAATCAATATTAAGTCCTCAGTGATGGCTCTGGCTTTGAAAGAAAAATCTTCCTATCCCCAAACCAACTGTTACTAAATAACATCTACCTTTCCCTTCATGTGAACAACAGCAGAAGGTCTTTGGGGCTTTGCCTTGGTGCCTACTGGGAAAGGGGTGTGATGGGGCAGTGCTACTCAATTTGTAATCTATCCCCTCCTCACTCAATTATTATTATTATTATTATTTGAGATGGGGTCTCACTCTGTTGCCCAGGCTGGAGTTCCGTGGTGCAATCTCAGCTCTCACTGCAGCCTCAACCTCGCAGCCCATCCTCCCACCTCAGCCTCCCTAGTAGCTGGGACTTCAGGCATGCACTGCCATCCCTAGCTATTTTTTTGTATTTTTGGTAGAGACAGGGTTTCACCATGTTGGTCAGGCTGGTCTCAAACTCCTGAGCTCAAGTAATCCACCTGCCTTGGCCTCCCAAAGTGCTAGGATCACAAGTGTGAACCACCCTGTTCAGCCCACTCTATTATTTTAAAGACAGCAGCCTGCTCATTGAAAAGAAATACACACACACACACATACATCAGTTATTCAGTTTGAGAATTCTAAGTTCTTTATTCTTTAGTCATTAGTTTTGTGGTGCAGAGCACGTGCTTTCAAGTCAGATCTCTGGGGTTCAGAGGACTGGTCACAAATTATTTAACTTCTATAAGTCTCAGTTTTCTCATATGTAAAAAGAGCTAATAACATTACATACTTCCTGTGGTGATTGAGAGGGTCGAATGGACACTCACGAAAGCCCTCAGTACAGTGTCTAATAGATAATAAGCATGCAATAAATTTGCTATGATTACTATTATTCTCTACCAGTCCAAAACATTGGGTGGAATTAGACACCTGAAATTTCAATCTGATTTAATAAATCCAGAGGTCTGAGCCACGGAAATCTCAACGGAATTCGTATGTCACGTCCCATCACTAAGCTTTATTAATTACAACAGCTTCCAGGTGATGGATGTACTCACTGTCCTGAACACATGGCTTGAAGGACAGAGTGAAGACTTATGAACTTTGTAAACTTCTCATGCTGCACAAGATGAAGAAGACCTATTTTGGGAGATGTACCTCTGTGCCTTATATGATGATCCTCTTTAAGAAGTTGGCGGTTTGGCTCGGAATTCTCTTGTTTTTACATTCCCAGCCTGACGAGCACATCATCAGAGTGCTATCTAAGTTCTCTTTACTGGCAGTTGCATGGTTTTCAGGTCTGTTAGGGAGGCATAGCTGTCCCCTGAAATCAATACTGAGTTGCAGGGATATGTTTACTTTGACTTTAGTCCTATTGGAATTCTGTGACCTTGGCCTAAAATGGACAGTGATCAAATATATTATTTCTGAAGGGCAAAGTTAAGAGATTTAGCCTTAGGAATAGGAATGGGGACATCAGAAATAGGACAAAGCTGCTGCTCTTCAGGTTCTTGAAGGACTTCTCAAGGTGAGACTTAGTTCGTACGTCCCCTTTTCTCCGTGCTCCATGCCATGAGAGGGGAATTCCAGTCACACTCTGTCTGGCCAGCTGTTTATAATTCTGCTACTGCTGATGTTAAGCCATTTTATTTCTCTTTCAGTGCCACATCTCTGTGGAAAATGCACTTAACAAATATATTGCCTACTGTGTAAACTACTACAGAAAGTTCTTATTTTTATGCCCATAACATTCTGAAACCCAGAGCGTTAAGCAATCCCTTGTAATAAACGAAACTTCTGTAAGGCTTTCTCAGTGCCATCTAGCATTTCAAAGCACTCGTTTACTCCTCATAACAACCCTCTGAGTTCAGTGCTTTAGGTTCTGAGAACCTAAAGGTGAGGAAACCAAGGCATAGAGAGAGCTAAGACCATGAGGCTAGGAAGTGGAGGAGCAGAGCAGTGCATGCAGGCCCCCTGGTGCAGAACGCCGGCTCCAGCAGCCTCTGAGATGGTCCTCAGCGACCCTAGACTTCTGCTGTTCACGCCCTTGTGTGGGGACTGAAATTGTTGACTTTCAAGTCAAATACAACAAAATCATGGGATATCACGTCTGAGCTTAGGTTACACTCATGTGTACCTACATGAATGAGTCCAGAAGCAGATTCCTCAGCCCCCATCTGGCCTGCAGATGACTGCAGCCTCCGGAAAGAGCCTGAACCTCAGGCACCCAGCTGAGCAGGTCTGGGTTGCTGCCCACTGAAGCCATGAGTTGAAGTTTATTGTTTTAAGCCACTACATTTTGGGGAAATTTGTGATATAGCAACAACACAACACCTGAAACGTGCTGCTAGGTTTTTGTTGTTGTTGTTGTTGTTTATTTGTTTTAAAACAACACAAGATTTCACAATTAAAAGTAGCATTTCTTAATAAGGCCTATAGTTAGTGAGGGCACTTAGCCCGTGCCTGTGTTGATTACTGGCTCCATGCAAGTTCCTTATTCATCTTCAAGCAGGATTATTTCTGTATCAATTTCATGATGATTAAAATTCTTTTTTTTTAATTTATCAAAGACTTTCTGAAATTCTAAACTTATTCATTGCTTACCCTTATTGATTTTTCTCTCTCAGAGAATTCCTCTGGTCATGCATACCTTACTGGAATTATGTGGACAACTTTTGTTTAGTGAAGAGTGATGGTGCCCCATAGTATAGGCTCTTTGAGCTTGGAACGTGTGGAAGGATCACCCAGGGGTAATCACCCCAGTCTGCCTTCCCCATCTGGTCCCTGCAGTATTTTTTTATCTTGTTCTATTTTATCTTTTCTTTCTTCTTCATCATGTGTGTGTGTCTGTATGTGTCCATTTGCGATCTTCTCAGCATCTGACACAAACTGACATACTCTGACCAGAAATTTTTTCCTAGATTCCAACAAAAATATCAAATTCTTTTCATGTGGGTTCAGTAGTTTTTCAACATTTATCAACATAGCTTAGAAATGCTGAGGGACAATAATATGATCTTGTTTGTTTTATAGAAAATTTGATCAGAAGAAACTCTTTAAAGTATTTATCAGTCAGAAACAGGCCAAGGACGTATTTAATCGGTGAGTCATCCCTTTTTTTTCCTGAAGTCTTTGTCCCATAATCATGGAGAGTCCCATAGAATGCACCCTTGAGGATTTGCCATTCACAATTGTGACCATTCTGGAAGGTCCCCCAGTGCTCATAACATTTAGGAATTTGTGGTTTTGCCAACTGAGGTTTGTGTACATGAGTGAGGCACTCACTTAGCAGGTAGACACCTGACCATCAGCCCAACATCAGCATCTTAACAGAATTCTATTGATATGTAATATAAGCAGAATACATGTAATATATGGCAGGCATACATTATGGGGTGATTGCATATTGCAGCAGTATTTTATAAATTTAGTAGGTCCGAGAAATACATCTCTAAGAGCAAAGGGGCTACTGAATCTTTATGTTGTTTTTGTTCTTTTGTTTCTTCTCAAATTCTTTTGGCCTGCCTCACTTTTAGTTTGCCGTCTAGAGTTGGAAATTTTTTGTTGTTGTTATTTGAAAATGTCTTTCCCTGCTTTTATTTTGTATAAATGCAAAGCGTTACTTATATTTGCATGTGTGTGTGTGTGTGTGTGTGTGCCATGCCATATATGGAAAAGACTTCAGTTTTCTGCACTCTTACCCATCAGCCTTGCCACTACCATAAAGTGACTTTAGGGTATGTCTTGCTGACTTACCAAGAATAGAGAGATGGTTACATCATTTCACCAGAGGTAACCAAGGTCAACACTTTGTAAGTCACTATTGACTCTAGATCACCTGCCAAAATTTCAAACACCATGAGACAGCATTGGAAGGCATCCAGTGAGAGTTTTTAATTTGGAGCACTGAGCCCCAGCGTGGTTTTGCAGGATTCATATGCCAAGTGAGTGATGATAAGGGCTAAAGAGTTGTAGTGTTTTTTTTTTTTTTTTTTTTTGAGACAGAGTCTTGCTCTGTCACCAGGCTGGAGTGCAGTGGCAAGATCTCGGCTCACTGCAACTTCAGCCTCCTGGGTTCAAGAGATTCTCGGGCCTCAGCCTTCCAAGTAGCTGGGATTATAGGCACGTGCCACTATGCCCGGCTAATTTTTTTGTATTTTTAGTAGAGATGGGGTTTCACCATGCTGGCCAGGATGGTCTCGATCTCCTGACCTTGTGATCTGCCCGCCTCGGCCTCCCAAAGTGCTGGGATTACAGGTATGAGCCACCGTGCCCGTTCAGGCTAAAGAGTTTTGATAAGTAAAGAAAAGAGCTTAAAAGAAAATTAACCCTTGGTGTTTTGTAACTGAGTGGTCAAATAGAAGAAGCAGCCGTTGTGTCCTTGAAGTATGGCCAGCCTCCAAAGAGCAATGACCCCCCTAGTCTGACTGCAGCAAAGGATGTCTTCACTTTCCTAAAACAGTATCACCCACCTGCCACTCAGTATCCCCTAATATTGGCGGGGCATGCTGGCTTATGCCTGTAATTCCAGCTCTTTGGGAGGCTGAGGCAGGCAGATTGCTTGAACTCAGGGGTTTTGAGATCAGCCTGGGCAATATGGCAAAGCCCTGTCTCTATTTAAAAAATAAGAAAGATAGAAATCCCCTAATATAGAATGAAGTCTTTACATTCTGCACTTAGAAGTTACACTCTAAATACCCACGCCTCAGAAAAAATAATACTTTTAATCCACCCTTTGGTATGTATGGAGTTGGAATTAGATCCTTCTAAAATGATTGGACTAGACTCTGAGTGCCTTGAGGGCAGGGAGAGGGTCTTCCCATTTCTATAAATCACTGCTCCCAGCACTGAGCCTGGTACAGCCTGAGCACTCAGCAGCCCTCAGTTCTTTCCTGAATGACCGATGGGCACTGTGAGATGAGGAAGGGAGCACCAAACACAAAACATACTTCATACTTTTGCTTTGCCTTGTTCTCAAATGTCAGAATAAAATAATGTTGGACTAGGCCAGCAGTCCAATGTGAGTCCTCTGGTTGAACAAATGCTGTAGGTACTGGGTAATTAGAATATTGTCATCAGTTACCTTCTAAGGGACCCACTGCCTGCATGGAAATAGAATGTATCGAGTGAGGCTAAGATTTGTTCTGTGATCCCCATTGTTCTGCATTTGCCTACTTCAGAGGAAAACAGGAGTGGGGTGGGCCCTGGATATGAATGCATATTTATGCTATCTTTCTTTTTTTGTATTAGCATATCCAACACTGCCCATGTTATACCTTAGATCCCCAGAATTTGCCTTGTATAACCTTAGAGCAATATATATCCTTTGACCAATATTTCCTTGTCCTTCTAACCCCCACCCACCCCCCCCACCACCTAGTAACCATGATTCTACTCTCTGCTTGCACGAATTTGACTTTTTTAGATTCCATATATAAGTGAAATCATGCAGTATTTGTCTTTCTGCATCTGGCTTATTTCACATAGCATGTTGTCCTCTAGGTTCACCCGTATTTTCCCCAATGGCAGTATTTCTTGTTTTTGTGGCTGAATAATATTCCATTGTATGTACATACCACATTGTCTTTTTCCATGCAGCCATCGAAGGACACTTGGGTTGTTTCCATACCTTGGCTATTGTGAATAATGCTGCAACATGGGAGCGCAGGGAGCTCTTGAAGATACCACTTTCATTTCCTTTGGGAATATACTCAGAAGTAGGATTGCTGGATCATACGGTAGCTCTATTTTTAATTTTTTGAGGAACTTCCATACTGTTTTTCATAATGGCTGTACTAATTTACCTTCCCACCAACAGTGTACAAGGGTTCATTTCTCTCCACACCCTCTCTGCCAACCTTTGTTATCTCTTATCTTTTTGATAATAGCCATTCCACCAGGGAGGAGGTGATACCTTATTGTGGGTTTGATTTGCTTTTCTCTGATTATCGGGGCTGTTGAGCCTCTTTTCCTATGCTTGTTGGCCATTTGTATGTCTTCTTTTAAGAAAGGTCTATTCAGTCTGTGTGGGATGGCACTGGGTATTTCCAGCCCTGAAGGAAAAGTGAAATGCATGAGGATGAGAATTTAGGCTCTTTAGTCACTTTCCACACCTCCTTCCATCTCCCTCATGTAGACACACACACACACACACACACACACACACACACACACACAGAGGTCAGGCTGATTCAGGAACCAGCAGAAGCCCCCAGCTCCCTTTTTCCCTGCCATTATTGCTCAGTGGGCTCCGCTCTGTTCACTTGGCACCTTAATGTACTACAGCCTCTTTAACTTTCTTCTTGCTTTTTTTCCACTCTCTCTGCATGCTATAGGCTTAATTTTGTTCCTCTCAAATGCATATGTTGAAGCCCAAATTGCCAGTACTTCAGAATGTGACTGGGCCGTTAACGAGTAATTATGGTTAAGTGAGGTCACAAGAGTGGGGCCCTAATCTAACAGGACCAGTGTCCTTATAAGAAGAGAAAGTGACACTCGAGATGCCTGCTCATAGAGAAAAGACGGTGTGGGGGCACAGGGAGAAGGTTGCCATGTGCACACCAAGGAGAGAGGCCTCAGGAGAAACTAAACCTGCCAGCACCTTGATCTCAGACTCTCCAGCCTCCAGAAGCCTGAGAAAATGCATGTCTGAATAAATGGTGCTGGGAAAACTGGCTAGCCATATGTAGAAAGCTGAAACTGGATCCCTTCCTTACACCTTATACAAAAATCAATTCAAGATGGATTAAAGATTTAAACGTTAGACCTAAAACCATAAAAACCCTAGAAGAAAACCTAGGCATTACCATTCAGGACATAGGCGTGGGCAAGGACTTCATGTCCAAAACACCAAAAGCAATGGCAACAAAAGCCAAAATTGACAAATGGGATCTAATTAAACTAAAGAGCTTCTGCACAGCAAAAGAAACTACCATCAGAGTGAACAGGCAACCTACAACATGGGAGAAAATTTTCGCAACCTACTCATCTGACAAAGGGCTAATATCCAGAATCTACAATGAACTCAAACAAATTTACAAGAAAAAAACAAACAACCCCATCAAAAAGTGGGCGAAGGACATGAACAGACACTTCTCAAAAGAAGACATTTATGCAGCCAAAAAACACATGAAAAAATGCTCATCATCACTGGCCATCAGAGAAATGCAAATCAAAACCACTATGAGATATCATCTCACACCAGTTAGAATGGCAATCATTAAAGAGTCAGGAAACAACAGGTGCTGGAGAGGATGTGGAGAAATAGGAACACTTTTACACTGTTGGTGGGAGTGTAAACTAGTTCAACCATTGTGGAAGTCAGTGTGGCGATTCCTCAGGGATCTAGAACTAGAAATACCATTTGACCCAGCCATCCCATTACTGGGTATATACCCAAATGACTATAAATCATGCTGCTATAAAGACACATGCACACGTATGTTTACTGCGGCACTATTCACAATAGCAAAGACTTGGAACCAACCCAAATGTCCAACAATGATAGACTGGATTAAGAAAATGTGGCACATATACACCATGGAATACTATGCAGCCATAAAAAATGATGAGTTCATGTCCTTTGTAGGGACATGGATGAAATTGGAAACCATCATTCTCAGTAAACTATCGCAAGAACAAAAAACCAAACACCGCATATTCTCACTCATAGGTGGGAATTGAACAATGAGATCACATGGACACAGGAAGGGGAATATCACACTCTGGGGACTGTGGTGGGGTCGGGGGATGGGGGAGGGATAGCATTGGGAGATATACCTAATGCTAGATGACACGTTAGTGGGTGCAGCGCACCAGCATGGCACCATGTATACATATGTAACTAACCTGCACAATGTGCACATGTACCCTAAAACTTAAAGTATAATAATAATTAAAAAAAAAAAAAAAAAAAAAAAAAAAAAAGAAAATGCATGTCTGCTGTTGAAGCCACCTGCTCCCCGGTCCTTTGCTACGGCAGCCCTAGTAGGCCAATACACTGCTCTTTCCCACTTCCTCAAATTCCTCTGTATGGTGCCGTCAGCCCTGTCCCCTCCACCTCCCTCCCTTTACTGGCAAAGCTGAATGAAAGGTAAATAAAAGGATAAGCTTTAAAGTAAAATGATAAGTAGTCTTCTGCCTCTTGTTTTACTCAGCTACAAAATAAGGGATTCGCTTTTACCTATAACCTGGAGACTCTATGATTCTAAATCACCTCCTGTGAAACTGCCTCCTTTGAAAATTCCTAAATGACTCCTTCAGAATCTTCATGTTTTATCTCCCGTCCTCTTTTAAGACGTCTGTTTTCAAGATAAATTAAAACCATTTCTTAGTCAAATTAAAACCATTTCTTAGTCAAATTAAAATATTCATATTTCAACAGTGGGTTTTCTCCCTTTCTTTACGTTTGCATTGTAAAATTATTCAAAACAGAGTGGCTCATGATATTATGGGTTACACTGACTTTTGTTTGTTGCTCTGGGAACCTAAGTCCCATCTATAACATAATTTCTTCAATAAAATGTGTTCTGAGTCCCAAATATTCTATTCAAGAGTGAATCTTTGAAACACACTGCTTATACATTGGGGACTGTTTAAACATGGTTGAATTGAAAGAAGTCATACATCCTGACACTATTTCTTTGGAAATAAGCTTTCATTATTATGAGACAAGTTGCTTGGCCTAATTATAATAAAAGGAGAAATCAAACAGGTGGCCAGCATTATGGAGCCATCCTCCAGCCCCAGAAAACTGTACAATGAATGGATTTCTTCATTGTGCTGCAAAGCAAAGGCCTGACTGGAACCAGAAACAGGCTTAGACCTTCAGCAGGCTTAGACCTTCAGCAGGCTGAACATTTCTGAAATTTCACTTAATAAAGAATAGAAAATAAATAGGAGACTCAGTACATAAATGACTGGATTGCGGGTCAAAGAAGACTGTGTCTGCTTCCCCCCTGGGCCTTTGCCCCATGCCGGTCTAGTGACTGTGCCAATGGGGCTCACCTCTCTGTGTCTCTGAGCCCTGTCAGCAACCTGCTCAGCTGCCCACAGAACTGATGCCTTCTCCACCTCCAGTTTGTTTCAGCAAATAGTAAACCTGCCTTGTCACGCAGCGTGGGCCTGAGCACTAGCCAGCTGTGTTCTCAATTCTGTGTGTAGCTCTTTCCCAATATTTCAATAGTGTGAGAGATCAATAGAGAGAATCAAAAAGACCTGCTAGTAAAGCAACCAGCGTTTGCAACTCACTAGAGCCCAGGCTAAGAAGAAAAACAGAGACCCCAAAGTGCCCAACGCCTCCGCACAAATAACACACTTATTCCATCACCGTCTTCAACTCTTTGAGCTCCCGCTATGTTTAAGGTGTCAATTGGAAGCTTTGGTGGGCTATGCAGTTGAATAAAATACAATTGCCCTCCTTGGAGAACTGCCATTCCCTGGAATCACTCCAGAGAAGTGATGAAGTAAAGGCACTTACAGCCAAGTTTCTGAGAAACTGCTGACTCTGTTTGATTGCCACATGTCTGTGGCCAAAGCACTCCCAGGGACACCTGAGCTCACTCCAATACCTCCCCGTGGCCCTGGCACACTGTTACCTGGAGCACCAAATGTTTCACCGAGATGATATCCCGTGTCCCTTCATCTGCCCCCAACCATCTTCTCACCAACACACTCCAAGAAAAACTGTGAGGAGAAGTATTTTCCTGTACATATTTTCCTGCATGCACATACTTTTGTGTTTTAAAATAACAATTTCTGTTTCCAGTGGAGTTTGTTTCACATTGCTTCTTGCCAGAAAATCAAAAGAAAAAAAAGGTTCCATTTTGATGTCTTGTTGGTGATAGTGGCGAAGAAGATAATCAATACCCCATCAGCTCCCTCCTGATCCCCCCATTCCTTGCTCTTCTCCAAAGAATTATAGGAGCCAGAAATAAAACCTCAAATTGGAAACTTGAAAGGAAATTAAATATGAAAGCCTTAAATGAAATTACTTTTCAAGCCATCTTTCTGAGTAAAGGCAAGTGTGGCAAAGTATTAGGATGAATCTAGGTGAAAGTCATGGGTATTCAATGTATTCTTTAACTGTTTTTCATGGATTGAAATTCTGCAAAATAGCAAATGGGAAGGTGATCAGCCCTCCTCCTGTCACCCCTCACTTCTCTCATGAATTCTCTCAAACAAGTACTTATAATTCTTGAAACTGTCATTGATTTAATCCATGAGGACTTGCTCCAGAACTGTTAAGCGTTGAATCTATATTCTAATTAACTTTGCCACCTATGGTTGGATAACTGTCAATGAGAAATGGTTCTTCAAAATGGAGTTAAGGCTACCAAAGATTGTGGGTGCACATTTTTTTCAATAAAAATGGGGAGTTTTCATATAGTCATCCAAAGTTTATGAATATTTTTATTTTTTACTTTTTACTTTTTTTTGAGACAAGGGCTTGCTTTGTCACCCAGGTTGGAGTGAGTGGCACAATCTCGGCTCACTGCAACCTCTGCCTCCCAGATTCAAGAAATTCTCCTGCCTCAGCCTCTGGAGTGGCTGGAATCACAGGCATGAGCCACCACGCCTGGCTAATATTTGTATTTTTAGTAGAGATGGGGTTTCCCCATGTTGGCCAGGCTGGTCTCGAACTCCTGACCTCAGGTGATCCACATGCTTTGGCCTCCCAGAGTGCTGGGATTACAGGTGTGAGCCACCACACCCAGCCAGTATTTTTATTTTTAATTAATTAATTTTATTTGTTCATTTTTTTTCATATGTAGGTTTATTGATGAAGAAATGGACTTTGTGGAGTCTATGAAACCTATGCCTGTATTTGGAAGGTAGGTCCTAACATATGCATTAGTTTAGTTCAGTGGATACAGCATTTCATGTGCAGATAGGAGGTTTCTAGATTGGGGCCTGTCTTATAACTTGCTATGCAACCCTTTAAACAAAAATCACCTCTGTTTCACCAAATATCAGTTTCTAACTAAAATGAGGGCTTAGACTAGAGAACTTTAAATAGCTGTGAATCGTCTGTGAAGCATCCGTGCTGCTGTCTTGACCTCACTTCACAGGCCCGAGCCTCTGCGTTGGTATCAACCAAGGCAGTGTGGAGATGATGCTGATGAGAAGCTGTATTCCATAATCCACTCATAAAACCAAGGCTAAAACCTTAAGCCCATTGCCTCAAAAATGTATAACACGGAGCCTAAGAGAAACAATATGAGATTACACAATTAACTCCAAGGTGTTGGTGAGATGAAGAGACACTGTCCTACCTGAAGGTGAGCACAGCATAATGTTGTATTTGATTATACTGTGGCTCTTCACGGGCTCTCAGCTAGAGTCGTCAGCCTCCTTCCTGACCTTCCTAGGCCTGGCAGCTGCAGTGCCCCACCCTCTGACCAAGTGATCCTCCCAAACAGTGAGGATTTAGGGACAGAAGTGTCATCATGGATTTTGTTTACTGTGGCGTATCTTTTCAATGACCTGAGTCAAGACAGCCTGTCACCTGGACTTGCCACAAAGGGAAGAGTGCTGGCTGTGGAGTTGGAGCAACCTGGATTCCAATACTCCCAGCTCTTTCACCTGTCAGCATTGTGACCTTGAGCCAGTGACTTAACCTTTCTGGAGTTCTGCCTTTCTCTTCTGTAATATAGAGGTAATAGTAACACAAATCTCAAAGGACTCTTGAGGATATGATGGGATGGTGCATGGCATGTGGAGTAGTGACCTGGCCCTGGCCCATGGGAATCTGAATAGATTTAACCATGAAAATCTCTCCTCCTAGGTCTATTTGATCTTATAATAGGTTGTAATGTCTTTTAGGTGCTTTTGAAAATAAAAATATCTTTCTAAATGGAATGGTTTCATCTCCAATAAAGTTCTAACTTAATGTTGTCTAAGATAAAATTATATCTATAGCTTTATTTATTTATTTATTTATTTTGAGTCAGAGTTTTGCTTTTGTTGCCCAGGCTGGAGTACAATGGCGTGATCTCGGCTCACTGCGACCTCCATCTCCTGGGTTCAAGCCATTCTCCTGCCTCAGCCTCCCAAGTAGCTGGGATTACAGGCATGTGCCACCATGCCTGGCTAATTTTTTTTTTTTTTTTTTTTTTGTATTTTTAGTAGAGATGGGGTTTCTCCGTGTTGGTCAGGCTGGTCTAGAACTATCGACCTCAGGTGATCTGCCTGCCTTGGCCTCCCAAAGTGTTGAGATTACAGGCATGAGCCACTGTGCCTGGCCATCCATGGCTTTTTAAATGTATTCTCCTCGCATGCTTTTTTCAAAAAAGACAAAATACTTCATATACCAATGCATGTATACATTCTTTAAAGTTAATAAAATTACAGTACAAAATAGCCTTTGGGATTGCTATACAATAGGGATTGGCAAACATTTTCTGTAAAGAACTAGACTTTAAATATATCAGGAATTGTGGCCACATGGTCTCTGTTGCAACTGCTCAGCTCCACAGTGGCATCACAACAGCAGGCGCAGACAAGAATGCAAACAATGGGCATGCTGCGTCCTAATAAAACTTGACTGATGGGTGTGGAAGTCCAAATTTCACATACTTCTCACATGTCATAAAAGATTCTTATTCTTTTGATTTTTTTATCTAACCATTAAAAAACGTAAAAACCATTCTCAACTTTCAGGCTATACAAAAACAGAGGCGGGAACCCTTTGGTCCATGTGCCATCAGTTGCCAACCCTTGCTCTACAAGAACAAAGACATGGAAAAATGTGGGATGCATTTAAAAAGTCATAAAATCTATTAGGAAACCACATTGGAAATTTAGTTTATCACTGTTCACTATAAAATAGATGTTTGTTAATCTTGAACCACATCTAAATGACTTTAATTTTCTTAATATAAAAGATAACCTACTTAAGGGATAAATCTATGGTAATATTAAATAGCAAGATGAAAACTTGTAATAAATTTTATGTAGTATGAGGGAGATTTTTGAGTAAATTATTACATTGAATATTTTTGCAATATTTGAATATATGAGTATTTTGAATGAATCCTGAATAAAATTGTTGTTGTTTAGCTTATCAGTGGGTGAATGTTTTAAACACTCTGAATAATTCAAAATTTAAAACACATAGATTCGGCCAGGTGTGGTGGCCCGTGTCTGTAATCACAGCACTTTGGGAGGCCGAGGCGGGCAGATCACCCCAGGTCAGGAGTTTGAGACCAGCCTGCCCAACATGGTGAAACCCCGTCTCTACTAAGGATATGAAAATTAGCTAGGCATGGTGACACGTGCCTGTAGTCCCAGCTACTCGGTAGGCTGAGGCATGAGAATCACTTGAACTCAGGAGGTGGCAGTTACAGTGAGCCGAGATCGCACCACTGCACTCCAGCCTTGGCGAGAGGGTGAGACTCTTTCTCTAAATAAATAAATAAATAAATAAATAAATACACATAGATTCATACTTTTATTTCTGAAAGATGAATCATTTCAAAATTATCAAATGTTAGAATATTTTCTTAATATTTGTAAAATAAGCAAAAAGGTAAATATAATTTAAATATAAATACTACACAGAAATATCAATTGACATAGAGCTGATAACTCATACTTAAAATATTTTATCAAAGCATTGTTGTACACAGCATTTAAACACTCGAGTCACCTTAGTTTTTTTCATCTGCAAGTCATTTAGCGATAAAAAGCATTTAAATAAAACATAATGTCAAGCTGCACTTAATACACTCCACATGTTTCATAACCAAAGCTTCCAAATGGCTATTTCCATCCAGTTTTAACTTTAAAACATATCACATAAAAGCTACATTTTTTCAGTGATAATGTGTATTTAACAATGACAGAAAAACTACCTTTTTTAATCTCTGAGAAAACTCTTCTCATTAATGTGAATGAAATAAAAATATAGAGAAGATAGTTAAAGCCGGACATAGAGTTTTCAGCAACAATAAGTTAAAACATGAAGGGAAAATAAAACCACCTTTAGTGTTTTTGGGAAATCAAGATAATCATGTTTAAAGCCCTGAATTTTGGATATAGAAGAAGTTGAAAAATATTTCCTTTTTATTAAAAGACATAACTAATCATAATCATTTGAAATATCCTTTATGATATATGATCACACCCGAAGAACCCCACCATCTAGTCAACAAATAATGCAGTTTCACTAGAACGTGAATTTGAACATTTTTTCATAATTGTCAGGCAGTTTTATAAAAATAAAGCAGTTTCCTTAGGAAAAAACAATCTGCCAATTAGAATACATATCTTTTCTTCGGAGACGGGATCTCACTAAGCTGTCCAGGCTGGTCTTGAACTCCTGGGCTCAAGCCATCCTCCTTCTTTGGCCTCTCGAGTAGCTAAGACTACAGGTGCCTGCTACCACACCTGGCTGTAATGTGTATCTTCATTTTGAAAAAAAATAAAATAAAGGTGTTTTCCTTTGAAAATAATAAACTTCAATCCCTGGCTATATGAACATTCATGGACTTATACAAATGAAAACAAATTATTGTGCTCCTAGAAACTAGTTCTTTTCACTAGCAGAGTCTGTGATAGCATCTGGAAACTGTCACCAAAATGTTAAGATTCACAAGCAAGCACTGGTGAACAACATTGGACCTGGTGAATCATTTCTACCACCACTAAATGCATTTGTCCAAAGGGACTGTGTGGTGAGGGTGTTCTGCAGTCCTGTAATATCATCTAGTGTCCTCTTATTCCAGCCATGTATTCACAAATGCTTGAATTTATATTTAAATTCAATATCATTCAATGGCGGCAAAATGCCCAAGCCTGCCCGGGACTGGTCCAAAGGTGGACATTTAGCTTGGCCCTCTATAAGCTCCAATTCAAAATAAGAAAGCATCAGAATCAAAAATTGCTTGATTTCGTGGATAGCGAACAATCTTCCAGGACATATTGTAGCTCCCGATCCAAAGGGCATGTAGTAATACTTTAACTTGAGTCCATTACAATAGAAGGTAGTCTTTGTCTTCCCGTTTTCATCAAGATACCTATCATATTTAAAAGTCTGCAATAAAAATACAAAGAAAACCGCCTTTAAGCTAGTTTTAAAGAAATTTATCTCTTTCTAAACCTGGAAGCTCCAAAGAGTAATTTTCTTTTTAATTCTACCCCATTAGTGATTTAGCAAATACTCCACATTGAATCAGAAAGTAATAAGGAACAGGAGCTTAATGAGCTAAGGAAGCCTTGTGATACCTCCTATCCTGCTTGAACGATTAGTTCCTTAGTCAGGCAGAGCTAGAGAGAGAAGGGTTCCCAGAAGAAACTAGAATAATCAATATATTAGCCTCCAATTTCCTGGATTTGGGAGGAGGTGCTTTTTAAGAAAAAAAAAGTGGCAGGTTTATTATCATGACTGCAAATATAATCTAGCAAAGACTGTGTGATGGCAAATATCAGGACTAAAATGAAAAATTCAGACCACTATCTAAATTTTCCAAAATATATGAATATTTAACACAATTAAGCAGACAATTCCTGTGACTACAATGATAAAATCAATTCTACCATTGTAAATTTCCTCTTTATTTAGATCTAGGTAGCTATCACCTGGATATTGAATTTCAATGGGCAGGCACTTACCAAAGGGTCTGGGTAGATTTCTGGATCTAAGTGCATTAACTGTGGGTAAAGAGCTATGATGTCATCTTTTCGGATGTTGTAGGAACCGTCCTCAAGGTGCAAAGTGAAATCCTCCTTAGCTGTCCGGATGTTGAGGGAGGCACTGGAAAGCCTCAGCGATTCCTTGATTATACTATCTAAACATTTTAAAAGAAAAAAAGATAAAAAATGAAAGAAGGAAGGGAGGAAGGAAGAGAAGAACAAACCAAGTGTTTGAAGGTCATATGATATAGAGTCTGAACTACAGACAGCCTGGCAGTGCATAACACAAAGATGAACAGGGTATGGGAAGCTGATCAGATAAAAATTTCCCAAACTTTCTTTCTGTTACCACTATGCTGTTATCAATGATTCAACTGTGTCTGAATTTTTTTATTTTTGTTTTTCTTTTTAGCCAGGGTCTCATTCTGTTGCCCATGCTGCAGTGCAGTGGCATGATCCTGGCTCACTGCAGCCTCAACCTCCCAGGCTGAACTGATCCTCCCACCTCAACCTCTCGAGTAGCTGCGACTATAGGCATGTGCCACCATACCCAGCTAATTTTCTTCTTTTTATTGTTTGCAGAGACAGGGTTTTGCTATGTTGCCCAGGTTGCTCTTGAGCTCCTAGGCTTAAGCAATGTGCCCATCTCAGCCTCCAAAAGTGCTTTGATTACAGGTGTGAGTCACCGTGCCTGGCCTGAATGTATCTTTAAATCTGATCCTGAGTTAATAATAATCTTTTGATTAAGAGATAATCATCTTGGTCATAATTGGGAAACAAAATTCCATCATTTTATAGAAGAGTAATGTAATAAAACTGGAAAAATCAGTAATACATTTTTATAGAAATTATTCAAAGTTTATCACTTCTGAGATTTAATATACTGAGGACTTCTGAGATTGAATATACTGATAGCACTGACACATACATATGTTTTTTCTAGGTGTTTAATGCAGCTTCAGTTCAACATTTACAAGAACCTATTTTTATCCATATACTATCTGATGCTGCGTGGCGATCACCGCTGCCCGGTAAAGGCATAAAGGGACAAAAAGAACCAACCTGAAAATGGCTGAAATATAGAGAGCTCGCGAGAGGTCCAGCCTGACCTTTTAGCCGTATCCTTTAACTGTCATGTTTTAGGGTGCTCATCACATGATTGTGTATAAAATTCCAGAATGTTAGCATTTTATTTTACAGATAAGAAAAGTAAGGCCCCCAAAAGAGTACTGACATGTCCAAAGTCTCCCAAGTCAGCCCCAGCATGGAACCTAAGCTTCTTGCCTCCTTAAAGAAAATAACCAAAAAAAGAAAACTTTATTACTATAAACATATCATATTGTTGGCCGGGTGCGGTGGCTCATGCCTGTAATCCCAGCACTTTGGGAGGCCGAGGCGGGCAGATCACTTGAGGTCAGGAGTTCGAGACCAGTCTGGACAACATGGTGAAACCCCGTCTCTACTAAAAATACAAAAATTAGCCAGGGGTGGTGGCGTGCACCTGTAATCCTAGCTACTTGGGAGGCTGAGGCAGGAGAATGGCTTGAACCCAGGAGGCAGAGGTTGCAGTAAGCCAAGATCGCGCCATTGCACTCCAGCCTGGGCAACAGAACAAGACTTTGTCAAAAATAAATAAATAAATAAAAATAAAAATATCATATTGTTATAGTTCCATAAAATATAGAAAAGCAGAACAAAGAAAAATCAAAGCACTTTCAAATCCATCACTCAATCCATGCAGGTAACTGTGGTTTCTTAATGGTTCTTTTCCCTCCTTTATTTTATGAAAATGACTAATATGCTTCCATTAACCATCAGATTAGTGGTAAGAGGAATATGAGAAACATGGTGTGGCAGTGCAGGGTGGTAGTTGAGAGAATAGGATGCCACATAATGATGTATTTGATTCTACCCTGGCTGCAGCTTAACCTCTAGGTGTCAGTTTCCTCACTTGGTACAAATAAATAGTAACAGTCCCAAGTCACAGGACAGTTGTGAGGATTAACCGAGAAAACTCATATGAAATATTTAGTTTAATGCCTAGAATTCGGTAAGTATATAATTTATGTTGGTCATTATTGTTAAAGTAGTAGGACATAGAAAATGAAACTCAACATAACAAGTATACCCACCTAATACTGGCAGGTCATTCAGTTCTGCTTGACTCAAACAAATAGGATTGCCTTCCAAGCTGACTTTTTGACCAGCATTCTCTAATGTTCTTTTCACTTCTTCAGTAGCTGCTTTCATTGCTTCTGGGTTCCTATTAAAAGGTAAGAGAAAACATGTATGTACAGAAAATAAACTTTTTCCATACTTTGAGATCTGCAAACAAATAGGCCTTTCCCCCTTCTTTTAACTAGATGGTGAAGATACCAGGGGAGGAGGGAAAGGGATATTCCTGTTTGCATTTACTCCATTTGTAATTGGGTTTATGTCCTTGGATATTAGTAAGAATTGTTGCCTTAAAATGACCTTGCGGCCGGCCGTGGTGGCACACGCCTGTAATCCCAGCACTTTGGGAGGCCGAGGCGGGCGGATCATGAGGTCAGGAGTTTGAGACCAGCCTGACCAACATGGCGAAACCCTGTCTCTACTAAAAATACAAAAATCAGCCAGGCATGGCAGTGGGATCCTGTAATCCCAGCTACTCGGGAGGCTGAGGCAGGAGAATTGCTTGAGCCCGGGAGGTGGAGGTTGCAGTGAGCCATGATCGTGCCACTGCATTCCAGCCTTGGTGACAGAGCAAGACTCTGTCTCGAAAAAAAAAATAATAATAATAATTAAAAAATGGGACTTTGCTACATAAAAGTTAAACTTTGGTGAGGGCTTTTATTTTATTTTTATTTATTTATTTATTTATTTATTTTGAGACGGAGTCTTGCTCTGTCGCCCAGGCTGGAGTGCAGGGGCGCAATCTTGGCTCACCGCAAGCTCCGCCTCCCGGGTTCACGCCATTCTCCTGCCTCAGCCTCCCGAGTAGCTGGGACTACAGGCGCCCGCCACCACGCCCAGCTAATTTTTTGTATGTTTTTTAGTAGAGACGGGGTTTCACCGTGTTAGCCAGGATGGTCTCGATCTCCTGACCTTGTGATCCGCCCGCCTCGGCCTCCCAAAGTTCTGGGATTACAGGCGTGAGCCATTGCGCCCGGCCTGGTCAGGGCTTTTATAAATAAGTGTTTCTAACAAGGATTAAACATGTCTAGGGAGCTACATAACAAAATTACAGTAAGTTGAGTCTCAAAATGTTTGATAAGTATTTGTAAGACTATCATAAAATATGGCTACAATTTCCTTTATGATGTTAAATTGATGCGTATGCCTGCTGTAAATATGTGAATTTATTCTGGATGTGCTTTTTCAAGTAATAACTTTGGAAGATAGTCAACATTTGTGACAAATTAGTAATAAGTTCTCACATCTGAAATTAAGTTTTAAAATATTTTATAAGACCTAAAGTCATCAGCCATCAATAGAAATTTGGCATTCCCAATCCTATGGAGGAGCAATTTTGTGTCTACATGATACTAAATATCTAATTTAATTGGAATAATTCAATAGACCATTCTAATTTCAAATTCCCAAAAGATTAACACTTTGGAGAGAAATCATGTTATGTAAAACATATGTTATTACAGTTTTTTTCTGTTACATACAGTTTTAAAAAGCACAACCTAGCTAAGTCTCTTATCAATAATAATAGATTATGATTGATTCATAGCTCTCATAGTTGGTCAAATAAACAGAAGAACAGCAATTCCTAACTGAGTGAAAACAAACTGTGAATGAACAAATAAGTAAGGCATAGTCACCGCCCTGATTGTTGTCCATAAATCAGTAATCACTTAAATACATTTAATGATTATGAAAACTGCATTTATGGAGTGGAGTTGGCGTCGTGAAGAACAGTATGGGGTTAAGAGCAAGGGCTCTGGGCCAGGCAGCCTGAATTGACCCAACACCAGCACATACAAGCTCCGTGGCTTGGGGTGACATCTCTTTCTCTGGGACTGTCTTTGTTTCTATAAAACACTTTTACCAGCCATAGCTGCCTATGTTTTTCTGCGGACTGAATGAACTCATATATGTTAAACACTAACATGCATTAGTGCTACGTTCTTGATTGACGGCATGATAAAGTACTACGAGGCTTTTTTTCTTAAAGTTAAAGTGGTTTAATTTCTACTTTCTACTAAAATAAAAAAAAGAAATGGATATGGCGTTAGTCACCTAATCATTTGAAATAAACTCCAGAAAGTCGCTGGAATGGTGTTTGCTTGCGATGCCCAGAGGACCACGAGGTGTGTCTTGGCCTTCTCCAGATCATCAAAGGTGGACAAAGTGTCATTGAGAAACATGCGCAGGCTGATCAGTTCTGAGATGCTTTCCCTCTTTTGGAGGTTCTCGTGCCTCAAGCTCTCTGCCAGTTTCTCCCGGGCATTGTGCGCAGTCCTGAACATGTGAATGGGGAGGCCTGCTACCAGGGCTGGAAAGACTTTGTCGAATTGCTTGAAGTTGTCAAGATTGTTTAGAATATGTGCTTTCTGTGTGTCCCGCCTTGTAAGATCTCTGCCAAAGATAGTTAAATACCCAGCTTCAAACATCACTCGGTAGCAGAAAGAATACATCCCTTCTGTCACCCAGGCAGCGGTCTTTGAGTTAGAGGAGACTGGAGGTCTCATGATACGTTGGAGGTTTTCCATCATGCTTTCCGTGAGGGAATTCAAGGCATGGCCCTGCAGGGTTTTGATGAAAGTGTCGTTTATGTTTTCAGTGGTATTTCCATCCATCGGGTCAATGCTTCTGTGCCCAAATGCCTGATAGCAAATAAAACATGCAGAAAAAGAAGTTAAACCTGACCTAGTCATAGTAAATGACTGAAAAACGGATTAGATACTTTCATAGTTCCTTACTTGGTAAACACGGGAAATTGGCTTTCCCTTGTACAAGTTCATAGCACTTTACAAATAAATGACCAAACTGTACCTTTCCTTTAAAGCCAACTTCAGTGGCACTCCCCTGGATCACTCAAGTCATCTATGTCTTATTTCTTATGCTACTGCACTTATTTACAGCTATTGCACATAAACTAATTGATAATGTTTTAAAATCATTAGTTATCTTTTATATTATTTGTAGATTTCTTTTTCTTTTTCTTTTAGAGATGGGGTCTCACATTGTCACCCAGGCTGGAGTGCAGTGACACAATGATAGCTCACTGCAGCCTCAAACTCCTGGACTCAAGCGATCCTCCTGCCTCAGCCTCTCAAATAGCAGGGACTACAGGTGTGTTCCATTGTGTCCAGCTGTAGATGTATTTTAACCAAACTTTAAGCTACTTAGTCACAAAGACCAAAGCTAATATTTATTTGCAGTAAGTAAGTAGTTATTGGTTTTTTTTCTCAGTAACAGATCTTCTTTTATTACATCTAAATGATGTTAAAATATCTTGCCAATTCCTTATCAAAATGAAACACTGTGTGGCACAAGTGTGGTGAGACAACTGCTGAATGTTAGGTTTCCGTCACTTGCATTCTTGCATAGACATTGCTGATGTGATGAATTTTTATCTATCTTATTCGTACAGTGCCACCTGTCTCAGTAGAGCATTTAATCTGTATTTCACCCTCATTAGCTCGTCAACAAATGACAAATCTATACCTATTTTGACTTTCTAAATGATTATTACTAAGAAGCTACGTATAATTTATTTATGTTTCTAAGAATCTCCACATAAGGATAACTCTCTTCAACACCTTTATCATAAAATCTAAGTACATCAAAATTTCTAAATAGACAAGCACATAAAAAGGTAGAAGACAAACAGAATGGTATATAAATGTAAAACTGCTTACCTTCGCAGAAGTAGCAAAGTGAAATTTTTTCCAATCAAAATATTTTCCGTGGCACAACACCTTATGGTATGACAAGGGATTTGTGATGAAATGGACATATTTTCCCATTAGTTTGCAGGTAAAAACATGACCATGTTTCCTTTGATTTGCTCTGAGGAACTCAAGAGGATTGGCACCAAATTGCAGAGCACAGCCCAGGTATGGAATTAATCCATTCTCTAGAGGTGGTTCACCCGTTTGCCTGTCAGACACAAGTGTATGATAGACATGGATGATTACAGTTTTGGGTTTTTACTTACATCAGGTTTTAAAATTTTTCCCACTGACTTCAAACTTTGAAACCCTATAGTTTATAGATATTTCTTTTGTTGGATGGGCCCTGCTCTTTTACTACAGTAATAGGTTATATTAACCTAGTAACATGATATGTTGGTGGAAAGGATTACTAAATCCATCCATTCATGCATCCGTCCATATACACATTCAACAAGCACCCGTCTACTATGTGCTCATCACTTTTCCCAGTGATACAGGCAAAAGGATTTACAAGACCAACAAGATTCTTGTTGTCAGTGCGGAAACAAAACTACATTCTAGTGTTTATCACTTTGCTAAGCATCATTTTTCTAAATATCTCAAAATGTTTCTTTTGATTATTTTCTTTAAAGACACAGATCACTGAATAAGGGAGGATTTCAGAACTGAGGTTTTGAAAATATTCCTAGTTTAAAGATATCTATATTATATTCTATAAGGATGGTTTCAGAGAAGAAGAATCTCATGTGAGAAATCAGCTTATTATAAAATGAAATTGAGTAAGATAAACACTGACGGAATCATCTATTGTAATTCAGTGCTCCTTTAAAATGTTTTTATTAGAACATGTAAACTTATTTTCCAACATAAACTTCTGTACCTCTTGATAGAATAATACAGTATAAAGTAATTACCTTTCTTTTCTTAGTTTGAAGATAAGTAGTTTAATTAAAAGTAAAAACTATCAGGCCTGAAAGAAACTGCAAAAGGCAGAAAACACATAGCAATCTACAAAGCTGAAAGATGGTTAGGGTTATTTTCTCTTTTTGAGATTGACATAGCAGAGAATATCTATATGCCTCCCCACAATTACTCCTTGAGCCAATTAGAAGTTAAATAAACTATGGTTCTGGATCTGACTGTATTTGTTTTTCTTGCATTCTTGAACCAGTTGTAAATAAATGAAATCGATGTCACATACACTCAGCAAACTTTCCCAATTCACCACAGTTGATTAACATTTATTTAAAAACAGTAATAGAATGATCAGCTCAGGCTCTATGCTCTTGTTCAGGCTTAGGCTGAGTCTATGCGATGCACAAGAATGAGCTTAAAAGAGAACATTTATTTAACAAGAGTATCTATTGAAGCCATGTGAGAGAAAGCAATCCTTTCCATTGTAGATTCCCACTTGCTACTTGTATCCTTACTAATCTGGGCTTCCTCTTTAGATACACATATAAATGTACATAGAGACCTTATACAATTTCTGTCAGTTATGTTTAACACCAATATACATTTATATATTACCATCGGTATATGCCAATACTAAAAAGGGAAGCTGTCATATGTCTTGTGAGATATAGTAAAAAAGATATTACTTTAAAAATTCAAATCAAATTTTTCATTTAAAAAATAAGGAAGATAATGCTAATATGTGTAAGTATAGAAAACCAAATTTACTGTATAAAAATGAAGGTAAAAAAATTAAATGGATGAATCAAAGAGCAATTTAAAGATAAAACATTACTTACCTTCTCCTAATTCCAAGAATAAGCCATAGACAACAGCATGCTGCTATAGCAATCCCCCAAATCAAAGATGTGGTCATCATTTTGCAAATCTAGGCCAAAATCTCTGAGGAAGAAAATCTCTGATTAGAAAGGGAAGGATGCCACTGAAAAGAGACTCAAGCTAGGCTTTTTATATACATAGTATCCAGATCCATTAACTTGAGCTTGGTTGACAAAGCAAACAATTAGCCATTTGTTCATTCTATTAGAAAAAAAAAAGTGGTAGTAACTGGCCTTGAACTAAGTCCACAGGTATCAGAAGTGGTTCCAAAGCAATCAGAGACCTGCAATACTTGATAAGTTGAAGGTCTCTCAAATATATGTTGACTTAACATTCGGACCTGGGGACAACAGCTAATATTAAGAGTTTGGTATGTGTAAAAAGAACAAATAAACCTGTTTAAGATGGGCATAGCTAATAAATACATAAACTATAATCATTTAAAGAAAGATAAGAATGAGTTATTCATCAAGCTTATAATTTGGTCTTGTTAACTTTTAAAGAAGAATTAATTTAGGTGCTTTGCCAGAGAGACGGTGATCAAGTTCAGAGGAAAGAGAACTGGGAAAAACATTTCTGCTGCTTCATGTTTCAGTGCTTTTATAAAATCATAGATATTTTACTACATATAGTAACATGTTACTCACCTAACATCCTCAAGAGAGTATTCTACATAAGTGCATCCTCTAGATAAATATAACTTATTGGAAGCATCAAAATTTTATCTATCATTCTTGTGACTAAAATGTTTATCAATGTTTCTAATTATTAAAGTAATAAATTTCATTTCAAGTAAGTTAAGACTAACTAAAACATATCTTGGTGGAAAGTGAACATCTATTAATAATTTACCTACCATGCTACTCCTTTACTCAGAAGTAACCACTAGTAACAATTTGGCATCTGTTCTTCCAAACTTTATTTCTGTGTACACAAAAATATTAGTTGAGTATTTATTACGTGCCAAGAACTCTTCAAAAGTATTCCAGTTGCAGGCATTAATAAGATAGGCAGATTTCCTAATCTAATGGAGATTCTATTCCAATGGAGAAAGGAGTAATAAAATACATGTTATGAAAAAAATAAAACATGGTATAGAAAGCTATGGGGGAATGAGGACAACTTTAGATATGATGATCAGAGATGGGCTCTCTGAAATTGTGACATTTGAGATCTGAATGACAAGAAGAGACTACTCATGTGAATATCAGAAGGAAGGATATTCCAGGAAGAGGAAGCAGCAAATGCAATGTCTTGAGTCAAGGATCAACTTGGTGAGTCTAAGAACCAAAAAGAAGGATGTATCCTACTGAAGCAGAGTGAATGAGAGTTCACAGAATTAAGACAAAAGAAGGTAGGCAACAGTACTGTGTGTGTATATATATGTATATAAACACACACACACATACACCCACAGTATTCTCTATATTTATACATGTGTGTATCTATATGTGTGTATAAATAATTATATTGAATATGTGCTTAATCTTCCATTGGATAAATGTACTATAATTTATTTAACTGATTTCCTATTGATGGATATGTGGGTTGTTTCCAGTTTTGGCTATAGATGCCATAGATTTATTTCATGTGTTTTTTGTTTTTGCCTGTTTAAACAGAGATCACACATTTTTTGTGTGTAATTTATCACCATAAATATTAATATCAATCATTGTATGGCAGTACATAGATTTTTCTTAGAATCTAGGTTTTTGGGGGGCTTTGTGCATTTATTTAGACAGGTGGATTTTTAAAAAATTAATATATCTTTTTAAAAATATGGCTTATAGAAAAGCTGATCTTATACATGGACAATCACAGCAAGATATCCCAGTCAGATAAAATGCCAATCTAATATCCAAATAATACAGCCCTTTAGAGTTACTTCTCGGGCAAATGAAGAACAAGCAAATATACAAAAATGGAAAGGAAGTCAGGCATGGTAGTGTGACATGGTTTGGCTGTGTCCCCATCCAAATCTCATCTTGAATTCTCACGTGTTGTGGGAGGAACCTGGTAGGAGGTGACTGAATTATGGGTGCAGTTCTTTCCTGTGCTATTGTCATGATAATGAATAAATTTCATGAGATCTGATGGTTTTAAAAAGAGGAGTTTCCCTGCACAAGCTCTTTTCTTGTCTGCTGCCATGTGAGATGTGCCTTTCTCCTTCCATCATGATTGTGAGGCCTCCCAAGTGATGTAGAATTGTAAGTCCAATAAACCTCTTTCTTTTGTAAATTGTCCAGTTTCAGGTATGTCTTTATCAGCAGCATGAAAATCGACTAATACAGTAAACTGGTACCAGTAGAGTGGGGCACGGCTGAAAAGATAACCAAAAATGTGGAAGCGACTTTGGAACTGGGTAACAGGTAGGGATTGGAACAGTTTGGAGGGCTCAGAAGAAGACAGGAGAATGTGAGCAAGTTTGGAACTCCCTAGAGGCCTGTTGAATGACTTTGACCAAAATGCTGATAATGATATGGACAACGAAATCTAGGCGGGGGTGGTTTCAGATGGAGATGAGGAACTTTTTGGGAACTAGAGCAAGGGTGACTCTTGTTATGTTTTAGTAAAGAGACTGGCAGCGTTTTGTCCCTGCCCTAGAGATTTGTGGAACTTGGAACCTAAGAGAGATGATTTAGGGTATCTGGCAGAAGAAATTTCTAAGCAGCAAAGCATTCAAGAAGCAACTTGGGTGTTGTTAAAGGCATTCAGTTTTTTTTGTTTTTTTTTTTTTTTTTGAGACAGAGTCTTACTCTGTTACCAGGGCTGGAGTGCAGTGGTGTGATCTCGACTCACTGCAACCTCCGCCTCCTGGATTCAAACGATTCTCCTGCCTCAGTCTCCCAAGTAGCTGGGATTAAAGGCACCCATGACTATGCCCAGCTAACTTTTTGTATTTTTAGTAGAGACAGGGTTTCACCATGTTGGCCAGGCTGGTCTCGAACTCCTGACCTCGTGATTCGCCCGTCTCAGCTCCCCAAAGTGCTGGGATTACAGGCGTGAGCCACCACACCTGGCCAGGCCTTCAGTTTTATAAGGGAAGCAGAGCACAAAAGTTTGGAAAATTTGCAGCCTGACAATGCGATAGAAAAGAAAATCTCATTTTCTGAGGAGAAATTCAAGCCAGCTGCAGAAATTTGCATAAGTAACAAGGAGCTGAATGTTAATCCCCAAGACCATGGGGAAAATGTCTCCAGGGCATGTCAGAAGTCTTCATGGCAACCCCTCCCATCACAGCCCCAGATTCCCAGGAGGAATGTATAGTTTCTTGGGCCAGGCCCAGGGTCCCCCTGCTGTGTGCAGCCTAGGGACTTGGTGCCCTGTGTCTTAGCACTCTAGCCTGGGCCACATAGACAGACACCAACTTTTTTTTTTTTTTTTTTTTTTAAAGGGAAAGGGTATGGGGGAACCTCTCAGTACAATCTTAGCAACTTCCTGTGAATCTAAAATCATTTTGAAATTAAAAGGCTTCCAAAAATGGTAAATACATGGCTTTGCAGATGCTGATGACACCCGGAGCCCCCTGCTATCAGCCATGGTCAACTCCACTGTATTATCTAACATCTTGGGTCATGCCTTTTTTGAGCTGTTTGCAGACAGAGTTCCAAAGACAGCAGAAAACTTTCATGCTCTGAGCACTGGAGAGAAAGGATTTGGGTATAAGGGTTCCTGTTTTTACAGAATTATTCCAGGGTTTATGTGTCAAGGTGGTGACTTCACATGCCATAATGGCACTGGTGGTAAGTCCATCTACAGGGAGAAATTTGATGACAAGAACTACATCCTGAAGCATGCAGGTCCTGTGTTGTTCATGGCAAATGCTGAACCCAACACAAACGGTTTCCAGTTTTTCATCTGCACTGCCAAGGCTGAGTAGCTGGATGGCAAGCATGTGGTCTTTGGCAAGGTGAAAGAAGTCATGAGTATTGTGAAGGCCATGGAGAGCTTTGGGTCCAGGAAGGGCAAAACCAGCAAGATCACCATTGCTGACTGTGCACAACTCTAATAAATTTGACTTGTGTTTTATCCTAACCACAGACCTTGTGAGAGCACCCCTCCACCCCATTTGCTCACGTTATCCTATAATCTTTGTGCTCTTGCTACAGCTCCTTTGGGTGTTATATATTCCCTATTCCCTTCCATACCTAGCTGGATTGCAGAGTTAAGTTTATGATTATGAAATAAAACTATATAAAGCTAAATAAAAACTAAATAACAACTGTCAAAAAAAAAAAAAACTGTGAAATATATTCACAACCCTCCTCACCCCCTCTCAGAACATCACAAGCTCCTTTCAAATGTAGATTGGTCAGTGTTTATCTAGATTTCCTTTACCCTAATATTTTTACTCCCACACTTACAACCCCTCTTCTATACAACAAAAGCACAGGAAACATACACACCCAGAAAAGCAGAGTCTTAAATATTCATATTTATTCATTTTTCTTATTATACGTAGTTTATGTTTTTCCTTCTCAGGATGTCACTTCTTGCTGCTGTCATGTGTCCACAAATGGTACTTATCACAGCCCAAATGTGCTGCTTTTAATCCAACAGGTGGAAATTCATATGCTTGTTACAGCTGTCAAAACTATTAATAGACTGTAAGGAAATACTAAAAGATTTCCTGATGAGTGAATGGATTTTATGACAACTGGATGTGTTTTTAGCACAGCGCCTGGTGCATCAGTTATTGAATGAATGCTAGCTCAATGGCACGTCCTTTGCCTGCTTTTCTCTTCTCTTTTTTTCGGCTGGTAAAGTTTTATTTATTCTCTTTCTCTATGTCTCTGTCTCACCATCTTTCTCTCTGTGTGTCTCTCTTGTTTCTCTGTCTCTCTCTGTGTCTCACTCTCTCTGTCTCTCTCTGTCTGTGTCACACACACACACACACACACACACACATGCTGTACCTCTACTACATGCCAGGCTCTGAGTCAGCAGTGGAGACAATGTGAGCAAGAAAGCCCTGAGCCCTGGCCCTGTGGAGTTTCCACTGCGTCAGGAGAAAGCGTAAGTGCCCTGACAAAGAAAAGAGGTAAAGTTGCCAGAAAACCTGGCAAAATAAACTGAGTTCTAATAATAAACTAAATTCTAATCCCACCACAACCTGTTAGTTTCCTCTTGTTTACATAGAGTAGTGAAGAGGACCACACTTCCTAAAGTGTGGAAGAAATACTTATTCCGGGCCTCAGAAAATATAAAGCCTGAATCAAATATCTCAACCCCATGAATGGAAATATACAAAACATAGAAGCTCAAACCAGAGGAGTAGAATGTAAAAAGAACAACTAAAACTATGAGCTTATGTAAACCCACTATGGTTCAATGAACATAGAACACACACATCAGTTTGATTGCTTTAAATAAAATGAACTGAGAACATGGCCAAAAAATTGAGTCAAACCAGTTGCTTTCCTGAATTCACAAGTTAAACCACCTCTCTGTAGTGGGACACAGATTGCCTCAATTAAGAAAGCACTTTGCATTTTCCAAGAGCATCACAGAGCTGTACTGAATCAAGACTGTATATGAGGTTTCTAAGTCAGGGCAAAGTAATGGGAGTCTATTGTGGAATGGGCTGGTGAAGTCTTGTCGTGATTAATTTGGGGCTTTCATAATAAACACATTCGAGCCACATTTTCATGAAGCCATAGGGAAAGAAACCAGTTATGGCAAATACAAATATAGTTTTGCATCTTAAATACATGGTTTTGAGATTGTAAATGCCTAGCAGGAGTAGAGAAAAAGAAGGTGTTGACAAATTCTAAAGGAATCATCATAATTTTTACATTCATTTTGAGGTTTTCACATTTTAAAAGCTTCTCTTGTATTTTTCTACTTTAATGAAATAACTAACTTGGGCAGGACAGGTATTTTGACCATGTTAAAGATGAGGAAGTAGAGGCAAGAAGGTTCAGTGGGAAATATTACATAGCTTGAATTAGTTCGAATGGTAGATGAAGAGGAAGCTGCAATTAAATCTAGATTTGCATGTTGGCTTGGCCATTAAGTATTTACCTTTGAACAAGATGCTTTTCCTCTCCAAGTCTTTGCTTTCTTATCTGTAAAATGGGGATGATTATAGTGCATGACTCATAGATATTAAGACGAAATAAGACAATGTGTGTAAGACAGTTAGCCTAGCACTTGGCACAATGTATGCTCAAAAATGTTTGCTATAGTTAATAAACTGGCAAATCCAGGATTCAAGCCCAGATTGCTCTGAATTGAAGTGTGATAGTCCACCTTTACAGCACAGTACCTCACAAGAAGTACAGGGGATTCAAAGGCCATCTGACTACAGGTTTAGGAAAGGGTAAACACACCACCAACTGGGTATGAATAAATCATATGCATTTCATTCATTCATTCATATGAACTTAATATGTACCTTATGCAAGGCACCTTTTAAGTGCTGGAGATGCAGAGATAAATAAGACAGGCAAAGTCGCTGCCCTCTAGGGGACATAGCTAATCAACAGGAGAACAAATATATTGATTTGATTTCTGACAACAAGAAACCACCATTTTTTACTATCAGAAAAAGTCTGACCAATGCATCAATATTCAGTGTCAAGATCATCAAAAACTTGCTTCATTTAATCCACAGGGTAGCACCATGAAGCAGGCACTGTTGCCTCAATGTACAGATGACTGAATATGGTGAAGCTCTGGCTTCAGGCCCAGGGCAGCCCCTACTATGCGGTGCTGTAGCACAGGAAGAACTCCATTCATCCAAGTTAAAGACAGGCTTGGGGGCCTGGAATCAAAGAAGGCTAAGTGGTTCCTTTACTTTTGTGATAAGTTTCATCCCAGTCTCAGCCTTCTGAAACTTAGTCCAAGAAGCCCAACTGGTTCATCAGACTTGCTGCGACCAATTAACCTTGCCAGCTCAGGGAGAGAGAGAGATAGAGAAGAGGGCAGTCAGGGGGAGGGAGAGAAAGAGGGAGAGAGAGAAAGATAGTGGAGCTTTTTTCCTGAATGTGAGCAATCCTGGCTCCTTTTATCTCTCCGATGTCATGGACATATTTCCAAAAGGACATATTGAAGGAAACCAAATCTTGAGCCATTGAGGAAGCTGGTCTTGTCTTCTCAGGCCAGCACAGGGCAGTTCATTAGCTGGGGTACTATTTTCACTTTCCTGACTTTCCCTAGCTCCTAGGAGGAAGGCTGAGGTTCTTAGACATGGAGCACAGAGAGAGTAGAACAAACCTCTGTATGTTAATGGCCCTGGAGATGTTCTTCAACTGGATCACTTGCTGAAGTACTATTTTCCCCTGCAGATAATGAGATGAGAAAGAAGACTTTTCCCTATAGGCTAACAGAACAAAAGGTGGTGAGGAACCATGAAGAATGTTAGCACCTTGACCTCTGACTTGCTCCATTTGTTCTGTTGTAAAAGGCAAGTAAGTTCTGTTGTCTTCTTTCTGACATTTTAAGAAAATGAGAAAACATTTTTGGAAATACATGAGGAAAGTATCGCTGAAATGTGTGGCAGAGCCTCTACTGTGGGGCCAGGGTCTTCACATACATTGTCTCATTTAACCCTTACAACAATACCATGAGAAAACAGGAGGTCAGAGTTTCAGCAACTTCCCAAAACTCAATTCACGGGAGTTGCAGATCTAGGATGCAAACCCAGGGCTCTGGGACTCCACAGCTCACATGCATGCCCTTTATATTTCAGATTTTCTCTCCTAGAGCTCCAGGGCTCCCTGTTGTGGTGGGGGAGAAAGCCAAAGGAGAGGCTCTGCCCACTGCCCTCTTCTGCTTCATGAAAGAGGACTGTAGTATGAAGTTTGTTTCAAGGAAGGGCTCCATAACTAAAACAAAGCAAAATGAAAACAGCACAAGCCCTTTGAAAATCACTGTGGAATGCCAGTTACCCCACAAACCCCATGCCATCAGATATTTTCAATGATTTAGTTACTTTTTATTCATTTTTCTTGAGATAAAATTCAAGTACCATAATATTCACCCCTTTAAAGAGTAGAATTCAAAATTTCTAGCATATTCAAAGATTGTGTGACCATCACCCCTATCCAATTCCAGAACATTTTCATTATCCCCAAAAGAAATTCTATATCCATTTGCAGCCACTCTCTACCCTCAATCCCTGGCAATCACCAATATACTCTCTGTTTCTATAGATTTGCCTGTGCTAGACATTTCATATAAATGATATGACTCTATTATGTATAAATATTTGCATCTGACTTCTTTTATTTAGCATAATATTCTCAAGGCTCATCTACATTGCAGTATTTATCAGTATTTAATTCCTTTATACGGCTGAATAATATTTCACTAAATGGATATAGGACATTTTATTTACTAATCAATTAATGGATATTTGGGTCGTTTTCACTTTTTACTTGCTATTAATAGTGCTGCTGTGAACATTTGCAGACAGGTTTTTGTGTAAAAGTATGTTTTAAATTTTCTGACTATGTAGTTAAGGGTGTACTTGCCTGTCTTATGGTAACTATATTTAACTTTCTGAGGAACTGCCAAACTGGTTTCCAGAATGACTGGACCATTTCACTTTCCCATGAATGAGGAAGGAGTGTTCAAATTTCTTCATATTGTTTGTCAACACTTATTGTTGTCTGTTTTTTAAATTATAGCCATCTTAGAGGGTAATAGGTTGTATCCCATTGTGGCTTTGATTTACATTTCTCTAATAACTAATGATGTTAAAAATCTTTTCATGTGTTTATTGGCCATTTGTAAATCCTCTTTAGAGAAATGTCTATTAAAGTCCTTTCCTTATTTTGTTAAACTGGGTTTCTGTCTCTTTCATTGTTGGGTTGTAAGATTATTCCAGGCAATTAGACCCTTATCAGATAAGACTTTTACATATTTTCTCCCATTCTGTGGGTTGTCTTTGCACTTTCTTGATACTGTCCTTGGATGCACAAAAGTTTTTATGTATGTATGTATGGTTTTTTTTTTGAGACGGAGTCTTGCTGTGTCACACAGTCTGGAGTGTAGTGGCACAATCTTTGCTCACTGCAACCTCCACCTCCCGGTTCAAGCAATTCTCCTGCCTCAGCCTCCCAAGTAGCTGGGATTACAGGCACATAACACCACACCTGGCTGATTTTTGTATTTTTAGTAGAGATGGGGTTTCACCATGTAGGCCAGGCTGGTCTCCAACTCCTGAGACCTCAAGTGATCCACCCACCTCAGCCTCCCAAAGTGCTGGGATTACAGGCGTGAGCCACTGTGCCCAGCCTTTTTATCTATTTTATTCTTATTTTTTATTATTATTTTTTGAGATGGAGTCTTGCTCTGTCACCCAGGCTGGAGTGCAGTGGCGCGATCTCAGCTCACAACAACCTCTGCCTCCTGGGTTCAAGCGATTCTCCTGTCTCAGCCTCCTGAGTAGCTGGGACTACAGGTGCCTTCCACCATACCTGGCTAATTTTTGTACTTTTAGTAGAAATGGGGTTTTGCCATGTTGGCCAGGCTGGTCTCGAACTCCTGACCTCAAGTGATCAGCCCACCTTGGCCTCTAAAGTGCTGGGATTACAAGCATGAGCCACCATACCTGGCCACAAAAGTTTTTAACATTGATGAAGTGCAATTTATCTATTTTTTTTTGGCTGCTTAGACTTTTGGTGTCATATCTAAAAAACATTGTCTAATCCAAGGTCATGAAGATGTATGCTTATGTTTTCTTCTAAGGGTTTTATAGTTTCAGTTCTTACACTTAGTTCATTGATTCATTTTGTGTTAATTTTTACATATGAGCTGAGGGAGTAGTCCAACTTCATTCTTTTGCATGTGGATATCCAGTTGTCCCAGCACCACGGAAACCTATTCTTTTCCCCATGGAAATCTCTTAACTTTCTCATTGAAAATCAGTTGATAAATGCATGTGTTTGTTTCTGGACTGTCAATTCTATTCGATTGATCTATATGTCTATCCTTATGCCAGTAACACAAAGTTTTCATTACTATAAGCTGTTAGTAACCTTCAACATCAGAAAGTGTAAGTCCTCCCATTTTTTTTTTTTAGATAGAGTCTCACTTTGTCATCAAGGCTGGAGTGCAGTGGCATGATCTCGGCTCACCACAACCTCCCCCTTCCGGGTTCAAGCGATTTTCCTGCCTCAGCCTCCTGAGTAGCTGGGATTACAGGCACACACCACCATGCCCGGCTGATTTTTGTATTTTTAGTAGAGATTGGGTTTCACCATGTTGGTCAGGCTAGTCTCAAACTCCTGACCTCATGATCCACCTGCCTCGGCCTCCCAAAGTGCTGGGATTACAGATGTGAGCCACTGCGCCTGGCCCAATGTGTTCTTTTTCAAGATTGTTCTGAATATTCTGGATTATGGACACTTTACATTTCCATGTGGATTTCAGGATCAGCTTGTCAATCTCAGCAAAACTGGAAACTGGAGCTTTGATAGGGATTGCACCCAATCTCTAGATCAATCTGGAAAGAGAGTATTACCATCCTAACAATACTGTCTTCTGATCCATAAACATGGGTGCCTTTGTATTTATTTAGGTCTTCTGTAATTTATTTCATTGATGTTTTGTAGTTTTCAGTGTACAAGTCTTGTACTTCTTTTGTTAAATTTATTCCTAAGTATCTTATTTTTATTTGTGCTATTGTACACGGAATTGTTTTTCTTTTCTTTTTTTTTTTCTTGAGACTGAGTCTCGCTTCTTCGCCCAGGCTGGAGTGCAATGGCGTGTTCTCAGCTCGCTGCAAGCTCCACCTCCTGGGTTCACGCCATTCCCGTGCCTCAGCCTCCTGAGTAGCTGGGACTACAGGCGCCCACCACCACGCCCAGCTAATTTTTTGTATTTTTAGTAGAGATGGGGTTTCACCATGTTAGTCAGAATGGTCTCGATCTCCTGACCTTGTGATCTGCCTGCCTCTGCCTCCCAAAGTGCTGGGATTACAGGCATGAGCCACCACGCCGGACTGGAATTGTTTTTCTTAACTGTTTACAGATTTTTCATGGCTACTGTATAGAAACAAACTCATTTTTGGACGTTGATTTTACATCCTACAACTTTGGTGAACTTATTAGCTCTATAAGCTTTTTTTGTGGATTCCTTTGGATTTTTAATATGTAAAATTAGGTATTCTGAAAATAAAGATAATTTTATTTTCCTTTTATTTCTTTTTCTTGCTTGATTGCCTTAGATATAACTTCCAGTACAATGTTGAATAGAAGTGGCAAGAGCAGATGTCCTTGTCTTATTCCTGGTCTTAGAGGAAAAGCTTTCAGTCTTTTACCATTAAATTATTAGCTGTGGGTTTTTCACAGATTTCCTTCAATCATATTGAGGCAATTCTCTTCTTTTTCTAGTTTATTTAGTGTTTTTATCAGGAAAGGGTGTTGATTTTTTGTCAAATGCTTGTTCTGCATCTATTGAGATAATAAAGTGGGTTTTTTCCTTACTGTTTTAACATGGTGTATGTCATTGTTTGATTTTTTGTACGTTAAAACACCCTTGCATTTTGGGGTAAATCTCATTTGGTCATGGTGTATGATGCTTTTATATGTTGCCAGATTTGGTTTGCTAGTATTTTGTCGAAGATTTTTGCATTATGTTGATAAAGGATATTAGTCTGTAGTTAATTTTACTTGTAATATCTTTGTCTCATTTGAATATCAGATAATAATGGGTTGATAGAATGAGCTGAGAAGTAGTCCCTCCTCTTCTAATTTTTGGATGAATTTACAAAGGATTAGTGGATTAGTGTTCTCTCTCTTTTTTTTTTTTTTTTTTGGTCAGGCTGGTCTCGAACTCCTGACCTCAGGTGATCCGCCCACCTCGGCCTCCCAAAGTGTTGGGATTACAGGCATGAGCCACCGCGCCTGGCCTGTTCTCTCTTCTTTGACTCTTTGGGTGAATTGACCAGTGAAGCTGGTCTGAAGTTGTCTTTGTAGGATTTTTTAAAATTCTATTTTAACTTTTTTGGTTATAGATCTATTGAGGTTTTTTTATTTCCCTTTGAGTTAATTTTGATAGTTTGTGTCTTTCTGAAATGTATTTAATCTAACTAGGATATCTGATTTGTTTGCATACAACTGTTCTTAGCATTTCCTTATAATGCTTTTTATTTGGGTAAGGTCAGTAGTAATAATATACCCTCTTTTATTCTTAATTTTAATAATTCGAGTCCTCCTCCCCTTTCTTTTTCAGGTTAGGTGAAGGTGTGTCAATGTTGTCGATATTTTCAACTAATTAGCTTTTGGTTTTGTTGACTATATCTATTATTCTTCTATTTTACTTCTTTATTTCTGCTCTGATTTTTATTCATTCCTTCTCGTTTCTTGCTTTGAGTTTATCTCACTCTTATTTTTCTAGGTTCTCAAGGTGAAAAGCTAGGTTATTAATTTGAGATCTTTCTTCTATTTTAATACAGGCATTTCAGTTATAAGTTTCCCTGCAAGCACCACTTTTGTGGCATCTCATAAGTTCGGATTTGTTACATTTTTATTTTATTTATCTCAAAGTATTTTCCAATTTCCTTTGTGATTTTTTCTTTGATTCATTGGTTATTTAGGAGTTACATTTTTAAATTTCCACATATTTATAAACTTCCCAATTTTTAAAAAAATTCTTTTTTATTTTATTATTTTATTTTGTTTTTTTGAGACAGAGTCTCGTGTTGCCCATGCTGGGGTGCAGTGGCATGATCTCAGTTCATTGCAACCCCCGCCTCCTGGGTTCAAGTGATTCTCGTGCCTCAGCCTCCTGGGTAGCTGGGATTATAGACATGCACCACCATGCCCAGCTAATTTTTATACTTTCAGTAAAGACATGGTTTCACCATGTTGAGCAATCTGGTATCAAACTCCTGGGCTCATGTGATCTGCCCACCTCAGCCTCCAAAAGTGCTGGGATTACAGGCATGAGCCACCATACCCGGCCTGTTCTATCCATTATTAAAAGTGAGATACTGAAGTATCCAATTATCATTATTGAAATGCTTATTTCACCCTGAAATTCTGTCAATTTTGCTTCACATATTTTGAGAATCTGTTGTTAGGTACATATATGTTTATAATTGTTATAACTTCTTGATGGATTAATGGTTTGATCATTATAGAATGTCCTTTTTTGTCTCTAGCAATGCTTTTTGTCTTACATTTGCTTGCCTTTTCCCCTATTATAAGCATTTCTAGAAAATATTAAATATATTACAATCATAGCACAAATCAGAAGTAATATGAAAATAAGGTAAACATTTGTTGTTCTGGAGTTCATTCATTTCGTTCATTTCCTAAGGTACAAATTATGTTTGTGCTAGAAATTTGGTAGTGTCATGCTTAAAGAGGCTAATGTGCATATCACCCTCTAGTGGACAATTATGTACATTGACACATCCTCTGTAGTTAAGTAAACATGAGGAGGCAGCCATAACCCTTAGTGATAGAATCATGAACTAGAATCCTAGAACGTTCTATATAAACCCCGTTCACACAACCAGATCCCAGTTGCCAAATTTGAAAGCCAACAAAACCTGGGGTTGGGAAAGACTCTATTTTGTTGTTGTAAGCCACGACTCTGGTACAAAACAAGGTGTCAACACCGTTAAGGGACAAGATCCTGGAGAAGCTCAGACCTAGAGATACCAGAACTAGCCTATAGGAGTTTTCCTATTTTCATACTATGTGGAGGAATATGACAAACCCAGCAGCGGGTCAGATTGCCATTGATGGCTGCTACTTGACTCCTACTGAACATATGATTGTTTTGCCAGGGTGCATGCTGGATCCATAAGTAATATTTTTTTCTCCTCTGGCTGCCTTGAAGATTTTTCCTTTAACTTTGCTTCTCATTGGTTTTACAATTATATTTTAGGGTTTTTTCTTTTTAATTTTTAGTTAGTTTTCCTTTATTGATTTTGGATTATTCTTGTCCATCATCTCTTCAAATATTCTTTTACTTCACTCTCTTCTTCTGGAACTCCAATTACATGTATGTTAGACAGTTGTTATTATCCCACAGCTGATCTCTCTCTCTTTTTTCTATTATGTTTAAATTCGATTCCTATTTACTTATTTTCAAGTCTGGTGATTCTTTCTTCTGTAGTTTCCAGTTTGCTAGTAAGCTTATTGAATGAATTCTTCACCTCTGCACCCATGTTTTCTATTTCTAGCGTTTCCACTTAACTCTGTTGTTTAGTTTCTGCATTTCTAATAAAATTCCTCATCTGTTAATGCCAACTTTCCACCTATTCCACTAGATCCTTTAACAAAGGAGTCCCCAACCCCTGGGCTGCAGATTGGTACCCGTCTGTGGCCTTTTAGGAACTGGGCCACACAGCAGGAGGTGAATGGTGGGTGAGAGAGCATTACTACCTGAACTCCACCTCCTGTCAGATCAGCAGAAGCATAAGATTCTTATAGGAGTATGACCCATATTGTGAACTGCGCATGTGAGTGATCTAGGTTGTGTGCTCCTTATGAGACTCTAACTAATGCCTGATGATCTGAGGTGGAACAGTTTCATCCCAAAACCATCCTTCCTCTTTCCCCAGTCTGTGGAAAAATTGTTTTCCACAAAACCAGCCCCTGGTGCCAAAAAGGTTGGGAATTGCTGCTTTAACATACTAATCATGGTTATCTTAAATTCCCTGTCCGTCAATTCCAACATCTGGGTCATCTCTGAGTTTGGATCTGCTGAATGCTTTATCTCTTGAAGATAGATTGATTTCTCCTACTATTTGTAGAATTTCTCTTCTGTGAGATTTAAATGGTCTTATGTCAGCTGGCAGGGAAAAAAATTCACCATGAGAGGAAAAGGAATCTACTGAGGACTGTGGTTCAATAGGAAGGCTTGAATATTTGTGTTCAAGAGCAGGGTCTGGTCAAAGTATATGACTGAAGCAGGAAGGGTTTCTGAGATCCAGCCCCCAGATTAGGCAGCCAAGCTTCAAAAAAAAAACTGGGTATGTGAATATAAAAATTGTAAAAGCCAATATAATAATTTTATTGTATAATAAAATATCAAGTCTAACACATCCTGCTGCTTGCACAGGGATTCAGACAAGCAGCACCATCACAGCAGAGAGCCATCTGGTTGTGTGGAATCAGCTGGGTTTTTTAAATTAATAGATTTCATTTTTTGGAACAATTTTAGGTTTACAGAAAAATTGAGCAGGAAGTATAGAGACTTCCCATAAACCCATTCCCCCCAGTTTCTCCTATTATTAACATTTTTCTTTGGTATGTAACATTTGTTACAGTTGATATAATATTATTAAATAAGTCAATTATTTATATTGAAGTTCACTCCTTGTATAGTCCTATGGGTTTTGACAAATGCATAATGTCATGTATCTACCATTTATTTCAGTACTATACAGAAAATAGTTTTACTGTCATAAAAATTTCCTTTGTTCCACCTATTCATTATTCCCTCCCCTCTAAACCCTTAGAAGCCACTGACCTTTTTACTATCTATAGCTTTGCCTTTTCCAGAATGCCATACAGTTGAATCATACAGTATGTAACTTTTTCAGCCTGGCTTTAGTCTAAAAAGTCTGGATTTCACTTATAATGCTCATTGAAGACTATTTGCATGTCTTTTCATGGCATGATAGTTCATTTTTTAATCATTGAATGATATTTCACTGTATGGATTTAACATAATTTGTTTATTCATGTACCTGTTGAAGGACATCTTAGTTGTATCCACCTTTCAGCAATTATGAAAAAAGTTGCTACAAAAATTTCTGTGCAGGTTTTTGTGTGAACATAAGTTTTCAATTTATTTGGGAAAAAACCTTGGAACGCTATTATTGGCTTGTATGGCAGACTATGTATACCTCTGTAATAAATTGCCAAATGGTCTTCCAAAGTGGCTGTACCATTTTGCAGTCCCACCAGCAATAAATGCAAGTTCTTGTTGTTCCGCATCCTCACCAGCATTTGGTGCTATTAGCTGGAACCAGTTTTTAACAGTGCTACAATGTGCAGCAACAATATTTTAAAATGAGAATCTACTAGGGAACAGATGCGATTTTGTTCTGACTTCCCTTTTGGTGTTTGGGAACAGAACTGACATCTTTGGATTTAGTAAGTTCTTTGGGTTCTTATGCCTTGTTGATAAGAAGAGTTTACAAATGGGTATTGGATATCTTTCTAATTTAAACAGGTGAGTACTTAAGTAATAAATTGAAAAAATAAGAATATTTTTGTAATTGTACTTTAAGCTATATAAGGAGGTAATGTGTCATACAACATTGGCTCTTGCTTGGAAAGGTATTTTGAACAAAGCAACTTAAAATGATCTCCTTTAAGAACCTACTTAAGGGCTGGGTGCGGTGGCTCACGCCTGTAATCCCAACACTTTGGGAGGCTGAGGCAGGCGGATCCCGAGTTCAAGAGTTCAAGACCAGCCTGGCCAACATGGTGAAACCCCGTCTCTACTAAAAATACAAAAATTAGCTGGCACATGCCAGTAATCCCAGCTACTCAGGAGAATGAGGCAGGAGAATCACTTGAACCTGGGAGGCGGAGGTTTCAGTGAGCTGAGATCGTGCCACTGCACTCCAGCCTGGGCGATAGAGCAAGACTCCATCACGGAAAAAAAAAAAAGAACCTAGTTAAAACTGAAGGTTTAGTAAACTGACTCCAAGTGAAACCATGACTATCTTTTATGTGCCTCTGGCCTGCCACTTCCCACCCTCTCTCCACTCTGAGACAGGAAGAAGTGAGTATGGGCATACCATGTTTTATTGAGCTTCAATTTATTGTGCTTCTCAGATATTGCACTTTTTACTAATTGAAGGTGTGGCAATCCTGCATTGAGCAAGTCTTCTTATGAATAAGCAAAGAAAGTGGTTTCCTGAGATGGAATCTACTTCTAGTGAAGATGCTGTGAACATTGTTGAAATGACAGCAAAGGATTTAGAATATTACATAAACTTAGTTGAAAAAGCAGTGGCAGGATTGACTCCAATTTTGAAAGTTCTACCATGTATAAAATGCTATCAAATAGCAACATGCACTACAGAGAAATCTTTAGTGAAACATAGTCAGTCAATGTGGCAAACTTCATTGTCATATTTTAAGAAATTGCCACAGCCACTCCAACCTTCAGCAACCACTGTCAATACCAAAGCAAGACCACCAGCAAAACAATTAGGACTCACTGAAGGCTCAGAGGATCATTAGCGTTTTTTAGCAATAAGGTTTTTTGAAATTAAGATATTTAATGTTTTTTCTAGACATAATGCTATTGCACACTTAGTAGACCATAGTATAAACATAACTTTTATATGCACTAGGAAACAAAAAATTTTGTGTGAGTTGCTTTATTGTGATCTTTATTGTAGTGGTCTGGAACTGAACCTGCAATATCTCTGAGGTACACCTGTTTGTATGTCTTAAGATAATTCCATCTGTTAGCTGCTTACTACTATAAATGACTCACCTAGAATTTGGCTTCTCAACTTAAGGTTTTAAGAGAATTTAAAGCTATGATTTAAAACTCTGTTTTTTCCCATTCATTCCAAAAGACAAGAAGGGAAAATGCCTTAACAATGTTCACTACCTTCAGACAGGTGAATATAAATGACATTTCCAACAAGTTGAGTAAATTAATGATGGCATTTAAATTTCAAGCTAAGAATAGTCGCCTTTGTGTACTGGGATAATAAGTATACAGTATTTCTTCATTTTTTTACATTTAAAAATGCAATCTCCTCTTTCTCCAGGTGGCACTTTTCTAGAAATTCAGTAGACAAACAATAATAATGATAAAACAGTGTTTCCCTGGTTCATATTCCACTCTGTGAATTACGGACTTTCCCATTCCATCCTTCAACACTATACCCCATCCCCAACACCACACATACACCTCAAATTCCCCCAATTCTGCCAACTCTGTATTCCAGGCACTAGCCTCCACCACTGAGAAAGAAAAATTGATTAAATGTTTGGAAATAAATGTAGGACATGTCACAGTTGTAGTGTTATGGAAGCCCCAAGGGATAGAGGGCACCGCTTGTCATTTGCCATTGGTTCTTTTCCTACCCCCATCTTGCTTTGTGAATGTCTCCTTCCCAGGTTGCCCTGTATGTGGGAGTATGGATTAGTCTGGCTGTCTGTCCAGGCTGTTTTGTCCTTCTCTTGCTATGGCATCCTGTCAGTCTTTGATCTGGACTGCAAGGTTAGTTAACTTCTACCCCCATTTATTTTACCAAACACTATTTATAAGATATAATGCTGTTCTGACTTGTGTTCCCAACGTCTAATAGAGAATCTTCTTATCTAGCTAAAGAGCAGGATCTCCTCTCCCAAGAACTCAGCATAAAACCCTCAAAGTAGATTCAGAGAACAATTTTTGTTGTTGTTGTTAATTGAGTTTGTGAACCTCTACTCTCTCTTGTGAATACTTCCCAAGAAGTCTCTCAGACCTGTATTCTAACAAACCCCTGCTGGTCTCTCCTAACACAACTTGATGGCCATATCTATACCACACATTTTGCATTCCACTTCATTCTGATAATAGAACTCCATTTTTTTCCCTTGGGGAGTTATCCTTTTCCATGTAATCTGAATAGTTTAGTTGGGCTGACTTCTTTCATGGCTTTTGTGTTTGATTAAAAATGGCTGACAGCCTGGAGTATGGCTCATGCCTGTAATCCCAGCACTTTGGGAGGCTGAGGCAGGTGGATCACCTGAGGTTGGGAGTCCGAGACCAGCCTGACCGACATGGAGAAACCCTATGTCTACTAAAAATACAAAATTAACTGGGCGTGGTGGCGCATGCCTGTAATCCCAGCTACTCGGGAGGCTGCGCAGGAGAATCACTTGAACCCGGAAGGCAGAGGTTGCAGTGAGCAGATATCGCGCCATTACACTCCAGCCTGGGCAACAAGAGTGAAACTCCGTCTCCAAAAAAAAAAAAAAAAAAAAAAAAAAAAAAAAAAAAAAAAAAAAAAAAAAAAAGCCTGACAATTATTTCTTACTCTTCCAGTTGAAAGAGGTCTAACTTCCCTATTCATGAATCTGGGAGGCCTTAGTGAGAATCCGAGACTTTTAAAACTAGGTCTGAAGAAGGTTTGCAGCTTCTACCCAGGGTTCTTGAATGACCCATTCTGAGGACCACTGCCTACTAGGTAAGAAAAATGACTACCCTGAGACTGCCGTACTGCCCAAGCTTCCACGTGAAAAGGTTTCCAGGAGAGAGAAACGTCTGGCCAGCTCCAGATGTCTCAGCTTAGGCACTAAATGTATGAGTGAAGAAGCCTTCTTGGTCATTACAAACTCTAGCAGTTGCAGTATGGAAGACTGGAAACCCAGCTATCAGCCAGGACCAAAGTCCCAGACATGTGGTCCTAGTCAAGATGTTTCCGTTCTCTCCAGCAATTTGGGACTCAGACATTGGAAAGCAAAAAATGAGGCATTGCTTCCATGCCCTACCCATATTCTTGACCCACAAAATCATGAGTATAATGAACTTGACACCATTAAATTTTAGGGCAGCTTGTTACACAGATAACTGGAACAGTTCCAGAGGTGGGTTGTTAACTCATATGCAGGTAATCAGAACAGTAAATCCACCCAGTCATAGTATTTGTTTCAGGACTGAGAACATGACCCAACTCTGGCCAGTTAACATTTCCATCCTCCCAGCTGTAGTGGATGGTTAGGATATGGGTTTGGGTTTGTTATTCAAGGTGGTTCAATGAAGTACTGTACTTGGAACTTTATACAAACTAGGACAGTCTGTAACATTGCTGAGAGGGTATTATATAAGCACAGAAAAAGAGAAAGTCATCATGCCACCACCAGCTAGCCTAAGAATGGAGGAGGGAAGAGCTTACCTAAGAAAACAGCAGCAAGAGATAGAGTAAGAATGGATCAGATAGCATCATTAAAGCCAGATCTACCTTGGACCTCTCAGATTAAAAAGCCAATGCCTTCTCTATTTTGCTTAACCCCTTTTTTTTTTTTTTTTGGCTCACCGTGGCTGGAGCGCAATGGCATGATCACAGCTCACTGCAGCCTCCAACTCCTGGGCTCAAGAAATTTTCTCAACCCAGACTCCTGAATAGCTGGGACTACAGGCACACTCCACTGTGCCTGTCTAATTTTCAGACTTTTTTTGTAGAGATGAGATCTCACTATGTTGCTCAGGATGGTATTAAACTCATAGACTCAAGTGATCCTCCTGCCTTGGCCTACCAAAGTGCTGGGATGACAGTCATGAGTCACCACATTGGCCTGTTTAAGCAAATTTAATTTTTATTGTTTCGTTAATGGAAACCAAAAGTGTACTAACTACCATGTATATGAATTCTCTTTATGGTTCAACTAGACTTCCTAGCAGAGGCCGTGATTATTTGTAATTTCTAAATTTTCCCTAACAAATATGTCTAATTTTATTAATGGAAATTTTCAAACTTTATTTTTTAAAATTTGAAGCAGAATCTTCATGTAATGGTAAAATATATAACAACTAATCTGGTGGTGGAGCATTATCATCACCATAATTTTTCTGACTAACAACCTCATTTTACCTCATTTCTGTAAAATGAAGAAATCAATGAAGGAAACTAAGCCAGTAAATGCTTAAGCAAGAATCTGAACTCATATCTGGTCCTAAATTCCATACTTTATACTTCTTGGAAACAACTTATGAGTTCTAAAAAATATGATAAGATGCCACATATTGGAACATAAAATCAAATGTATAGTTAGTACATATACAAACACCACAGAGTCACTTTGGTTTTCTGAAATTCTGGAGACACACACAATTGCAGAAGAAAATTCAATGCATCTGACTATCACCAAACCTTTCTGCTCTTTCTCTTGTACACTTCTTATTAATTTGAGGTTTGTAACTTCTTTTTGTGACGAAAAGTTTTTTTGAAATGTCATCATCCTGTGGACAATGGTTGAGATACCAAGTGTCAGGTAAGAAAAATTTGAGATGGGCCCCATCTCTCATTCCCCTTAGTTTATCCCAGGCCTCCACCATACACCTTTTTGTATTGACCTGTTTACTTCTCATTCAATAATGTAACTCTTCATAAGTTTTTAATTTTATTAAATTTTGAAATGATCACAAATTTACAGAAAATTGGTAAAGAGAGTACAAAAAACGTTTTCCCCTGTGCATTTGACAGTAAGTTGCTGACCTCATGCCCTATCACCCACAGATACTTAAGTGTGTATTACCTACAAACAAGGACATTCTCAACACAGCTATCCTCCAATCCTCAAAATCAGGAAACTGATATCAAATCTCAGATTCTATTCAAGTATTGCCAATTGTCCCCAATGTGTGTTTTTTTTTTTTTTAACCAAAAGATGAAGTTCAGAATCTCATGTTGTATCTGATGCTCACACCTATTTAGTCTTCTTTGGTCTGGAACAGTCTGGAATAATTCCTCAGTCTTTCTTTGACTTTTATGACTTTGGCAGTATTGTAGGTTATAGGCTACTCTATAGACTGTGTGTTAATTTAGATTTTTTAAAAGATCCCCCTAGATTTGTGTTCCACATCTCTGGCAGAAATACCACAGAATGATGCTGCATTTTTGTCGTGACATCCTGTCAGGAGCACGATACCAATTTCCAGTCACTGATGACATTCACGTTGATCGTATGATTCAGATGGTATCTGCCAGGCTTCCCACTACAATGTTACCCTTCTTCCTGTGCATAGAACACACTCACCTCCCTACCAAGAGAAATAATTCAGTCTCATCCAGTTACTGCATTCTGCTAAAAATCCAACATCTCTGGGTGATGCACAGTTGTGTCCAATATGGCTCTTCATGGTGGTTCTAGTAATTTGTCAACCAAAATACGAGTTATTAGCCTACTCTCCCCCATATCCTCCCAATATGCTTCATTCAGTGGCTGAATAGGACCAAGATAACTGCAATAGAAATTTGTATTTGAAAAAGAAAGAATGGGTAAACACATTTTTTTTTTAAAAAGAAACACACATTTTATTTGAAAAAGAAATAAAACACACATTTTATTTGAAAAAGAAAGAATGGGTAAACACACAGGTCTGTAACAATTATTACATTGTACTGGGCAGGACTTCATGGTGAAGTCAGTTCCTCGGAAGGAGCCTGTCTGGTTGTCCCCCGTTCTGTTCTCAGAGACTAACATCCTAGTCCTTTCACCTCTGTAGCAAGATATTACTTGACCATTGATCTCTGTGCCCACATTTGATATGAGCATTAGGGAGAAGGTCCGCCCTGGGAATTGGATAGATTTTTTGAAGTTAGGTGTCCTGAAGGTGTCTTTAGGGCTCAGATAATCACAGGATTTTTGCAGAGCTGGCTTGGGATTTTTTTTTTCTTTTTTTTTGACAATATGATGCCTTCAAAAACTTAGTCGGCCTTTAATCTTTGTATTGGGCAGTTCCATATGCTGGTAACCATCCAGTGGTAATTCCTCTCATTTTGCAATATGTTTTAAATTTTCATTTATTTAGATCTTCTTCTAATCTTCAGTAAAGTTTTGTATTTTATAAAGTATATGTTTGAGTATTCACAAATATATCAAAATGTATTATTATTTTATGCTCATGTATTTATGTTACGGAAGTTCCTTCTGTTTCTAGATTACTAATTATTTAAAAAATCAGGGCCAGGCACGGTGGCTTATGCCTGTAATCCCAGCACTTTGGGAGGTCGAGGCGGGTGGATCACCTGAGGTCAGGAGTTCAAGACAAGCCTGGCCAACATGGTGAAACCCCATCTCTACTGAAGATACAAAAATTAGCTGGGCATGGTGGCCAGCACCTGTAATCCCAGCTACTTGGGAGGCTGTGGCAAGAGAATCACTTGAACCAGGGAAGCAGAGGTTGCAGTGAGCCGAGATTGCGCCATTGCACTCCAGCCTGGGTGATAAGAACAAAATTCCATCTCGAAAAAAAAAAAAATCAGAAATAGGTATTTAATTTTATTAATTATTTTAGCATCTATTCAGATGATTACATAGGGCTTTTATTTTAAATTTGACACTGCCAGCATAGAAATACATTACAATAAACAGCGCTGTATCAATTACCCACTTAAATAAATAAAACATTACAAATACAAGTAAAGTCCCTTGTATTTCTCCCCAGTTCTTTTCTCATCTAATATTCTGCCCCACATCCCTCTCCTAAGTTTGATTTTTATTGTTTCTATACTACCTATATACTTTGCTTCACATATATTTCTCTATAACATATATAATATTGCTCAGGCTTTTAATACGTTTATTTTAGGTTTCATGTGGTATGTATCTTGCCACAAATTACTTTTCTTCACTCCACATTGTTTTTGAGATTCAGCCTGTCTGCTAGACATGATTCTAGTTTATTTTAACCACAATTTAGTGTTCCACTTGAGGCAGGAGACTGGTAGGTCTTGTTTCCCAGATTGGATAGGAAACTGACTGGAGTCAGCAAGTGGTGCCCAAAGCAACCTCTAGTTAACTTCACTGCCCATCATCATAAGACACTCCCACCAACACCATGACAGTTTACCTATGCCATGGCAACACCCAGAAGTTACTGTCCATTTTCTAAAGATTTCTGAATTGCTCACTCATTAATTCGCATATAATTAAAAGTGGGTATAAATACAGCTAGCCAACAGCCCAAACACTGCTGCTCTCAGCCCACTGCCTATGGGCTAGCCCTGCTCTGCAAGGAGCAGTCACTGAGCTGTAACACCGCCGCTTTCATAAAACCGTCTTCTTCCACCACTGGCTCATCTTGAATTCTTTCCTGAGTGAAGCCAAGAACCTGCCCTGAGTCATACTGAATGAACACACAAAACTTATTTATCCGTCCTCCTGGTGATAGTCATTTACTTTGTTTATGTTCTTTGCTATTTTAATGTTGTTTTCATTTCTCCTTGTCTCATATGCAAATTAGGGTTGACAGATTTAGCAAATAAAAATACAGGATGCCCAGTTAAATCTGAATTCCAGATAAATCATGAATAATCTTTTTAGTTTCAAATAATACAACCCTACAAGAGTTTAGAGAACACAATAAGAAATGTTGTATAAAATGACCCAGCACACACACACATATAGTAATCAAAGATAAAGCTCTCAAAAAATATTAATTGATTTAATTGATATATGATATGGTTTGAAAGTCTTTCTCCTCCAAATCTCATGTTGAAATGTGATTCCCAATGTTGGAGGTGGAACCTGGTGGGAGGTGATTGGATTATGAGTGTGGACCCCTCATGAATGGTTTAGTACCATCTCTTGGTGATAAATGAGTTCTCACTCAATTTGTTCATGAAAGAGCTGGTTGTTTAAAAGTCCGAGACCTCACTTCCTTTGCTCTCTTGTTCCCACTCTTGCCATGTGAAATGCTTACTCGTGCTTTGCCTTTTGCCGTAATTGTAAGCTTCCAGAGCACCTCACCAGAAGCTGAGCAGATGTTGGTGCCATGCTTGTACAACCTGCAGAACTATGAGCCAATTAAACTTCTTTTCTTTATAAAGTACCCAGCCTCATGTATTATTCCTTTATAGTAACATAAAAACAGCCTCACACAATATTTACTCTACTACTCTTTTCCTACTGAAATCCATTCTATTCTTTCTTTTCCATCTTACTCCCAATGCTATGGTTTGAGTGTCCCTGCAGAAACTCATGTTCGACCCTTAATTTCCAGTGCAGCAATGTTGAGAGGTGGGATCTTTAAGAGGTGGCCTAATGGAAGGCTTTTGGGTCATGAGTGCTCGATCCTCATGGCAGCTTTGTCCCACAGTAGTGAATGAGTTCTTAATCTCTTAAGACTGGATTAATTGTTGAGGAAATTGATTTGTTCCTGCAGCAGCAGGTTGTTCCTCCTTGTGTTTGGTCTCTTTTAGCATGTGCCTGCTCCCATTTCCACTTTTCTGTCATGTTATGACTCAGCAAAAAAGCCCTCACCAGAAGCAAGCAGATGTCAGCACCATGCTTTTGGACTTTCCAGCCACCAGAATCATGAGCCAAATTAACTTCTTTTCTTTATAAATTACCCAACCTCAGATATTCTGTTATAGCAACACAAAACAGACTAAGACATCATCCCATTCCATTTAAAAAGGACTTTCCTTGTCCCACTGAATTAATTTCTCTACCTACTAATATATCCAAGTCCTACAGTTTGTAAAACACTATTGCAGAATATATAGCCAGGAAAAGAATTGCTGATTTGTAGATATTGCATTTTCAACTTTACCAGAATAGCCATATTATTCTCCAGAGTTGTCGTATATTAGTATTTCCAGTGTTCCATAGCCTCATCAACACTTTTTAGTGCTCAAGTGTATAATTTTTAAATTTCATGAATGTCAAATGCTGTCTCATTTTGGTTTAAGTATGCATTTTACTGAATATTTGTGAGCTTTAGCATTCTTTTCATATGTGTCCATTATTTGAATGTCCTCCTTAGTAAACTATTTACATTCTTCATCCAATTTTTTATTAGGTTGGTTGCCTTTTTCTTATTGAATTTTAATAGTCCATGTTATATTTTGCCTACTAATGCACTACACGTTATGTGAATTGCATATGATTTAATTTGTGACTTATCCTTTCATGTTGTGTTTATGGAGATTTTTCCATATACAAATATTTTTATTTTAATGTGGTAAAATTTTTTAAATCTTAAAAAAAATCCGTGCTTTTTGCATCATGTTTAAATAAATCTATCCTATCCCAGAGTCATAAAGATATATTTCTCCTCTATATTTTCTAAGAAGTTTTGACATTTGGGGCAGTGATTTTTGCCTGTTTTAATTACTGCTATATTCCAAATGCCTAGAAGAGTATCAGCACATATCAGGCACACAATATTTGTTGAAAGAGTGAAAGGAGAGACATTCTTGTGGGCAGAACAAAGTAAAACTGGAAAGTCAGAAAGGTGAGGGGAACTGGATCGAGTTCTTTGATTTGTGCAAGGTGGAGCATTGCAACTGAGGCATATAAAGTTAGGGCCCTCATTGTCCTTAGAAAACTCTCTGGGCCTTAAGAGAAAGGGTAAACAAGAAAAAATTGTTCAGCTTGACATGTAAAAGGACAATTATTACATTTTATCTAGTATTTAGGTGTTTTATAAGGGAGTAATTTTCAGGTTTTTTGGCCTACTGTATCACAAGAAATTTACCAATTAATGTTTGAACTACATCAATAGATTTTAGAGGCTTTAATTCATCCCTGCATTCCTGGGGTAAATTGTTCTTGACAATATTATTAGATTTTTATTTGCTAATATTTTAGTTAGGAGTTTTTGCATTTTATGGTCATAAGTAATACTGGCTTCTAGCCTTCTTCATGGTATCCTTGTCCAATACAGGTATATGGACATGTTAGCCTTATAGAATGAGTTAGGAAGTTTTCCAGCACTATCTATGCTTTGGAAATATTAATAGAATACAGAATTATGTTTTAAATATTTATAAAACATACTTTAAAACTATCACGGTTGATTATTTTTCTTTTCTTGAGACGTCTTCCTCTGTCACCCAGGCTAGAATGCAGTGCACAATCATAGCTCATTGCAGCCTTGATCTCTGGGGCTCAAGTGATCTCCCCGACCCAGCCTCCTGAGTAGCTGGGATTACAGGTGCACACCACCATTCCTGGCTAGCTATGTTGCCCAGACCGGTCTTGAACTCTTGGCTCAAGTGATTCTCCTGCCTTGGCCCCTCAAAATGCAGGGATTACAGGTGTGAACCAGCATGCCCAGCCAGATGTTTCCTTTTCAGAGATAAATCTTTTGCTGCTTCATTTTTAGCAATTTTCGAGTTGATTTTAGTCATTTATTTATATGTAATAAGATGTTAAATGACTCTTTTCCTGTTGTCTCAGATTTTCAGCAGAGCATTTTAAGACCAAGAAATATAGATGCCAGGCTCTCCATGCAGGACATTCCAAGAGATTGTGAAACCAACTGTTAAACTGCAGCCCATCACCTACCTTGAGGATTTATAGGTAAAAGTAAGAAAATTCTTCAAGAGAGGTCAGCAGTGAGGATTGCTCTGATGACCATTGCCAATGTGCTGTGTGCTCCCCAGATACTGGCAGGATGAGGACTATTAAAGTAACTACTCCTGGACCTTGCTATGTGCTCCCTGGCATTTGAGTGCATAGCCAAGAGGCCGGCTGGAGCCACTGGAGTGACAGAGAAAAGTGAGGGCTTCATGGGCAGCAGCCTGCACCTCTGGAAGCAGACAGGGCTCAGCACATCCTCAAGGAAAATCTCTGGTGTTGAGTCAACTTGGGAAGGTTTGAAATTTTGATTGTGGTAATTGTTACACAATGCATACATGTATCAAATCATCATATTGTGCACCTTTGATATATTTATGTAGTCTACTTTTTTCTTTTTCCCAAATAAAAGAAGTATTGTGATGAAGCAAATTAGAAAAAAGCCTTAGCTTGCTTGCAAGACACAATTTCTAAAGCTCTCATCACATTCCACCTTTCAGCAATTGTCACTGATAAGGCACAATACATCCCTGTGTTTGGCCATTATCCAAAACAAAGTCAGAAAATAGCTGTTGTCTGTCTCAGCTGCAACATAAAATTAGTACAATAATGACACACAAGGACAGGGCTTTGACGCACGAGTGCCTTTACCCAGTTGCCTAGAGAGCATCATTTATTAGTTCTTAACTGGTTACTAATTCAAGCAATGTATCTCCCATATTGTTAGGTTTGTTTAATGACTAACCCTATGGCTTTCTATATTCTATTAGCCTTTGATATAGCATTAGATAACATTGTTTTATTTTGGCTTTAAACTGATAAAGATGATCTATGTTTAAATCCTTGGACCCAAGGATGTTATTTCTGGCTCTCATAAGTTTTGTTCCAAACATCAAATTCTCCTTCTGAGATTCTTTATTATCCCTCAGCCCATGTGGGCTTCATAGCAGTATAGATAATGACATTAATTGGTTTAATTAAATTGACATTGTTCTTTGAACCAATGTAAGAATTGCTTGGTATTTTCCCAAGCAATAGTGGTATGATATGTCCCCCACTGTTCCCTAGGTTTAGAGCAAAGGCAAAAATGTTCCAGAAGCTGCAGTGACAGAATACCAGGGCTCCCAAACTGAGCTGGTAAAAATCTCCTGTAGGGTTATCTGAGTAGAAACAGAGAATGTAAATCACTGGAAGAAGTTAAAAAGTGAACATCTTGTTCAAAGAGAAACAGAAATGGATACTTCTGTGGATTTAAAAACTAGGCAGATCTCACATCTTTACATACTACAGGACTTTAATATCATACTCTAGAGTATCTTGCTTTGATCAATTCTGTTTTCTATGTGACATACATAGTTAGCATATCACAACTTGTTATAAAATAGTACTTTTTCTTTCTTTCTTTTTTTCTTTTTTTTTTTTTTCTGAGACAGAGTGTCTCTCTGTCACCCAAGCTGGAGTGCAGTGGCGTGATCTTGGCCCACTGCAACCTCTGCCTCCCAGGTTCAAGTGATTCCCCTGCCTCAGCCTCCCGAGTAGCTGGGACTACAGGTGAGTGCCACCATGCCTGGCTAATTTTTTGTGTATTTAGTAGAGACGGGGTTTCACCATGTTGGCCAGGAAGGTCTCAATCTCCTGAACTCATGATCCACCCTCTGCGGCCTCCCAAAATGCTGGGATTACCAGTGTGAGCCACCACGCCCAGCCTAAAAACAGTACTTTTCAACCAGTATGAACACACTTCCTTCTTCCTCTGGTTGTCTGTACTGGGTCCGTGATGTCTATTGATTGGGTACAGGTGTTACATTGGATAACTCAACCCACAACAATAGCTAAGTATTGAAGACTTCAATACATTTATTGCATTGTGAGCTGTATTTGGGGCTGTGCTGAAAAATTTTTACCCCCCATTCTTTCCCAGTCCCAGTCTTTCCCCATCCTGCTTCCATTCTCACAGCCAGGTCAGAGTTTATTGTCTTCTATATTTTCTAATAAGAAATTCTAGTCCACAGAATTTTTAATGATTATTTGACTGTGGTAAAATGTCCATGTATGGTATTCCTATTATACAGCCAAATACAAAGTTGAAAAAGAAGAATTTCTTTTAAAGTCTCCATCTCTTGAAATAGTGGCAGCGAATACTTAATATTTTGCCTTGTTGATAAAAATATTTATACTCAAATGTTGGACCTCACCCTGTCCACATGACAGTCATCTAGACATTGTCTTAAAGTCCAATGGATAGACACCAATTATCAATGTTATTTGTTTCAATATATTAATTGCTATTAAATTACTTCAAAAAAGAATTTGAGCACATCTACAGTGGGGTTTGCTCTCTTACAGCTGTTGTGCCAAACCCCTAGTAATTTTAATAGGGAGGGCACCATGTTCAAGAGGCCAAAGAAGAGATCCAGAGCCAGCAAAATGAGACATGGGGTTTCATTAAGGGCTTATATACAGGGGAGAGAGTCCAGTGGTATTAGGCTGGACAAGAGGATGGCCTTAATTACAGGAATGGTCCAGTGATGGAGAGCTAGGCAGGAAAACTGCATGATCCAGTGGCGGTGGGCTGGGCAGAAAAACCTCAACCACCTGCAAACATCATGCAGTTTATACAGCATTTTCACTTAACATCCTCTCCTTAATGACCTCCACCTGGCAACCTATATTTAACCCAGAACTCAGGCCCTCAATCTCCTGTACAGCCTGTGTGCCACAGGACAGGCTGGGGTTTGATGTTTACCATAGATAAGAAACGAATCTCTGGGTTGGCCATTCCTGGATTCTCCAGCTTGGAACACACATTCAGCTGTGTCTGCCATACAGGGAAGGGTATGCCTAAGTTATTGTTTTCAAGTGTGTGTACCCTACAGTCCACCCAGCATACCCTTGAATGGCCCTTACATTCTTATCACAACATTCTTCTGCAGTTTCCCTGGGGCCAAGTATGTGGAGTAGCATTGCAGCCAGATGCCGGAGCAGTTACTATAGTAACAAAAGAACAACTAATACAGTAACGATCACGAAGTTCTTCCAGTCGCTTGGGAGTTGACCTTGGATGAACCATGGCAGGCCCATGGTGGAGGAGAGTGGCAGTTCTCCTCAGGCCCAACAGTCTATTTTGCACTGGAGGAAGGCCACTATCTATGCCCAGTCAGCAACGAGGTTTTCTGCACACTATCTATGGGTGGAAGGTGAGATGTTTAGTGGGTATAAGAAAGGACAAGCCATGACATTTAGCAAGACACAAGAAGTTGTATCACCACCCCCTGGCAACAGCTTGGTACCTAGTTTACAATACCAAATAGATTGGTCCCCTCTGTGACATGTGGCGGGAGGCCAGAGCAAGACACTGGCAGCACCACAATGAGAGGATGATTGTCTCCCTATGTGAGGAAGGACCACTATTATTTGTTTCAAGAAATTTTTTAATTTCCTTCTTAATTTCTTCATTGACCCACTGGTCATTCAAGAGCATATTGTTTAATTTCCATGTGTTTGTGTAGTTTCCAAAATTCCTGTATTGATGTCTAGTTTTATTCCATTGTGATCAGAGGAGATGCTTGATATTATTTCAATTATTTTGAATATTTTAAGACTTGTTTTGAACCTAACATATGATCAATCCTTGAGAATGATCCATGTGCTGAGGAAAATAATGTGTATTCTGAAGTCACTGGATGAAATGGTCTGTAAATATCTATTAGGTCCATTTGTACCATACTGCAGATTAAGTCTGAGGTTTGTGATTTTCTGTCTGGGAGATCTGCCCATTATTGAAAGTGGGGTGTTAAGGTCTCCAGCTATTATTGTACCAGGATCTATTTCTCTCATTAGGTCTAATAATATTTGCTTTATGCATCTGGGTGCTCCATTTTTGGGTGCATGTATATTTAAAATTGTTATATCCTTTTAAAACGACCTACAGAATGGGAGAAAATTTTTGCAGTCTATCCATCTGAGAAAGGTCTAATATCCAGAATTTATAAGGAACTTAAACAAATTTACAAGAAAAAAACAAACAACCCCATCAAAAAGTGAGTGAAGGATATGAACAGACACTTCTCAAAAGAAGACATTTATGTGGCCAACAAACATATAAAAACCACAATGAGATACCATCTCATGCCAGTTAGAAAGGCAATCATTAAAAAGTCAGAAAACAACAGATGCTGGTGAGGCTGAGGAGGAATAGGAACGCTTTTACACTGTTGGTGGGAGTGTAAATTAGTTCAACCATTGTGGAAGACAGTGTGGCGATTTCTCAAGGATGTAGAACCAGAAATACCATTTGACCCAGCAATCCCATTACTGGGCATATACCCAAAGGATTATAAATCATTCTACTATAAAGACACATGCACATATATGTTTACTGCAGCACTATTTACAATAGCAAAGGCTTGGAACCTACGCAAATGGCCATTAATGATAGACTGGATGAAGAAAATGTGGCACATATACACCATGGAATACTATGCAGCCATGAAAAGGAATGAGTTCATGTCCTTTGCAGGGACACAGATGAAGCTGGAAACCATCATTCTCAGCAAACTAACACAGGAACAGAAAACCAAACACCACATGTTCTCACTCATAAGTGGGAGTTGGACAATGAGAACACATCGACACAGGGAGGGGAACATCACACACATGGGCCTGTTGGTGGGTGAGGGGCAAGGGGAGGGAGAGCATTAGGACAAATACCAAATGCACGCGGGGCTTAAAACCTAGATGACAGGTTGATAGCTGCAGCAAACCACCATGGCACATGTATACCTATGTAACAAAGCTGCACGTTCTGCACATGTATCCCAGAACTTAAAAAAATTGTTATATCCTCTTGCTGAATTGACCCCTTTAACAATATATAATGACTTTCTTTGTCTCTTATAGTTTTTGTCTTGAAATCTATTTTGACTGATACAAGTATAGTGACTCCTGCTCTTTTTTGGTTTCCATTGGCATGGAATATCCTTTATCACTCCTTTATTTTCAGTCTATTTGTATCTTTATAGGTGAAGTGTATTTCTTGTAGGCAACAGATCATTGGGTTTTGTTTTTCATCTATTCAGCTACTCTATGTCTTTTGATTGGAGAGTTCAGTACATTCACATTCATTGTTATTTTTAGTAAGTGAGGACTTACACCTACCATTTTGTTATTTGTTTTCTAGTTATTTTGTGGGATTACAGGTGCCCAACACCACTCCCAGCTAATTTTAGATTTGCCCTTTTGTGGCAATTTTCTAGATCTTGTAGGCATGCTTGATTGTTTTCAAGCTCACTAATTTCTTCTGCTTGATCAATTCTGCTTTTAAGCAGATCTTAATCCTGCTATTAAGAGACTCTAGGCCAGGCGCTCTAGGCCTGTGACTGTAATCCCAGCACTTTGGGAGGCCGAGGCAGGTGGATCACCTGAGGTCAGGAGTTCAAGACCAGCCTGGCCAACATGGTGAAACCTCATCTCTACTAAAAAAAAAAAATACAAAAATTTGCCAGGCATGGTGGTGCCTGCTTGTAGTCCCAGCTACTTGGGAGGCTGACACAGGAGCATCCCTTGAACCTGGAAGGCAGAGGTTGCAGTGAGTCAAGATCACACCATTTGAAAGGACTTGGGTGTTGCGATCTAACACATATTTGCATTAGGGGGAACCACAAGCCCAGTAATGCTGTGGTTCTTGCAGAATCATAGAGGTATTGCCTTGGTGGTCTTAGGTAAGATGCAGAAGAATTCTCTGGATTACCAGGCAGAGTCTCTTGTTCTCTTTCCTTACTTTCTCTCAAACAGAGTCAGTCTCTCTCTCTCTGTGTGTGTGTGTGTGTGTGTGTGTGTGTGTGTGTGTGTGCTGAGCTGCCTGGGTGGGGAGTGGAGTTGGGGGTGGACACAAGCACCCCTGTGGCCACCAATACTGGGACTGCACTGGGTCAGACCTGAAGCCAGCACAGCACTGGGTCTTGCCCATGGCCTGCCATAACCACTACCTGGGTACCACCTATGTTCACTCAAGGCCCTAGAGCTCTACAATCAGCAAGTGGTAAAGCCAGCCAGGCTTGTGTCCTTCCCTTCAGGGCAGTGAGTTCTCCCAGGCCTCTGGCAGGTCCAGAGATGCTATCTAAGAGCCAGGGACTGGAATCAAAAATCTAGGAAGTCTATCTGGTGTTCTATTCTACTATGGCCAAGTTTCTCCTCAAACCATGGGGCACTTTCATGGGAAAGTACTCCCATGGGCCTGTGGTGGTCGTGGCCATAGAGTGAGGCTTCTCTGCCTGTGGAAAGGGGAGAGAAGAGTGGCAAGGACTCTTCCCACTCAAGGACTCAAATTAAAGGGGAGAGAAGAGTGGGAAGACTCTCCCCTTTCCACAGGTAGAGAAGCCCCACTCTATGACTACCACCACCATAGTCCCATGGGGAATACTGCCAGTCCACTGTAGATGTTCACTTAAGGCCCCAAAACTCCTCAGTCAGCTGTGGTACATACTGCCAGGCTTGCAACTCACTTTTCAGAGCAGTGGGCTCCCCTCTGGCCCAGGGCAGATCCAGAAATCTGGCAGGTGGTATTGCTTCAGCACTACTACTCACTGTGGGGCTGGTAACTGTACCAATGTCCATTCCACATTCCCTCCACCCCAATCACATGCTTCATTTGGAATTCCCCAGCAGCTGTTTCATGTGGGGTCCTGCCTGATAAGAGAACCATTCCCAAGATGTGTTCTGGGATGGGAGCTATGTATACTAAAAAGAGTTTGGGCGGCTGTTTCCCAACTTTTAATGCTAGTTCAACCTGCCTGACTTTCACAGCTCCCACTCCATAGCTATCTATTGCTGTTATAGGCACTTGGAACCAATGAGTGTTGCCATACACCAGGGTGCATTCAGCTCCAGTATCCACTAGGGCAAACACAGTCTGTTTATTATTAGGTGACCAATATATAGTTAGCTCTACATGTGACCTCCAGTCCCTGGACACCTTGGCCACCATTACTCTTATTGGGATTCTGAGGCCTTGACCTTCATACCAGCTAAGTTAAAGGGGTTGGTGTCTGCCATCCCTCTGTGGGAGGGACAGTGGGCTGAATCTGAGGTTCCTGAGTGAACTGTTGTTGTGGCTTGAGCTTTCATCCCAGTCTAACCAGAACAGCATTAGGTTGCTCATCTATTTGCATGGTAGGTGTCCCTGCCACTCATGCCACATTTGTCCACAGACCACCTTAATGGGCCCCTTCACTGTCTCCTTCCCTTTGGCTCCCTTGTCTTTCATCTTGGCTATCCACACAGCTGCCCGTGCAGTTTCTCTGGTTCCCCTAAGGCAGAGGCTGTTTGGGCTGACTGAGACTCTGCCTGTCCTACCAGGTCTCTCAGGATAGACACTGGCATGCCCTACCATTGGTAGGTTGCCAACTCTAAGATGGCATCTTTCATGCCGGCAGTGAGAAGCTCATTGTAGGACATGGGTAATGCTCAGCATAATAGCATGCTTCATCCCTAATTCCCCATGGATGTCCCGCAATTCCTCCACAGTCTGCCACTGCAAAGGAGACATGGGGACATCTCCCTCATTTGGCCAGGGTGCCCTGCAGCCTGCAACCACCAGCTGAAGGGGATGGCTCGATCTCCATTACCAGCACCGCAGAGGAGCTGCCTCAGGGATTGGGGGGTTTGTGGTGCATGCCATTTTACTCAAGTTCAGGGAGTATAATATCCTCCGCCCTTGAGTTCATAGAGGAAGACACCCAAGACCAACTCTGTCACCTTCTGCCTGGGCCTATTTCTCAGCTCTTTCAATTCCACAGCAGTGCTGTCCTCATTGTGCTGTGCTGTCACCCTCCAGGCAGGGACAAGTTTTGCGGGTGTGCTCCCTGCAGGCGCAGGGCAGTCAACGGCCCTTCAAACCAGCTACCCGACAAACCAGGGTCTCCATCTCCATTCTGTCTGGCACCTCTAATCACAGTTTGCCCTGCAGCTGATGACCCCTCGCCTGCGCTGTGGCTCCACCTCGTTGCTGCTAGGAGTACAGTGAGAAACGCCAGCCACTGGGGCTGCGACCCTCGGGCATCTGAGCCTTGCTCAGTCAGATGCACCCCCTGCCACAACTCTTCCAGACTCCTCAGCGTTTTCAGGGCGACCCCATCCATCAAGGAGAGTGGCTATCGGGCTCCACACTGAAGTGGACGGCTGGCCAGCCTGGATTTCCCCTGAGGATTTCCCCTTCCCCAATCCCATTGTCTTAGTGCTCAGGGATTTTCTCTGACCTTCTGGCTGCCTCGCCAATTGCTGTGACAAACCCATCTTAACCTCAGGAAGGAAGGCACCAGGTTCAAGAGGCCAGAAAAGAGAACCAAGGCCCACAAAAGACACATGGGCTTTTATCAGGAGCTTACATATTAGAGAGAGTCCAGTGGCGGTGGGCTGGACAGGAGAACTGCAACCGCCTACAAACACCATGTAGTTTTTACAGCATTTTCAATGAACACCCTCTCCTTAATGTCCTCCACCTGGCAACCTTCATTTACCTCAAAACTCAGGCCTCAATCCCCCGTACAGCTCATCTTCTACAGGACAGGCTGGGGCTCAGATGTTTATCATAGATAAGGAATGACTCTCTGGGTCGGCCACTCCCAGATTTCCTAGTTTGGAATACACATTCAGGTGCATATGCCATACAGGGTCATTCTAAGAGTATATCTAAATTATTACTATCAGGTGTGTTTACCCTAAAACACCTCAGTCTCTTCCCACAGATACCTTCCAAGCATGTTATTGGGCATTTTTAATAATTAGAGTCCTTGGCTGGTTCACCACATAGAGGCCACCGTATGATACACATTAAGTCTTTCGCAAACAGGCTAGTTTCCCCTTAACTCCAGGGGACATCCCAAGACTCCCAATGGATGCCTGATATCATGGATAGTTCCCCTAAGGAACTGAGCCCTAGATATACTATGATTTTTTTTGATACAACCAAGATGGCTACTGACCGATAGGAGCGTAGTCCGTACAGTGTAGATACACTGGACAGAGACGATTGGGCTAGATGCAATGCCTGGAGATTTTGTCATGCTGCTCAGAACACTGGCAATTAAAAACTTATGAGCTCTTTATTTTTGGAACTTTCTATGTAATATTTTTAGACTGCAGTTGACTGCAGGTAACTGAAACCACAAAAAGGAAACAGCAGATAAGAGGGGCACTACTGTATAAGGGTTTCTTAGATAGGTGTAAGTCATGCCACTTATCAATAGAGGGGAGAGTCTCCCATTCTAAATACTACACATGGAACTCCAGCCGTGAAGAGTAGTTACTATCACCAAGGACAAACATACTGGAAAAAGAAAATCATATTAAAGGATCAACTTTAAATGATTACAGAATCTTAAATTATATTTGCCACACATCCTTTAGTCTACATATTCAGTATTACTCAGCCATTAGGTTTTCAATTTTGGGCTCAGTTCCTAGATAGTTCATTTGGACAAAGTGTATTTTCTTTTTTTACCTAAATCTTTTTGGCACACAATAAAGTTGTAAGTTCTTATTCTGGCTTATTCAGTAGATTATTACCAAGTTGTTCCCTCAGTTTATGTAAATAAAAACTTATAAGGACTAAGCAAATGAATAAAAAGTTTGATTCTAATTCAAATAATAAATGAGAAAAATCAAGTTCATTGATTTTGTTAAAAATGATTTGTAACCATCAATATTCGGTATATATCTTGTTTTAATATTTAATATGATATAGGAAAAATAAGATAGTTAATTTAGAATTCTTGTTCCTACTTCCTCTTTATCCAAGAGTTATTTTGTGGGTTTTTTGGGGTTTTCTTGGGGAGGGACAGGGTCTTGCTTTGTCACCTAGGCTAGAGTGCAGTGGCGCAATTGACTTACAGCAATCTCCACCTTCTAGGTTCAAGCAATTCTCGTGTCTCAGCCTCCTGAGAAGCTGGACTACAAGTGCCTGTGTCTCCACACCCGGCTAAATTTTTGTATTTAAGTAGAGACAGGGTTTTACCATGTTGCCCAGGCTGGACCCAAACTCCTGAGCTCAGGCAATCCTCCCACCTTGGCCTTCCAAAGTGCTAGGATTACAGGTGTGAGCCACGACACCCAGCTCTTCATCCAAGAGTTATTTTAAAGGGTGATTATAAGTTCCAAATGGAAGGATTTTGTTTTGTTTTGACTTCTGTTATTTTATTGTGAATTTCCAAATTTACTATATTGTGGTTAGAGAATGTAATCTTATGTAAATTCAGATTTTTAAACTCTGAGATTTTTTTCAATGTGGCCTAATATATCACCAGTTTTGGTGAATGTTCCACGTGATTTCAAAATAAAGCATATATTTCTACATGTTAAGTATAAAATTCTATATCCTTTTATTATATAATAATTATTATTTGTGTTTAAATTTTTGATATCCTTAATATTCTTAGTTTGATATTTTGATTTCTGAGTTGTAATGAACTTTCCTAAAATGGTTAAGGATTTGTCAATTTTTCTTTGTCATTTTGTCAGTTTTTGCTCTCTCTATATTTGAAGCTGTGTTAATAGGTACCTATTGGTTTATGATTAAGAAATGGCCCTCTTTTTAAAGTTTCTTGCCATACAGTCTAATTAGTTTTATTTTTATATTGTTATACCTGCATTTTTAAATTAGTGTTTGCCTTGAATATCTTTTCAATTCCTTCTGGTCATTAAAAACTTTTTAAGTATAGTTTTTAAATGGCAAACAGCTGAAATTTGTTTTTAACTCACTGTGAGAGCTTCTGTCTTTTAATAGAATGAAATTACCCTTTTGTGTTTATTTTGGTTTCTCATGTCTGATTATCCTATTTTTGTTTCCCAATTATCACTCTTTCTTTTTTCTTTATCCCCTTCGTACCTTTGTTGGATTGAGGATTTTTCCTCCTATATTTTATTTTCATCTTCTCTTGTGGTAAAGGAGTTATATGTCTTATTTTAATTTTTATAGTAGTTACACTCATATTTTAATACATGTATTTATCTTGTATTTTTTCTAACAACAGAGATATTCTGTATCCTTTTGTCTTCTCAATCGTGAGAAAAATTTAGCATGATTTGATTTTCTTCCTTTCTATATCCCAGAAACTATGTAATTTACAATTTAAATTCCAGATTGTTATTTTAAGCCACTGGGTCTTTTCACATTATATATCAACAATTAGACTTAACTGTAAGTTTTGCTAGTATTACTCACCACTACTTCTTTTATCCCACATATATATCCCCTTTCTTACAATCATTGTTTAATTTACTAGAATACACCCTCAAATAATTCGTTCAAAAGGGCATGTGGATATTTCTTTAGCTTGCTTGACTTTGAGAGCTCTTCAGTTTTTCCAGAAATCAGTCACCTGGAATAATTTCTGGCTCATCCAGTTCCAGTTTCCTCACTTAGTGTTTTACCTGTGAGGTGGTTGCTGCTGCCCTTTGTCCACATGGGAGACAGAGAGGGAGAAGGGGGAGTAAGTGTACCTGCTCTGCATCCAGTTCTTCCTAAATAATTCTGCCAAATATCCTGATGACTCTCTGTTGCCTCTTGGATTTAGTTATTTGGGCTTGGAGTTGCTGTGAAATATACATGTCTTCAAGTCAGAGTTCTTTTGCATATATTTTGGGCTAAAATTTTTCTGAGTTTTGTTTCTCTGCTGGGGGTAAATAAGAGCCATCTCAGAAACCTACCCATCACGTGAGTGCTTCTGAGGGTCGTCAAGGAGGCGTCTGCTTAAGCGGTACCTCAGTGTGCTCACAGCAGCAGAGGGCTACTGTTCAGGTAGGATAGGGCTTTGATGGGTTGTGTCCAAAGCTAAACAGTCTCTTCTTTTCATAGTGGTCCTGTGTACTAGGGTGGTAGAGAGAATAATGGTCTTCCAAAGATGTCCATGTACTAATCTGCATAACTTGAGAATATGTTAACTTACATGGCAAAAATGACTTGGTAGGTGTCATTAACTTAAGGATCATGAGACAGAAATATTATCCTAGATTATCAAGGTGGCCCAACGTAATCACAAAGGTTTTTATAAGAGAAAGGCAAGAGTTTAGAGTCAGAAAAATAGATGTGATCATAAAAGCAGAATTTTGAATGATGCACTTCGAAGATGGGGAAGGGGCCATGAGCCAAGAAACACAGAGAGCTTTTAGAACTGGAAAAGGCAAAGAAATGATTCTCCCTTAGAGACTCTAGAAAGAACACAGCTCTGCCAACATCTTGCTTTCTGCCTAGAATATTCATTTCAATCTTCTGACTTCCAGTACTGTAAGATAATAGATGTATGTTGTCCTAAGCCAATAAATATGTGCCAATTTGTTACAGACACAATAGGAAACTACTACAGGTGGCATCTTTCTCCAGCAATAGCAATTCTCTGGGTATGGGATACATATTCCCCATGCTATCTTTAACAAAGGGCAGTCCAAGTCAACCAAGCAAAGCTCTTTGGATAAACCTTAGTTTTCTCCCTCCCTGCCAGAGTCAAAGGAACGGACAGGTGCTGTGCTATCTACCTCGCAAATGGGGAGCCGTGGCAGTTTGCACTTCAGTGGAAGCATGCTGTTGGGTCTTTTGGCTGCTGGAAAGGCAAAATGACTCAGGAATGCAATTAGGAGGTGAAGGACGAAGCATGGTTTAGGAAAGTGGGGCAAAGATGTGAGCAAATGAAGGGCTGCTCGCCCTGATGAAACTATCACGGGTTACCGGGTCCAAGGCATGGACCACCTGGCTAAGTTCTCTGCTCTGGCTGCTTTCCAGAGTCTCTTGGCTGTGAATCTCTGAGGGAAAGAAATCTCCCAGGACTATGTCTTTAAGTTCTTAAGTCCAAATTTTACATCTGGAAGCAACCTGCTCTTTGAGATGTGCAAGAACTTGTGAAGCCCAAGTTGACTTCTATAGGCTGGGGCTGGTCCAGCCAGGACCCAACCTCACAGGACTCAGAAGCTCCATGCTTCACTTACTCTCTCCCTGATTCAACATGAGCTGGCTCCCCCTCCAACCTTATGGTAACTTGTTTCAGGCACCCTATTTCCTATGTCCACCTTGAAATTTTATCTGGGTCATCCTTGCTGATTCTGGAAGATTTCCATAACTTCAAATCTTAGAGAATAAAGATTAGGGCATAGATTCTTTTCCTTCAAGAAGTCTCTGAGCTCTTTAACTAAATTGGTACTTGGTCCTCTCAAATGAGAAAATTCTGCTTCAAGGTGACTCTTCTGTCCCTGGCTGTGACTGTGAAGCAGGTGGCAGTCTCTTTATATAAAGAGAAAAATTAGACACATGTAATTTTTGGCAGTGTCCTCTTTGGGTAAGGCACTCTGCCACCAGCAAGCTTGAATCCCTGTCCTCTTATTTCCCATGAATTATCCTGACTAAAGTTATGCATCATATTGTAATGTATCTTTAAAGACAGGAGCCAAGTTTTACACATCTTTGAATTTCTCATCACTTAACACAGTTTCTGGCATATTATAAATGCTCATACATATTAAATAGTTTGAAACAATACTTTGGGGCAGAGAATGCTGATTGGCTCATAATATTCATTCTTTCTTTTTGTTTAGTAACAGAACCCTAAAAAAATGTGCTTGGATAAAAGATGATATTTCTTAGCCCCTTTTGCAGCTATATATGGCCAGTGAGATATATGTGTTCTGAAGCTTCTGGGAAGCCTTCATAAAAGGAGAAAGCCTGTGGCCTGTGGCCCATCTGCTCTTCCTCCTTTCTGCTGTCTGGAACATAGATGTGACGGTTGGAGCAAAACAGGAATTTTTACATCGCAAGATGATTTTATGTCTAGATTTCCTTTATGTGAGAGCAATTAATGTCTATCTTGTTTAAGTGACTTTATTTTAGGTTTCTGTGTACACCTGAACATCATCCTAATTAAATCAAACAACGTTTCCCTTGAGCATAGAGAAAAATAAAAAAAGGAATCATGGAGAGTGGAAGCAGAGGAATCAGGAAACATTAAAAAAAATGCAATCCAAAATCTAGGGGTGGTGTATTCCCTAAAGTATTTCAAAGAACAAAACATCCAGTTTGTTCTGCTACCACATATGTTTTGGTAATGTGAATTAGCTCATACAAAACTGGTAAATGGGAGAGTGATATTTATCTAATAATGTTGAAATTGTTTTGGTTGATATGCATGTATCCCAGTATGTGATTTCCAAGAAATCAGGGGGGAAACTTTCTAAACAATTAAAAAGCAAGCCTTAGCAATATGCAAACACCTTAAGGAAAAAACTTCTACAGTGGCACCTTTCTTTATTGAAACAAAGGCTGGGTTAGTGGTTTCAGGAACTGCTATGTATTTCATGATATTAAGCTATCTGGTGAAGTGTGAAGACAGATAAAGAAGCTGCAAAAAGAAAAAAAGATGTTTGTTTGAAAACATTAGGAAGGCCCCTGAAGCAAATTTTTAACACTGATAAAACTGGCATTTTGAAAGTAAATACCCCTACATCTCAAAAGAGCAAGCCCCTGAGTTTAAAAGCTACTCAGGGTAGGCTGCTAGTGGAGATTGACTGAGCCAGTATTTTATAAATAGAGGCTTATTGTTTTTGTTGGTGTTCTTGTTATAAAATTGGGTGGTATGGTCTGTCCATAGCCCTATTTGTGCCATATGCCCAGTTATTTCCAGTGTATGCTTTTGTAGAATGCAAAGCTGGGTGTGAATGCACATGTGGTTTTACAAAGACATGGCTGTATGTAAGAAAGCAAGAAGACTGGCTTCAGAGCAAACTATAACTGATACTCTTTTTTCACATCTTAACATCAATTCTTCAGTCAGGGTTGGCTTTTTAACCTGCTTCCATCCATAATTTTATTTAACAACTAGAATCAAATCTTGAAAAATGCAATGCCTTAAGCATTTTACCTTTCATGCTTCCTTTCTCAGAAAGTCACTAGAGGACATGCTCATCCAAAATGAGGCAGTGAACAAGGGACCGCAGGAATCAGGGACTCAGCATAGGAGAGCGTGGAATAAAGACCAAGATGATGGTGAACTAAGTCCCAGGAAAATAGCTGTGTGGACAACTGAAGCACAAACTGCTCAGACTGGGCTCTGGAAAGGGAGCTTCTGGGGGCGACTAGAACTGAGGGACTATCTGATATTTAAAAAGTAATGTCTAAAGGTGTTTTTCACAGATATATTGGGAATGCCAAGAAGAATTAGCTGTGAAAATATGGAGAGCTGATGGTACTTTTATTTCCCACTAGGTAGAATGGATCATGTGTCCTAGGTTGGCTCTTTGGGTTTAAGCAAAAATGGATGTCATCCTGTTACTTTTCAAAAGTCCTGGCCAGGCACGGTGGCTCACGCCGGTAATCCCAACACTTTGGGCGGCCGAGGCGGGTGGATCACCTGAGTTTGGGAATTCAAGATCAGCCTAGCCAACGTGGTGAAACCCCGTATCTACTAAAAATACAAAAATTAGCTGGGCGTGGTATTCGGCACCTGTAATTCCATCTACTCAGGAGGCTGAGGTACGAGAATTGCTTGAACCTGGGAGGTGGAGGTTGCAGTGAGCCAAGATTGCATCACTGCACTCCAGCCTGGGGGATGGAGCAAGACTCAGTCTCAAAATAGTAATAATAATAATAACAAAAGTCCCAGTAAAAACCCGGTAGTTTTAATAGATTTACTTGCAGTAAACACATGGAACACCATCCTGCTTTTGTGCCAGTGGCCTCACTCCAGGGGGTTGTTCTATCTCCCCAAAGCATGGTCAGGAAGCCTTATTGCTGCACCTCCCTCACAGGTGCAAAACACAGTAAGAGCGCTATGATTTTGATTGTGCATGTGGCTCTTCTCAAGTTGTGTGTCCTCTATGCAAACCTTTGGTTTTACACAATGACAAAACACTTATTTCTCCTAATTCCTTATGCCCAACTTAGATCTTGATCCTGAAAAATTCTCCTGCTCATTTGATACACCTTGTATGCAGATGTTAGGTTTATTGGTGAGCAGGCTTCTCTTGTCAAGGTTGGGACTTCATAGGGGCAATCATTGATGGGGTTAATCCTCAGAGAGGAAACTAGAACTAAAATATGTGCAGGATGAGATAGGGAAATCCCATCCGTTTCTGGCCTCGTTTTATTGCCTTTAATTGAAAGCTGCCTCTTACCTCATGGTTTTGAGTTACTTCATTGTGTAATCTTTTTGAAGGCATGAATTTCAGCAAAAATTAGGAATCCCTCGTTTATGTTAGAAATTTCACTGTTGAGCACTATAAATGCAAACAATGGAACTGAGGTGACAATCTGCTGAAGGGATACCTTTGGAGTCTGGCTGAAGGTCGCATGTGGGTGGGTGAAGGAAACAGTCTCAACTTGCTTTTCGGCCCGACAGTGGGAATATTCTTTTGACATTGATAATTTCAGACATCTTAAGTTCTGAATTGTTAAAATGGTTTTTAAAAATGTTGCTCTTAGAAACAAGAAAATACGGTAATTCTAGAAGCAACCCTTTTCAGTTCCTCAGGCACTGTGCCAGGCATCAAAGACCATTTAAAGTATAGCCCCAGCCCTCAAGAAGTTCTGGTCAGAGGAAAGAATGATTGATACCAAAGAAACCACAGGGAAGAAAAGTGAAAAAAAGATCACTTCTGATTCCATGTAAAATTATACAGTTACGAACTATATTAATAGCTGAAGGATAAGGCTGATATCCAAAAGTCAAATAAATTTAATTCCTAATTATCCACATACAAGAAACTAAATGAATGAAAGAAGCAATAGTAATTTTCCATATAAATATAGTTGAGAAATTATGCATTACCCTGGCCGCACAAATACAACTGCTATAGTTGACTCTGAACATCTGGAACACTTCTGGATGTGTAACTTGGAACCGAGGATATGGCATTCTTTTTAAGGGTGTGTGTATTCACAACTTAGGGAAGAATCCCAAATTGAATTCCATAGTTAAAAGCAAAAACAAGTTTTAACACACTGAAAGAGTACACTCCTGTCTGGTTGAGAGAGATCAGCCAATAAATGATGGATCCCCGGGCAGCTCAAATGCCAGTGTGGCACGTTTCCTATGGAATGTGGAGGCATTCAGAGACTTAAATGATTTTACTCTCTCAACAGAATCCAGATGCTCTTAAATATTACAGATATTATTATAAATTAAACAATATAAGTAGCCAGAAAATATTGTAGTTAGGGTTTCTATAAAAATTGTTTTGAACACTGATGTAGAAAGAGCTGTATCCTTTTTCCCAACATGGCTATTTCAAACTTGTGATAGTATATTCTTGTATATTATTGATCACCTCTTTATATTTTCTGTTATAAACATCCTATAAAGTATGCTAATATATTTGTTAATTTCTCTCCACATAAATATTCATAATGTCCTGTCCAAGAAAGTAGAAAATGGGACCTTGAAATAAAACAAATGACCCAGTCAACAACTAAATCTCCTTTAAAAAAAAAAGTCACAAGTCAATTTACCTTTGCTTTAATGGTTTTTGGTAGCCCCATAAAATGGTCTTATTTTGTGAAGGGGAGACATTTCTAAATATGTAAAATTTGTTTTAATTCTTTAGGAAAGCAGAATTCAACACATCTTTGAAAGAAAATCCAAATGCTGTATTATAAGTTAATTTAACTTATATTTACAAGTTAGGTTTAACTTATTGGTATGTCAACCAACAATATTTTTACCACCTGTAAAAGGTATGGGCCATGAATGTGATAGAATCTTTACTACAAATAATTTCTTCACTATGGCAAAATATTCGATGATGGAAGAACTTTAAGAAAAGCTTTACAGGCCAGGTGCAGGGGCTCACGTCTGTATTCCCAACATTTTGAGAGGCCGAGGTGGGCGGATCACGAGGTCAAGAGTTCGAGACCAGCCTGACCAACATGGTGAAACCCTGTCTCTACTAAAAATACAAAAATTAGCTGGGCATGGTGGTGTGCACCTGTAATCTCAGCTACTCAGGAGGCTGAGGCAGGAGAATTGCTTGAACCCAGGAGGCGGAGGTTGCAGTGAGCCGCGATAGCACCACTGCATTCTAGCCTGGGCAACAGAGCAAGACTCAGTCTCAAAAAGAAAGAAAAAAAAAAGCTTTGTAGAATTATAACTACCTGGAGAAATGTTCAATTTAGCAATAGAGGCCGGGCACGGTGGCTCACGCCTGTAATCCCAGCACTTTGGGAGGCTGAGGCGGGCGGATCACGAGGTCAGGAGATCGAGACTATCCTGCCCAACACGGTGAAACCCCGTCTCTACTAAAAATACAAAAAATTAGCCGGGTGTGGTGGCGGGTGCCTGTAGTCCCAGCTACTCGGGAGGCTGAGGCAGGAGAATGGCGTGGACCCGGGAGGCGGAGGTTGCAGTGAGCCGATACTGTGTCACTGCATTCCAGCCTGGGCGACAGAGTGAGACTCCGTCTCAAAAAAAAAAAAAAAAAAAAAAAAAATTAGCAATAGAGACTATTATAATTTATGCAAAAATTTAAAAATATTCTATTTTAAAATGCCCAGCTATACTAAATCTAAACTTAAAAATCATGTTAAATAAGGAATAATTATTCACCTTTCAAAAGTGTCTAGGCTTTACAAAATGATTTGTTTCAATGTTCTTTTCAAATAGACAGCACCCTTGGAAGCACATTTAGAAGGTGACTACATTGACAAAATATGATTTACATATTTATTCTTAGGAATATATTTTCTTTCGAGTGAGATCCTCTAATTGTACATAAATAAATTTGTTCCAGGAAAGTCAGCTGAAGAGTGTTTTAAGTGGTGGTTTCACTGGTCAACAAAACATTGTTCATAATCTTGCCGATGGAACATAAAACCCTGAGAGGGGAAATGTGTTCTGGAACAAAGGCTGATATTATAAGGAGTTTAGGGCAGGCTGATTTATTTGTCATGTGGCTGAGATTTTTAAAAGGAAGAGGAAGTTCCATAATTCAACAGAGCAAGTGACCTGCAAATGATCAACTTTTAAAAAATCATTTACTGTGAAATAAAATCTTCAGAAAGAGCAATAGTGCTAATTATGATCATAGTATTATGTTGATATTTCAAAAAAATTAAATTATCAGTTCTGAAAATCTAATAAAAATGTATGGCAATTATTCTTATCTTTACTCCTACGCATAAGCAACATTATAAAACAGGAAGAGACCTAAGAAGTATCATTTTGAATAAAGAATGCTGTACTTTAGGCATAGCACGGAATATTAAAGAGATTTTTTATGTAATAATATCTTTGGTAACAGTGTATTTATATTTGTGGATTTATTTTTGCATCAGACTACTGAAAGTCCTAAAGAAAGCAACATGTTCTGGAAAATAACTAAATTAGCATCCATAGTTAACCTATGATCATGGTTTGGGCCTACACTAATAATATGTTGATCTTACCATGTTTTCATAAATATTATTCAAACATGAGTCACGTAGAGTAATGTGATTACATTTTGGTCAATTTACCTCTTTCCTCCCTTCCCCATTTTCTCCAGAAGCAGGAATCCCTCACTATGTCCAAACACACAACTTTTCTCTGAGACATTCCTTCTAGCACCCTCTATCATCCAATTCCAACATGGATTTCTGCTTTCTGGGCCTTCTACATAACTGTCATCCCAGGCCCTCCTTTCAACAACATTCTGTAACTCTGTTTGCCTCTTTCTTGTACCCTGGTGTTGTAGGAACGCTCTCACCTCCTTTTCCTTTTTGTTGTTGTAATCTTATGTTTTGGAGCAAGTGCAGCTTTAATTTCTTAACAAAGGGAGCATGAGAGGTAAACTTTGATTCCTTATATGGATTAAATGTCTTTATTCTATCACACTTGAATGACATATGTGGCTCAGTTTAGACTTCTAGGTTAGAAATAACTTTCTCTTATAATTCAGAAGGCATTGCTCCATTATCCACTAGCTTCAAGAATTTCTGTTGAGAAGCCCAATGCCATTAAGATTTCCAGTCATGGGTATGTACCTGTTTCTTCTATCTGGGAACTTTTAGGGTTCTCTCTTTTCTCTCATATTCTAAAATATCACAATGATGTGTTATTGTGTGAGCCTTTCTTTTCTTTTCTTTCTTTTTTTTTTTTTTTACGGATTCTCGCTCTGTGGCCCAGGCTGGAGTGCAGTGGCGCGATCTCGGCTCACTGCAAGCTCCGCCTTCCGGGTTCACGCCATTCTCCTGCCTCAGCCTCTCCGAGTAGCTGGGACTACAGGCGCCCGCCACCACTACCGGCTAATTTTTTTTTTTTTGTATTTTTAGTAGAGACGGGGTTTCACCGTGATCTCGATCCGCTGACCTCGTGATCCGCCTGCCTCGGCCTCCCAAAGTGCTGGGATTACAAGCGTGAGCCACCGCGCCCGGCCGTGAGTCTTTCTTACGGTTAATTGTTCTGGGCAATTAGTGCATCCTATTAACCTGGAGACACCTGTTATCCAGCTCTGGTACTGTTTGTGCATTCGTTTGATAATTTCTTCCTGTCCATATGCTCTTTCAGGTATTTCTAGTATTTGGACACTGAACTTCCTGGATCGATCCATTATCTTATTTTTTTCTCTTACATTTATTATCTTTTTAGTTCTCATTTCTGGAAGATTTATTTGACTTTATCTCCCACACCTTCGATAAATTTTTTCTTTTAATCAGAAGAGAGCTAGAGTATATAAATGTTTTAAATTTTTGTCATAATACTTTTTCATTTCAAACATCTTTTTTAAACATAATATTTTGACTGTTCCTTTAAAATATTATTCTGTTCCTCTTTTATGAATTAAATATCTTCTTTATCTTTCTGAAAAAGATTCATAATAGATTTTTAACCATCTGTGTCATTGTTTCTTCTTCTTTTGTTTCTTTTATCTTCTGCCTTTCATGCTAGAGGCTTTTTCAAATTTTGGGGAATCTTGGGGTATCTGCTCACTTTTAAGAGGGGACAAAAAGATAACTTAGGGCAAGGATGGGACTTCATTATAGGGGGATGAGGCCACCTGTCAGTATCTTTAAGTCTTTTTTCTTGAGTTGCTTAGTTTTTCCAGAGAGACATCTTTCAATATTCTGCCTGAGCAGGGGCAAGGGATGGGTATAAACCTGACCATTAGTGTCCTTGAAGCCAACAGACAGATGAAAAACAAATGGTCCGTGCTTTCATCATTCAATATACAGATTTTCACATCCTTTTCCTTCTTTCACAGGGGAGTAAGTCTTCATTCTTCTGCAGACATAGGTGATCAACAGTTCAAGATGATTCTGTCAAGGTGTAGACAGGGCTGGTTTCTTTTGGAGGCTCTAGGGGAGAATCTGTTGCTTATCTTTTCCAGCTTCTAGAGGTTGCTGATGTCCTTTGACTCGTGGTCACATCATTTCAATCTCTGCTTTCTTCCTTATATCCAATTCTACCAACTTTGAAACTTCAACCTTTCCCTCTTATAAGGACTCTCATGATTACATCAGGCCTACCTTGATAATCCAGGACTATTTCCTCATATCAAAATGCTTAATTTAATCACATCTGCAAAGTTTCTTTTACTCTATAAGGTAACATATTTACAGTTTTGCAGATTAGGATGTGAACATCTTTGCTGGGGGCATCATTCAGCCTAGCACAACTGGTAACTCACAGGCTATTCCAAATTTAATAAATCCCAAGACAATCTTCTAATCTTCCCATCTCCGAAATCTGCTCATCTTAGTGAACCCCATCTCAGCAAATGTGCCAACATCCACATAGTTCCTCATCCCAGAATCCTGGTCCTCATTTTAGACATGTCCCTGTAATTAATCCACATCCCACCAACCACGAAGTCTTCCTGATTCTTTAACCTAATCTTTTTTAAATTTTTTATTTTTTCCATCTTCAATATAATTGTCACATCAGGACGACTGTGGCAGTCTCCTAGTAGAACTCCCCACATCCCAGACTTATTCCCACATCCAATTTATCCTCCAAGCAGTAACCAGAGTAATCATTTCAAATGCAAATCTAATCATGTTACTCTTTTCAGTAGTTCTAATCCTAATCACATGCTCAGTGATTCTGGTGACAAGCCTCCATCCGGAAGCTTTTTAAGGCATCTCTTCCTCATTCCCCTGACACGAATTACCTCATTAGCATAACAAAGACATCCCTATCACTAAGGGTATTCCATGGGTTTTTGAATCTCTGTACTAGGAACCAGAGACAAAGACTTTATATATATATACACACACACACACACACACACGTGTGTATATATATATAATTTTATATATTATATATTATGTATATAATTTATTATACCACATACAGTCCTATGGTTTTTGACAAATGCATAATGTTATGTATCAATCATTATAGTATCATACAGAATAGCTTCACTACCATACAAATCCCCTGTGCTTCCCCTACTCACCCATCTGCATCTCCCCTAAACCCCTGGCAATCATTCATCTTTTTATTGTCACTATAATTTTGCCTTTTCCAGAATGTCACAATGTTGGAGCCATACAATATGTAGTCTTTTTAGACTGGCTTATTCACTTAGAAAAATACATTTATCAATCTCCTTTTTTTTTAAATTTAGAAATGAGGTCTCACTATGCTGTCCAGGCTGGAGTGGAGTGTCTATTCATAGACTGCAGCCTTGAACTCTGAAGCTCAAGTGACCCTCCTGCCTCAGCCTCTCTAGCAGCTGGGACTACAGGTGACTGACTTTCCCGTGTCTTATTAAGGCTTGATAGCTCATTTTTTATTGTTGAATAATATTCAGTTGCATGGATGTACCACAGTTTGTTTCTCCATTAACCTATTGAAAGACATCTTGTTTGTTTCCAATTTTTGGCAATTATGAATAAAGCCTCCTTAAATATTCACGTGTAGCTTTTGTGTGTACATAAGTTTTCAACCAATTTGAGTAAATACCTAGGAACATGATTCATGGTTCATATGGCAAGACTATGTTTAGCTTTGTAAGAAACTTCTGAATTGTCTTCCAAAGTGGCTGTACCATTTTGCATTCCCACCAGCAATGAGAGTTTCTCACTCTAGTTTGCATTTGGTACTGTCAGTATTTTGGATTTTAGCCATTCTAATAGGTGTATAGTGGTATCTCATTGATGTTTTAATTTGCAGTTCCTTAATGTTACGTGATGTTGAGCTTCTTTTTACATAGTTATTTGCCATATCCATCTTCTTTGGTGAAATGTCTGTTCAGATCTTTTGTCCAATTTTTAATTGGCTTGTTTTATTATTGTTGAGGTTTAACTGTTCTTTGCGCATTTTGAACACAATTTTTTTTAAATAAAATAGAGATAGGGTCCCACTATGTTGCCCAGGCTGGCCTCAAACTCCTGGGCTCAAGTGATCTTCCCACCTCAGCCTCCCAAGCAGCTGGGACTACAGGTGTCTGCCACCACATCCAGCTAATTTTATTTTTTGTTTAGAAATAGGGTCTTGCTATGTTGCGTAGGCTGGTTTCAAACTCCTTGGCTCAAGCAATCCTCCCACCTAAGCCTTCCGAAGTGCTGGGATTACAGGTGTGAGCCACTGCACTTGGCCAAAATTCTTTATCAGACATATTTTTTACAAATATTTTCTCCCAGTCTGTAGCTTGTCTTCTCATTCTCTTGACACTGTCTTTTACAAAGCAAAAGTTTTTCATTTTAGTAAAGCCCAACTTGTCAACTTTTTCTTCCATTGTGCATTTGTTGTTTCATCTGAAATCTTTTTGCCAAATCTGAGGTCACCTATATTTTCTCCTGTGTTATCTTCTGGCAGTTTTATAGTTTAGCTTTTAAATTTAAGTCTATGATCCATTTTTATTTAACTTTTGTGAAGGGTGTTAAGTCTATGTCTAGATTCAATTTTTTTTTTTTACATGTGGAAGTCCAGTTGTTCCAGCACCATTTATTGAGAAGACTGTCCTTTGCTACTTTGCCAAAGATCTGTTAAATGTATCTGTTTGGGTCAAGTTCTGTGCTTTGTATTCTGTTCCATTGATCTATTTGTTTATTCTTTTGTCAATACCATGCTCTCTTGATTACTATAGCTTTATAGTAAATTTTGAAGTTGAGTACTTCTATGGACTGAATGTTTGTGTCCCCCCAAAATTTATATGTTGAGGCTTAATCTCCAATGTGATGGTATTTAGACCCAAGGTTTTTGAGAGATAATTAGCTCATGAGAGTTGAGCCCTCGTAATGAAATGAATGCCCTAATAAGAATAGATAGAAGAGAATGTGCTTTATCTGTCTTGTTTTCTGCCATGTGGGGATACAATGGGAAGAATGCCATCTGCACACTCAAAAGTGAGCCCTCACCAGATTTCCAGATGTGCCAGCAACTTGATTTTGGGCTTCTCAGACTTCAGAGATGTGAGAAATAAATTTCTGTCGTTTAAGCCACCCAATCTATGGCAATTTGTTACAACAGCCTGAACTAAGGTACTGTTAGGCCTCTGACTTTGTTCCTCTCCTTTGGTATTGGTTTGGCTCTTCTGGTCTTTCATTTTTCCATATAAACTTGAGAATCAGTTAATATCCACAAAATAACTTGCTGGGATTTTGATTGATTTGATTTGATTGTATCAAATCTATAGATTAAGTTGGGCAGAACTGACAGTTAAATATCAAGTACTCCTATCCATGAAAATGGAATATCTTTAAATTTATTTAGATCTCCTTTGAACTTTGTAGTTTTTCTCATTGGAAGTTTTTTTTATTTAGAATTTTGTAGTTTTTCTTGTATAAACCTTTTACATATTTTGTTAGATTTATACCTAAATATTTCATTTTATTTTGGTGCTAATGTCAGTGGTTATTGTTTTTAATTTCAAATACCAATTGTTTATTGATGGTATATAAGAAAACAACAGACCATGTATGCAGGTCGACTATTCCTAGTACAGAAATCCAAAATATGAACTACTCTAAAATATGAAACTTTTTGAGTGCTGACATGAGGACCAAGGGAAATGTTCACTGGAACATTTTGAGTTTTGGAGTAGGGATGGTAAACCCATAAGTATATAATGCAAATATTACAAAAGCAAAAAAAAAAAAAATCCAAAATTGGAAACATTTCTGGTCCCAAGCATTTTGGCTTAGAATGAGCCTGTTTTAAACTTGCTCATGCAAACTTGCTATAATTGCTTTTCATTCTGTTTTTTTAGGCGAGGAGTGTCAATTTTTTCCGGATTTTCTATGTTAGATAACCATCTCATCTGAAAGCAAAAAGTTTTATTTCTTCCTTCCCAATCTACCTTGTAATTATTTTTAAATGTCCATTTCATCAGCCTAACTATAACCTTACTGAGAGCAAAGTTTTCATCTTTAGTTGTCACCTCTTTTACACTCAGATTTTTATTAGTTTTGCCATATATTAAATTATTCTGGCACTAATTTAGCTAGAAATAAACTGCTTGTAAATGCTATTTTGTCAAGGACTCTACAGTATTCCGTGGTAACTATGATTACTCTTGGGTAAACTGTGCCTCAGTTTCTTTGTCTGTAATGGGATGTCTTTATAGACTGATGTGAAGACCAAATAAGACTATACATTAAGTTCGTAGAGCTATGGCTGGCACAAAATCAGCCCTCAAGAAATGATCGTTATGTTTTTTTACTGGGAAGCAATTACTTTTGCGCAGCACCACACCTAACTCTCAATAGCGAAGGAATATTAGCTTAGGCGGACAGAGTAATACGCCCCCCACCCCCAACATCCAAATTTCCAACAGAAAAATAAAGCAGGAGTTGAGAAGGGGTCGTGAGAGGAACGTTTCTGAGCCTATAGTGGAGAGGTACAGCAAGCGGAGAGTGAGACTAGGGCAGCAAGTGGTGGAAGTCGAAGGCATCCCAAGAGGGAACAGGGGCTCCCGAGACCTCTTTGAATTGGAGGCGACGAGAACCAAGCGACCGTGAGCTGCGATGCACACAGTAGTGAGTGGGTGGCACGGGGCCCGCGGGCACGAACAGCCGAAGAGCGGAGAAGACTGGGAGCATAACCGCTGGGCAGCGGGCAGCGGACAGCGGGCGGCATGAACCGCCCCACTTTGCCGGATACCTGGAGCTGCAGGAACGACCCACACCCAGGCCTCTTTACCCCTACCGCCCCGTTACCTTGGGGACGGGATCACCCGACCCGGCGCCGTGCGACTGCGCGGGCTGAAGGCGGGGGCGGTGCCATGACGCGCCTCGGGGGCGGTCCTCGGGCGCGCACCGCTCTCTTACACTCGGGCCTCAGAAGTCCGTGCCAGTGACCGGAGGCGGCGGCGGCGAGCGGTTCCTTGTGGGCTAGGTGAGAGGCCAAGGGGGCAAGGAGGGACGCCGGTGCCAGGTCCCGGGCGCGGGGACTTGGGGCAGAGGTGTGACGGTCCCTGGGCCACTTCACAGACTGCATCCTGGTCGCAGCCGTTTTCGCGAGGCAGCGGCGACGCCCTCTCCTCAGGGGGCTCCGCGCCCCTCCCTGCGCCCTGCTGGCTGGGGGGGCAAGTTTGCGGGAGCAGCGCGCTCTTCCTGCCGCGACCCCGCGCGTTTCGGGTTCCTGCCCGGGCTGGGGCTGGGGCTGGGGCTGGGGCTGGGGCTGGCAGAGCCCGGAGGCCCGGCTGGGTGAACGCCTTCAGCCCCCGCCCCAGCTCTGGGGTTCTTCCTGGGACCGTCTCTCGATCCTTGTTTTCTCCTCGATAAGATCTCGACATAAGAAAGAGCCTCTGGCCACGGTTCCTCCCAGTGCTCGGCGTTTCTAGGGCTGTGCTTAATCGCCCTTCTTTTGGGTTATTCGGAAAGTCCTGGATTTGAAAGGAGGAAGGAAGTGTTTGTTTATTGGGCGAAGCCTTGACTTTTTTGGAAGGGGGTGGGGAGAGGTTGTTCGCTTTGAGCTTTTTCCTGGAGAAGTTGGACCTGAGGGAGAAACGTTTCCAGTAGGGTGTGTTTAGAAGGAAATACCCCTGAGATCTGACCCCTGAGATATGATGACTCAGAGCCTTCCTTTCAGGATTTCCTTGTAATAATGGGAAAGGGAAGGCATATGGATGTGGAAAGTTTTCACTTTTACCAAAGTGGTGATTATTGAGTCATGGAGTCTTCTAATGTGTCCATTTTTGAAAGGAGTTTGTAGATTATCTAGTCTGTATAACCACATACACATTTACTGTTATCTTTTCCATTACGTACATTGCTTAGAAAGTACGCTCGGCTTACCAAACTCTTAACATCCGCTTGTTTCAAAAAGAAATCGTTGATTAAAGCAGGAAATTTACCTTGAAAAACAACTGCGGGCCTTTTAAATTAAATTGATTTCTAAATGTGTATGTGATTAGTTAAAACTCAAATTTGTTCAGTCTTTTTATTTTCCTGTTTAAGATTGAGGGATAACGGTAGAAAATACGTCCTTTTGTCTTCTGTGTTACCAACTTAATTCTATAAAATTTGTGCCTTAAATGGTACATAAATATTATAAATCTAGTGGTTTGTGGCACAGAATAAAAAGAAGTAGAATGACTTTTAAAATGGTCAGTAAATAGTCACTCCATTATAAATTAAATTTAACTTTGGAGACATTAACTTTTAGTTTTGGGCATTATAGGAAAAGATGTAAAAAGGGGAAAAAGATGAACAAAAGGGGAAGAATTTGCTAATGGTTGCCGGTTAAATGTACTGTTTAATTAAAGAGTTTCTTAAAATGAGCGTGACAACTATTTTCCCTGTTTTTGCCAGATTTGGGAACTTTTTATAGGTATTAAATGCCAAGAGATTCTAAAAAAGAAAAGCGCCCCCAAATAACTTTGAAATACTTTCTACTTTTAGCAATAGTTACGTTAGCATTTATTAATTTCTTTTCAAGTGCTGCCAACATGTTTTGTAAATGTATTGTTTTTGAGTAGGTAAACAGTCACTTGTCTCAAAATTTAAGCAGCATAAAAAGGTATAAAGTAACAAGTCTTCTGGCAGGCAGGCAACTTTTTTACATTTCTTAGGTATTCTAGGCAAATTTTATATCTACACAGGCAAACATATAAGCTGTATTTGCCTCCTTGCTTTTAACACAAACGTTAACATTTTATATACTGCTTCACATTTTGCTCTTATTTTTCCAGTTAGTGATCATATTTTGGAGCTTTTCTAATATCAGCATATATAGCTTTCAAGTCTTTTGCTGTTACACTCAGTGCTGCAGTGAATCAACTTTTACATATGTTGCTTCCTTTGTGCACATATATTTTTACACTTCAGGTTTTGAGACCTGAAGTGATACTGCAGAGTTGGAGGGTATCTGAATTTAGAATTTCGGTAAGATAACTGCAAACCCACTCTGTATGGTAATTGTACTAGTTTACGCTCCCATTAGTAGTATGTGAGTGTTTCTCAAAGGCTTGCTGTCAGAGAATGTCAAACTTTGGATTTTTGCCAGGTGAGAAATGGAATCCTATGGGTAAGGATTAATTATTCTATTACAGTGGACTTCATATGGACATACTTCTTAATGGCTGATCATCAGAAACCCCCAGGATACTTATTAAAAAGAAGAGTTCCTAAGTCCTTCCGTGAAATCTGTGTCTGCCCAGGAAGCTGTTTTTATAATAACTAGAGCCTCGGGTAATTTGGCTCTGATGATTAGCCAGATTGAGAAACATTGCTCTGGAAGACTGCTTAGGATATATTAAATTGTGTTTCTAGACCTCATGTATGAGCCATCTGGAATGCTTACTATCTGGGTCCAATGGACACTTTATTTTTTCATTTTTTAGTTTTTTTTTTTTTTAGAGATGGAATCTTGCTCAGGCTGGTCTTGAACTCCTGGGCTGAAGCAGTCCTCCTGTCTCAGCCTCTGAAAGTGCTAGGATTACAGGCATGAGCCATACGGTTCCTGGCCTGATAATTTTATTTTTTACATTTTTCATTCATTTTATGAATAGTTTGCAGAAGTGAAATTAAAGACATAATGAAACACAACTTTACTAGAAATTTTAATAACTGCTTCAACAAATTATCACTCCAAATTTTCCTGGTTTTGAAGATATCAGTAGTTGAAATAGGCAACATCTTCGAATTCAACTAATTGCTTATCAACTGTCATATAATTTTTTAAAAAAATCAATGATTCTGCCGTCCTAAATTTTTATTATCCCAAGATGTTTTTAATACAGCGGTTCCCGACATTTTTGGCACCAGGGACTGGTTTCATGGAAGACAGTTTTTCCACGGACGGGATAGGTGGATGGCTTCAGGATGAAACTATATCACGAGGAGCGTTTAACCTAGATCCCTTGCATGCACAATTCACAATAGGGTTCCTGCTCCTGTGAGAATCTAATGCTGCCACTGATCTGACAGGAGCTGGAGCTCAGGTGGTAATGCTGGCTCACCTGCCACTCACCTGCTGTGGGTGGCCTGGTTCCCAATGGGCCACCGACTGGTACTGGTCCATGGCCCGGGGGTTGGGAACTCCTGTTTTAATAGCTTAGATTAAAAGAAGCAAATAAACATTATTTCACCTTAAACAGTCACATGTCATTTTTAAGGGAGGCCAGTTGTAGTTGGTGGTTTGAGAAGGGGTGAGGTTAATAACTCAGAAAATGATGAGTATTGCCATTCTAGGTGATATTATTTGGAAAACTTTGCCAGTGTTTCCTACTTCATTAATCAGAATATTGTGTCCAGAGAGCGAATAAACTAGAATTCCAAAATATCACATAAGTATTTAAGTTGAGGGCCTTCGTTCTGTACACATATTTAAAGACTTCAAGGAGGTTACTCTTATATTGCCCTGAGGGGGTTGAGGGACAAATGGGAAACTTGGTACTGAGGCAGACAATATATAAATACATATATATATAAAATGTATGTATTATATATAACATATATAATACATATATATTATAATACGTATAATACGTATTATAATATATTCTAATTATATATAATATATATTATTTATGAATAATATATAATGATTTATATATTATATATAACATAATATATATTGTATATCATACTATTATACTATATCTTATATACTATATTATAAGTATATAAGATATACTTATTATATACTATATTATATAGTATAGTATAGTATAATTTATACCATATATTATATATTATACTATTATATACAATATAGTATATATTATATACAATATTATAATATATAATTATAATGTATATTATAATATAATATAGTATTATTATATATTAATATTATATTATTTATATATTCCAGGAAAATGATATTAATTTTAATCAATATTTATATTTAAATATTTATATTTAAAATATTTATATTTAGATATTTATATTTAATTATATATAAATATAAAATATATAAATATAAATATATAAAATATATAGATATATAAAAATATATAAATATAAAAATATTTATATTTAAAATATAATAATATAATGTAATATAATATATATTATATATAATACATATAATACATATTATATAATACATATTATATATGTTATATATAATACATATGCACACACACACATATATAATATATATATAGCCTTTTGGTGTTCTGAAAAAGTCCGAAACTATCCCACCCACTGAAAGATCTCTTAATAGAAACTATTTGTGAGTTACTTCTGAGGCCTGAGATACATTGGGTGTAGGGGCCTTTCATAATGCATGAAGTGAGTCACAGAGATTGCAAATAATGTAGTGTGGGCCAAACCTGGTCAAAGGGTATGTGGGCAGTACCATTTCTTTCCAAGGAATTAGGCCAGTGGAAAAAAGCTGTAGTGGTCAGGAAGGTTTGATCAAACCCTTAAAGAGTAGTGGGAGTTTTATCTTCTTAGTGATTACTCAGCTCGAAGGAAAGCCTAGAAACAAAATTCTTTAGTTTAGTTCGTACAATAATAATGTTTGATAAGAGTTGCAAGTGAGGTAAAATGAGATTCTTCCACTGATGTAATAGTTACTTTCAGAATCCTCTTAAACCTCATTATTGGTCATTATAAAATTCCAGCCACAATTAGAAGGATTTCCCAGAGTTAGCTTTGTGGTTCTTGAAAAAGGGCTGTGTTTCTAACAGTTCCCATTAGGTCAAAGATTTAAATATAATGTACAAGTGACTTAATGGAGCCCTTCAGAAAAATAAAGCATTTATCATTTTCCTGGAAGGCTTTTTACACTGTTAGGTTCAAAAGTACGGACTTGCCCTAAGAATATTTTGATCTTTTCAATAAGTGTTTAAAGATATCTTATTTACTGTTGTTTTGATGACATTTGTCAAAATACTAACATTTGGTATCTTCTTTTTAAAAAGTTTTTTTTATTGGTGAGACAGGGTCTCAGTCTGTCCACCCAGGTTAGAATGTGGTGGTGTGACCACAGCTCACTGCAGCCTCAACCTCCTTTGCTCAAGTGGTCCTCCTACCTCAGCCTCCCAAGTAGCTAGGACTACAGGCATGTGCTGCTGTCCCTGGCTAGTTTTTTATATTTTTTGTAGAGATGGGGTTTCTCCATGTTGCCCAAGCTGGTCGCAAACTCCTGGGCTCAAGTGATCCACCTACCTTTTTCTCCCAAACTGTTGGGATTACAGGCACTGCGCCCAGCTACATTTGATATCTTTGAGGATGAGGAAAAAGTGTTTATGCTGTGTAAATAAACTAAATTGAGTCCTGCCTTCAAGTAGTGGAGATAAACATGTACTAGCTATAATCTGAGGCAGAGTTGAGAGGAGTTGGGAGGAGCAAATAATATCCAACTGAAGCCTTCAAAGTCACCCTCTTTTAAGAAGTGACACTTGACCTATGCCTCAAGGCTAACTAGGATTTTGATTGGTGGAGAAGTCCTGGAAGGACATTCCTGGAAGAGAATGCACCTTTTACAAAAATATGCAGGCATGGAAGCATGTGACCTGGGTGGCAAATAGTCAGTGGTTTGCAGCTACAACATTTTAATACGTGGAAAGAAATTTAATGAAATGGGTCAAGAAAGTAAAATTGAGGAATGCTTTGTGATTTAAAAAACAGTGAGAGTTAATTAAGATCAGTACACTTAAAGCAAACCTGAAACTTACTTTTTCAGAAGTGTAAATTACGGTAATATTTGTTATTTAAAAAAAATTTTGAAAGTCCATTTTTCTTCTAGGCTTGAGTTGCTGGTGTGTGAATTAACTCAAGAGTTGTTCAGACAACTTCAGTTAATATTTATTTGAAGAGAAACTTCTATGGAGAGAAAAGTTAGGAAACCACTTCATTTTTCATGAGAACAGTGGGATTTTGAAGTTAGCCAATGACAGAATCAAAAAAAGAAATCAAAAATAGAAATAATATTAGATGGCCAGGTAACATTCTTTTCAGTGCATTTTGGTTGTTGATATTGCAACTTGCTTTGCATTTTGTATATTATATATCATATGCATTTTGTTTATATTGATAGAATGGCTGAAAGTTTAAATAAGGCAAAAAATTGTGTTTAGGGAAAGGCTGCTAGGAAATTGATCCTTTGAACCCAAAGAAGATAATTCACTTTGTTCTCCTGGATTAATACAATTAAATCATATTTGATAGTGCTCTCTCAAGAATGTGAATTTTTTTTTTTTTCTCACAAACCCAGATTCTGTTTTTCCCTTAAGGACTGTACCAGGCCACTACTATTCACCATTGTACTGGAGATTATAGCCAGAGAAATTAGAAAAGAAACAAAAGATGTGTAATAGCAGCAAGAAGGTGCAATAGAAAGCTCATATGCTTCTTCTCCCCACAGAAATACTGATTCAATAACAATACACACACCAGACCTCTTTGTGAGAAATCCGGAAACTAGTTAAGAGGCTCCTGCATTCTAGGTGAGCAGTAAACCAGCTGCAGTGAAGATGGTAGGAAAATTCATCCTACTTGCTCACCATAGTTCATTCCCCTGGCTCAGCATGGCATGAGCAAGAGGAAACTCCAGGCTCCTGGTTTTTCCCTGGGCGGGGAAAGAGAAGACTGAAACATCTGTGTGACATTCAGATTTTTCAGAGGTCTGCCCAAGGGTCTGGTTTTTATTTTGCTTGAATATAAGTTCTGACAGGAAAGGGCACCAGGTTGCGGGGTCATTGAAAACAAAGTTGACAGTTTAGATTAGCAGGCACTCACCATGGTCCCTCCCCCTCCCTCAGCATGAAACCAGCAGGAGAAAATCCTCAACTCTTGGCTTCTCCTTGGGGAGACAAAAGAGTTGGAATGTGTGTCCAGTGTTTCACCTTTTCAGTGGGCTGAGGGACTGGCTTCTGTCTTGCTTGTCTTGGAAAGCTGACAGGGGCTGGTGTATTCCAGGTGCCCAGGAGCCACTGAGAACAGAAGACTTGTTGCTGCTCTAGAGGACCTATGGTAGGGCAGACAGAGGATGATACAGCTCAGCAGCTTGTCCCTACGTGTGGCATGAAAGGTGTTGGAGAGAGAATAGTGGAGTATGTGTCCAACATTCCAGCACTTCAGAGAGCTACCCCCAAGGGACTGGCTTCTGTTTCACCTGACTTGGAGCACAGGCAGGAGTGGACATACTCTAAAAGCCCACTGATGGGAAAGGGCACCAGGTTGGAGGCCTCTGAAAACAAGAGAGCTGGGTGGCTTGCAGCAGCTCCAGAGAACCTGAAGTACCACAGACAGATAGCACAGGGAGCAAAAGATTATGAGATCCTGAAAAAGGAAACGAACAAGTTCATCTTGAGAATTTATACACACTGGTCGAGAAGAAGCATCCTCAGGAAAGGTTCAAAAGGCATGCAGAATCTCTAGTCAGGCCGATCAGTGAGGATCTTTCTCTGTACAGAGCCAGACCACAAAGACTGGGAGGGGTGATATTTTTTCAAATGCTTGGATCCCAACATGATGTTAAAAGACACACAAAGAAATAGGGAAACATGGCACAATCAAAGAGTCAAAATATCCAGGAACCTACTTTAAGGAAACACAGATATCTTCATTATCTCAGAAGGAATTCAGACTAACCACCATAAACATGTTCAGTGACCCAAGGAAAATGCTGCATGAACAAAATGGTATCAACATAGAGATTGAAAACGTAAAAAGGAACCAAACAAACATTGTAACAGATGCAATATGCTTCTTTGACCAAATTGAAAGATTTACTAGAGGAGTTTAGCAGCAGTGTTTTTCAAGGAGAAGAATTAGTGAACTTGAAGCCAGGTCATTTGAAATTATCCAGTCAGAGAAGCAAAAAGAAAAAAAATAAAAAAAGAATGAAGACAGCCTAGAGTACTAATGGGACAGCATCAATTTTATCAATGTAGATTGTATGGAAGTTCCATATGTTGGAAAGAGAAAGGAGCAAAAAGCTTATTTGAAGAAATACTGGCCAAAACTTCCCAAACTGAAGGAAGGCAGTGGACATCCAGATTCAAGAAGCCAAATGGACTCCAGAGTAGAACAATCCGAAGACATCTACATGGAAACACACTGTAATCAAATTGTCAAAGAATTTTGAAAGCAGCAGGATAAGAACAACTTGTCATATACAAAGGAGATTCTGTGGGACTCTAAGTGGATTTCTTAGCAGAAACCTTGCAGGTCAGAAAGAAGTGGGATGATATAGTCAAACTGCTGGAAGAAAAACTGCCAGCAAAGTACTGTATGTGGCAAAACTTTTCTTTAAAAGTAAAAGAGAAATAAGATTCTCAAAATCTGAGAGAGTTCATCACCACTATATCTGACTTAAACGCCAATGGGAGTCTGTTAAATGGAAACAAAAGTATGTTCAACATGAAAGTATAAAATTAAATGATAAAGCTATGGACAAATAGAGACCTGCATATTATTGTAATGGTGGTGAGTAAATCACTTATTTCTGATATATAAGTCTAAGACAAAAGTTTAAGTGCCTGTAACTATAAAAATATTAATAGATGCACAACATAAAAGATGAAATTTGTAGCATCAGTAATGCAGTATGGGGATGGATGAGAAGAAGCAGTATTGTATGCAGTTGAAATTATCAGCTTAAAATAGGTTTATTAGAAGATGTTTTATGTAAACTCCATGGTAACCACAAAGAAAATACCTATAGAAAATACACACACACAAATAAGGAATCAAAGCATATCTATTAAAAAAAAAAACAGTGAAACAAAAAGCATGATGGCAAGAGAGGAAAGGAAGGACAAAAAAGTTTCAAGATAGAAAATCATTAACAAAATGTCATTGTAAGTCCTTCCCTATCAGTAATAACTTTAAATGTACTAAACTCTCCAATCAAAAGACATAGAGGGGATGAATGGATTAAAAAAATAAAACCAAGAGCCAGCTATACCCAGTTTATAAGAGACTCACTTCAGATTTAAGGATACTTTTTATTTTTTTACAGAAATGGATATACTGATTCTAAAACTGATACTGAATTGATAGGGATTTAGAATAGCCAAAACAATTTCGAAAAAGAACAAAGTGGGAGGATTCACATTAACTGATTTTAAAACTTAATACAAATGTACAGTACTCAAGAATGTGTGGTACTGGTATAAGGATAGACATATAGATCAGTGAAATAGAATTGAGATTGCAGAAATAAGTGCATACAGTTATGATCACTTTTCAATAACGATGCGAAGACAATTCAAAAATGTTATTTTCAAAAAATGGTGCTGAAATAACTGGGTTTCCACATGGATAATAATGAATATGGATCTATACCACACACCGTGTACAAAATTAACATAAAATAGATCAAAGATATAAATGCAGGAATTAAAGACATAACATTTTTTGAAGAAAACATAAGGGTAAGTCTTCATAACCTTGAGTTGGGCAGTAGTTTCTTAGATGTTATATCTAAAGCATAAGCAACCAAGAAGAAATATAGATTCAAATTTGTCAGAATTAAAAACCTCATATTGCAAAATGCACTGTGAGAAAAAATGAAAAGACAATCTACAGAATAAGAAAAGTATTTGTAAATCATATATGATAGTGGTCTATGATATGGTCTGAATGTTTGTGACTGTGTCCCTCCATTCATATGTTGAATCCTGTAATCATCAAGGGGATGGTATTAGAGTTACCATATGACCCAGCAGTTGCATGCTTAGCTATATTCCAAGAGAATTAAAGATGCATTTATTAAAAAAGTATATAAACTTACATATTATTTGCTAACAATGCAAATGCTCATTGGCATTTTTAACAGCATTATTTATAATAGCCAAAAGTGCAAATAACCCAAATGTCATCAGCTGATGACAGCATAAATATAATGTGGTATACATACAATGGAATATTATTCTGCTATGAAAATGAATGAAATACTGATACATGCTCCAACACAGATGAACCTTGAACATATGCTATGTGAAAGAAGCCAGATGCAGAAGGCCACATATTCTAAGATTCTAGATTAAGTATCCAGAGCAGGTAAAAACAGAGGCGGGAAAGTGTATGTTGCCTGGAGCTGGAAGGAGGGTAGAATGGGGAGGCATGAGTTTTCTTTTGGGGAGGATGGAAATATTCAAAGATAGGTAGTGGAGATGATTGTAGAAGTCTGTGAATATACTAAAAACCATTGCATTATATACTTTGAAAGGCTGAATTTTAGAGTGTGTGAATTAAATTTAAAAAAAAAACTATCTCATACTGTCCAACTAGGAGACAGAGACCATATAGTGATTTTAACAGTGGAGGTTTAATACACAGAATTACTAGTTATAACATGATTGAAGAAATAGAAATTGACTTGTAAGAAGTAAAGACAACTTTTAAGAATACTGTAAGAGCAGACTTAATAAGTAGCCACTAACTCTAGGGCTGTTCCCATACTGGGGCTGAGATTCAGGTCTGGTTGAAGAGGGGACAGATGTCACTGGCAGATGCTGAAGTTGCCGGATACCATGCTTCTGGAACTTATTCTCCCTCTGGCATTCTGAACCTTGGAATTTGCTGCAGAAGCCACGTGAAGGGGTTGAGAAAGCTGCTCAGGGAGATTCCTTGGTGGTGGCATTCTGCTGCAGAGTTACTCAATAGAGTGCTGGGGTGAGCTTCTGCATGCTTGTGAAACTACTCCTGGCAGGAGTCTGGCTAGAGTAGTACGTTGGAACCATGAAGAGAAAAGCTCTTCCTCCTACAGTGTACCTCCAGTTGCCTCTACTGACAAGGCTTAACATCATGCCAGCTGGTAACAGAGCAATGTTGAAAGAGCTCAGCTCCATTTTGGGAGAGAAAGCAATAAGAAGTGGATTTGGAAATGGGAGGTAATAAATTGATACCTGAATCAAGAATCTTACGTTAAACCACATACCAGTTTAGCATATATTCTGTTTTATTGGGTTGAGTGAAAGTATCAGGTATTCATCTCAAAACAGCTAAATAAAATTTAAAATATGCATTCATATAATACATTTAGAGAATTGTGTTTTAAATTATTACAAAAAGCAATTTATAACTAAAAAACATACTTCTACTTAATACAGAAGTATTTTAAATGAAAAGTAAAAATTTCCCTCTTATTCCTCACTCCTTTACCATCTGTCTTCTGAAGAAAAATCTGTTAGCAGTTGATATAGTTTCTTCTGTATACATATATGTGTGTATATATTTTTCTTAGTAATAGAGGTTCATGTATTGATACTGCATATGATCTGCTTTTAGGCTTTTATTGTTAGAAGGAAATGTAGCTGTGTAATGCCCAAGGGCATTGTACTAAGGGTAGTTTCCTAGTCCTGGCTAAGTTGCAAGTACTTGTGTAAGTTAGGAGTAAGTCACATAACTATTCTATTTGATTTTCTAAATTTGTAAAATGAAGGGACTTTTACTTGAATTTTAAAAATCGGTGATGGATATAGTTCAATAATACTATTAGGGGAAGGAGAGGTAGTTTGGTAATTCTTAAGTATCAGCTAACTTTTAGTATGGCCTATATATTCTTATTTTTTAATATGTTTTGCAATTTAAATGTTTTTTATTGAGTTAAATAGTTCTACTTGTTTATGTGTCTGTGGTTAGCTGTGTATACTATTTCAATTTCTATGACATTAGAGTAATAAAACTTTCTTTTTTTCTTTAGAAGAATCCTGCAAAAATGTCTCTCTATCCATCTCTCGAAGACTTGAAGGTAGACAAAGTAATTCAGGTATGATAGTTTAAATACTTTTGTCAAAACAAACACAGTAACATGCATTCTACTTATAGGTGAAATAAAGCAAGATAGCTAAATAGCAGATATATTTGTTCATTTTTACACTTCATAAACCTTTTTTTAGTTTTATTAATTGCAGACTGAAAAGTTTACAGAAAAATTAGCAATTTTTTTTTTCATTTCACTGTGAATTAATAGGCATGAGATTTTTTTAATTCGACTTACACTTTTTACATTTCTGGTTAAAATTTAATTATATGTAACATATTTGAGTTGACAAAATATACTCCAATTTTGTAGATATTCATAGTTTTGTATAAAATTGGTATATTTTTCTTTTGGATCTTTAGGTATGACCACTCTTTAATTCTATGTCTCTTAACTGAAGTTAAAATTACAGAAATAGTGGCGTACATGCTGCTTTTAGAAGAGCAGTCATGTAAGAGCACAGGGAAAGTGTAGTGATTTCTTTCCTTTGAGAGATGAGCAGCAGACATTTCACTTGTTCATTCTCTAAATGACTGTGTAGAGATTGCAGTATTTCTAATTGCATTGAGTTGAAAATTTTTATACTCCTTTGTATAAGTATTAGCTTTGAAGACAAATGCTTCTGCTTAAGAACAAAGTGAGGAATTGGGACCAATTCTGGCTAATTGGGAAATTTTTGGTAATTATTTTAATTGGGGGTAATTTGTAGTATATGATGAATTTGTTTACGGTTAGCTTTCAACTTGATCTCTTATCAATTTAGAATTTCTTCAGCCGTTGTTTATTGTTTTAATTTGACAAGATAAACGAAAACTCCTTACCCTGAAGATCATTTTATTGGGTCCCTGTCTTCAATTTACTAGAAAGTGAGATATTCAATTTACTTACTGATAATTGAATTATGAACAATTATTTTCTATCATAGATCCAGTATGGATATTAAAATGAGGTTTGTAAAATCTCTAAAATCTACAGTTCAGCTGCCAAGGCTTTGATGCCTCAAAGTTTCAAGTGGCCTATTCAGTCATCTTTTACATGTTCCTATCACTTCTTTAGTATTTTGTCAGTATTTTCTTCATGTGGTTTTTATTTCCACATAGTTCATCTAAACAAGCACTTTTCTTTTTAAAAGGCCTTTATCTGAAATATTTAGCTTTCCAGAATAACTGCTTAGCCATTAATATGACATCAATACATTAACTGATAAGGATTTTTAGATGGACCTGTAAGAATGACTAATCTGTTCTTTGTTTTCATCCTTTTTTTGTTAGCTTTTTATGGAATTGAATGTAAATTCACCATAGTCAGATATGAGCTGAGGCTTTTGGTTTTGAAAACAGCAGCAGCAGAAGAGTTGATATTGACAAATATTGGAATGAAAAATAAAGAGGGCTACAATCTGTATCATGCTGCCCTCTTTAAGCAGAAGTGAATTACATAGATATTTACATTAAAGAACGTTTTATGTTCAGAGCAGAAAGCAGCTGGGAGATAGAACAGTGAATAAGGAGTGGGAAACATGGTTCTTTTATTACCCCTGAATTTAAAAATATTCCTAATTTAGCCATTAAACTCTTTGGCTGTTTTTGTTTTGTTTTGTTTTGTTTTTTTGCATCATTTTCTAAGGTGGATGATACTCATGTTTGTTTTTATTCTTAAGATTCTCCTGAAACGGTATTATGAAGGAAGGTAGTATTCATTTTCTCATCTGCTGGCCTTTAACACCACAGCAAAGCTAAATTACAGCAATGAACCAACCATTCATATTTTGTAAACTATTCTGCAGTAGCCACTAGGCTGTGGCTTTTAGCATCATACAGTCCCTAGACCTTTTTCTCTCCATTCCAAATCCTGACAAGAGCCTGTGGTTTCCTCTACTTATGCAAAGTAAGCTTTTAATAAATAATGATATACAGAACCAGAGCTTATCAGTTTCCTAATATGGTGGGCAGAATTTGGCAGCAGTGACGCTACAAGCATGTTTTTTCCACATCCTTTCTGTTAATGGCAGAAACAATAGGCCCTGGCATGCTCCTTGGGGCACCCCAACCCCTTTTTTTAGTAGTGTCACATTTCAAAGTAAGTTTGAAATAAGTAGCTACATTTAATGGTTTACAGTACTTAAAATTGGGTTACATCCTTTTGTTTCATTTTTACTGCAAATAACATAATTAAATTTAACTTTGCAGGGAGCTTTCTATATGTATTCTTCAGTATTCCTTGGATTAAAAACAATAGCAATGAAAGAACAGAAATTCATAACTACATACAAAGGAGAAGTATTTTAAATTAATAAGCTGTGTTTTAGAGCAATTTTAGATTCACAACAAAATTGATCAGAAAGTACAGTATACCTTCTGTCCTCACACATGCACAACCTCCCCCAGTATCAGCATCTGCACCAGAGCAGTACATCTGGCTCATTAATATCACCTGAAGTCTACATATTTACATTACATCACATTAGGGTTCACTGTTGGTGTTATATGTTCTGTGGATTTTGACAAATGTATAGTGACGTGTATATAGTCATGTGTTGCTTAAAGACGGATATGTTCTGAGAAATGCCTCATTAGACAGTTTTGTCGTGCAAACATTATAGAGTGTACTTCCACAAATGTAGATGGCATAGCCTACTACACATCTAGGCAGTATGGTATAGTCTGTTGTTCCTATGCTACAAACCTGTATGATCCCACCTGTATGATACAGTAATACTGCATGTTACTGTACTGAATACTGTAGGCAATTGTTACACAATAGTATTTGTGTATCTAAACACAGAAAAGGTATGGTAAAAATACAATGTAAAAGATTTAAAATGGTACATCTGTATAAGGCACTTACCATGAATGGAGCTTCCAGGACTAGAAGTTGCGCTGGGTAAGTCAGTGAGTGAGCGGTGAGTGAATGTGAGGCCTAGGACATTATTGTATACTGCTGTAGACTTTATCAATACTCTATACTTGGGCTGCACTAAATTTATTTAAAAATTTTTCTTTCTCGAATTATAAATTAACCTTAGCTTCCTGTAACTTTAATTTTTTAACTTTCTGACTCTTGTAATAACATAGTTTAAAACACAAACATTGTACAGCTGTATAAAATATTTTCTTTCTTTATATCCTGATTCTATAAGCTTTTTTCCTATTTTTTAAATTTTTAGTTTTTAAAAATCGCTTGTAAGTTTGTTAAAAACTGAGACACACACTCACATTAGCCTAGGCCTGCACAGGGTCAGGATCATCAATATCACTGTCTTCCACCTCCACATCATCCCACTGAAAGGTCTTCAGAGGCAGTAACATGCATGGAGTTGTCATTTCCAATGGTAATAGTGCCTTCTGGAATACCTCCTGAAGGACCTGCCTGAGACTGTTTTACAGTTAACTTTTTTTGTAAGTAGAAGGATATACTCTAAAGGGTATAACACAGGAAATACATAAATGAGTAACATAGTCATTTATTATTATCAAGTATTATGTACCATGCATAATTGTAGATGCTATACTTTTTTATATATGACTGGCAGTGCAGTAAGCTTATTTACACCACCATCACCACAAAGTAATGAGTTGTTCTGTGTGACGGCAGCTATGATGTCACTAGACAGTAGGAATTTTTTAGCTCTTTTATAATCTCATGGGACCACTATTGTATATGTGGTTCATCATTGACCAGAACAGGCAGCACATGACTGTATACCATTGTAGCATTAGACAGAATAGGTTCACTGCTCGAAAAATTCTTTAATGCCTGTTCTTCCTTCCCTTCTAGAAACTCCTGGCAACCAATAATTTGCTTTTGCTTTTGTGTTTTCTTTAGCGTCAGGATGTCGCTCTGTTGCCCAGGCTGGAGTACAGTGGCACAGTCATGGTTCACTGCAGCGTCCATCCTCCTGCCACAGCCTTCTAAGTAGCTGGGACTACAGGCATGCACCACCACACCTAGCTAGTTTAAAAAGAAAATTTTTTTTTCCCCCAAAACGGAGTCTGGCTCTGTCACCAGGCTGGAGTGCAGTGGTGCGATCTTGGCTCACTGCAACCTCCTCCTCCTGGGTTCAAGCAATTCTCCCTGCCTCAGCCTCCCGGGTAGCTGGAATTAACAGGCATCCACCACCATGCCCGGCTAATTTTTGTATGTTTACTAGAGACAGGGTTTTGCCATGTTGGCCATGACAAACATGACAACATGCCATGTTGGTCAGTTGAACTCCTGACTTCAGGTGATCTGCCCACCTCAGCCTACCAAAGTGCTGGGATTACAGGCATGAGCCACTGTGCCTGGCCAAAACAATTTTTTGCATAGGCAGGGTTTTCCTATGTTGCCCAGGCTGGTCTTGAACTCCAGGCCTCAAGCAACTCTCCAGCTTCAGCTTCCCAAAGTGCTGGGATTAAAGGCCTCAGCCACTGTGCCTGGCCTAATATTTTATTATCTCCACAATTTTGCATTTTTCAAAATGTCGTATAGTTGGAATCATAAAGTATGTAGCCTTTTGAGATTGGCTTCTTTCACTTAGTAATATCCACTTAAGTTTCCTCCATGTCTTTTCATGTCTTTATAGTTCTTTTTTTTTTCCCAGTGCCGCACAGTATTTTTTTTGTTAGACATGATTCAAGAAGTAATATAACAAGCCACTAGCTCCTTTTAGCTAATCGGTGGTGAAAGAACTTTCAAAGTTCAACACATGTTCAATTTGTGGATTGTTATTTATAATTATAAAGATTTTCATGCTGTATTTTGTTTAAATCTAGAATGTTTAACAAATTATGAAATAATAAATATTAAAGGATGACTCAACAAGTATATCAGAACATATAATTTTAGTACCATTCAAAGCTTTCATAGGCTTTACTTATTTAAACTAAGCTTTCATATCTCCAAGCATCTTTGGGAATACTCTTGACATTGATTTTAGGGCTAGGTTGAGATACTACTATGAACTTCATTTTTAAAATGATACATTTCCAATAAAGTAAAAAGTTGGTAGAGATTGGTCATACAACTTATTACCAAACTTGTCTCTAATGACATATAGCTATTTCAGAAAGTCAGATCTAATTGTAAAGGATAAAGTATTTCCATCAGTGAGATACTTCATATGATGTAGGCCATCAAGACAGCCCTGAGAAGAGGATACTTGAGCATGAGTAGCATTGATAAATGCTAGAGTGTCAGAGTGTGTCAGAGTGATTTTGGCAAGTTTGTTTAACAGTTACAAATTACATTACCTTGTCATCATCGATTTATGTCAGTGATAAACTGTGCTATTTTCATAATTTCTGATATTTTAAAAGTATTTAGCATAAACCCCTTCCTATACTTGCTGCAATGAAGATAAAGATGATTTCAGTGGGACATGCTTAGTATTAATTTTTTAGGTGTTTTTCTGATATGTGACTTTTATATGAATATGGGTAAGGTTTTTTCTTATGCAAATAAAATATTTTTACTTGGACTAATTAGTAAAAGAATAATGAAAATGTAAAATTTATTCATTTTAGAATGCACTTTGAAAATATTAATTTATTGTGGCAGCACTATGAAGTGCTGGTTATAAGACATGTAGAATGGTACTTCTACAATTTTTTTGTGATAGCCTTAAAAGTATTTAGAATATCAAATATAGTTTTGATTTGCAGATTTCCTTTGGAAAATGTATTGCTGATGTGTTTGAAATTAAACTTTCTTACATAAATCTTCATTGTTTTAGTTTCTTTTTGGAAGTACTGGATTTAGCTTATAAATTATATAAGAATATAAAGTAAGTATAGCATATTGTTAGAATTTTCTTCTTTTCTTTTTCAGGCTCAAACTGCTTTTTCTGCAAACCCTGCCAATCCAGCAATTTTGTCAGAAGCTTCTGCTCCTATCCCTCACGATGGAAGTAGGTTTATACTTTGAGTTCATTCTCTGTGAACAGAAATATTGTTATCTTCTTTTGCTCATATAAGGAATCCAAGATTTTTTTTTGGACAGGCTGCATAAAATTGGTAGTTAAGCTCAAATAGTTATGAATAAGAAAAAAAAGTTTACTTCAAAAAATAACCCTTTTTCTAATTAAGATAGTGAACTGTGGATATGGGGATGTATTTCATGGCTTAATGAAAATTAATTTTAGACTGACTTGTAAATCCCTAACGTGGCTGATTCATTTATGAATGAATTATATATATGAATTCACATATGAGAACTATATGAATTCACATTTAAGAACTATCATGCTGCTGCTGTTGAACTTTCTGAATTGTCTTCTGTCTTTCCTATGGGAGCTTCTGAAATTTCCAACCACCTCCTCTTTGGGAAGCCTCCTAAATCTTAAGGCCTTTATTCATTCTCTGTATCCTGTCTTTGGTCCCTTTTTCTTCAAGGTTCAGAGGGATTCAGGACAGAGCTCCTAAATACTATGACTTAAGATACAAAATAAGTGTTAAATAAGTTTTTGTGGCCTGTCATTTTGTCTTACAACAGTTTATAACATTGTGCCTCATAGAAAATTCATTTTAAGTCACAGATAATTTAAGTCTCATGTAAAAAAGAGCTTTTGGAAATAGTATATAACTACTAATAAGTGAAATAATGTTAATATTTAAAAATACCATTTCCAGGATTTCATTGGAATGTGGTTAAAATTATTAAAATGATAAGACACTAAATAAATTTACAAGCTTCCAAAAAAAATTGTTCATAAGAATCATTCCATATCCCTGTTTACAGAATGAGTTATAAAGTAGCTGACTTGACAAATAGATATTTTGGTCAGTTGTTCTGAATTGGAGAATCAGTGGCATTCTTACTAAATTCCTAATCAAGTAAGTTTATTTTAAGAAACAGGAAAGGCAAGATAGTTTATTTGGAAAAGTTATTTCTACTTTTGAGTGTTTAGGAATCTCTGGTTGTTTCAGTTCAGATGTCTTCATATTTTACGAATTTTAAACATTTTCTGTATTTTCCATTTCTCATTATTACAGAGATGGGGAGATGCCTTTCCAAATTGCTACTTTAAATTCATTCTAGATTTTATAACTTAAGTGTAATTTTGTTAATACGCAGAAGCCCATAATGAGAGAAGTTTTCATTTTGTGTATTCTGTAAGTGCTTTTTAATTTATTCATTTACTTTTTAGATCTCTATCCCAGACTGTATCCAGAGCTCTCTCAATACATGGGGCTGAGTTTAAATGAAGAAGAAATACGTGCAAATGTGGCCGTGGTTTCTGGTGCACCACTTCAGGGGGTATGTATAGTGTAATTAATTTTGATTTATATAAAATCATACTTTACATGTTAGTATAAGCTTTCCTCTTTGTGGCTAACTCACAGATATACTACTAGCATTGAACCTCACTTCTCAGAAATTTTAGACTTCCTTTTGGATATCATTTCTTATATAGTCTACTTCATTTTGTGCTACACTGTTTTGAGTTTATTAGGACTTAGATTCAGATACCTTTTACTAGTTCGTTCTCCTTTGTCTTCTGCATTTAGTCAGTTACTAAGTCCTATTGATTCTGTTTCTGTTTCTTGTATTCATTTTATCTGTTTTTTATCCATTCTAGTCCTACTATAACCATATTCAGGGTTTCTATACTTCTAGCCTTCATTATTATAGTACTCTCTTAAATTTCCTCTAGTAACTTATTTCAGACAGTACTAAGCCGCTGCTAAGTTAATCATTCTGAAATACACATATAGGTCTATCATATCTTTGTTGCTCATAATCTTTTTTTTTTTTTTTTTTTTTTTTGAGGCATAGTCTCACTTTGTCACCCAGGCTGGAGTGCAATGGCGTGATCTCGGCCCACTGCAACCTCCGCCTCTTGGGTTCAAGCAATTCTCCTGCCTCAGCCTCCCAAGTAGCTGAGACTACAAGCGCGCGCCACCATGCCTGGCTAATTTTTTGTATTTTTAGTAGAGACCGGGTTTCACCATGTTGGCCACGCTGGTCTCGAACACCTGACCTCAGGTGATCCACCTGCCTCGACCTCCCAGAGTGCTGGGATTACAGGCATGAGCCACTGTGCCTGGCCTTTGCTCTTAATCTTTTAACATTCTTTTTGAAATTCAAAGCTCCATGTAATTAGACTCCAGAGTCTAGCTTAATTATAATGGGTCTGATAACCTTTTATTAAGGTTATTGCTATGACCATAGCACTTTGTACCACTTATTATAATTGTAGTTAAATCTGTGTCTGTCTTGTTGCCATATCCCAATGCATATACAGTACCTGGCATTTATGTATTTACCAAATATTTATTGAAAACTTGCTTGTGTTAGTGGTGATGCAGTTGGGAAAACAAATAATAGTAGGTATTTTAAGAGGTTGAAAAATTGAAAAAAACATAAATGGACATAGATGTAATTGCAGATAGCTAGCTGCTTCTCCTAGGACTGGGATAACACAGGAGAGAGATTGGAGTTAGCAGAACCTAGAAGCTTGAGGAAGAGCCCCACGGAGCTGGGACTCAGACCTTGGATGAGGGGACACTACTAGTGCCTCTGAGGGGTTGTAATGAGGCTGGTTCTGGGAGTGTCAGTAAAAGTTGCAGACTGGAACCAACTGCTGCTGCCAGTGTAAAGGGCCAGGCTTACACAGTACTGACAGGAGCAGGAGGCACACAGGAAGGAATGAGGTGCTTGTCATTCCAGTCACTGACAAACGAAATTATAATTTGCACAGTTAGGCCCAGCATCACCAAGTAGAGTCTAGAAGGGTGGATTTGGAGCTGACAAACAGTAGTTTAATATCTGTTACCACCTACTCCTTTGACTACTCAGTATATCCACACACTTGTACAAACATTTGAATTTCATGTGACAACAACAACAACTTTATAGTTTCTCCTTGAAAGATGAATTTCTTCATAAAATCAAAGTTCAAACTTTATAAAGGGCTCCATAATAAATACCTTAGGCTTTCATGGTCACTTATGATCTTTATCACATATTCTTATTGTTATTTGTTTATTTACAATCTTTAAAAATATAAAAATCATTTTTAACTCAGGGGTGTACAAAATGAAGCCATGTACCCTTCAATATAAATGAAGTTGCTCTCACCCTTTCTCTAGAAAGGGATGATACCAGTTAATGTGGCCATCTCTGGGCAGTCATCATGGTATTGATTACTATATGATACTAATTACCCTTCTAAGTATTCACATTCCCAACAGAATATTTTTAATTTAAAGGCAAAAGTGTAAAGTTAACCACTACCAACAATTCATACATAAAGGTAAAAAGAGGTATAGAGGAACAGAAAGATTAATTGCTGTATTTACAGAAAATATACAAATACAAAGAAGAACAGAGTCATAGCTGCTCTGATTCTTATTTTAGTAACTGATCATGAGGCTGTAGTTAAAATTTAGAACTTCCTTTGTTCACTACATGGATGCTTAGATCCCTTTGCCCAAATACCTAGAAGGGTGATATAACCTTCATTTTTGTGTCTGCATCTCCAGGGTTCTTCAGTGCGCCGCCTTTTATTTTTCTTCTGTTCTATTTTAAATTAATTTGTTGCTGGAGATTTCTGTTATCTCTTCATATCTAGTGAATTTTTCATTTCACATATTTTATTCTTCTTCTCTTGATGTTCCATCTGGATCTTCCTCTCCCCAGCTTTATTGAGGTATAATTAACAAATATAAATTGTATATATTCAACTGTATATATCAATACAACTTGATGTATTGATAAACACACACAAACACACATTGTGAAATGATTACCACAGTCAGGGTTATTAACGTATCTGTCATCTCACATGGTTACATTTCTTTTGGTGTGTGGTGAGAACACTTAAGATGTACTCTTAGCAACTTTCAAGTATACCGTACAGTATTATTAATTATAGTTACTATGCTGTACATTAGATCTCCAGAACGTACTCATATGATAACTGAGAAAGTTTGTACACTTTGACCAACATTTTTCTCATTCTTTGCCCTGCCCAACCCCAGCCCCTGACAACCTTCCTTCTACTCTCTATTTCTGTGAGTTTGACTCTTTTCAGATTCCACATATAAGTGGGACCCAGACAGTACTTGTCTTTCTGTGTCTGGTTTATTTCACTTGGAATAATATTCTCTACATTTATTCATGTTGTCCAAATGGCAGGATTTCCTTTTTTTAGTGGCCTAATATTATTCCATTTTCTTTTTGGTTGGGGAAAGGTTCCACTTAAAATAAACCAGTTTTGATTAGGAAAACTGGAAAGAATTAGAAACTTGAAACATGGTATATGACACAGGTCCCTAATGTAGGTATTCTGGGGCATTCTGGTTTGTGCATATGATTTGTTAATCCATAGATGGTTACTAGAGGGGAAGAGACATAATAGTTGACTGTCTTATGTGTGCCAGTGCCCATACAACATGCACTTTTCATTTAATCCTGTCAGTAACAGTGAGGTAAGAAATTTGCCCCTTTTATGGAAATTCTGAAAGGATAAGTAGATTGTCAAAGATCGTGACATCATGAACCGTCTGGAAAATGTTTCAAAAGTATATGGCCTTTAAGTTCAAAGATAATAAATTTGAGATGAAGACAAGCCAGTATACCGGTGAAACAAATGCCAGTGAATTCAAAGGGCAACAGAGAGTCATTGAATCTATTAGAGATGATATGTGTGGGAATAAGTTAGTGAAGAATTAGTAGTAGAGCCAGTGCCATTTTCATAGACATCAAACTTTATCGGAAGGAAATTATTTGTGGATTGCTTTTTGGAAAGCCAAAACTGAGTAAGTTCCAGTTAATTATCATTGTTTTTTTCAAGGAGAGTGTTTCTAGATATTGACACATTGTATATGGTTTTGTCAGCAGTTGGTAGCAAGACCTTCCAGTATAAACTATATGGTGGCTCCTGTAACTGGTAATGATGTTGGAATTCGTAGAGCAGAAATTAAGCAAGGGATTCGTGAAGTCATTTTGTGTAAGGATCAAGATGGAAAAATTGGACTCAGGCTTAAATCAATAGATAATGTAAGTATTTTAAATACCTATTTGAATTTGTCTAAATCTCTTACATAATAAGTGATTAATGTTAAAATAATTTGAAATGGAAATGCTTTAATTATAATAGTGCATCTGTAGTTGAGAATATTTTAAATCTACTAACTTAAATGTTTTCAATTGGGGATGTTCTATTTTGCAGAGGCATAGTTGGGACTTCTGACCACATTACTTTGAAAGATGTTTCTTTTCTGAATATTCTAACTGGAATACATTTCACTGGCCTACATATATTATAGTTTGTATAATAGAATTGTGGCAATTAAATAGAGCAGATGTGAAGGTTAAGAAAAAACTTTCCAATGAGAGTCAATGTCAGTGTGCCTTTTTTTTTTTTTTTTTGAGACGGAGTCTCGTTCTGTCGCCAGGCTGCAGTGCAGTGGTGTGATCTTGACTCACTGCAACCTCTGCCTCCCGGATGTGTGTGCATTTTTAAACCAAATGATCAGTATTTAACTGGTGAGATGGTTTTTGCAGATTTGTTATTAACATCCTTCACATTTGAATTTAATATGTCATTTTCTGAGTAAAAAAAGATGGAATATTCTTTCTAATTAGGGCAGCCTTTACTTTATAATTACCTCTCACCTTAACATACTGAAGATATGAAACAGGGTTACTCTCTGAGGAACCATTTATAATTGTGAAGGACATGTTGAGTCTTTACCCCAATTTATAGTTTTAGCCATTACCTTATTGGATTCGGTTTCAGTCATACATCTCTAGCTTAGTGCATCCAGCCTTTCCACATAGAAAATTATAAGTGTGGTGCACTGCTGTAAATGGAGGAGGCTGATCTTGGCAGGAGGCCCCCGCCCTGCCTGCCCACCCAGGGGGCTGAGGCCATCGATGATGGCCTTGCTCACTTGTATGTCACTCAAAATACATCTGCGTGCTTAGTTGGGATGCTCTGACTTTGCTGCCCTTTCTCCAGAATCTTCAGGGAATAGAGTATACTGCTGCTCCTTCCGCCAGGATTGCTCTTGTGTTCTTTCCTCTGTCCTAAAGAGAAAAGATACTTTTCATAGGCCCCTTGGCCCCACTGTAGGTAATAGTTGCAGTGGATTTGTTCACTTGGCCAAAGGGCATTTGTTCATTTATGGGGTGCTACCTAGTTCTTGCTTATCATTCTACAATGTAACAGATGTGTGATAGAAATATGTGACCTAGCTTAGGATTGTAGAAGTAGATGCACTTATATTTTACCAGGCTTATTCTTCTTTTATACTTACCTATTTATATTTTGTTCAACTTCTGATTGAGATTTTACATAAGTAAAAATATCCATGTGAGTGTAGTTATTGGTTAACAGTATTTGAGTTTTCTGTATTTATTTCATTGTGTGTTCTTTATAAGCCTGTGCATGTGGATTTAATATGCCCATCTTTTTAGTCTAACAAATAAACTTTAATCTTACTTGATTATACACAATTTAGCAAATGGGTAAAGGAATGCTTCAGCTCAAAAGGTAGAATTATGACCTTAAACTGTCATTTATTAAGCTGTAAAAGAACTCATCAAACTTTCTAACATGTGACTCGCTTTTCCCCTAAATATGATTATGTACTGATAATTTGGTATTCTATCAGACTCAGACGCTTGCATTTATTAAAGTTGTCCTACTGTATTTTCCTTAGTTTTGTATTCCAAGTTGAAGGGGGGGATTGTGGTTGGTCAGGTGGGTCATGATTTGGTATAGAAATTGCCATTGAAATCTCACTTTTTTGCCTTATTCTTTGGAGTTGCTGTCTTGATAAATTTTTCAGTTTCTTTTGAGGTGATAACTTAATATACTCATATAGTTTTTCCTTTTTTTCTTTTTCTTTCTTTTTTGTCACTGGGGTAGAGTTTTCAACATAAACAGTTGTTTCCTAATTTTCCAGCGTTTAAAACCGTATCATAGTAGTGGTAAATGACAAAAATTATTTTCTTATTATCTAGGGTATATTTGTTCAGCTAGTCCAGGCTAATTCTCCAGCCTCATTGGTTGGTCTGAGATTTGGGGACCAAGTACTTCAGATCAATGGTGAAAACTGTGCAGGATGGAGCTCTGATAAAGCGCACAAGGTGCTCAAACAGGCTTTTGGAGAGAAGATTACCATGACCATTCGTGACAGGTAAGCTGTTACTAAACAGCTCAAATGAAAATTCAATACTAGTTTTCCATTTTTTTGGGCTTTCAGAGTTTGTGAGTATATTATTTTGTTGCAGAAAATGATCAAATGTTATTGATGAGCCTTATAGTCTTGCAGTTGTGTGGTGCAGATTTTTCTTACATTGTTTTTAAAGCATTCTGATACGATACCTTATTTCAGAGTTTATAGGACAAATCTCTCTAGAAAATAGAAAACGTATGTTGGAGAAGTAACTGAGTTGCAGGGCATCTCTGGGCTCACTTTCCAACTTACTGCTTAGATACATCCAGCCTAGGGTGTTCACACACAGTGGTCCCTCATTGTGAGGGTCAGAGCCCATGCAGACTTCCAAGTAGTATGGGAGTTCTGAAAACCGTATCAAGACTTTTGGGTAGTTATGAAGCAGTAGTTTTCAAGAACATGGAATATTCTATTTAGCAGCTCATTCATTTAGAACTTAAACATTTAGCACATGAAATAGGGGCCTCCATTTATTTTCTTGTCTACTCCATACCCAATTAAGGGTAGACGTATATTGCATTGTTACAGTAAGCTTTGAGTTTTTGTTCCTTCTCAGTGAAACTTCTGTTTTATCTTTGTGTTTCCAGTTTCTCATTCAGTTTAGGTATTTCGTAAATGTTTCAGATGAATGTCCTTTTTACTTTCTATCTAAGCAGAGTTTCAAAGAGTAAGTTGTACTAACAGGAAGAAATGCCTCTTCTGAATTTAATAATGTAAACACAAGTTGATCCTAAAACCCTTATGATAACATGATAACAGAGTTTATAGAGAATCAAGCAAATGTGACTGCTATAACAACTCTAGAGGGACAGCTGGATGCCTTTTAATAATAGCTGCATGCCTCCCTTTCCAAAGGGGCTTGAGGAACTTAAGTCTTACTGCTGCTCTAGTTTTTCTTTTCAAAGATAGCAATGTATAAAATTTTCAAAATCAAGATGTGAGAAATATTTTAAAGGTTTTAAATAAAAGAAATAGTCCTAAAAATGATTTGGCTCTAGAAAATACCAAAAGTTAATAAAAAATAAAAATTATCTTTACCACTGTGATTTAGTTAAAAAGCCTATGTCATTCTTAATGCTGTAAAGTCTAATTATAAAAGAAAAACATATTGATAAAACCATATAAAGCAGTTGTCTTTTATACTTAAAGAAGGAAATGTTGATTAGTAAATCAGTCAAACCATAATGAATAAACTTAAAAAAAACTTTTACACAAAGATGTTCCGTGAATGTATAAAATCAGAGCCATAAGTTGCTCTTATTAGAAACAGTGTTTATTATAAAAGTATCCAATATGGCAACATTTATGCTATATGAAATCCATTAAAATGTTTAGCTTAGAATTAAGTTTTTAATTGAACCAATTATGTTTGTAGGCCCTTTGAACGGACGATTACCATGCATAAGGATAGCACTGGACATGTTGGTTTTATCTTTAAAAATGGAAAAATAACATCCATAGTGAAAGATAGCTCTGCAGCCAGAAATGGTCTTCTCACGGAACATAACATCTGTGAAATCAATGGACAGAATGTCATTGGATTGAAGGTAAGGAACAGACTTTGTGCCATGTTCTGCTGCAGTTTTAGAAAATGTCTGTCTTTTGACTGTATTTAGGTGGCGCTGTTTTCATATTGACTTAGGTGGGAGATGGGGAACGTGGGGCCTGAACTCTTGGTCTGGCCAGTCACCGGAATTATTTGGGCTGTCATCTAGAACTACAGTTCCTATAACAAGTGGGCTGGAATAAATGATCTCAGAAGTACCTCACACTAGAATTCTGTGGAAATATGGGCAACAAAGATTTAGAATATGAATAGTGGCCCAGCATTTCTCAATCCAGGAATATAAGGAAATGAATAATAGTTTTGGTTCATATTAATACTTTATTTTTATAGTTTTTCTCCTCCACAAATTCCTAAATAAGTCTGTCTTAAGGTCAAAAAGTTTTAAGCATGACCTCCTCATTTCATAGAATTTGATTTAGAATACACAGTTAATAAGAGGAGATGGTAATATTGTATATGGGGAAAATTATCTAATATTCAGAAAGGAAAAGTTTTTTTTTGGTTAAAATATTCAACTCAGTTTACTTAAGCAATTTGGTTACTAGCTGTAAAATAGTGTACAATTAAACTTGGTAAGAAATACTAGAAAAAATTAGAAATACCAAGACATATATTTTGTATTTCTTTACCAAGACTGGCATAGTTTTGTATTTATTAAATAAAGCCTCTGTGGAATTAATTTTTAATATGTGTTTTTATCAGGACTCTCAAATTGCAGACATACTGTCAACATCTGGGACTGTAGTTACTATTACAATCATGCCTGCTTTTATCTTTGAACATATTATTAAGCGGTAAGTAAACAATTCCTCAACTTAATGCATATGGTCATGTGACTTAATATAAGCACTATACTTTAATTCTCAGCCCTTTGGTTCTTTTACCCAAGGAATGGATACTGGTGTTTTATCTAGAAATTTGAAGTAAGTTATTTAAATCAGAGGGTTGGTAAGGATGAGCTCTTACAACTTCCCAAGTACGGAATAAAATTCACATATACTTTCCTCAGTTTTTATAATGCCTGGTAGAAAAAAGGTATGCAAGGAGAAGTGGGCATGCTTTCAGCTTTCAATTTGCAGTGCAATTGACTGCAGTTGCACTGCCTACCACCCCTCTGCTCAGTATAAATATAGTTGTGGTGGTTCGTAATGGAGAATTCTTGCTGGTGGAATGCTAAGAGTAAGTTTCCCTTCTCTCCAGAATCTCAAGAGGCAGATAGACAAGTGTGGTGTGTTGGTGCTATCTGTGCTCAGGAACTGAGGATTAGAAAGCCAAGTGATCAGAACTGAAAAGAGGCAACAAGGTTCCTTCTATAGAGCTTTTCATATCCTAGCATCTACCATAGCTGTTTTTGTCAAGCCAGCTTGGAATCCTTTCAGAAGCTCTATTATGCATGTGAAAATGAGATTTAAAAGATTCATAAACATAACCATTGTAATGAAATTTTTGTGTTGGCTTCTGGATAGAATGCACCTAGCTACCCTTGGAGGGGGTAAAAAGGAGTTATTGTCATGACTAATTTTTCTAGGGTTCTCTTTTCTTAAATCACTGATGGATCCCTCTACCCCAACTCATCACAGCCTTGTCATTTTCTTTCTGTTTTTTAAAAATCACCATGTTTAATGCACAGGAATTCATTTGTATCCTAACTTCTCTAGCCAAATACAGATAGTCTTTCCCACTGAGTGTCTGTCAACAACTAGATTACCAGAGATGCTTCTGGACTCATTTAAAAGATCTTTCCCTTCTCTCCATTCATATTTGATGCTAACAGGTGCTAAATTGGAATTGGGAATTTTCTTGGATTAATGTAGCATTTTGAAAAACAAAAACCAGAATCTCGGTATATAATAAAAGTACCTCTCTTGTAGGATGGCACCAAGCATTATGAAAAGCCTAATGGACCACACCATTCCTGAGGTTTAAAATTCACGGCACCATGGAAATGTAGCTGAACGTCTCCAGTTTCCTTCTTTGGCAACTTCTGTATTATGCACGTGAAGCCTTCCCGGAGCCAGCGAGCATATGCTGCATGAGGACCTTTCTATCTTACATTATGGCTGGGAATCTTACTCTTTCATCTGATACCTTGTTCAGATTTCAAAATAGTTGTAGCCTTATCCTGGTTTTACAGATGTGAAACTTTCAAGAGATTTACTGACTTTCCTAGAATAGTTTCTCTACTGGAAACCTGATGCTTTTATAAGCCATTGTGATTAGGATGACTGTTACAGGCTTAGCTTTGTGTGAAAACCAGTCACCTTTCTCCTAGGTAATGAGTAGTGCTGTTCATATTACTTTAGTTCTATAGCATACTTGCATCTTTAACATGCTATCATAGTACATTTAGAATGATTGCCTTTGATTTTTTTTTTAAATTCTGTGTGTGTGTGTGTAAAATGCCAATTAAGAACACTGGTTTCATTCCATGTAAGCATTAAACAGTGTATGTAGGTTTCAAGAGATTGTGATGATTCTTAAATTTTAACTACCTTCACTTAATATGCTTGAACTGTCGCCTTAACTATGTTAAGCATCTAGACTAAAAGCCAAAATATAATTATTGCTGCCTTTCTAAAAACCCAAAATGTAGTTCTCTATTAACCTGAAATGTACACTAGCCCAGAACAGTTTAATGGTACTTACTGAGCTATAGCATAGCTGCTTAGTTGTTTTTGAGATTTTTTAGTCAACACATAATGGAAACTTCTTTCTTCTAAAAGTTGCCAGTGCCACTTTTAAGAAGTGAATCACTATATGTGATGTAAAAGTTATTACACTAAACAGGATAAACTTTTGACTCCCCTTTTGTTCATTTGTGGATTAAGTGGTATAATACTTAATTTTGGCATTTGACTCTTAAGATTATGTAACCTAGCTACTTTGGGATGGTCTTAGAATATTTTTCTGATAACTTGTTCCTTTTCCTGACTCCTCCTTGCAAACAAAATGATAGTTGACACTTTATCCTGATTTTTTTCTTCTTTTTGGTTTATGTCTATTCTAATTAAATATGTATAAATAAAGTTACATTTTAGTCTGTCTATTACTGCATCATTTGCTTTCACCAAACTTATGCATGATCTAGAAGACAGGCAGGTGAAATTCACTTTCAGCTGTGGGAGACATCATCTCCCAGAACAAGCTGACATTCAGGGGCCCTAAGAACAGCTCTCAGTGCTGAGACTGAGTGTCAGGAAAATTGCTTCCAGCTGGGAACCCCAGATTACCAGGGCCAAAAGAAGAGCTGGTTCACACCTGCCATGCAGCAGGAACTCATTGAGGCTACTGATTGTCCCTAGCAATACCTGAGACCAGGTAATATTTAATAACACTGAAACTGACTTTGGAAATTCTATTAGTGTGGTCTGACTCAAGTTTTTTCTCCTATGTCATACTACCTGCAAGATACAACAATGTTTTTAAAGAGTATAGAAAAAATAATAAGTCACACACTTACCATGGTTCAGAGGTTGAATATAAAAGGAAATCTGCTACTGCTATACAGCTTACCTTGTTTGAAATTTAGAAGAGAAAAAAATATTTGATTATCTACCTGAGTCTGAAGATAATTTCAAAATAATGGAATTACATTCATATCACTAAATATGGTTTTCTAGAAGATGATTCTAGACTTGTGGTCTTAAAAACACTAGTCTTTTAAGTTACTTAAATAAAGTGAAAACAGCTTTCTTTAGAGAAAAATATTTTTAATGTAGAAAAGATGAATAGCTGTAATGAAATACAAACCGTTCCTATACACAGTAAACTTACTAAGAACTGCTAATCCTTCTCCAGGTTCTTAGAATCTGGGTACAGCATTATAGAAAGTAACCACGCTATGAAAACACACACCCAAAACCCGATGGGTGGCAATTGTGATAGATTAGGAAGACAAAACAGATTCAGAAGTAGCAGAGAATACTGCACATTTTCTTGGAAAATTTCTTAATTGTTCAGTGCTTTCTGACAAGTTTCCCCAGCCCAATTTATCTCTTAGCTATTCTCTGCTACTTAGTCCTGTCTTCTGACAATCATCATACGGGGACGATCATCTGCCTTACAGTGTAACATGTTTTTCCTAACACAGCCGCATTTTATCTGCCCTAAGAGAATAGCAACTAATGGCTTTCAATGAAGTCACCATGATTTAGAAAGTTTAAAACCACAAATTTTCCATGTGGTAAAACTTCTAATTACTAACATTGCACATTCACCAGTCCGTTTAAAAGTTTGGTTTAAAAATGCATTAAATAGAGTTCAATTTAATATTCAGGAGAGGAAAAGGCACTTAATACTGCAATTTCCAGAATATAATTTGTCTGTCTTCCCCTCCTGTGATGATACTGCTACACTGTTCATTCATCCATATACATGTCACAGCACCTGAGAGAAAGACATTTTGGTTAGTTAGGAAGTTGACCAGGAGGCACCCAAAGATAAACTTTACTCTGATGCTTACTCTTGCTTTGCTATTCATTTACTAAACAAGTGAAGTAAGTTCTATTTTTTCTTGTCTGCTTCCTATAATAAAACCCTTGAATAAATTAAAAATAATTGCTTGGTACAAAGATCTTGTGAGGAATACTAAACCATTTAAGTGTAAATCTAAAGCTAAAACAACTGGGAATTATGGATATAGAACAATGCAAATAAATACCTTGGCGAAGTAAGTACAATACAGGTATAACATGACAAAAGTTGGGAGACAGATGTGAAGGAAAAGGTGGGGTTATTGGTGTAAGGTTATTGGTTTATTTCCTTTTCCACTGGAAGGGGTCAAATCACATTAAAGTTACTAAGTTGAGAACAAAAGTCACAAAGAATTTCATTTTTTTTGAAATAGTCTCGCTCTTGCTCTTACCCAGGCTGGAGTACAGTGGCATGATGAAGCTCACTGTAGCCTCTGTCTCCTGGGCTCAAGCTAGCCTCCCATCTTAGCCTCTTAAGTAGCTGGGACCACAGGCGTGTGTCACCACACTTTTCTAATATTTCTGGTTTTTAGTAAGAGATGAGGTTTCGCTATGTTGCCAAGGCTGGTCTCAAACTCTTGACCTCCCACTCTGGCTTCCCAAAGTGCTGGCATTACAGGCCTGAGCCACTGAGCCTGGCCCAGACTTTTTAAGGTATACATTTAAGAAGAACCATATGAAGTCGAGTGACACAGGGAAGAGAATGAAGGTAGGAAGTTACTGCTTACAGTGGGAACTCAAGGGATAACAAGAGACACTAGAAGAATTAAAAACCAAGTCCTCCAAATGATCAGAAAGCAAGCAAGAATTTGTAAGCAAACAATCTAGTGAATCTCCAAGAAATATTACCAAATGAAAAACATGGGCAGAACAGTTTATTATACTTCACATAAACAATTTAATACACATATACCCTCTCTTATTCACAGGACACACACTGGTAAAGTACTGTAAGGAGGACTGGGAGGTAGGAGTCAGCGGTAGAAAGAAGCCTTAATTTTCATTGTAGTTCCTATTGTATTGTTTCTGGGTTTTTTTTTTTTCTCTTTTTTTACTATTCTAAAAATTTAAGATCATGCTATTACCTTTAAGAAAAATAATAGCTTTACGATGGTTTTTAATTCTCCATATGAAAGTTAAAGACTTCCTTTTTGGAGTCCAATGGCTGTTAACATAAATCTAAATCCTGAGTAACCTACGAGATGCAGATCACCTGGCCAATCAAGAGGCTCCAGGGACATGTTTACGACATGGAAAAACCATGGGTGTTTTTTGCCCAAAAAGAGTATGTTCCCTGATGGAAAAGGCAGGCTTGAGTTCATTATCTTGAGAACAAAGATCAAGGCAACTGCAGTAGCTGCTTACCTGTGTGGCCCTGTATTCTCTCACTGATTTTTGCTCCAAGGAGGTCCCAAACGAGCAGTTCACCAGACTGACTGCCAGATAAAACGGAATTTCCATCCCAGACAAAGCACCTGCAAGAATGATTTAGAAATAGTCCTTTCTTCATCATGAAGGAAGGATATGTTGAACTGGCCAATGTAAGCCCAAATGAAGTGATCATGAACATGTCTGTAAATGTCTTCGCCCCCAGTAACTCACAAACTATACCTCTGGGGCTCATCTGATGTCATGGAGGAGATGAGCATTCCTGTCTGCACATCAATGACATTAAGACAGCCATCTGTTCCTGTGCTGAGGACATGGCGACTATCTGCAACACAAGGTGAGACTCAGATATGAGTGACAGCTTCAGAATGTGGTTTACATTATTCTGGATTTTATTTCTGAGTCCAGTGGCCTAATCTCCACATTCGTTTTCTTCAAAATCCTTGTACTTAAGCAATGACTATCCTCTCCTTGAAATGGTTCTAGCCCTTTCCAAGATGTAAGGATGAGATGACCCTTTGATTATGAGTTCATTTTTATCTTAAATTAATTTCTCTAATGAGGAATTAAAAATACCCAGTCCGGCTTTTCTACCTGATACAAATGCCACAAGTATACTGTACCCTGGCATAAAGCAGTGTTAGCCATTGGCAAAACCTCTTTTATCAGCAAATAGTGTTTTTCTTTGTAAGTTTTATTGTTTATTTCAAAATTAACAATATTGTTTATTTCAAAATTCCAATTTACCTAGTATTATCTGTTTTAAAAAGGATAATATCTACCTGGGCTAAAAGCAGTGTCACATACAATCCCTGAATGGCATGGAATCTGGTGCATTAAGGTGGCCGTTGTGAGGTCCCAAATATTCACTGTGCCTTCTTTGGTGCCGGAAACTAACAGTGTGCTTGCAGCATTTAAACTGATTGTATCTACCTAAGGAAGAAAACACATTGATACATATTCCATTAGATTTATGGTCATTAGCTATGTTTCTCTAGTCTGGTTCAAATATGTAGTCATCATGATATAAATTAAACTCTATTGTGCAGTATGCCGGTGTTGCTAATGCAGATGTATTTCAACATCATCCTACGGAATAACTTATTTTAAAAATGAAATTAAATTCTTTATAAGCTAGGGAATACAAGAAGAAATGAAGTATTGCTAAAGTAAAGGTAATGCTGTTTTAAAATAGCTTAAAACTGACAGTCTCAGAAAGATAACTCTATGAATAATAAATTATAGTGAGCCGCCAAAGTGCCTGAAGCACAGCCAGTCCATGATTATTTGAGGGATTTGTGGGAGTGGCGGAATCTCTCGAGGCTATACTTGCACATCATCATGAATTACATACTAAATATTTCTCAAACTCAGCTAATCTGAAGACCATGGAAATTAGGCATCAGTTCACAACCTTAGAGAAAAGGCAGTACTGTCAACTACAGCATAAGATGCAGCAGCGTGACCCAGAGAAAACAGAGCAAGTGAGAACTGAGCCAACAGGCTGCATGTACTTGACCATCCCAGACAGCTGGTCACTGTCCCCCACTGTTGGATGGGTGTCTCCTGGACAGATGGTTCCCTTCCAGCTTCTGGATCAGAAAACATGAAGGATCATAGGCCCTATCTTGTTGCCCCAAAGAGTTTGAGGGTACCAAATATTCAACGTCCTGCTCAGAAACTACTATTTTGGAATTCTAGTTGGATGGTAGCTAATTCTCAGGGAAATGTGCAAAGAAGTAACTTGGAGAAAAAATAAAACAAAACAAAGTAGACTTGGAAACCTAAAGAGTCAACACAAAGAAAAGAACTGAGATTTAGCCTATAATCTTCCATTAACCAAATAAAGCAAAACAACATGAACAAAACCAAAAACCTTCTTCCAGCCGAACCCCTAGACTTTTAAGGTCAGTTTTCTGTACAGTTTGTTGCTGGTACTCACACTGACATCATGTTCCAGCTCGGCCAGCAAGTCAAAGTGGTGTCTTTTGGTGCCTGGCATCTCTGCAGGAACACCAGACCACACCTAGGATGGAACATATTGCAGAAGGTATTTTCAAACATTTAACAAAAAGTCATTTTCTAGTGCATTCAAGAAAAACTCCTATGCTCAATTTCCATTTAACAGACTTGCCAATAAAGTTAAGCTGCACAGTGCTCCAGCTCCTCCTCCCTATGCCTGCACTTTCTCCCACCAGCATGTGCTTGCTTACTGTCCCTTGCTTGTACCTGTGTGTTTCTATCACCTGCACTTGCTGCTGTAATCGTGTGACTTTAGTATGTGAACTAAGGAAATATGAGTGTAGAAGTATTACAGTGTCTTGAGAACACTATTAATGTTTTGGGAAGACCAAAAAGGATGTTACCCCCAAAATAACTAAAAATAGGTACAGGCAAATAAACTTATCTAAAAGAATGGAAGAAAAATTCTGAAAAACTCCTGGAGGAATTCTAACAATTTTAGGTTCTTGCTTTCTTTTACACCAACACAAAATAGAAACTGAAAATAATGAAAGCTGGCGTGGTTTGTGTAAGATTTCAAAGAAAAGACTGAACATATTCCTACATCGAAAGAATGGTGAATGAATGAGCATTCAGATATTTTCAGTTTAAATAAAATGTGTCTTTTAATGATTCCTCACTTTAACTTGACATTTTCTTTTTTTTTTTTTTTAAGTACAGTTTCCATTTAATTTTTCTCCAGAGAATAGCCTGTCTTCAGTCTTTAAGAACTCAGCTCCTTACATGGGCTTTGGTGGGGGACGTGGGGCAGCACCCGCAGGTCTAAATTGGGGTGGGGGTGTTCGGTCCTTGCAGGCTTCACGAGATCGATTCCTGACTACTTTGCTGTGAATTGCACAACTCACACAGTAATGTAGCTTCACATACAGCTTGGGAAGCAAATAGGCATCAAAGATGCTCGCTTCAGAAATGTCCCTGACTGCTGCGGCCTCCACTATGTTTCGAATGACGAATTTCTTAATGGCCTTGTCCTTGGGCATGCATCGGGCACAGTTAGTGCAGCGAATAGGCTGCACGTGGCCGCGGCCCTTTTTGGCACGACCATTGTTCCTTCTTTTCTTTGTCATCTTGGAGGCACGGACCGGAGAGAGCTAACTTGACATTTTCTAATTAACTATAATCAACTAATATTTCTGATCATGGCAGATGAAAGGGGCTGCTACTATACATTTCTTTCTAACTCTGCTATTGAATGAATGCTAGACCATTCATCCCACAATGGAATACACAGTACAGAAATCATGATAAACTTATTATATTAAGAAGTGGCTATAATTCCCACTACTGCACTCTAGCCCCAGCCTAGGTAACAGAGCAAGACACTGTCTCTAAAAAAAATAAGTAAATAAGGAAGTGTTTTTTTTAAACAAAAAATAAAAAGAATGTACATATCACAAAGTATGTGATACGTAAGGATATTGAATGTTATTGCCTGTGTTTAAAAAATATATAATATGTATTATATAAATAAAAATATATAAATATATGTAATATATAACAGATATTATATTTTAAATATAAATAATATATAAATATATATTATAGATATATTTTATATGTATTTTTTAAACACAGGCAATAACATTCAATATCCTTACACTCACACGCTTTGTGAAAAAGAGTGGAGTGACTGAACACATTAGCAATAGGTAGTTGAGTGGCTTATAATATCTGTATGTACATTTTAAGCTAAAAATTATACATATGCCATATAGCACACCAAGTTAAAAAAACTTTTTAAATTATATATGAACCTTCACTGTAGAGTCCCACGATGCAGAATATAGCCTGTTGTCATGCCAACAGATCTTACTAACAGCATCATCATGTCCCATTAACGTGTCCTGGCGTCTTCCAAATGCTATGGAATAAAAATAGCTAAAAGATAATGAGAAGCATTAAAACAGTAGTCTGGCTTAATTTTAAGGCTCCTAAACATATATTAAAGAAACATTATGTTGTTTCATTCTATACTTACTAAGGCTCACTAGAATTACAAATTGCTTGTTCTCAAATTACTAAATCAAAATATTCAAAATTTGAATTTAAAATTAGAAATTTCCATGTCTGGCTCATCTGTTTTCTCCTCAATTTAAAACTTAGAGAAAAACAGACTCCAATTGGAGAAATTATTCAATCTAAGCAATCATATTCAAATCCAACCATACTGTCCTCATCTCTAATATCTGTTCCCTTTAGAAAACAGTGCTGTGTCCTGGCAGGGAAAGCTTCTGGCTTTTCACACCTCATGTCCACAGAGGCAGCTATTCTGCACGTCGAATCACAGAGCAGGGTGCACAGATACATACACATTATTATCCCATGAAGAAGTTATGACAGTGGCATCTCCTGGTAAAAGTAAACAAGACGATAAAGCCTGAAATACAAATGATTTGACGTTAACAATCTATAATAATTAGTAAGTCTCTAACACAGTAAAGCTATCTTATACATTTCCGAAAAATTAATGCTCAAATCGTCTTTATGTGGCTCTCCTCCTATTTACGCAGATTTTCTCAACTGGCTAATTCCAGCTGTAGGGTTTTTTCCCAAATGCAGGAAGGAATGTCCATGTATGTCAAGGGTATTTACGACCTAGCCTGATGACTCTCCAGGGTCCTGCCCTGGGCTGGAAGAAGCCCACTCACACTCTGGAGTAAATCTCCAGTTGGGGGCAGACTGGGGATGATCCTCAAGAAAGAAAATACCCCCTCTGGACTACAGACTTGTGTGGGTAAGAAAACCTTCCAAAATTCTTCAGAGAATTTCCAGATCTTTTGCATGATTTACATTAAAAATAAAATGTGTTCTTTCAGAAGAATTGGTTTTGTCATATTAGATATCCTACCAACTCAGAGATGCATAAATTAAGTAGCACATAACATTTAGTCTGACAGCTAAAAAAGGGAGAGGTTTATTTAAGTAGAATTCTACTGGGTAGCTCTCCAAGTATTTTAAGCTAAAAATGAAATCACAACAGTAAGAGAAAGTGGTAACCTGAAAAAAATTTTACATTGAAATTAGAAGTAATCTAACTAAGGTATCTGGTAGATTTACTACACAGGAATAAACTCAATTGTTTTGGGAGAAATAAAGTATTATTGTATGGGTGTGTATAAAACAAACTACTACACGGATTTCTATCATAATACTATTAAAATGAACTCACCATATTTGAAAATGATATACTTCTTTGTAGCATTTTTGATTCTTTAGAAAACATCTTCAAGGTGGAATCTAATTTAATAATGAGAAGTAGATATATAAGAAAGATTTCCTAACCATTACAGACGTCAAAGAACAGCTGCTCTTCTTGTTCCTGGTGGCCAACAGTACACTTTATACTCCAAAGTATAATCTTATGGAAAACCGAATGTAAACAGAGCTAGATGACCTAAGGCCTCATCCAACATTAAGATTCTATGACCTGTAACCCCATGACAAAAACATCAATTTAAAAATCCAGCACAGACATGGTAGGTATACTGTTGACATTTCAGCATGACTGCAGGCAGAAATGTGGTAGCTGGTATATGCAGAAAGTTACAGGGAGGAAAATAGCAATTTTAATAGTAACAATGAAACAGTAATTTTAATACTAAATAAGACAAAAAGATCTTGGCAATATGTTTTCTTTAAAAAAACTGCCCAATTATATATAGTTAAGTGTGATACCCTTGCACTGAACATTAGTTATAGAAGGGAACCACTGACTTTCTAAATAATAATAAAGTAGAAATTAAAAATCCAAGCATTTAATTTTCTTGTGTAACAGAAACCTTCCTTTTTTTTTTTTTTTTTTTTTTTTTGACACAGTATCACTCTGTTGCCCAGGCTGGAGTGCATTGGTGTGATCTTGGCTCACTGCAACTTCCATCTCCTAGATTCAAGCAATTCTTGTGCCTCAGCCTCCCGAATAGCTGGGATTTTTTGACGTGCACACCACGGCTGGCTAAGTTTTGTATTTTTAGTAGAGACTGGGTTTCACAATGTTGGCCAGGTTGGTCTCGAACTCCTGGCTTCAAGTGATCCGCCCCCTTCGGCCTCCCAAAATACTGGGATTACAGGTGTGAGTAACTGTGCCCGGCCTCAAAACAACCTCTTAAAACCCAAGACTCACAAATTACAAGGCTCTAATGTGCTTCAGACATCCTATATTTGAGATATGTAACAATCTATTTTCTAACTTACACAACGTGATGTCGGAATGATCTTTAAATAATTTCTTCTGCACAGTATAACTTAATAATTCAACCCAATTTTTGCAACCCCAACACACAGAATTCCTGACAATTTATAAACATGAGCCTCAATAAGATATTCTTCAGCATTAATTTGAAAACGAAAACAGAAGAATGAACACAGTATCACTTGAACTTTCCCCTGAGCAGTATAATTAGATCTGATAGTCTTCCCAACCTTGCTTTTGATTCTCTTAGGCAATTCTGAGCATTCACCACAAAATCTATTTAAGATGATTAATTTGAGACATCCTACAAAAAAAACCAGAAACCAGTCGGTTCTATAAAGATGTTTTTCTCTCCTTGATGTCTAGTGGTTAGGATTTGGTGCTCTCACTGCAGCAGCCTGGGTTCATTTCTCAGTCAGGGAACCAAAAAAATGGAAAAAGAAAATAATAAAAGAAAAAAAAAGACGTTTTTCTTGAAATCAAGGATCCCCTGTACTAGAGGTCATCATGTTAAAGACTGCAGTAAAAGCTAAGCTCATAAGTGGTGGGTTCTGTGCCTGCCCACATACCTAAACATACTGTATACTAGAAGAAGATATGTAATTTTGGGGTGACCATCAGGATACATATAAATCAGTAATATGAATTATGAAAATCTAAATATGAGAAAAACAAACAGAAAAAAACAAAAGCTTTTGACTTTATTTTTAAACTCTCTCGGCCGGGCGTGGTGGCCCATGCCTGTAATCCCAGCACGTTGGGAGGCCGAGGCAGGTGGAACACCTGAGGTCAGGAGTTCAAGACCAACCTGGCCAACATGGTAAAACCCCATCTCTACAAATATACAAAAATTAGCCAGGCACGATGGTGGGTGCCTGTGAACCCAGCTACTCAGGAGGCTGAGGCGGGAGAATCGCTTGAACCCAGGAGGCGGAGGTTGCAGTGAGCCAAGATCGTGCCATTGCCCTCCAGCCTGGGCGACGGAGCAAGACTCTGTCTCAAAAAAAAACAAAAACAAAAACAACAACAACAAAAAAAAAACCTCTCTCTCCTTTATTGTGAAAATCCACAGAGGAGTGACATAATGCTTAATAAGCCTCAGTGGTTTGAAGCCACAACGCTCATCAAATTCATGGTTAACAAGGTCATACAAGTACAACTGTGCTGAACGATTTAACAAGCCATCCCAGACAAATCCTGCTAAGAACACAGGTTTTGCTTAAAGATAAAGCACTTTGTCTGAGGCTATAATTTTTGGCAAACTCCACAGGTAGAAATCCTGGCAAAATACAGATTGCTTCCTTCTATCAGAGAAGTGCCTCGGTGACCCTGGCATGGCCCAGTTTGGGAACTGCACATGAACTTCCTTTTGATCTACTGTGTAGAATCACTTCTATGCTTTGTGGAAAATTTTTTTATATACAATCCAAGACAGTATTTGAAAAAGAACAGAATGAAATGCTACAGATCATAAACAATGATAACAGAATCTGAGAGTAGTAATTCTGATTTTCCTGAAAGTGTTTAGTTGGATAGCACTTTGTCTTAATGAATGAAAAATATAATCTCCTATGATAAAGACTAAATAACGAGTAGCCTTACTTTATAAAGTTACAAACTTTGTCAGAACAAGTTGTTTTCTCATGGAAGCAGGAAGCAAAGATACTACCCTTCCATCTCTGCATCTTCCAGAGTGCCAACACAGTGCTCTCAACATGACAAGGCCAAGACATACTTTAATGAATAATATATAATGCAGACTACCAGGGAGAGAACAATGGTGTATATAGTAAGGGATGCTTTCTGCTTTACAGCTATAAGTCATATCAATGACACACTGCAAGGGTTTTTATAATTTTGATAATGTATAAGCATATTAAATAATACATGAATTTGATTTTGAGCTAAATCAAATATCCCGAAGAAATATACACTGAATGACAAAACTGCAAACCGTAACAGCAAATCTGCATTTCCACGTGCTGACAGGCACACATCAATTTCTGATACAGCACTTGCTACTCACAGCCAACCCCAACAAGTGGACAGCGCACCTCTCATGGGCAGGCAGGAAGTGCCTGACCCAGCAAGGGTGTGGAAAGGAGGCTGTTTCTGTCCTCTATCCTCAACTCTGGGAAACCTCATCAGCAACAGAAAGATGTTTCATTATTATTTTTGGCAAATTACCATGAAACTCTATGTAATGTACCACAAAGGAACTGCTCTAAGTTTACTTTATGTGGAGGCAGCACATGCAAGTGCAGTCCTTGACCACGAGCTAAATAATAAAGAACTCAGACATTCTAGGATTTTGGTTAAGCCGCCTTTCGGGGAGGAACACTGACCTTGGGATGTTGTGAATACTGAAGATCCATTGCGAGAGACCGTGATTCCAGTAACTGCTCTGCTCAAAAACAAAGTTTCACAAATTACTACTCATCATGTGTTAGGATACCCTCTTTGTTTCATATCCTTGATTTAATTTTACCAAGTTTCCTTAATTTTTTTCTTCACAGCATGTCTGCCGGATCTGTCCCAGCATAAACCTGCCATTACCAAATCACTGCTTGGCACCTTCTAACGTTCTGGCAACGCCTGTGGCTAGAAAACATCCCCACTCTTTGCTTCCCTGTGTTCCACATGCAATGCTTTACATATTCCTGACAATTTCTGGCAATTGGAAAACTCTTCTCCTTCTATTCCCCCTCGTTTGACCATCACCAAAAGGACAAACTCTTCTTCACAGTCACTTCACTTGCTGATTACTGAAGCTAATTTACTCAGTGACTATTCAATGATGAGAAAATTGGTTCCAGCCTGTCCTCTTAAAGGATCATTCAGTCTTCACTACCTTGGATTACAAGGTCCCTTCCTATGTGCCATTTAGAGAAGTTGAGAAAAGACAGCCATTGTCATCATGAATCAGCCAAAACTCCTTGTTTCTCTTCGGGAGGCTGGACTGTGATGTGAAGCCATCCATCTAATGCACAGCAGTATGCCCAGCTCCACCCATGACCTGTATGCCGGAGGGGCTGTCTGTCGTCATGGAGCTAGGTGGGGCCTAGTCTCTGGACCTGGGTTTCCTCTCTGTAGCAGGATGAACAGGCTAGGTCAGTGCTTCTCGAGCCTTTCTACCAGAGAACATGAAGGTCTTAATGAGAGAGGGCAGAGAACACACATATCATCTCTGGGTCCAACAGCAAGCCCAATTTCTTAGAAGCATAATTATTTTTAAAATTCATGTGAACTTTGCAATGTTCTCTGGGAGAGCTAATTTTTTTAAAAGGTGCCTTTTCACCTACATTATGTGTAAATCCAACACTCGTGGGGTATACATCACACTTCTCCCATCAAAGATTCAAGGAGCTGTGTACTCCAATTTGAGAGGCACAAAACTGGCTGCTCTCTGCCGACCACATCTTGTACTGTGAAGTGACAGACTGCAGAAATGACAGCACGGTAGCCACCACAAATCATTTCGTGCCAAACTTTCCCTACTACATCAACCTCAGGTGGAGATCACTATAGACATTTTGGGGAGATTTTTAAAAATAAAGACAACATTGAAAGGGAATTTTCCCTCTGACTCAGCTTAAAACAGTTTAATCCCATGCCAAGACCCTAACTTTTACCAGGACTATCAGCTGCTGAGAAGAAGCAGAGATATTCTTACTCTTTGTGGATTTTATAGTGCTCGTGTAACTGCAGTTTGGTGATGTTATTCCAGGCCAGTGTTTTGCTTTCTTCGGTCAGGTCTTCAAAAGACTCTTCACCTGGAGAGACGACATTAAATTTTTGCTAAGTCAACTAAGTTACCAACAGACAACAGCATCAGATTAACAATATTTTCTATTAAAATCAAACAACTAAGAAATGAAACACCCTGTCACAATATAACTGCTTTGAAATGTACCTGTTAGATGGTTCCACGTTAGTCAAGGAAAAAATTGTATAGAGAAAGATAAAAAGTATCTTTGAATAATACTAGAATCTTTTTATACTTTAACAATGTTTGCAAAGTTTTCACTCGGCCTCTAACTTATGAATTTGGGGAAATACAAGACTGAGTCATCATTTCCTTGTCAACATTGTTTCAAAAACCTGACAGTTGCCTAAGAATGCAACAATTTTGTTCTGGTGTGGGGTGGGGAAAGCAGAGATGAAATCAATTACCGCAAGGGCTTCTGGCAGGAGTAATCCTTTTACTTCTGCTTTAAGAAGGGCTGAAACAATTACCATCTTAAAACAATCACATGACAGTGGTTACAGCCTGGTGACTAAGCAGAGTGCAGTTTGAAACAGCATCACAAGATAATCCTGTGATCTTCATGATTTAACCCTCTAGAGTATTCTCTCTTAAAGAAGCTACCCCTGGGTCATGTAACTCCAGGAAGCTATTTCTCCATGCTTGAGAGAATGCTCATCTATGTATGCCTAAAATGTCTGGATGTCCTTGGAACAGACAGGAGGATAGGAGATAAAAAGTGATTTTGCTCCCAAAGCTCCACAGAGTGTCAACCTCCTTCTGGAAGCCTGTAGGTTTGAAGTTGTCTTAGGTAAAATCTAAAACCTGGGTAACTGGAGAAAGGTGAGTGTTCTTTCCTACCTTTCCAAATATTAGATGTGAGAACTGGGTCAAGTTCAATTTAGTGCCTAGCACATGCCCAGCGCAGAACAGATACCCTGTAAATGTTTGTCAAATGTTAAATAAGTGAAATCCAATGAAGAAGAGAGAGCACTTTGAATTCAAGATGTATGTGGGGCCGAGCGCGGTGGCTCAGGCCTGTAATCCCAGCACTTTGGGAGGCCGAGGAGGGTGGATCACGAGGTCAGGAGATCGAGACCATCCTGGCTAACACAGTGAAACCCTGTCTCTACTAAAAATACAAAAATTAGCCGGGCGTGGTGGCGGGCGCCTGTAGTCCCAGCTACTCAGGAGGCTGAGGCAGGAGAACGGCGGCGTGAACCCGGGAGGCGGAGCTTGCAGTGAGCCGAGATGGCGCCACTGCACTCCAGCGTGGGGGACAAAGCAAGACTCCGTCTCAAAAAAAAAAAAAAAAAAGATCTGTATGTGGGTATAGAAGAGCATAATTAGGGCCAGAGAAAGTCCCTTCTGGAAGACAGCAGGGCTGACAGTGACTGGGAAGGCAGACTGGACAGCTAGGACTGTAAGAATGAAAAGGCAAATAGCTAAGGATCAAACACCAGCTTCAAAACCACAGAAGAGAAAGAGAACCACATCAAAACATATATGGCCAACTTTCACTCATATTCAATTGCCAGAAAATAAAAGCGATTTGATTTCCCTTACAGTCTATAGCTGAAAACAAACAACATCAGCAAAAACAGGTATCTGTTTTCAGGAGAACTGCAATAAGGCAGGAGAACACAATCATCTCTAAGTAGCACAACAGTATACGTCTTATCTCCTCTTCAGAAACATTTTCATCACAGAAGAGAAACAAAAGGTGCTCACGTTTATTCTCTTTACAAAATTTACCTGGGGAATCTGCCATAGAAGCATTATAACTGGAGGTCTGGGACAAACTTTTAAACTTTGGGGTGATCCTTCGAGGATGTGGTGTCACAAATAGTTGTTTTGGTGTCTGCCCAAATTCCAAGATTTGCGTAAGCATGGCTACCTTCTCATCAGGATCCTGGATGCTTTGGGACAGAACACAAATAATGCAGTGAACCACTAGGTTCGAGTTCCTTGAAAGCACGCATTTCAAATAGTACTGATCAATAGGAGGGACTAACCCTCAAATAATGACAGCAACTATGTACCAGGATTGTCTAAACCTCATTATAGACCTTCAGAATATTTTCTGATGCTCAGTAACACAACAGTGAAAGCAAGATAGAATTCATTTTAAAATTTCCATACCTCAACCTTCAAATAAATACATTAATAATTTAGATAAAGACATATCTTATAACTCAAGTAGAAACTCCTTATTGACATATAAGTACCTGTTCAAGTCTACACCTCCTTCATAGGTCAGGGGATGAAATACTGAAAAAGACATACAAAACACTATTGAAAGATGTGCTATTTCAATGTAATATACACTGTTTAGAACCTAAACAATGCAACAACTTAAAACTCATGTTCAAAGAAATTGCTATTCACTTTGCAAAACAGACTAATATCCAACTGCAGTAAATACCAACTTGAATATTATCTTCAGATGAACAAAAATCTACTTGTCAGGTAGAGGACCTGTCATCTCAGTCAGCATTGTTTTCTCCTGAGAGGAAGCATGACTTATAGAATTAATAAGACGGAATTTCCATGTAAAAAATTAGGTCTGAATTTCCAGCTACAGCTCCTTGTTATGAACATGGGCGATATGGATTATATGTGAGTTCATTTATTAAAAAAAGAAAACACACATGAGAAACGTGGAAGAAGATAAGCATTGAAACTGAAGAGAAGGTATATTGCTGCTATTTTCTGTTAAATTAAAAAAAAAAACTCTGGCAGCTACTTGGGAGGCTGAGGCAGGAGGATTGCTTGAACCCAGGAGCCAGAGGTTGCAGTGAGCCAAGACTGCACCACTGCACTCCAGCCTGGGTGACAGAGCAAGACTCTGTCTCAAACAAAAAAAAAAAAAAAAAAAAAGAAAAAAAAAAGAAAAGAAAAGGAAAAGAAACTCTGGGTCTTCCATAGGAATTGAGGCCACTGTTCTATCACACTGTAATAGAGTTTTAATTGAAATTATTCAGTGGGATGTAGAGTATATGCTAAAATTAGAAGACTTTATAAAAAGACCTCTTGGGGCCAGGATGAATTTGGTATTATTTGGGCAAAAGTCCTCCCTCCTTGTCAGTTACTCAATATCTAATCCAGGGGCTGGGCGCAGTGGCTCACACCTGTAATCCCAGCACTTTGGGAGGCCGAGGTGGGCAGATCACCTGAGGTCAGGAGTTTGAGACCAACCTGGCCAACATGGTGAAACCGTCACGACCAAAAAAAATACAAAAAAATTAGCTGGGCATGATGGCAGGTGCCTGTAATCCCAGCTACTCGGGAGGCTGAGGCAGTAGAATCACTCGAACCAGGGAGTCGGAGGTTGCAGTAAGCCAAGATTGTGTCACTGCACTCCAGCCTGGTGACAGAGCAAGACTCCATCTCAAAAAGAAAACCAAAAAAATATCTGATCCAGGGTCATGCAGCCAGTGGACGCTGGAGTCTGACAGAACATGCTTCCACTGAAGAAATAAGACTAATTGCTTTGGCCTCATTTTTTTGTTGGTATTGTTTGCTTTCATTTTCCAATGAAAATGAATAATGCTAAATATTCACCCAATGCTAAATAAAATTTCAATGAATATTACATACCATTATGGGCCCCAACTGCATCACTCCCTTTTTGTTTGTAGCCAAATATTAGATCAATCCACTCGTGAAGGTGTTCAGACACATAATTGCTTTCCAATGCATCTTTGCTCTTCTGGAGAAAGTCCTCGGGACCTATTAGATTAGACTCAATCGAAAAATCATGGAGTCTTCATTTTTTTCCTCCCATTTCTCTTGTCTATCTATATGTATATAAAGCTTCTAGGACAGGCAAGAGGTCCATATTTCTTAATGCAGTTTTCTTTTTCTATCATATGAAATGTAAGTTTTTTGGGGAAAAAAGTGGCAAGAATCATTTTCACATTAAGGTCTCTCAAATATATATTAATGTTTTTACATCACAGACTCATAGAATACTTCTGATATGGAATAGGGCTCATATATCCTTATTTAGAGAATTATATTGTGATTTTTAAAAATCTAAGCAATAAAATAATTACTGAAATTGCACTACTTGGTAAAGCATGTCTATAATACAACACCTCCAAGGGGGGACTCACTGGAAGCCCAAGGGGGAAGCTCCACGTCGTCAACCATCTGTCCTCCTTGTCTCTTTCCCAAATCCAACTTCAGGCTATTGACTAGAAAGCTCACATCATCACCATAGAATTCTGGAATTAACTGAAAGTTTCGGGGAAAAATAAAAAAGAACAACAAACATGTTTTAAAGCAGTTAGAAACCCCAAGTCCAGTTACTCATCAGCTTTATTAACTGCTTACCTCTTTAAAATCCGTTGCACCATCCAGACAGTTTTTCCAAGTTTCTGCAATACTACATATGAAAAAAAAATTCACCTATTTTCAGCTAAGGAAATAGCAATAGCAGCATTTCCTATGCACTTGGGGGCTGTTCTACACTTTACCTGTATTAACTTCTGTTTGTCATTTCCACATAGTTCTAACCATCTCTCTGAGTGTCCCACTTTAACAAAAGGGAACACTGGGGCCCAGAGAGTTTATGTAACTTCTCCAGGGTCACATGGCGGGAGTGGGCATAGAGTCCGAGTCCACACCATTAGCTACCATATACACATTGCCTCATCCAAGGGCCAAATGGAGCAGGGTGCCTCCACACTGAAAGATTAGCACCACTGGTAGGGCGCGGTGGCTCACACCTGTAATCTCAGTACTTTGGGAGGCCAAGGCGGGTGGATCACGAAGTCAGGAGATCAAGACCATCCTGGCCAACATGGTGAAACCTCATCTCTACTAAAAATACAAAAATTAGCTGGGCGTGGTGGCATGCGCCTGTAGTCCCAGCTACTCAGGAGACTGAAGCAGGAGAATCGCTTGAACCCGAGGCGGAGGTTGCAGTGAGCTGAGATTCTGCTCACTGTACTCCAGCCTGGGCGACAGAGCAAGACTCTGTCTCAAAAAAAAAAAAAAAAAAAAAAAAAGATTAGCACCACTATCTGAATGGCTCATTGCAAAAGGAATTATTATTAGATATGTGTAGAGTTCAAAAAAAATGAAAAGGACATACCAAAAAATTTACAACAATTATTATCTCAGTGTGGTGGGATACCAAGTAAACTTATTTCCTTTTTTATAGTTGCTGATTTTTTTGGCAAGAAAATATTACTTTTATAATTTAAAAAGTAAAGCCATCTAAATACACACAGGGAGCTGTATTCAATTCACAGCAAAATTATCAAGAATAATAAAGTGTGGGAAACAATCTAAATGCCCAACAATGGAGAAAAGAAGTTGACATAAAATATGGCATATGTTAGAATGTGATACAATAATTTTAAAAAAGAATCATTGTTTTGAAGAATATCTAATAATATGGGAAAAACTTTAAGATTTAATATTAGGCTACAAAAGGTAGGACAAAAAGCTGTACATAAAATATGTTCTCACATTTACACACACATATACATGTCTAGAAAAAGCCTGAGAGGAATAGATAGAACAATTAGTGATTTTTTACATTTCTTTACTTTTTTATTATATCCAGTGCTTTGAAACAAGTATGTTGTATATATACAATCAGAAAGTGTTAAAAATGATAAGCAAGGCATTTGTATCAAACCTGTTGAACATTCTATCTGCATTATCAAATCTTCCATTCTGCAGGCACAGCATATACTCTGGTGCTAGAGGGGAAAAAGTCAGAGGTAAGTCAGGTCACAGAATCATTGAAGAATACAGTGAAATAAAATTTAATTGGGGGTAATGATAAAGAATCTTACCAATCCTAACAAGATAAAAAAGTACATAACCCGGGGAAGAGTAGTGACTCCCATACATGAACTTTGGTTCAGGCATTTCCTGGTAGCGTGTCTAGAATACAGAAAAAAAAAAAAAATAGAGCTAAGTGTTGGCTATGAAATAATAACTGACAAGTAGAAAAAGCCTAAAAGAAATCATAACATAGATATACCATATTCCTTAATTTCTCTGTTAGATAAGAAAAGGAGAAGATAAGAGGGAAAGAAAATCTGTGGCTAAACAGCATTCCTGAGACAAGTATTTTGGTTTCCCTGGCTTAATGGTAACAAAATGTTGGCACTAGATTAAATAGAACTGATTTTATGTGTCTCTTATGCGATTTACCACAGAATGCCTTCATGAAAATAATTCAGTGAACCTGTAAACAGGTTGCCCTCCTCCTTCCTAAACTGCAGACAAGAAATGCAAATGGTGAGCAGCTAATTCACGGTCAGGAGAAAAGTAAGAAAAAACTCTACGTAGAGTCACTGGTATAATTCCCCTAAGCCTTGGAGAAACGAATTTCCTTCCATAAAAACACAGGCCATGGCTTCTCGTGTTGCTTAGAAACCAAGAATCTCTAAGTCCACATACCAGTAGTCTCTCCAGCCGTTCCTTATTTAGGGCCCCTACTGGCTTACTGAGATCCCGGAAGGTTCCTGGATTTGACAAATCTATAAACATAAATCAATAAATAACTTCAGCTTATACTTAGTACCATTAACCTCCTGAATTAATTCAAATATACACATTTACTTCCACAAAAGTTTTTTTAAAAATTGAGAGCAATCCATGAGAGTTATTTTTGTTAGTTATTTATGTAGATGTAAAGAAAAGGTTAGCAATTTTGAGTTTTAAGTTAGACACAACCACTTAAGAGCAATATCTCTAATTTGACAATGCCCTGAACATTAATTTTTTTAAAAAAGTTTCTGATTAAGGAACATATATATATTCCAAGTAAAACAACAACAACAACAAAATTTTAAAAGCCATTATTCTTCTACCAAGATTTACTTTCTACATTCGAATTCTAGTGAATATTATTATTCTTCAATATTAGCCTATTTGAGAACTAGTGAGCTAAATATTTTCAGAGAAATACTTTATCATATTTCTAGAAAATCTATTATCTCTTTCAAGGACAAAGGTTCAAGATAATGTGTCAAGAGGAACTAACTGTTCACAATATATAATTTTTAAATATTACAAAATAAAGTTACAATACAATTACATTTTTCTTAAAATAATCTGTGGTAGCAAGAGAAGAGTAGATATACCCCAAAGGTAAAGTGGTTATCTCTGTAATATAATTATGGATGATTTTAATTTTCTTCTTTGATTATTTCAGGACTTTCCAAGTGTTCTATAACAAATAATCACAGTTTTTAATGTGATTTTTAAAAATAATATAAGGTGAGTGAAATTTTCAAAGTGAGAAGCAAATATTTCAAAACGTGGTACTTATAGGTAATAATGATAACCCTGGGTTAAAATCATGCCCATTTTTTCTGTGTGTGTCCTTCAAGAAGTATGGTGGAAAAAACATACATGAAACACTTACGTAACACTTATATAGTATCCTGGAATGGAAATTGGCAGTCCTTAGCAATACAACTGAAATGAGTTGTAATTTGTTCACATGTCACATCACAATTATAAAATAGAATTTATTCTGTCCTTTAAAAACAATACAGATGACTACTCCCCACTCAACTTGGTCAGAATTCCACGTGTGGCAGTTACCTAGTTCTGAGCTGGAATAATCATGTATTATCCATGGAAACACAGGGTACTGGGAGAGGTCGTTGCAGCTGCGGTCGGCCAGGTTGTTGAGGTGAAGGAGGTACTGATAGTTGGAAAGGTGTCCACGCTGCCACTGCAGCATGTAGCTCTCAGCAGTGTGCTCCGCCACATGGTGCTCTGGGGGAAGAGGACCCACGAGGTCTGCCACTTAACTTCGCAAACTTAGTATGCAAAAGCTAGGGGCTTAACGTGTAGACCATCCCTGTGCATTCTTGAAAAATGCATTGTAAGAAAAAGAAAAGTAGGCTGCTGACTTGTTTTCATAAAGTATTTGTTCAGCTATGTATAAACAGTTCCAAGATCAAGGAGGGGAAATTATTAAATACACTGAGCTATTACACTACCCTCCACAATATGACATAACCTAAACAAATACAAAAGTGTAGCGCAAATATATAAATATTACATGTTAATAGGTAATATTTATACAGTAACAAAGAATCCCTCCAAATGTGCTGTCTCCATGCATTTAAAAACCCATGGCCATCTGGGAAAGCTTATTTCTTTTATTATTTATGAAATTAAAGCAATCTTTTAGTTTTCTTTTAGGCTTGGAAGAGATGTACTACTGCTAATTTGTCAATGACTACATATTATTTATGCATGTGAAGACTAAGGAAAAGAAAAGAAATTGTTAAAGAAGAAAACAGGCGTTTGGCAGGAGGACCAATTCTCAAACTAAAAGAACCAGACCTGCCCCCTGAAATACCTCAGGAAAAATGAGATCTTAGATAAATGCAGCAATGAGAACTTCCCTTTCAGAGTGTAAAATGAATTAACTGTCCTACAAGTGGATTTTCCATTTTGTTCAGAAAATTCTGCTTTCAACCTTTCCTGATGCATTAAGCATCTTAACTCTTAATATTTATTCTCATCTACTTTTACCAAGTTTCTTCTTTAATCAGCTACTAGGAAAGGGCTTCAAAAATCAAAACACACTTCCCCCTCGTTTTCTACTTTTGAAACCCCTCAGAAAAAGTATGAACAATCTTAGGAATAAACTCAGTGAGAACTGACAGTTTCTTAGAAAATGGATATTTTAGATCATGGCAAAGTTTTTGGCTTGAGATTTTAGGACTCACCATGAAAGTTGATCTTTTTATTGTAATCTTGTTATAGTTAAAAAAAATAAAATTTAAAAACCTAGATCATGAGACAGGAAATTAAAGTAAACTTGTAACAAAGCTATACTTATACATAAAGTTACCTTCAATAGCTTAATGTATGAATAAAATACTAGCTATATATAACTATATATAAACTATATATAACTACATAGATATATATAATATATATATATAAACCTACTTTAAAATAAAATATGTTCCCTACTGAAAGCCAAGTATTCCTCCTTGAAGTAAAATTTCATTTCTAAGGGAAGATGTACTTTACTACAAATTTCACAAATAGTTTTGTGGTACACTAAAATAACAAACACATTAAGATGATATTAATAAAATCCCAATATCCTTTTTTGTTTGTTTGTTTTTTTGAGACAGGGTCTCACTCTGTCACCCAGGCTGAATTGCAGTGGTGTGATCACTGCCCACTGCAGCCTTGACCTCCCAGGCTCAAGCGATCCTCCCACTTCAGCCTCTCGAGTAGCTGGGACTACAGGCACACGCCACCAGTCCCAGCTAATTTTTAATTGTTTTTGTAGAGATGAGGTCAAGCCATGTTGCCCAGGCTGGTCTCGAACTCCTGGGCTCAAGAGATTCTCCCTCCTCGGCCTCCGAAAGTGCTGGGATTACAGTCATGAGCCACCATGCCTAGCCCCAAAATCCATTTTTAAAGATAATTCCTTTCCAGTTATCTAGCAACTTTGTAAACTAGAATAATTTAATTTAGCCTTGCAATGTAATAAAAAAACTTTGGGCTTGAACATCATAATATAAGTATTTTCTCTGGCAAAGGTGGGAAAATTCACATTTTCCATGGAAAACTGAGGAAATATCATTAATTAAAAGCAAATTCCACTCCAAAGTCAGTATATTGAGCATAGAAGGTTCACATGTTCCTTTTGCAGTCTTTCAGCTTTGTGGTTCTGACCACAATCAATGATCACAAACATATGAATAACTCACTGCCTCGCAGTACAAAACTGAGTCTTGGTTCTCATAAACTAATATAAGACCTGACTGAACATAAAAATATTTGAGTGGATTCTTCAAAATCCATTCAATTTGGAGGACGTTAAAATATAAGAGCATTTAAATATATTTATCTAGAGTTTTTAAAACATACATTCAGAATGAACTATTATCAAAGTGAATTTATATTTCCCAGAATTTTAAAAATATTATTTTGGCAATTATAGTTACTGATGAGAAGAAATTAGACCCACAAAGAGGCGATTCTACAAATAGCATTTTTCTTCTCTTATTTCCTATCCCAGATCCTTAGGAGTTGAACTACCTTCATATGAAAAGAAACCCTGTCTCTACTAAAAATACAAAAAAAATTAGCCTGGCGTGGTAGCGGGCACCTGTAGTCCCAGCTACTCGGGAGGCTGAGGCACAAGAATCACTTGAACCCAGGAGGCGGAGGTTGCAGTGAGCCGAGATCACGCCACTGCACTCCAGCCTGGGTGACAGAGCGAGACTCAGCCTCCAAAAAAAAAAAAAAAAGAAAGAAACAATGAAGGGTGAGCGCCAAACCTAGGTATGTGGCAATGTAAAAATAGAGATCATCTCTATCTTGAGGTTCATAGAACTTTAGGTAGATGTCGGAACACAGATCATCTTCTGTGCAAAATACTTCCAAGCCCTATAAATTCAAAAAGAAAATAATAAAATAAATAGCATTGTATTCATCTTGCAATCCCAATATAAGTATATAATTACAAAAACATTCAGTTAAACATTTGTGTTTATTTTTATAACTTATATTCCTATTTTCAATCTATAAATTTAACTCAGTGATATATATACACATATACGTTTGCGTATATATATATATGTTGTATTTATAAATGTTTTGAGAACAAGATAGTATCTCAGCTAAACTTTGTAAATCACCTTGAGTGTTGAATATTTTCATTAATAATAGCTTTTGTGAACTTGTTATTTTGAAATTCAAAAATAGCTGATCCATGTCTTCACATCTCTTCTTCAAACATAAATGTCTAGCTTTCTTTCATAAGTTAAATAACATATATATATTTTGAGACCAGGTCCTGCTCTGTTGCCCAGGCTAGAGTGCAATGGTGTGATCACCGCTCACTGCAGCCTCAAACTCCCAGGCTCAATTGATCCTCCCACCTCAGCCTCTCGAGTAGCTAAGGCTACAGGCGCACCATGCCCAGCTAATAAATAAAAATTATGCACACCTAACAAATTGATAATTGAATAACCCATTCAATTAATACATTATTATTATCTTATAAAAACCTATGAGCTTTGTGACCATAGTGTTAGTAAGGCTGAGCTAGCAAAGGAACAGACAAAGCCAGGATGAAAGCCCAGAGCTACCCTTGGTTCAAATACAGGCTTTCACCATGTACTAGCTGGGAGCTTAGGAAGTTAACCCCCGGAGTCTCAATTTCTTCACCTGTAAAATACAATACTATCTACTTCACAAGGCTTATAATGGCGAATAAATGAAACATTATATATAAATTGCCTGTTACATAGAAAGCACTTAATCAATGTTAATTTCTTCTCTTTTTCTGACTGCAGCTCTATACCCAAAAGAGGAGATTTTTAATAGTATCTGTTTCCCTGATCTGCTATTAGTGCTGGAAATGGAGGAATGGCCTTTTAAGTAAAATAGGAAGCAAAACAGTAGAATTTCACAAATTAAAAGCACAAAAATAAGAATTAAAATTCCACAATGCTTTTGTAATGTCACCAAGTTACTGGTTAATCTTCAAAGGAGAAAAAATGAATTTCTATTGGTGTCGAATTAAAACACTTGGAATCATACCTTCTGTAGGGATTGGTTACTAAAGTAAGACATGTGTCGGAAATAGGACCTAAGTATAGAAATACACTTATTCAGGGAATGGTGGAAGGAACTGCCTATATGATTTTACATGGTTATTTTGTCATTCAGCCCAAAGGTTGAATTAATGTAAGTTAACTGTGAATATACTAGTTCCACTAAAGAAGTAATTTTGTAACATCTTCCAGATTTTGCTTTGAGACCTAGCTGCTATGAATGGTGGAGGCAAGTACAGCACAGGGTTGGTTTTACACAGATCATTCTAGCCTGAGCCCAGAAACTGAGAATGCACGAATGAGAAACTCAAGGGCACTCTAGCCCTCTTGCTCTTGGAGCCAAAAATACTTCATAATAGAACCTCTTCTCTACATGAAAGAGTTATTCCTTTATGAATTTCTACCTTCTCCAAAAGAAAGAACAGCAAAATCAGAGTCTATTTTCTTACAGGACAGTGTACTTGTACTTTCAGACATCCCATAAGTGTTTACCGTCAATAAACTGCTGGCTAAACTGAAAGTGTGACAATCATGCCCCAGCACAGCCTCCCAAGGACTCACCAGAGGCATGAGGCCGTGCCTCCTTTTGTAGATGCGGCGGACATCTTGGAGTGTTATCTGGACCACAGGTTTCTTTAAAAGTAGAAAGACAATCTCAAACATTATTGTTCTGACACAATTAGAAGTTGTTCTATAGTATCAGAAAGGGGAAAAAAAAATCACCAAATCTTGCTTTCCTAATAAACCATTGGAAAAGGAAATCTTGGAACAAGGTGATATCTGGTTTCCCATTCTGCTCTGCCATCTTTCACTAGCTTTATGACCTTGGGCAAGTCTTCCTCCCCGCCATGTGGCACCCTGCAAATGATAATGCAATCATCTATCTTTCAGGGATATTTCAGGTTAGTTTGGGGTGGGGTGATATCTTTCAGGTTAGATTGTGGGGTGATAAGAAATATAAAGAACTGGCATAAATAACCTCTCAGGAATCTTGCTATCTTTTTTTAGACAAATAGTTTGCTTAGTACTGACACACATCTTTTTTAAAGAATCCTGTCTTTTATCTCATTAAAAATTACAGTGTATTAAGGCTCACAGATTACTAAAGTATAAAGCAAGGCCTCTGAATTTTTTCTTTGTTAATGAAGAAGAAAATTGTCTTGCTTTTCTATAATTTTAAAACACTAGTAAGAGAGAAAGGAGGTTTAAAAAGGCAGAGATTGGCTAATGGCTATGCTTCCGTGGTCCTCCTCCCAAGTAGGAGGGAAGATGGGTGTGCAGAGGTCAGTCTGTCCAACAGTGGAAACTGCCCCGGAGTCCCAGAGTCAGGTCTTGGAAATGACTGGTCAAGGATCCTGGCCAGTATTGGGAAGGGGTAAAGGCCCATACCATGGATTGTGAAGCTAGGGTACACAGACATTTTTTCTCAAAATTTCTGACCCAAGCAATAGTAGCAGCCAAGCCAATTTTTTACACTCCCTGAGAATGCTGTGCTAGCAGCATGCAGTGTCTACTGGAGAACTAGGAAAGTGAGCCCCACCACCTAGTGGACACAATCACTATAGCATAATCTTTCACTCAGGAGAGTTTGAGATGTTTTAGTGCCCTGTAATGACCAGCCTGGAGAATTTCCAAGGTGGAACTTTCTCTGGCAGAATTCTTGGGCCCTGCCAAATGGCCCCACAGCACTACCAGGGTGTGTTAGGATTTCTGTTCTTTTAATGGATCATGCTAAAAAGTGGCCAGATCTAGATAAGCAACAAATCTTTACAAGTTTCAGCATGGATATCTAAGTTTATATTTATTTTCTGGCCTTGTAAGTCTGTGTCATTGTGAAAGAGAAGATTGTTTCCAACATCCTAGCAGGAGCCCATAACTGCCAGACGGCAGGATCTCCACACACACCTCTGCACTAGCTGGGAGGACCTGCTCATAGTGCTCCTTCAGGAAAAATTCAGATCTACTGAGGTTGTTCATCATTAAGAAGAAGCAAGAAATACCAACATCTGTGTATATATAAGCAAATATATTTCAAAATCTATTTCTTATTAATCATAGTATATTTCACTGGTCTCTAGGAAATGCCTCCTAGAAGAAAGGTCTAAATCTCTAGCGACCCTTTACTAAAATAGGGAGGAGCAGGGTTTCTTTTCACCACACTGAGAGCAAGTGCCCCTGACATGACTGAAAACAGATCAGAAGAACTCAAACTTCAGAGACTACACATCACGATTACACACGGTGTTTGTAAAATACACAGATGCTGCCTGTGAAGGGGGTGGGCAGGGACATGACTTGATCCTCATCAAAAAGTGAGGTCCCTGGCATTGTGAGGCCATGGTCTGGAAACAGCTTAAACATGGGCAGCTCCCCACCTGACCCTGTGGTCTACACACCGGGTAGCCGTTGAGGGGCTGAAAATACAGGTTTGTGTCCGTGATGCACACGTGTCCAGGATTAGTCACCAGAGGCGTCACCATTTCTGCTTTGCATTCCATGTGCAGCTTTTCAGAAATGTTTTGGAACCTGAAAATAGGTTTTTCAGCAAAAGTAAGAAAAATCAGAAATTGATCTACTTTCTAGGTTTATCTAAGGGAGCTACAGTGTGACTTTCTATGACATTTGTCTAAACACTACATTTAATATAAGAAAAATGGTAATATAAATTGATTGCTTAGATAAAACTGACTCTTTAGAAATGGCATGATAAAAACTCATTTTTCAAAGAAATAGGTGAGATTATCTACCACAGAAGCCATGACAGACAAGTAAATAATACCAAATAACCCTTAGCTAAACTCATTCCCCCCAAAATAAATAGGCCTTGAAACTATTCTTACATTTAAATTATTTCCTATTTTTCTGTCATTATTTTTATCATCCTATAAACCATTTTGACACAAGTGGCATTTATTTCACACTACACTTTATAAGGCTCTGACTACATAATTATAATTACTTGAATTATAATACATTTGAGTAACTGTATATTCCTTTGTATATTTTTGAGTATATCCCTCTGTGAATTTACTGCAGAAAACCTCTGAAAAATGATCTCTTCACTACTCACTCCTAAAATATTTAATCAACAAAGTCCCTTCTCATTCTGCTTTAACTGATTTAAGAAAAAATAAGGGAAAACAACCAAATCATCAACATTTTAAGGCAATTACTGAAATAACTGGGTTAAAAATAAATCTCTTTATAAGTGACAGGACAAAAAGATACAGAGGAAGATCTCCACCTCAAGTTAGGATGGGAAAGCTGTAAGAGACTGTTGAAGCTTTCACCCTAACAACCAAAATGAGCTGGATATACTGAACAATCTTCATAGCTTTTTAAAACCGACTGGAATGTTGAGCATGTAAAGCAACCTAAATGAACATGATTGCAAAAAGGAAAGAAGAGATCAACAGGTGAGTGGCAGGAGGAGGAGCAACCTATGATAGAAGTGAGTAAGGGCTGCAGAATGAAGAGAGATCTTCAGGGAAATGGAAAGCCAGAGTTGAGACTGGAGAGCAAAGAAAGCTCCCCAGAGATCCAAAAATGCTGTCGACTGAGGTGCAAAACAAGGGAAATCTCCCACAGTTCAGAAACCCGATGGCTCAGTTATAAAGCACAAAGATATCTCTAGAATCCTTCAAGTGCTGAGATCCCAAGTCCTGTGGAAGAGAAAGTCTTTATCACTCCCTCAATAGAGTTGTAGGCAGTGTTGGCTTAAATTTAACCACAGGTGCAACAAAGTCTTAATGCAGCTCAGTGACAGATTTGATTGACAGAGCCTCCCTGTACAAGTAGCCTGACAGAATAAGAGGTGGCTTGACCACTTCTGGAGGTAAATATTATTTAGTTCGGTCTCAACACTTCCTTTTTAACAAACTGCTCAATAAAAAAATTACAATACAATAAAATTATAATGCATAACAAAGAAGCAAGAAAATATGACTCATGCTCAAGAGAGAAAAGACTCTATAGAAGGTGTGTCAGACATTGGATCAATCAGAGGAAGACTTTAAGATAACTATAGTAAATATGATAAAGGATCAAGAACAGTCTAGGCATGTTGGCTCACACCTGTAATCCCAGCACTTTGAGAGGCCAAAGCAAGAGGATCACTTAAGCCCAAGAGTTTGAGACCAGCTGGGTAACATACTGAGATACCATCTCTACAAAAAATAAAAAATTAGCCAGGCATGGTGGCATGTGCCTGTGGTCCCAGCTACTCAGGACGCTGAGGATCACTTGAGCCCGGGAGGATGGGGCTTCAGTCAGCCATGATTATGCCACTGCACTCCAGCCTGGGTGCAGTGGGTCAACAAGAACAAAAGATGGACAACACATGTGAAAAGACAGAGTTTCAGCAGAGAAATAGAAACTATGAAAAAGAACCAAACGGAAATATAGGAATAAAAATGTTGATATCACAAAGAACTAACTAAACAATCTTAACAACAGACTGGATGCAGTGGAGGAAAGGTCCAGTAAGGCTGAAAACAGGTCAATAAAAAGTGTCCTAACTAAAACAAAACCAAAGGAGAAAAAAGAATGAAAAAAATATATAGGAGTGTGTATCTGAGATCTGAAGGAATATATTAAACATACTAACTTAAGTATAACTGATTATAAAAGAAAAGACAGAAAATAGGACAGAGGAAATGGAGAAGAGAATGGCTGAGAACTGATGAAAGATATCAGTTCATAGATGCATGTTATTCTGAAACTCTATGTGACATAATAAAAAAATATATCATTTGGTCTCTGCTCCCAGTTTGTGGCACAGAGCTCCTGAAACTTGTGTAATTTCCCGAGTGACAGAGGTGTTAGGTCCATCTTTTGTTCTAATATTTGGTCTTTGGTCCTGATTCCTGACATAGACCTCCTAATCTCTTGGAATTTCCTGAGTTACAGAAGCATCTTTTGCTCTAATGAGGCAACTGTGTATGGGATCCTGGATGGGTGCTGGTCACCAGAAGGACCAAGCCCTGATGAGAGGCTTAGAGCTTTTGGCCACACTCGCCCTTTTCAGCATAAGGTAGAGAGGCTGGAGACTGAGTTAATATTTGACTATGCCTATGTGACGAAACCTCCATAAATACCCCTAAACTATGAGGCTGGGAGAGCTTCTGGGTTGCTGAAGACATCTATGTGCCAGGAGGGTGATGTACCCTCACTCCACAGGGACAGAAGCTCCTGCACTCAGGACCCTTCCTTCCAGATATCACCCTATGCATCTTCTCATCTGGCTGTTCATCTGTACCCTTTATCATGTCCTTTATTATCATAATAAACTGGTAAACATAAGTAAATATTTCCAAGTTCTGTGAGCCATTCTAGTGATCAAACCTAAGGAATGTGTTGTGGGAATCTCTGATTTATAGCTAGTTGGTCAGAGCACAGGTGACAACTTGGATTTGTGATTGGCATCGGAGGTGAGGGGGGCAGCCTTGTTGGACTGAGCTCTTAACCTCTGGGGTCTGTGCTAACTCCAGGCAGACAATGAATCGAATTGTAGAATACCCAACTGGTGTCAGAGAACCCTTTGGTATAGGAAAAAGCCCCACAGCTGATCACTGAGGTGTTCTGTGTTGACAGCATAGTAGGAATTTCCCCATCATACACTCTGAAACCCTCAAGCAGGATGAGCACAAGAAAACCACATCGTATATAGGGAACAGCAATTCAAATCATGGGGCTCTTCACCGGAAACAATGGAATGACAATCTTTAAAGGGGTAAGAAACCTGTCAACCTAGAATTCTATATCCAAAAACACCCTTCGAAAATGAAGGTAAAATAAATATCTTCTTCTTAGACAAAGCTGAGAGAATTAATCTCTAATGGATCAGCTTGTAATGAATGCCACAAAAAGTGTTTTAGACTAAGGAAAAATGATACCAGATGAAATACTAGATTTGCAGAAAGGAAACAAGACTAGAAATTATAAACATCTAAATATCTAAGTATTAAAAATATTTTTTAGTATTTTTAATTTCTATGCAAACACATATATGTATCTAAATTCTTTAAAAAGCTATTGATTTTTAAAGCACAAATAAGAATACTGTATTGTGGGTTTTATGGATTATGCATAAATTAGCCACAAGATAAGATCATAACAGGCAGGAGAGGCTAAATGGAAATACATTGGAGTAAGGTTCTTGTATTGGTGTAAAGTAGCATGAAATGATATTATCTGAAGGTACACTCTGGCACGAGGTACATATTGTAATCTCTAGAATGACCACTAAAAATAACACAAAGTGCTACAGCTAAAAAGTCAATAGAGTAGATAAAATGGAGTACTGAAAAATACGAGAATTACCGAAAAGAAGGGAGAAAAGGAGGAGCAGAGGAACAAAAAAAAAATGAGACACCAAGAAATAAATACAGAAACAATGTGTGCCACATAATGATGTTTTGGTCAATGACACTGTATATAATAGTGGTCTCATAAAATTATAATACCTTATTTTTACTCTACCTTTTCTATAAGTAGATACATAAATACTATTATATTATAATTGCCTATAGCATTTAGTACAAGTTGAGTATTCCTTATTCAAAACACTTGGGAGCAAAAGTGTTTCGGATTTTGGATTTTTGAATGTTTGTATCATATCGGTGTGCCTCCCTAATCACAAAATCTGAAATCTGAACTGCTCCAATGAGCATTTCCTTTGACCATCATGTTGGCACTCAAAAATTTTTGAGTGCATTTCGGACTTTTGGAGCATTTCGGACTTAAAATGTTTGAATTAGGGACACTCAAGTGGTACAGCAAAATGCTGTGCAGGTTTGTAACCTAGGAGCAATAGGCTATACTGTATAGTCTAAGTGTGTAGTCAGCTGTACCATTCAGGTTTGTGTAAGTGCACCCTATGATGTCCTCACAATGACCATTGCCTAACAACACGTTTCTCACAACATATGAGGCGGGAAATTAAAGAAAAATAAAATTAAAAAGAAAGAGAAATAAGTTTTCCTGTATTAGGCTGACTTGTCTCAGAGGCAGCAACAAGCACAGCCCAGACCTAGGAAAAGTCTTGATAATATTATCTAATGTGCTCTGAAGACTCTCCCAGCACTCCTTTAACATAGGGAGAAGAAAAACAAATTTTCCTTTGTTTTATGGAATGAGTTTACAGATTCCTCTTCTCTGTAACTAGTGACTTCAAGTATTGTTTTATCTAAGCAGTAGAGTGACGGTCATGAGCCTCTGAGCAGGCCTGAGTTACGGCCACCTGGGTGCCATAGTGAAGGTTATAGGATAAGCCTGTGCCTAGGCAAACCTAGATAATGGACATCTGGGTTGCATAGCAATGGTTATGTGCAATCCTGAGTTATGAACCTGTTACAATTTGATTATCGGTCGTTGTCCTGCCTCTGTATCCCTGCTTTCACACCACTGTAAGCTTGCTTCAAGCTGGCCCACCCCTTTGGAGAAGTGTGTATAAAAGTCAAGTGCTGTCTTTGTTCCAGGCCCAGTCATTTGGACGCTGAGTCAGCTGGGCCTGGTGCATTCAATAAAAGATTCTCCTGTTTTAACCCAAGGTCCCTCTCTCGTCCTCCTGAATCCCACAACACATATCCCTGTCATTAAGTGATGCATGACTATCCTAAGATACTAGGCTTAAAACCAGCTAGTGTATAATTATATAATTATAAATTATCTAAACGTTCTTATTGAAAAGCAGAGATTGTCAGAATGCATAAAAAGCAAGACTCAACTATATATTTAAAGTATATATATTTTTTAAAACAGAATAAATACACAGGTTAGTAGTAAAAGGGCAAAAAAAGATGTATCATGCAATCACAACACATAAGAAAACTGATGTGGTTACTTTAAAGGAAGACAAAGCAGGCTTCAAGAAAAAGACTATCACAAATGAAGAGGGACATTTCCTAATGATGAAAGAATCAATTAATTAAGAAGACATTACGCATCTTAATGTATATGAATCTAATAACAGAGCTTCACAACACAAAATGCATAAATTGACAGAAATAAGAAAAGAAATAAATCACCACTGACAATTTTAACATCCTTCTCTCAGTGACTGATAGCACAAGTCAACAAAAAAAATTAATGAAATATATTTGATCCAAATGACCATCAACCAGTTGGACCCATACGGCACTTATGGAATACTATTTTCAACAGCTGCAGAGCTCACATTCCTTTCAATGGCATGTGAAATGTTCACCAAGATAGGCCATATGCTGGGCCATAAAACAAATCTGAACAAATATCAAAAGACTGAAATCACATAGAACATATTCTCTGATCAGATATTAAATTATAAATCAGTACCTATAAAATATCTACTAAAAATTTCCAAATATGTGGAAGTTAAACATACTTCTAAATTACCTATGGGCCAAAGGAGAAATGATGAAGAAAATTACAAAATATTTTTACATTAATGGTAACAAAAAACATATCAAAATCTGCAGAATGTTGCAAAAGCAGTGCTTAAAGAGAAAATTATAAGTTTAAGTACTTCTATTACAAAGGAAGGAATAAAACTGGTGACCTAGACTTTCTTCTTAGAAAGTTACAAGAATAAGTTTAAACCCAAAGCAAGCTGAAGGAAGGAAATCATAAAAGTAGACATCAACTATAAGTAAAGTGAAAAAGCAGAAAAATATCAACAAAGTCAAAATGTGGTCATTTGAAAGATTAATAAAATTGGTAAGCCCTGGCAATACTGATTTTTTTTAAAAAGAGAAAACACAAAGTATCAGCATAATGAATGAAAGAAGGGTAGATACTACAGATGCTGCTGGCATTAAAAGGACATTAGCAACTTCATATCAATACGTCTGACAATTTAGATGAAATGGACAATTTATTTGAAAAACACAAGTTACCAAAACAGGAACAGAAGAAACAGACAAATGCAACAGTCCTATGTCTAGTAAATAAATGGAATCCCAAAGGACACTTTAGACCTAGATGGCTTCATCAATAAATTCTATTAAAAATGTAAGGAAGAAATAACAACAATCCTACACAAACTTTTTCTGAAAACCGGAGATAAAGAAAACCTCCATACTATTATGAGGTCAGCATAACCTGTACCATACCTGACAAATACCTTACAAGAGAATTACAGAGCAATATCCCTCATCAATATAGATATAAAAATACTAGCAAAGCAAATCCAGTAATATGTAAAAAAGATAAGATATCATGTTCCCAAATTAGATTTAGCCCATGAATACAAGGTTGGTTTAACATTGAAAAAAATCAATCAATGTAATTCAAAACATTAACAGAATAAAGAAAAAAATATGATCATGTCAATGAATGCAGAAAAAATATTTGACAAAATTCTACACCCATTATTGAAAAAACTCTCAGTAAACTAGGAACAGAAAGGAATATTTTCATTCTGTTAAAGGGCAGCTATGAAAAACCTACAGCTAACATCATCTTTGAATGATGAAACCTTAAGCCCTTTTCCTGTAAGATCAAGAATGAGGCAATAATGTTCATTTCCACCACATCTATTAATAAAACTGTGCAATGAGGCAAGAAATAGAAAATAAAAGCCATACGGATTTCTGTGAAACTGTCATTATTCACAGATTAAATGATTATGTACATGAAAACTCCATGGAATCTAGCAAAAAACACTCTAAGACTAATGAGTGAATTTAGAAGAGTCATAGTATACAAGGCCAATTAAAAAAAGAACTGTATTTCTATGTACCAGTAACAAATAGTTGGAAAATAAATTTTCAATAGTATCAAACAATCAAATATCTAGGAATATGTCCAACAAAAGATGGCAGCATCTACATACTAAACAGAACAGGGATTCTGAGTGGGGCATGAAAGAGAAATCTGTACTATCTTTTGGTCTGTTCTTCTTAAATCTACAATCATTACAAAATAAAGTAATTTAAGGAAGACTTTTGGGGTAGAAAAGGGTAAATTTTTAATTCAGGATGGATTAAAGACTTAAATGTTAGACCTAAAACCATAAAAACCCTAGAAGAAAACCTAAGCAATATCATTCAGGACATAGGCATGGGCAAGGACTTCATGACTAAAACACGAAAAGCAATGGCAACAATAGCCAAAATAGACAAATGGGATCTAATTAAACTAAAGAACTTCTGCACAGCAAAAGAAACTACCATCAGAGTGAACAGGCAACCTACAGAATGGGAGAAAATTTCTGCAATCTACCCATCTGACAAAAGGCTAATATCCAGAATCTACAAAGAACTCAAACAAATTTACAAGAAAAAAACAAACAAACCCATCAAAAAGTGAGCAAAGGATATGAACAGACACTTATCAAAAGAAGACATCTATGCAGCCAACAGACACATGAAAAAATGCTCATCATCACTGGTCATCAGAGAAATGCAAATCAAAACCACAACAAGATACCATCTCATGCCAGTTAGAATGGCAATCATTAAAAAGTCAGGAAACAACAGATACTGGAGAGGATGTGGAGAAATAGGAACACTTTTACACTGTTGGTGGGAGTGTAAATTAGTTCAACCATTGTGGAAGACAGTGTGGCGATTCCTCAAGGATCTAGAACTAGAATTACCATTTCACCCAGCAATCCCATTACTGGGTATATACCCAAAGGATTATAAATCATGCTACTATAAAGACACATGCACATGTACGTTTATTGTGGCACTATTCACAATAGCAAAGACTTGGAACCAACCCAAATGTCCATCAATGATAGACTGGATTAAGAAAATCTGGCACATATACTTCATGGGATACTATGCAGCCATAAAAAGGGATGAGTTCATGTCCTTTGCAGGGACATGGACGAAGCTGGAAACCATCATTCTCAGCAAACTATCGCAAGGACAGCAAGCCAAACACCACATGTCCTCACTCATAGGTGGGAACTGAACAATGAGATCACTTGGACACAGGGCGAGGAACATCACACACTGGGGCCTGTCGTGGGGTGGGGAGCCGGGGGAGGGATAGCATTAGGAGAAATATCTAATGTAAATGATGAGTTGACGGGTGCAGCAATCCAACATGGCACATGTATACCTATGTATCAAACCTGCACTTCTGCACATGTACCCTAGAACTTAAAGTATAATTTTTTTAAAAGAAGGGGAAAATTTAATATGAAGCTATAAGATGATATTATGATTTTATATTTTTAATGATTTTATATTTTATTATGATTTTATTTTATTATATATGAGATATATTATGGAATTATTGCTAATGGAATATGATAATGGTATCAAGGAATGGAGGATATCCTTCTAACAAGTACCTGCTGAAGTACTTATGGGAGAAGTGTTATGATACCTCAGAATTTAGTTTCAGATGGTTCAGAAAAAATATATACACATATATATATAATACAAACATACACATTTATACATACAAATAACACACACACACACAGAGCAACAATGTGAGTAGGAGCAGGCATGACTTAAAGAAAATTTGGCAAAATGTTAAATTAACATCTGGTGAATCATAGGGGATCTGCCTTCATTGTATTAGCGTTTCAACTTGTGACAGTTTAAAATTTTTCAAAATAAAAAGTATTAAAAATAGTTTTCCTTATATTCCTTTAACAAAAAATTATCTCCTCAGAAATACGATGAAAGCTTATCTTAGCGGAAGTTTACCTTTTTTTCTTCTAGAGAAAGTATACAACACTGTAATATTTCATTTCATATGGCAAAAATCCCTTCCCCCAAATTCTTTAGCCTAACATTTCAGCAACTGGATACATTAAAACGTTCACAGTGAACTATTTTTTAAATGAATGTCATGCTGAAGCCCAGAATTGAAGTCTAAATTGCTACTTGGAAAAATGACACATTCTAAGTAGGTCAGAAGAAGCTAATTCTTCTTATTATTATTCCCTTTCCTTTCTAAAATGGAAACTATTCTTCCCTAAGCAATTCACTTACCTAATATATCCTGCCAGTATAAAAATGGAAATAAAATTAACGCTATATAGTGAAGCAGAGAAAGAATCAAACAAACATAAACACAAAAAACACATTACTGGCCAGATGGCCTTACTGGCAAGTTCTTTAACACATTAAAATGTAGGGTAAGGGTCAAGATGACTGATTCCCAAATCTCACAAAGGTAGCAATAAAATAGAATATTACAAACTACTCTCATTTATAAACATAAGCTTCTAGCAAAAGCGTAGCACATAATAATCCATAAATAAATGAACCTATTTAACCAATACTTTCTGCTTTGTCCTAAGGATGAATGATTACAGATGCAAAAATCAAAAATAAAAATGCTAGTGAATAGAGACTGCAAATAATTCATAGATAAGATTTTGTAAATATAAAGAATCTAAATATACAGTTAATGGAATTGGTCATAGAGTTTAATAGGGTTGCTGAAAACAAAATGAGTACACTAAAACCTATTGCATTCTATATATCAACAATAAACAGAAAATAAAATTTTAATAACATACCATTTATAATACCATCACAAATATGAAGTACTAGGAATAAATAACATAAGACAGGAAAGACCTTTATGAAGAAAATCATAAGGAATATATTAAAGGGGACCTAAATAAATAGAGAGAAGACTATAGATTCACTGCAATTACAATCAAAATCCCAGCACAATTGCTTTTATGGAAATTGACAAGCTGATTCTAAATTCAGATGGCAGTGCCTAAGACCAAGAATATTGAAGACATAAGTGAAAAAGGAAAATAAGGTCTGGGGCCCTGCACTACCAGATATCAATAGTTACCATAAAGGTATAATAATTAGCTTAGTGGTACCAGAGACAAAGATACAGACGAATCGCCTAAATCTCCTTGATATAAGGCAATAAACAAGTAAGAGAATGGGATAATACAGAAATGTCATCTTTGCACAAAATGTATACTTAAGAAAAGCCAAGAAAGTCAATGAAAAAACCATTAGAACAGGAGAAGTGTACTCTCTTGGACCCTATAGAGCACCATAGGTAGGTACTTATTGCAACTTGAAGTCTCAGGAAAGACCTTCTAGAAGAACTGAGAGCACAGCTGAAATAAGAAGAATAAGCAACAGCCAGGTGCAGAGAAGGAGGATGAGTTTTCTAAGCAGAGGGAACAAGAACAAAGGCTCAGAGGTAAGAGACAATGTGGCACAACAGAAACTGCAGGCAATGCAAATAACTAGGGCACAGAATTCAAGATGCATCATCAACGACTAGTAGTAAATAAGAGCTAGCACCTAAGAGTCTTGGGGCCATGTTAAGGTGTTTAGGCTTTATCCTGAAGGCACTGGGGATGGGGGCGTCTTGAAAATTTTTATTTTATTTATATTTTTAATGGCCTTTTATTGTATCACTTTCTCTTGGCAATATGAAATAATCCAGGGAATTTTAAGGTGTATGGCTGTAAAAGACTATTTGTGTCTTGGTATAGTAACCTTTGATATTGTCAATGAAAGACAGGCATTTAAATTAACTGTTATTGAAAACTCTTTTGCTTGTTACTGTTCTAGGAGCTGGTTGGTGGGCAATAATCATGTTTGTTTTAGGAAGATAACTTTGTGGACCATATGAAGAGGCTGGAGGAGAAATAATTCCAGTTAGACCGAGGAGAGCTAATGGGGGTCTGGGAAAATGCAATGGCAGTAAAATGGAGAGAATCCATTAATTTCATTCACTGTAATATACCATACTCTGTGGATGCAAGAGACCAGACAAGTTCCTACTCTCAAAGACTTAATTTTTTTTATTATCTTTTAACTTTTATTTTAGTTTCAGGGTACATATGCAGGTTTGTTACATAGATAAAATATATGTCTTGGGGGTTTGGTGTACAGATTATTTTGTCACCCAGGTAATTGGTATCTGATAGGCAGTTTTTCGATCCTCACCCTCCTCCCTCCCATCCTCCACCCTCAAGCAGGCTCAGTGTCTATTGTTCCCTTCTTTGCGTCCATTTGTACTCAATGTTCAGTTCCTACTTATAAGTGAGAACATGCAGTGTTAGTTTTCTATTCCCACATTAATTTGCTCCAGCGCCATCCGTGGCCTCCAGCTCCATCCAGTGTTGCTGCAAAGGGCATGATCTCTTTTTTTATGGCTGCAAAGTATTCCATGGTGTATAGGTACCACATTTTCTTTTATCCAGTCTACCACTGATGGGTATTTAGGTTGATTCTATGTCTTTGCTATTAATATTTTGAATAGTGCTGTGATAAGCCTACGTGTGCATGTATCTTTATGGTAGAACAATTTATTTTCCATTGGGTATATACGCAATCATGGGACTGCTGGGTCAAATGGTAGCTCTGTTTTAAGTTCTTTGAGAAATCACCAAACTGCTTTCTACAGTAGCTGAACTAATTTACACTGCCACCAACAGGGTACAAGCATTCCCTTTTCTCTGCAACCTCACCAGCATGTTATTTTTTGAGTAATAGCCATTCAAAATTTACTAAATTTTTAAAATAATAGCCATTCTAACTGGTATAAGATGGTATCTCACCGTGCTTTTGATTTACATTTTTCTAATGATTAGTGGCATTGAGCATTTTTTCAGATTTTTTTGGTTGCATGTATGTCTTTTTTTGAAAAGTGTCTGTTCATGACCTTGGCCTACTTTTTAATGGGGTTGTTCATTTTTTGCTTCTTTCTTCTAGATTCTGGATATTAGACCTTTGGCAGATGCAAAGTTTGCAAATATTTTCTCTCATTCCGTGGGCTGTCTGTTTACTCTGTTGATAGTTTATTTTGCTGTTTAAAAGCTCTTTAGTTTAATTAGTTCTCATTTGTCAATTTTTGTTTTTGCTGTAATTGCTTTTGTGACTTCGTCATGAAATCTTTGCTGGGGCCTATGTCCAGAATGGTATTTCCTAGGTTTTCTTCAACAGTTTTTATAGTTTTAGGTTTTACATTTAAGTCTTTAATCCATCTTGAGTTAATTTTTGTATATGGTGTAAGGAAGGAGTCTAGTTTCAATCTTGAAGAATTTTAAACGGGCAGGTGATATGATCAAATAAGTTGTTTAGAAAGGACATTTTAAAATTTATTATTTTTATTTTTTGAGATGGGGTCTCACTCTGTCTGGAGTACAGAGGCATAATCATGGCTCACTGCAGCCTCGACCTCCTGGGCTCAAGGGATCCTCCCACCTTGCCTCTCAAGTAGCTGGAACTTCAGGTGTGCACCACCATGCCCAACTAATTTTTTTTTTTTTAGATGGAGTCTCGCACTGTCACCCGAGCTGGAGTGCAGTGGCATGATCTTAGCTCACTGCAACCTCCGCTTCCCAGGTTCAAGCGATTCTTCTGCCTCAGCCTCCTGAGTAGCTAGGATTACAGGTGCCCGCCACCATGCCTGGGTAATTTTTTATATTTTTAGTAGAAACAGGGTTTCACTATTTTGGCCAGGCTGGTCTTGAACTCCTGACCTCGTGATCTGCCCACCTCAGCCTCCCGAAGTGCTGGGATTACAGGCATGAGCCACCGTGCCCAGCCTAATTTTTTAATTTTTAATTTTGCAGAGACAGGATCTCACTATGTTGCCCAGGCTGGTCTCAAACTCTGAGCTCAAGTGATTCTCCCACCTTGGCTTCCTAAAGTGCTGGGATTATAGGCCTGAGCCACTGCACCTGGCCCTTAGAAAGAACATATTTTAAAACAATGTCAGGTAGAGGGAGGAGAAGAAAAGTAGAGAAGGGAAGATGGAGTCAGGTAGGTGAACTAAAAGCTGTGCTAGTGTTCTGGGTGGGAGGTGACGGTGGCCTGAACTGAGGCAACACAATGTGAAAACACAGAAGCAGAAACCGAAGCATCTAACAGACCTTTCTGACTGACAGACATCAGGATGGAGAAGAGTTGAGGAAGCGCTAGAGAGTTCTCCTGCACTGAGGCTGAGCCATTCTCTAAGACAAGCAGGTTTTGGGTGAGACCAATGATGACAGCAGGCTTGGATTTGCTGAATGAGGCATACAGATGAAAATGTCCACCACTTTTCTAATTAGGAAAGATCATTAGAAACTTACCTGTTTTTGTCAAATGATGTTCTAGCTAAACGAGACTGCAAAATAGCTGTTATCTATTAAAACAGAACCAGAAAAAAAGTATTTATAAGTATTTATAAGTAAAATATCAATACAAGTTAATTGACAATCAAAGACAGACATTGTTAAGAATACTTACCATGGCGGTTTGGTCACCCAATTTGTCAAGGCAGGATGCTCTGTGAAGCTACAGTATCATAAACAGACATGAATTTATTTTTTCTCTCAGATGATATGAAGTATTTCTTTAGAAGCAATGAGAAACAGCAATCATTCTGTTAACAGTCAAGATTACTTCTGATATACCTATGGCTTCTTCCTAATATATAGTTTTTAAACTCAACATTTTAAGTCAATCTGCTACATATTTAGAAAACAGATGATGATTTGGGTAAGGTATATAAATACGAAATTTATAAAAACAGTTTTTGCCTCAGTTTGCTTTGAATTTTCTACCCAGCAAGTGCTTACCTGAAGCAACGTCTCCACAACATCTTCCACTTTCCCGGGAACATCCAATTCAAAAACATATTCCATTTTGCCCTAACAAAAAGGGGAAGATATCAAAATACAGGAAGAGAAGAAGTGTGCCAAACTATGCTACTTTAAGAACATGTGTACAGAACCTGCTATGATAAAATCTGCATGTTTTACCTAGTGTAACTTCCCCACTGGAATGAGAGTTCTAGGGGAGCAAGTCTACATAATTTGCTGCTCTATTTATTATTTCCTTCCTTCTTCTAACTTTGGGTTTAGTTTGCCCTTCTTGTTCCAAACCCTTAAGGTATAGAGTTAGGATTTTTTTTTTTTTTTTTTTTTTTTGAGACAGAGTCTTGTTCTGTCGCCCAGGCTGGCGTGCAGTGGCACGATCTCGGCTCACTGCAACCTCCGTCTCCTGGGTTCAAGTGATTCTCCTGCCTCAGCCTCCCGAGTAGCTGGGGCTAGAGGTGTGCACCACCGCACCCGGCTAATTTTTGTATTTTTAGTAGAGACAGGGCGGGGTTTCACCATGTTGGCCAGGCTGATCTCAAACTCCTGACCTCAGGTGATCCACCCGCCTCGGCCTCCCACAGTGCTGGGATTACAGGTGTGAACCACCACACCTGGCCTAGAGTTAGGATTTTTATTTGAGGTATTTCTTCTTTTTTAACGTAGACATTTAATTCTATAAACTTCCCTGTTTATACTGCTTTTGCTGCATCACCTAAGTTTTGGTATATCATGTTTTCATTTATCTCAAGATTTTAAATTTTCTCTTTTTTTTTTTCTTTGACCCATTGGTTTTTTGAGAGAATGTTGTTTAATTTTCACATATTCTCAGTTTTCCTTCTGATGTTGATTTCTAGTTTCATTCCATTATGATTGGAAAAATATACACAATATTATTTTAATCCTCTTAAATTTGTTAGGACTTGTTTTGTGACCTCACATGTGATCTGTCCTGGAGAATATTCCATGTGCTTGAGAGGAAAGTGTATTCTGCTGCTGTTGGGTAGAAAGCTCTGCATATCTGTTAGGTCCATTGGGTCTACAGTGTTGTGCAAGTCCTCTGTTTCCTTACTGATGTCCTATCTGAACGTTCTACCCATTGTCGAAAGTGTGGTATTGAAATCTCCTACCATTATTGTGTTGCTATCTATTTCTCCCTTCAGTTCTATCAATGTTCGCTTCATATATTTAGATGTTCTGAGGTTGGGTACATACATATGGTGATGATTAATTTTATATGTCAGCTTGACTGGGCCATAGAGTGACCAAATATTTAGTTAAACATTATCCCTGGGTGTATCTGTGAGGATGTTTCTGGATGAGATTAGCATTTGAATTAGGAGACTGAGTAAAACAGATTGCCCTCCCCAATGTGGGTGGGCCTCATCGGATCCATTGAGGGCCTAAATCGAATAAAAGTCTAAATGGGAAAAACACTCTTTCTTCCTGTCTTCAAGCTGGGATATTGGTTTTCTCCTGCCTTCAGACTTGCATTCAGACTCAGACTAAACGCTATACCATTGCCTCTCTCCTGGGTCTGGAATTCTTGGCCTCTATAATCACATGATTCAATACCTTATAATAAATCAATTTCTCTCTCTGTATATATACATATATACAGCAATATACCCCTAGATGGGTGTATATGTCTGTATATATGTATATGCATATGTATGTATGTATGTATGTATATATATGTGTGAATGTATGTACACACACATCCTATTGGTTCTGTTTCTCTGGAGAACCCTGACTAATGCATTTGTAATTATTTATCTTTCTGATAAATTGACCCTTTTATCATTACATAATATCCTTCGTCTCTTGTGAAAGTTTTTTATTTAAAGCCTATCTTGTCTGATATAAGTATGGCTAGCTCTGTTGTTTGATTACCAAGCATGGAATATTTTTTCCCATCCTTTCACTTTCAGCCTATCTGTGTCCTTAAACCGAAAATGAGTCTCTTGCAGATGGCATATAGTTTTAGATCTTATTTGTTTTAATCCATTCAGGCACTCCATATTTTTTGATTGGGGAGTTTGATATACTTAATTATTGATAGGGAAGGACTTACTGTTGCCATTTTAACTGTTTTCTGTCTTGTAGCTCATTTGTCCTCTTTTGTCCTCTATCTTCCTTTGTGTTGACATTTTATCATGACATAGTTTGATTTCCTCCTCATTTTTTTTAAAATTTATTTTGATAGTTTTTGTGGTACAGGTGGTTTTTGGTTACATAAATAAGTTCTCTGAGGTTTTGGTTTACCTGTCACCTAAGCAGTGTACGTACCCAATATGTAGTTTTTTTATCCGTCATCACCACCCCCATCCTTCCCCCTAAGCCCCCAAAGTCCATTATATAATTCTTTTTTTTTTTTTTTTTTTTTGAGATGGAGTCTCACTGTGTCACCCAGGCTGGATGGAGTGCAGTGGCGCGATCTTGGCTCTCTGCAAGCTCTGCCTCCTGGGTTCACACCATTCTCCTGTCTCAGCCTCCCAAGTAGCTGGGACTACAGGCACTTGCCTCGCCCGGCTAATTTTTTGTATTTTTAGTAGAGACAGGTTTCACAGTGTTAACCAGGATGGTCTCGATCTCCTGACCTCGTGATCTGCCCACCTTGGCCTCCCAAAGTGCTGGGATTACAGGCATGAGCCACTGCACCCGGCCCCATTATATAATTCTTATGTCTTTGCATTCTCATATCTTAGCTCCCACTTATAAGTGAGAACATACAATAATCTGGTTTTCCATTCCTGAGTTATTTAACTTAGAGTAATGGCCTTTAGCTCCATCCAAGTTGCTCAAAGGCCATTATTTCATTTTGTTTTATGGCTCAGTAGTATTCCATGGTGTATATATATAGGACTTTTTCCACTTGTTGGTTGATGGGCATTTATGTTGGTTTCATATTTTTGCAATTGCAAATTGTGTTACTATAACTATGTGTGTGCATGTGTCTTGTTCACATAATGGCTTCTTTTTCTTTGGGTAGATACCTGACAGTGGGATTGCTGGATTGAAAGGTAGTTCTACTTTTAATTCTTTAAGGAATCTCTATACTGTTTCTACAGTGGTTGTATTAGTTTACATTCCTACCAGCAGTGTAAAAGTGCTCCCTTTTCACCAAATCCATGCCAACGTCTATTATTTTTTGACTTTTTAATTATGGCCATTCTCACTAAGTAAGGTGATACCTCATTGTGGTTTTAATTTGCATGTCCTTGATAATTAATAATGGTGAGCATTTTTTCATATGTTTGCTAGTTGTTTGTATGTCTTCTTTTGAGAATTGTCTATTCATGTTCTTTGCCTACTTCTTGATGGGATTATTTGTTTTTTGCTTGCTGATTTGTTTGAGGTTCCTCGTAGATTCTGGATGTTAGTCCTTTGCCGGATGTGTGGTTTGCGAAAATTTTCTCCCACTCTGTGGGTTGTCTGTTTACTCTGCTGGTTATTTCTTTTGCTGTGCAGAAGCTTTTTAGTTTAATTAGGTCCCGTTTATTTATTTTTGTTTTTGTTGCATTTGCTTTTGGGTTCTTAGTCATGAATTCTTTGCCTACGCCCCTGAAAACTGGAACAAGACAAGGTTACCCACTTTCACCACTTCTATTCAACATAGTAATGGAAGTCCTAGCCACAGCAATCAGACAGAAAAGAAAGGGCATCCAAATTGGAAAAAAGGAGGTCAAACTGTCACTGTCCACCAATGATATGACCATTTACCTAGAAAACTCTAAAGACTCATCCAAAAAGCTCTTAGATCTAATAAATGAATTCAGTAAATTCTCCAGATAGAAAATCAATGTACACAAATCAGTAGCACTGCTATACACCAACAACGGCCAAGCTAAGAATCAAATCAACAATTCCATTCCTTTTATAACAGCTGCAAAAAAAATAAAATAAAATACTTATGGTTATACTTAACCAAGGAGGTAAAATAGCTCTACAAGAAAAACTATAAAACACTATTGAAAGAAATCATAGATGACACAAACAAATGGAAACATATCCCATGCTCATGGATGGGTAGAATCAATATTGTGAAAATGACCATACTGCCTAAAGCAAGCTACAGATTCAATGCAGTTCTTATCAAGATACCACCATCACTCTTCACAGAACTCCCATCAAAATACCTTTGTCAATCAGAAACAATCCTAAAATCCATATGGCACCAAAAAAGAGCCCAAATAGCCAAAGCAGTACTAAGCAAAAAGAACAAATCTGGGGGCATCACATTATTCAACTTCAAAATATACTACAATGCTATAGTTACCAAAATAGCATGGGGCTAGTATAACAACAGGTACATAGACCAATGGAACAGAACAGACAACCCAGAAATAAAGCCAAATACTTATAGCCAACTGATCTTTGACAAAGCATACAAAAACATACAGTGGGGAAAGGACACCCTATTCAATAAATGGTGCTAGGAAAACTGGCAAGCCACATGTAGAAGAATGAAACTGGATCCTTATCTCTTACTTTATACAAAAATCAACACAAGATGGATCAAAGACTTAAACCTAAAACCTGAAACCATAAAAATTCTACATGATAATATTGGAAAAACTCTTCTTTAGTGTATCTTCTATAGGTATTTTCTCTGTGGTTACCATGGGTCTTATATAAAACATCTTACAGTTATAATAATCTCTTTTAATCTGTTAACAACTTAACTTCAGTCACATACAAAAACTATTCCTTCAGATACCTGTCTCCTTTTATGTTAATGATATCTCAAATTACATCCATTTATATTGTGTATTCATTAACACAGATTTCTAGTTATGGGGTTTTTATACTTTTGTCTTTTAATTTGTATACCAGAATTAAACTGATTTACACACCACCATTACAGCACTACAGTATTCTGTATTTGCCTTTATCAGCAAGATTTATAATTCCTACACTTTCATGTTGGTGTTTAGTATCTTTTTGTTTCAAATTGAAGGACTCACTTTAGCATTTCCTATAAAGCAGATCTAATGGTGGTAAACTCTGAGCTTTTGTTTATCTGGGAAAGTCCTTATCTCTCCATTTTTTTCAAGGACAATTTGCCAGATACAGTGTTCTTTGTTGGCAGGCATTTTTATTTGTTTGTTTTATTTGGTTTTGTTTTTACCATTCTGAATTTATCATCCAATTTTCTGACCTGCAAGCTTTCTGGTGAAAAATCTGATCATTTTGTGGGGGCTTTCTTCTGTGACCAGACACTTTTCTCTTGCTGCTTTCAAAATTAACTCTTACTTCTGATAATCTGATTATCATGTGTCTTGGTAAGGACATCTCTGAAGTCCTCCTATGTGGAAGACTTCTTAAATCTGGATGTCCATCTCCTTCCTCTGTTTTGGCAAGTTTGGGGCCATTATCTCTTTAAATACACTTTCTGTTTCTTTCTCTCTCTCTTCTCTTTCTTGGACTCGCATATTATGTATTTGGTCCACTTGACGGTGTGTCATTAGTACTTTAGGCTTTCTTAACTCTTTTTCATTCTTTTTTCTCTTAGCTCCCCTGACTGGATAATTTCAAAAGACCTGTGTTCCAGTTTGCTGATTTTTTCTTCTGATTTATAGTCTGTGCTGAACTCCTCTAGTGAACTTTTTAGTTAAGTTACTACATTCTTCTCCAAAATTTCTGTTCAGTTCTTCTTTATATTTTCTCTTTGTTAATATTCTCTTTGTTAAAATTCTCATTTTCTTCATGCATAATTTTCCTGAGCTCATTAAGCATCTTTATGACAATAGTTTTGAATTCCTTGTCAGGTAATTAATATAGCCCCTTTTCTTTAGGGTTGGTTTCTGAAAATTTATTTTGTACCTCTGATTGGACTATTTTTCTCTGATTCTTTGTGCTCCCTCTAATTTTGTGCTAATATCCACACATTAAAAACAACAACAACAACAACAAAAACAATTACCTCTCCAGTCTCTAAGGACTGGCTTCATACAGAGAAAGAGACCTTCATTAATCAGCCTGGCTAGAGATGCTGGAGGCCTCTCAAACCTTTTCTATGGAAGTGTCTTCTCTGGACTTATGCATGTAGATTCCTAATTAGAGAAATTTATTGGTTTCATTTTTTTCAGAAGCTTGGACTCCTTTGCTGTCTCTCGTGTCTAGATGTCTGCTGTACCACAGGTCCTTTGAAGCAGTAGCGTGCTACCCAGCTCTCTTTTGTTATCAGTGGCTCCAGGCATCTAGAGTATGCAGGGTTCCATCTGTACTCTGAGACAGAAGAGACAGAAGCCAGTCCCTTGGGCAGCTCCCCTGAAAAGTCAGAACTCTGGATGTATAGTCCAATTTTCTCTTTCCCTCTCCAGGGAGAAGCTAGAGGCTGGGAAATTTCTTCCCAATCATGTGGTGCTGTGTGGGACAGAGGATGGCCAGATAGTGACACAAATTTTTATACCGGCTTTGATGTGGTTAGTTTCATGCTCACCGGGGGTGCAGGATCCTCTTAACTGGTTTCCAGATTTCTCACAAAGGGAATTTGTCCATGTGTTGCTGAATCAGTGTCTTCACAGGAGGAAGGAGGGGCTAGAACTTCCTATTCTGCCATCTTGCTGCTGTCATTCCACCTCACCCTTTTTTTTTTTTTAATCTGAGAATGCTTTGGTATTATAATTCACATTGGAACAAAAGAGCTTTTCTTTACTCAGACAACCTCACTTTTATTTCCTTTCACATAATCTTTCAATGAACCATGTGCAGGTATGCAATTCAGCTGGCTCTCACGAGAGCCTTTAGAGGAAGGGCACCCCAGGTGAGTGGTTCTCAACTTGGGGGTAGGGTTTCCTACTGCCCCCAAAGGCTTTTGTCAATGTGTGGAGGTGCTGTAACAAAAACAAGGGGAGCAGTGTACGAGAGGCATTTGTTAGGGGAAAGAGCTGTAATATAAGTGACAGCCCCACACAATAAAGAACCATCCTGCCCAAAATGCCAAAAGCACCACTTGAGAATAATTAAATCTCAGTATTTATACTTTCTGACTAATCAGCACATGCAAGTATTTCTTGTCCGTAAAACCCAGAGGCCACTGAGTATACAATTTGTGCCGCCTAAGAGATTGCAGACTGGCCTGAAACTGAAATTCAGATTCAGCCTGTGGGACTATGTTTGCCCACAAATGGTGGCTTTTCCTAATTCACTCGGATGTCATTATAAGGAGCACTAGCCCTGTCCTTAGGTCCTGTAAAAACTCTCTTTTAGTAGGAGTTATCCCTCTACTATGTATTAAGCTGAAGCATAAAGAATTAAATTACAGAATAGTTAAATGAAATGTCTATGCTTAAGTGAAAGGTCCCAGGGAACCAGACATTGTATCCAAGTCTACTCATAGTTTCTACCTAATTAAGAGTACTTACAAATTATTATTGAGTTCTCAAATAAGAGTATGTTATAACCAGTAAATATTTCTAGAATATTTTTAAAACTAAATTTTTTAGTAACGTACTGGTAAATAAATTCTCAGTAACACCCAGTAAATAATCTTATAAATAATGCATATTCTGATTTTAATTTCTAACCTAATCATTTGGGTGTTTTTTTTTTAGGCACTTTTTTTTTTAAGTCAAAAAGTTAATTGAATTCTCTTGAAATAAAATCTGTGGCTCCCTTGGGTAATTTTGTTATAACTTCCAGGTAAGAAGCTTTTAAATACTCATTATTATTATATTTGATTAAAGATGTTAATAGAGTCACAAAATTTTATTGTTCAAAATGACTATATAAATTGCTGGAAATACATGAAAAGCTTTACTTACCCTTTCTATTTTATATGGTGCAACAACATTATGTTCTTTAATGAAATATACCTGAGCAAGAAAAAGCAATACTTGTAAAATAATAACCAAAATGTTTCATTGTAAAGAGTAACTACAAATCAGAACATTATCAATCAAAAGTTTTAAATCATTGTTATATAATCTCTATTTCCAGAAGTATTTGCTTTAGTATTAGTACTAGTATGGCTTTAAAGTACTGGTGTTAAAATAACAAATATCAAATTAAAAAGAGAATCATCCAGGCAACAAGATAGCAACAATTACAAGATAAATAAATACAGAAGACATTTTATGAATGCCATCACTTGCACCAAGTAACCAAGCAGACAGGGAAGGAGGCTAATCCAAGTGCTGATTTTTTAAGAAACGGGTAAAACAAAGTTACTGTGGTAGGAAATATGTTCACTAACATAAAGAAAACTTAGAGGTCATCTGGGCACATGGTGTTTTCACATGCACTGGGCCACTGGTCCTTACATAGTATATTAATAACTATGTGGAATAAGTGACACCATCTACCAGAGCCATCAATCTCCTTGTACCTGTACTTTCCTCACTGCTTTTCCTCCTGCAACAATGGAAGTTACCTGAGCTCTCAAAGTCCAGCCCCTCTACTAGGGCACAGAATGTGAACACCTCCCCAAACCTGTCAGATATTCAAAAGCTTTGCTCTTAGGATTATATACTGCACTCTCTCCCTTTTACACACACACACCCCCACAAACATACTTCCCCTTAATCTCACATCCTCCTTTTGCCATTTCTGTTCCCTTTTGTGGCAAAATTCATTGCAAGGGCTGTCTGTACCTTCCCTTGGGCCCATGACAGGTTTTCATCCCTACCATATTATTGAAATCACTTTTAGATGGTCACATGAAGTGCATAAGATCTCCACGTCACCATACAATCAATTCTTAAGTCTTCCTTGACTCTCCTTCTCAGAGCATGTGACAGAGCTGATGGCTCTTCCTGAAGCAGTTTTCCACATGGCTTCCTGGACACCTGCTCCTGCTTCTCTCCAACCTCACTGGCTACTCCTTCCGTCTACTTTTGGACCTTGCTTTGTTCCCAATCTCTTAAATTAGAGAGGTGCAGGGCCTTAGTTCTCACACCACTCTGTCCACTCTCAGTCCCCAGGAAATCTTATCCAGCCACAGGGCTTTAAAAAGTCTCTAGAAACTTCCAGCTCCCCAGTATGTCTTGCTAGCCTCTGCCTCCTCTCTGAAACCCAGATGGATGCATCCAAATGCCTGCTGGACGTCTCCCCTTGGAGTTCTCATGGCCATCTTAAATCTCACATCCTACTTGAAGCCTGCTCCTTCCCAACTCTCTTTATCACTATAAAGGGCACTACTGTCTATCTCATTGGAGTCATTCTTGACTGTTCCCTTTTATACCCTGCGACCAATCCGTCAGCACATCTGTTGGGTTTTCTTCAGAATATACCTAGACAATGACCACCTCTCACCATCGTGGTTCAATACACTTGGATTCCTGGAACACCCCAATAGGTCTCCTTGCTTCCACTCTTGCCCTGGTTTGTACAGCGTGTTCTCTACCCAGCCCCCAGAGAGACTTACATACAAATCAGACACACCCCTTCTCTTTCAGCTCTCCAGTGGCATTTCTCTCTGCGCTTTATTCTAAGTCCTTACCTTGGCCCACAAGGCCCCGCATGACACGGTCCCTGCCCCTATTCCAGCCTCCCTTGAGTGTTCTCCTTGACTCACGCACCCCAGGAGCACTCACACTCCTGTGCCTCCCACCTGTCAAGGACATGCCCACCTTCAGGCTTCTCCCCCACCACTCTCTGTACCTGGAATACCAGTGTTTGTGATAATTGCACAGCTCAATGCCTTAAGCCTTCTGAGTCTCTTGGTAAGTGGCCTCTTCTCAGTGAGGCATCCCTGACTACTCTTTCTAAAGCAGCATGAGAACATTCCTTATCATTTTCTATCCTTCTGTCTTGCTTTCATTTTCTTCATAGCATTTGTTACCACCTGACATTAGAGGAGACATTTGTTTATTGTCTGTCTCCCCCACTGAAAAGTAAAGTCCATGGAGCAAAAGGCTTCAGATATCTTGTTCTTCCCTAGATTGCCAGAGCCCTGAATATAATACTTATTGAATCCATGAGTCGAATCTGTTATTCATATAAACATGCACACACCCTTCTTTAGCAGCAACAAAAAAATTGGAAGCAAAGCTCTCTAAATATAAAGCACCGTACTATATTTCTGAGATCTTGTGACCTAGTATATATTCAAAAAACCCAAAAGTTGCCTGGTTGTATACTTGACACAGGAAGCTTTAAATAATGCTTGAAAGAGTAGCTTGTGTCGGGCTGGTTTTGAGCTGGTTTCATACAAGACCTCTTCTATAAACTATTAAAAAAGTAGGTGGAGGAATTTGGGGGCTTTATTCCTAAGCTCAAAGTTATTAAATTTTTACTAAAATAACTAAAATGTATAGTTTTATAATGAAAACCCTATCTTCAAGTCAAAAAGTACCTCTTCCTTTCAAGATATGGGCTTTGTGGAACCAGGTCATGAAGTAAAATGACACGATAGACATGAGAGTATGGAGGTGGACCAGAATTATTAATAACGATGTTTGGTCCCCAGAGCAGTAGATGGTTGTCACTGTCTTCACATATACCAGTTAAAACAACATGAAGTTGAGGAAGCCTGTGAAATGTTTTCTTCCTTAAAATTAATAGAATCATGGAAGGTAGATGTAGAAAATCAAATCATCTGCTACCTCTCAGCTTTCATAAAATAACTTTCAACACATGTTAAAAGTGTTCTGTGAACAAAAGGCTTCAGTGATAGAAAAAGTGCTGGGAGCATGCTCTTCCCCTCCCCATCTGCCTCCTAGGGACACTCTGGTCTGTTGCATGAGAGGATTTAAGTCAAGTTTTGAAGTCAGCAAGTCCGTGCATCTTTGTTCCCACAGCTTTTCTTATCCCTTATTCATCCCAGAACAATTCTTCTCTGAACACTTCAACACCCCAAGGAACGAGAGCTGTCAAGGCAACATCTGCTAACCCTTTCGCTTTAAAGATGAAGCAGATGAAACCCAGAGCCAAAAGAAAGTAGTCCCTTCTTATTTACAATTTTTTAAATCTACATACTAATTAATAATATGACAGGAGAAAAAGCATGTTTTAATTGACCTTTTATTGCCAATGCTGTCATGCCTATATTGAGTGCAGTGGTGGGTGCATAAATATAAAGGGAATAAATCTGGAATGAACAAAAGGTTATTACCACAAGGGTCATAATGATACAAGACCACCAATCCCAAGTCATTGCCTTGGTTGTCCTAAGTCCCTGAGATCATTTAAGTGGCATGGCAATGGACTCTCACCTTCTAAATAGCTAGGAAGCTACGGGAAGAGCTGCATCCCTTCATTTCAAGCCTCGTAAATCATAAATCGTGAGAGCTCCAAGGACAAAACCGCAAGCCCACAGATATCACACACTTAATAAACATGAAGAAGCTCATTAGGGATCACATCTTTTTAAAACTATATTTCTCAATGACTGAATTCTAAAAGCATTTGATTTCTATTCCATGGTCTTCATCTGATATCTCTACAAGTAATTTCATTCATGCACATATATAAGAATGTTCATTCAGATTAGGAAAAAATATTTATTATGTGCTTACCTGACTGAAAATGAGTGAAATACCCCCAGATTTTGCCCTAAAATACAGATAAAAGTCATTAAATATATACAGCTTTTTGGTTGAAGTAAAATTAAACAGTGGTGAAAATGACATACTTTGTGAAGTGTCTATTGGCTCCATTTTCTCCATGCTTTCCTATTTTTATACAGTCTCTCAAAGGAATCTGGATAAAATTGAGAGAAATATTATAAAAATCAAGAAAGGTAAGACATACACAAAAAATAGGAATGTTTCTGTTCATATTTAAAATGTATTTACCTTGATGATGGGCTGGGATATTGAATCTGGTTCAAAAATCACCGATTTTGAACATATTTTTAAGGAGCCTCTGATTTTCCTAGGGATCCAAGTACAACAGATTGTTTGATGAGCATAACAAAAATCACAAGATAATCATAGTACATTTTAACTAGAAAGCAGGTTACTAAAGCATCACATAATAAAAGATCAATAATGCATATAAAGAGAACGTCTCTATTTTTAAATTAACTGGTAAAACAAAACACAGAATAGTGGTTCATATTGGCATTTACAATTCAAATGTTAGAAAGTTTTTAATTAAACTTCTTTGGTTTATATGTGTATCTCCATATAGTTTACAGCATCTATTGGCTAGAAACTTAATGAATCCAGAAACATCACACTGAGAAATAGTCTTACAGACTGAGAATGCCTACACTCATCCCACCCCAGAGTAACACTGCCTGTTCTTTTGTGAGCAGTAAATATTTACTTTGGCTTTCTATTCTCAGTGCTCAATATACATGTACTGAATAGATGAGAAGGCCCATTCTACTGAAGGTTATGATTTAGTTTGCAATTCTTTCTCAAAGGGTTTTTGAAATTTTATACCATTTCATATCATTTTTCCAAGTTGTTAACTGCATTTACTTTTCTAATACCCAAAATTACCCAATAGTAACATAAAAACTTTTATGAAATTTCTAAACATATACAAATAGAATAGAAAACTCCCATGTACCAATGGCCTAGCTCTACAATTGTCAATATGTGGTCACTCTTGTCTTGTGTATAACCCCCTGGGACCCTGCTGAATAACACAGAAAATTATTGACATCATATACTTTATCCACAAATATTTTAGCAAAAATCTCTGAAGACAGCCTCTCTTAATAAGTGACCAATCATTAACACACTCTAAGAAATTAATAATTCTTTAATGTCATCATGTATACAGCCAGTGTTCAAAGAATACTTTCAGAGGTAGTACACGGGTACTGCCTTCACATCCAGAGGCACCCAGAGGATCAGGTGATGTCAATCTCCATATAGCCATTACAAAATTTCCCAGCAGCTTCTCTCACCTAAAGGTTTTAGCAGCTATTGAAAATTACTATCTAGATCAAGGGCTGGTAAACTTTCTGTAAAGAGCCAGATAGTAAATATCTTTGCTTTGTGGGCCATATGGTCTCAGTCACAACCATTCAACTTTGCTGTTATAGGGAAAGCAGCCACACACAGTATGTACACAAATGGGAATGCCTGTGTTCCAGTAAAACTTTACAAGAACAAGTGGCAGCTCAGATATGGCCCAAGGGCTGTAGTTTGCCAAGCCCTGCTGTGAATCCATTCTTCCATTAGGCATTGAAATTTTATCATTCCTTCTATGTTATGAGCTAGAATTTGACAAAAAAGAACAACTTTACTTATCAGCAATTTGGCTACCCTGAAGTACAATTTGTACAAGGAAAATAACAAAAATGCTTGATTCTTTACCTTTATTTATCAAGTGTTACAAAAATGAGTTGTTGTCTTCCTATCCTTCGAGGATAACTGATTAAGATTATACACACACACACACACACACACACCCACACACAAACACACATATTTATAAAATTACGTACTCATGAATTTTAACATTTATGAAACATTTCAATCCATTGCAGAAGTTATTCTTTTCTGATGCTTACATTGTCGCATTTTTGGCCCAATGTCAGCATCGTCTACTTGCCCCTGCATCCTTTTAATTCATTTACAGTAGTCTTTGATACCTTCCTTACTTGCCAGTATGACAGGATGTCCCAGGTTCATCTCACAGATTTCCTGCCTCTGACTTAGAATCAGCAATTTCTCCAAAGAACCCCCATCCTTTCAGTGGGAAGTGGTATTAAGAGACCAGATTCTTGGTGCTGATTGCAACTGAGTTATTTCTAGGCCTTTTCAAAAGATAGAGGTAAGAAATACTGTCATTTAAAGAGAAAAGCAACACAAAGGTGCCCACTCTTACCACTACTATTCAACATAGTACTGGAAATCCTAGCCAGAGCAATTTGGCAAGTAAAAGAAAGAACAGGCATCCAAATTGGAAAAGTTAAACTGTCTCTGTTAGCAAATAACATGATTTTATATGTATACAAAAACCCTAAGGATTCTATCAAAAAAACTATTCAAACCAATAAACAAATTCAGTAAAACTGAAGAATACAAAATCAATATACAAAAAACAGCGTTGCATTTCTATATGCTAACAATGATCTATCCAAAAAAGAAATTACAGAAACAATTCAATTTATAAAAGCACCAAAGGAAAAACAAAACACTTAGGAATAAATTTAACCAAGGAGGTAAAAAGTCTGTACACTGAAAACTACAAAACACTGATGAAAGAAACTGAAGTAGACACAAATAAATAGAAAGATATCTGGTGTTCACAGACTGGAAGAATTAATACTGCTAAAATGTCCATATTTTCCAAAGCAATCTACAAATTAAAAGCAAACCCTATTAAAATCCCAATGGCATTTTTAACAGAAACAGAAAAAAAGAAATTAACATTGATATTGACCCACAAAATAAACAAAACACCCAAAACAATCTGTTTTGTTTCATTTTAAGAAATGGGATCTCACTATGTCACCCAGGCTAGAGTTCAGTAGCATGATTATAGCTCACTGCAGCCTCAAAATGGGCTCAATCAATCCTCCTGCTTCAGCTTTCCAAGTAGCTGTGACTCCAGGTGTGCACCACCATGCCCAGCTAATTTTTAGTTTTTTTAGAGATGGGGTCTTGCTAGGTTGCTCAGGCTGGTCTCCAACTCCTGGTCTCAAGTGATCCTCCCTCCTCAGCCTCCTGAGTAGCTGGCATTACAGGTGCAAGCCACCATGCCTGGTCCAGAGTAATCTTGAACAAGAAGAACAAAACTGGTGGCATCAAACTACCTGGTTTCAAAATATACTACAAAGCTACATTAATCAAAACAGCATGATACAGCTGTACAGACCAATGGAACACAATACATCCACATATATGCAGTCAACTAATCATCCACAAAGGTGCCAAAAACACACAATGAAGAAAGGATAGTTTATTTAATAAATGGTGTTGGGAAAACTAGATATCCCCGTGGAAAAAAAAAAGTGAACCCTTACCTCATCCCATACATAAAAATCTACTTGAAATGAACTGAAGACTTAAATGTAAGTCCTGAAATTGTAAAACTGCTGAAAGAAAAAATACAGAAAAGCTTCTCGGCATTGGTCTGGGCAGTATTTTGGATGACTCCAAAAGCACAGGCAATATAAGCAAAAATAGACAAATGGGATTACATAAAACAAAAAGCTTCTGTGCATCAAGAAAAATAATTAACAAAGTCAAAAGACAACCTACGGAATGGGAGAAAATAGTTGAAAACCATACTTCTGATAAGGGGCTAATATCCAAAATACATAAAAAACTCGAACAACTTGATAGTATAATAAGAAAACAAATAGCCTATTAAAAGACAGGCAGAGGACCTGAATAGACATATCTCAAAAGAAGACATACAAATGGGTGGGTGTGGTGGCTCACGCCTGTAATCCCAGCACTTTCGGAGGCCGAGGCGGGTGGTTCACAAGATCAGGAGATCGACACCATCCTGGCTAACACGGTGAAACCCCGTCTCTAATAAAAATACAAAAAAATTAGCCAGAAATGGTGGCACGTGCTGTACGCCCAGCTACTTGGGAGACTAAGGCAGGAGAATCGCTTGAACCCGGAAGGCAGAGGTTGCAGTGAGCAGAGATCACGCCACTGCACTTCAGCCTAGGTGACAGAGTGAGACTCCGTCTCAATAAAAAAAAAAAAAGAAGAAGAAGAAGAAGAAGAAGACATACAAATGGCCAACAAGCATATGAAAAGATCCTCAGCAGCCTTAATCATCAGAGAAAAGCAAATCAAAACCACATTAAGCTATTGCTTCACACCTGTTAGGATGGCTATTATCAAAAAACAAAAGATAACAGTTGTTGGCAAGAGCGTGGAGAAAAGAGAACCCTTATATACTGCTGGTGGGAATATGAATTGGTTTAGCCATTAAAGAAAACAGTACAGAGGTTTCTCAAAAAACTAAAAATAGAACTACCATACTATCCAGCAATCCCACTTCTGGGTATACATCCAAAGCAAATGGAGCCAGTATGTTGAAGATGTATCTGTACTCCCATGTTCATTACAGTATTATTTACAGTAGCCAAGATTTGGGATCAATCTAAGTGTCCATTGATAGATTAATGAATAAAGAAAATATGATATATATATGAATATAAAACATATAAAAATAGACATACATACATACACACAATGGAATATTATTCAGCCTCAAAAAAGGAAATCCTGCTACTTGTGGCCATGTGGATGGACTTGGAGGACATTATGCTAAGTAAAATAAGCCAGCCACAGAAGGACAAATACTACATGATTTCACGTAGACTCTAAAAGAGTTTAATTCAAAGAAGAGACAAGAATGGAACTTACGAAAATTTTTTAGGTGGGAAAGCTCAGAGCTTTGTTCAGGCAAGAGTAAGTTAAACTTCACGAAATTAAAGGGGGTGGAAGAAATGGGGAGATGCTGGGCAAAGTGCACAAGTTGTCCATTATCCAGGATAAGTTCTGCAGATTTAATGTAGAGTTATTGACTACAGTCCATACCACATCATACACTTGAAATTGGCTCAGAGAGTAGATCTTATATGTTCTTATTCCCACACACACAAAAGAAGGTAACTGTGAGGTGATGGATATGATAATTACTTTGATTGTGGTCAGCATTTCACAATGTGTATGTATATCAAAACATCAAATTGTATACCCTAAATATATACAATTTTTATTCATCAATTATATCTCAATAAAGCTGGAAAAAAGGAGGAAAGTGCATGAAAAAGGCTTTATTTCTTTAATATTACATGTATGTCTCTTTTCTTTTATACTGGAAAATCTGAGTCTTGGCCATACTTATTAAATTGTTTTATCCAATTATATAAATACATATACATGCATGTATAAAATAGTTTCAAAATAATAATACTAATAGTATACTAATAACAACAATATTGCAACTGGAAAAGTTTACAATTACTTTACATTCTTTTTCAACTTCTTTGCAATACTTTTTCATCTTACCAGAGATACACAGTCAAATTATTATATTGTAAAGTTGATTAAAATAATTTTCTGTGGCTAACTCCAACTTTATAATTAAATTCATTTGTTTCTTGTCTTTTCTTTTTTTAATATATAATTGTAATAAATAGAAACAGAGTTTCGCTATGTTGATCAGGCTGGTCTCAAACTCCTGGCCACAAGAGATCGTACTGTACTGCCTTGGCTTACTAAAGTGCTGGGATTACGAGTGTGAACCACCACACCTGAACTGTTTCATTTTCTCTTTGATTTTTAGGGTTTACTGTTTCTTTTTTATTTTTATTTATTGATTGATTTATTTTTGAGACAGAGTCTTGCTTTGTCACCCAGGCTGGAGTGCAGTGGCATGATCCTGGCTCACTGCAACCTCCGCCTCCCAAGTTCAAGCAATTCTCCTGCCTCAGTCTCCCAAGTAGCTGGGATTACAAGGGTGCACCACCACGCCTGGCTAATTTTTGTATTTTAGCAGAGACGAGGTTTCACCGTGTTGGCCAGGCTGGTCTCAAACTCCTAGCCTCAAGTGATCCACCAGCCTCGGCCTCCCAAAGTACTGGGATTACAGGCATGAGCCACCACACCTGGCCTTACTGTTTCTTTTTAAATTTAATTCTATATTAAAAATCTACAAAAGATGCCCTCTCAGCCTCTTAGCTAAGATAAAGTGTAGTAAAAATCTATAAAATGTTTATATGGTTCCAAAACGAAAGTTACAAAATAAGGTACATTTGGAGAAGTCCTCATTCCATCTCTATATTGTTCTTCTGATCCTTCCCCTCTTCTGTGTAGATAACTGTCTCCACTAGCTTTTAGTTTATGCCTCCGATTTTTAAAAACATAGTGATAAATCTGCCCCCTTCTGACAAAAGTAGCTTATGACACACAGTATCCTGTCCCTTGCTTTTTACACTTAATACATGTAGAGATCACTTCATAGCATTACAAAGAACTTCATTCCTTGTTGAACCTGCATAGTACTCCATCATGTGGCCATTTCTTATCAGTCAGTTCAGTCAGTCTCCTGTAGGATTGTTCCTAGTCTTTTACTAGTACAAGTAGTGCTATAATAACCTTGTGCATATGTCCATTTATATAACTGCCAGTTCTCTTTGAAATGGTATCCTAGAAGTAGCATTGCTAGATCAATAGGTTAATGCACATGTCATCTTACCAGATATTACCAAATACACCTACATGGGGCTGTACCATTTTGCCCTAATAGTTACTTTAAAATTATAAAAACAGGTTTCAGTTTGCTACCTGTAGTTGTATTTTAATAATAAACAAGTACATTTAATTTTAAGCAAGGCACTATGATGATATACGATAGAAGAATGTTGGAAGGAAAAAAGATATGGAATTAGGGAAAAGAATATGAGCAAAATTCCAGAGATAAGAAAGCAAGGTGCTGTGTTCAGGGATGAATAATTGTCTAATTTGATTGAATGCCAAGAAAATAGATATGTCATAAGCTACTAAACAAAAAAACCAAGTGAGTTTTACTTTAGCTTGTATTTAAACAAATACCACATGTTTTTGATCCGTTAAGGATAAACCTGAAGAATAATAAAAATAAGTGGATTTATCTACTGTCAAAGAATTTCCTAAGTTATGGCTTACAGTTGTTAAGTAACCTCCCAAAAGGAAATCATTAGCAGATACCTTTTTGGTGGAACAATTTTCATCTTAGTTAATTCTAAGTTGCCATTTTAAGCAAACAAAAAGCTTCATTACATGCTTCTGTACATAGCTTTCAAAAGGTAAAGTCAAAGAAACAATCTGTTTTTATAGTAGTGAGTAATAGTTATTAAGATACTGAGAAATCAGATCTTGCTTCTAGTTCAAATCGCATGACTCATTTTGAAAGTACTGATTTTATACCACTCTTGTGGTTTATAATCATTACTTTATAACATTGTCACCCGAATAATTGAGAGCAGAGGATACTGCATAACTACAAGAGGGATGCAACAAAAAAATGATGGGATGGACTGGAGTCCTATCAAGCTTAAGATATCTACAACCCCAGAATTGGAACAAATGCTTTTTAGCTTTGAAAAAGGTTTCAAGTTACAATTATAACTTTTAAATACACTCTTCTCATTACTTCCCTAATAAGAGAAAAGATGAAAAAAACTTCATGGGAGATAAAATAATAAACATAGCAAAAACTCTCCAAAAGACTCTCCTAGGTTATAATCCTCAATAAAAGTCTAAATAAAATTTACTTTAATTTTTTTTAAAGCCTAATTTTTTCTTTAGTTAACACCTATATGATCACACATTTAACTTTAAAAGTTCAGATATCAGAAAGGTTTGTTTGTCCAAGGAGATACCGAAGCTTCCTTACCTTTCATGGTGACTGCCCTTGTGCAAAATGTGATTGGCTCTATGCTGTTCAAAGTAGTACTCCTCCAAGTTAAGCAGCAGCAAGGAAAATCTGGATTTGGGGCGAAAAAACAACTTTCAGTTTATTTTTTAGTAAGTATAAGAAGGCAATATATTTAAAACGTCTGATCCCAAAAAGCTTTTCCATTCTTGAATTTAACAAACATTTATGAAGCATGTATATCATGCCAGGCAGTCCTCTCTACCCAGTGGCGGGAAGTACATAGCTGGGCTTGCCTTGTGTCCAAATAACTACTATGTCAAAAATAAAATCACTCACCAGGTGGATGTACTACTCTTTTACAGAAACCCTGAATTTTGTGAAGTTAAACTTATCCTTATCTGAACAAAGCTCAGCGCTTTCCTACTTAGGGAATTTTGAGCATTTGTTTCCCCTGACTGAACAATGCTAGGCTTCCCCACCTCTTCCCTGTCATACCTCCCTGCCCCCAACATCTGCCTCATGGTTATCTGAGTTACTCCCACAAGAACACATGCCTCTAGGGACAGATCTTTTTTTTTTTTTTTGGGACGGAGTTTCACTCTTGTTGCCCAGCCTGGAGTAAAATGGCGCAGTCTCAGCTCAAGTAACCTCCACCTCCCGGGTTCAAGTAATTCTCCTGCCTCAGCCTCCCAAGTAGCTGGGATTACAGGCATGCACCACCATGCCTGGCTAATTTTGTATTTTTAGTAGAGACAGGGTTTCTCCATGTTGGTAAGGCTGGTCTCGAACTCCCAACCTCACGTAATCCACCCACCTCGGCCTCCCAAAGTGCTGGGATTACAAGCATGAGCCACCGGCCCAGCCAACAGATCTTTAGATATTCCCTTGTGATAACCAGCCCATGCTGTCTACACAATGGGTGTTTAATAAGTAAAATGAGTAAACCAAACTGAATGGGATTGAAATATAGTTCTTTTTAAAGTTGAAAGTCATTTAAACTTTTAAAAACAAGAGAAGTCATTAAGAAAAATTATTAATTTTGTTGTATGGCTACAGCAACAAATACATGACAAAGAAGTGAAAACAGGCATTTTTTTGTTTTGTTTTGTGATAAGGACCAGGAAACATCAATGAGTTACAGGCAAAAGCTTTCATGAAAAGTGTGGGACTTGAGATGGGCCTTAAGTTCCAGTGTGTTGGAGGAAGAAATTTACATTAAACATGGCAGATTACACATATATGTTTATTTCACTGCCTCTTGAAACACCACTACAATGTGAATAAAACTATTTTTAAATGGTAAAACCCACAGGCTAAAGCAAATTGGAGAGATATTAAAGCAGAGAAGAGACATGAACAAATCTGTGAGAAATGGAAAGCAGACCGGGGGAATAAGCAGTGCTCAGAAATCAGAATTTCAGATGCCTCCAGAGAAGGCACCACTCAGGAGAAAACCAGTTCAAGTCACCGGACTTCCAAAAAGTTCAGAAATTGCAGGATCAAGTGCTAGAGACGATGTGGAGAAATAGGAATGCTTTTACACTGCTGGTGGGAGTGTAAATTAGTTCAACCATTGTGGAAGACAGTGTGGCGATTCCTCAAGGATCTAGAACTAGAAATACCATTTGACCAAGCCATCCCATTACTGGGTATATACCCAAAGGATTATAAATCATTCTGCTACAAAGAAACAGGCACACATATGTTTAATGCGGCACTGTTCACAATAGCAAAGACTTGGAACCAACCCAAATGCCCATCAATGATAGACTGGATAAAGAAAATGTGGCACATATACACCATGGAATACTATGCAGCCGTAAAAAAGGATGAATTCATGTCCTTTGCAGCGACATGGATGAAGCTGGAAACCATCATTCTCAGCAAACACAAGAACAGAAAACCAAGCACCGCCATGTTCTCGCTCATAAGTGGGAGCTGAACAATGAGAACACATGGACACAGGGAGGTGAACATCACACACGGGGACCTGTTGGCGGGGTGGGGAGCTAGAGGAGGGATAGCATTAGGAGAAATACCTAATGTAGATGATGTGTTGATGGGTGCAGCAAACCACCATGGCACGTGTATACCTATGTAACAAACCTGCACGTTCTGCACATGTACTCCAGAACTTAAAGTATAATTAAAAAAAAAAAAAAAAGAAATTGCAGTATCAGGTACCAAGAGGACAGGGTTTGTAAAGCATGAGGGTGGTTAAAAGTGAATGAGGGCAGTAGCCCCCAATTCTTTTCCTGATGGGTTAACCATACTGCACTCTGGCATGTGGTTTTTCTATTTAAAAAAAAGTGGAACAAGAGGCTGCACACTAGGTATCAGGCACAGTGGAGAGCAGGATTGTAGTGTGAAGAGAGGATGACTATGCAAAACATGGAATAGATGAACACTAGTTTGCTGAGAATTATGGTTTCCAGCTTCATCCATATATCACTCCAGGCAGGAGTCTGGTACATTAGTTTTGGAAAAAACTAAACAGCCTCAGAGAAAAAGCCAGGTCTCTACAACATCATCCCACAGTGAAACTCAACTGAAATAGCCCATTCCCAGTGACACAGAATTAAATGCTTCACATTTAAATATGAATGAACAGCCCAAGATCACAGCCTCTAGGATGAAAGAACAAAGCCAAAGCAAGCAGGAAGAATGCAACTTGAAGGACTAAACACAATGCAGAGAACAGAAGAAAAGGTCAAAAGGCTACAATTAATATCCCTACAAAGAAGAAGTTATATTCATAACACCAGAAGAGATGCTCATCAAAAAAAAATAATAGGCCAGGCGCAGCGGCTCACACCTGTAATCCCAGCACTTCGGGAGGCCAAGGCGGGCGGTTTGCCTGAGGTCAGGAGTTCGAGACCAGCCTGGTCAACATGGTGAAACCACCTCTCTACTAAAAGTACAAAAATTAGCCAGGCGTGGTGGCGGGCGCCTATAATCCCAGCTACTCGGGAGGCTGAGGCAGGAGAATTGCTTGAACCTGGGAAGTAGAGGTTGCAGTGAGCCAAGATCGCGCCACTGCACTCCAGCCTAGGCAACAAGAGCGAGACTCCGTCTCAAAATCATCATCATCATCATCATCATCATCTGAACCAAAAGAAAAGTAACTCAAAAAATTAAAAATGATAGCAGAAACCAATTTTACCATCCTAATCTGTAACTTTTATTGACCTGTCCTCCATATCTAAATCCATGAACAAGAATCAATTACAGGGTAAACTGCCAGAGTGCAAAACAAAATGCACACTATCAATACTTAATCTGAATTTCAATATAGTCACAAGACAGAATTGGAGTTACACATCCTTCCTTCTCTTTCCTAATCGCCTCACTCCTTCTCTTATAGAGAGGGAAGAATAGAGTAAGTATTCTTCAATAAGACAATGGCATAATTTTATTTCTATGATGCACAAGTAGCCTTCAGAGACAATTCTTCCATATAATTATTAAAATATAATCATATCAGCTATTTTAGAACTAAAGTCATTTTGGTAAGTGAATTAATTATAGCCTCCTTAATTTATCAATATGCATATTTTGCAAGAAATGTAAAACACACAGTGAAGGGATATAACCAAATCATATTGTTTGAAGTAAAGGATTATGAAACTTTTCTGAGTCTATGTTTTCTTTTTACTAAAGTGTTGTTATACCCGCTTTAAAATTTTTCTATGTAAAAATTATTATAATTAAGTTGCATGATTTTTAGAACAATGATTTTCAAACTACATTTTACGGAGTAAAAGAGTCCATGCTTAAAAAAAAAAATTAAAATCACCGTTTTGTAATTGGATGGTCTCATCCTTTGGTATTGTATCTGACTGTAAATTATTTCTTTAGAAGACTCTTAGCCCTGCCCCTACATATTCCTAGTTTAATCCTCCTTTACAGAGGTGTGGTTTCATTCTCTTTAGAGAAGTTTCCTCATTGAGCAACTCAACATTCCTAAAAAGATGTTTTCCTATTCTTACATCACCTAAATTTTAAAGCCTACTGTACAACACTTAACTAGAACTTAAAATAGCTGGAGTAACCTTGCATTCCACTCAACAATTATTCAACACTCAGCTGATGAACAGTATTTACAGTGGATCCAGAAGGTTTTGTTAGTCAATGCTTTCTCTAACAGGCTTCACTGTGATAAGAAGTGTAACCCAAACTTATTGGGAGGAAGTGCTGTGATGCCATGACACTTTCGTGATGTGTGCAGAGGCAAAGGAAAGCACAGGAGTGCTGTGTATTTGCCACCTCTACTCTCAATACCCCAACACCAGCCTTGAATGAAGCTAGACTACAGTGCCCCTACTAGAGAGTTGATTTAATTAAACGGACCATTTTTAAGAAGCTTCTGAAAATGATTTCTGAAATAAAGAAGAAATTAAGAAAACTGTTATAGACAAGGCAAGATCGCAGTCCTACTACCCACCATTGGAAACATCCCCCCAGTAATACACTGGACAGTGATATAGTTTGGATGTTCTGTCCTCTCCATATGTCATGTTGAAATGTGATTCCCAACGTTGAAGGTGGAGGCCCGGTAGGAGGTGATTGGATCATGGGGGTAGATCCCTCATGACTCAGCACCATCCCCTTGGTGATAAATGAGTTCACAATCTGTTCACTCAAGCTCTGGTTGTTTAAAAGGGTCTGGGAACTTCCCTTTCTCTCTCTTGCTCTGTCTCTTGCCATGGGATACACCTGCTCCCACTCACTTTCTGCCATAGTAAAAGCTCCCTGAGGCTTACCAGAAACCAAGCAGATGCTGGTGCCTTGCTTCCTGTACAGCCTGCAGAACCATGAGCCAACTAAGCCTCTTTCCATTGTAAATTACGCAGCCTCAGGAATTTCTTTATAGCAAAACAAAAACAGACTAAGACATAAAATTGGCACCAGGGAGTAGGGCATTTTATTATGGATATACGTAAAGACATGGAAGCAGCTTTGGAACAGGGTAACAGGCAGAAGCTGGAAGAGTTTGGGGGACTCAGAAGAGACCAGGAAGACAAGGGAAAGTTTGAAACTTCTCAGAGACTGGTTAAATGGTTGTGACCAAAATACAGATAGGAATATGGACAGTGAAGGTCAGGCTGACACGGTCTCAGATGGAAATGAGGAAATGAATGGGAACTGAAACAAAGGTCGCCCTTGTTACAAACTAGCAAAGAACTTGGCTGCATTTGTGTCCATGTTCTAGGGATCTGTGGAAGGTTGAACTTAAGAGTAAGGACTTAGGTAGGGTATGTGGCGGAAGAAATTTCTAAGCAGCAAAGGGTTTCAGAACTGGTCTGGCTGCTTCTAAAAGCCAACAATCAGATACAGGAACAAATAAATGACTTAAAGTTGGAACTTACACTTAAAAGGAAAGCAGAACATAAAACTCTGGGAAATTTGTAGCCCGGCCATGTGGTAGAGAAAGAAAAAGCATTTTCAGGAGAGGAATTCAAGCCGGCTATGGAGTAAGCTATGGAATAATTGCATGCTAGAGAGATGAGCATGACTAAAAGGTTGCCAAGGGCTAATATCCAAAACAATGGGGAAGGCCTCAAAGTCATTTCAGAAGTTTTCAGGATGTCCCTCCCATCACAGAGGGCCTAGGAGAGGAAAGAAGGGCTTAGGGGGCCAAGCCCAGCTTCCCACTACCCCATACAGCCTAGGGACACTGCTTCCTGCAGACCCACTGTTCCACCTCCAGCCATGGCTCAAAGGCCCACAAGTACAGCTCATGCTGCTGCTCCAAAGGGTGCAAGACATTAGCCTTGGAAGCTTCCATGTGGTGTTAGGTGTGCAGGTGCACAGAATGCAAGCATGAAGGAGCCTTGGCAGCTTACCCCTAGATTTCAGAGGATGTGTGAAAAGGCCTGGAATCCCGGGCAGAAGCCTGCTACAAGGATGGGGCCCATACAGAGAACGTCTACGACAGTAGTATGAAGGGGAAAAGTGGGCTGGAGTCCCCATATATAGTCCCCACCAAGTGGAGTTATGAGAAGGGGGCCACCTGCCCTCTAGACTCAACAATGGTAGAGCCATCAGCAACTTGCAACCTCAGCATGGAAAAGTTGCTGGCACTCAACTCCAACCTGTGAAAGCAGCCAAGTGGGCTGCACCCTTCAAAGCCACAGAGGCAGAGCTGCCTAAGGCCTTAGGAGCCCACTTCTTACACTGCTGGCCCTGGGTGTGGGACAAGGAGTCATAGGAGATTATTGTGGAGTTTTAAGATTTAATGACTGCCCTACTGGGTTTCAGACTTCAGTGAGGCCTACTGCCCCTTTCTTTTGGCAGATTTCTCTCTTTTGAATGGGAATGTTTACCCAATGCCTGTACCACCATTGTATCTTGAAAGTAGATCAACTGTTTTGATTTTACAGGCTCATAGGTGGAAAGAGATAGGTGTAAGATGAGACTTAGGACTTTGGACTTGATGTTGAAATAAGTTAACACTTTGGGGGACTATTGGGAAGAAATGATTGTATTTTCCAATGTAAGAAGAACATGAGATTTAGGGGGCCAGGGGCAGAATGATATAGTTCGGATGTTTGTCCCCTCCGAATCTCATGTTAATATGGAATTACCAATGTTGAAAGTAGGGTCCAGTGGGAGGTGACCTGATCATGGGGGCAGATCCCTCATGAATGCCTCAGCACCATCCCCTTGGTAATAAGTGAGTTCATGCTCAGTTAGTTCACATGAGATCCGGTTGTGGTTGTTTAAAAGAGTCCAGAGCCTCCTCCTCCTCTCTCTTGCTCCCTCTCTTGCCATGTGATGTACCTGCTCCCACTTCACCTTCCACCATGAGTAAAAGCTCCCTGAGGCTTCACCAGAAGCCAAGCACATGCCAGTGCCATCCTTCTTTCCTGTACAGCCTGCAGAACTGTGAGCCCATTAAACCTCTCTTGAATTAGCAGCATGACGTTCATGCTGGGGACTGGTGACAACAACTTCCTCTTCTAGTGGTTTATAAATAATCTGTCTGATCTAGAATTTGCATTAAACCTATTTATGCACACATGTTCTTTCAGCACCTTTCAAAGTTCCTAGATCATTGAAATAATTCTGTGGTTCTACACTCAAACTCTCCCAGGATTTTACGCCAGGAGACATAAGCACTTGGGTACCATTTGCATCTTCACCCATCTTGCGAAAGTTCATCCTCTTTCAGTCTGAAGATTAGTATTATTAATAGAGTACAAAATAAGAGCTTTCCCTGTCATAAATCAATGTTACACCTGGTACCAGGCTAGGCCTAGGCAGCAGCCCAGTACTTCCTAGTTCCAAGGGCAACTTTGGAAGTTTTTTTGTTTTTATTTTTTTAATCTGTACCATTTTTCAAAGGTTCCACTCATTTGGGGCTTTAACCTTTTTGAAATTAACTATGTATAACCTTCTTGTTTTATATTAAAACTAATAATTATAAACTCAGAGAAATACTACCTGTACAACCATTCTTTATTTGCTAGCCTGATTTTCTTTTTCTTTTTTAGCTTCCTTCCAACATGCAAGCTTGCCTGATTTTCTGTAACTCCTCACAAAAGATCATTTGGATTAGATGTTCTTAATTGTATTTTTGACAGTTTCACAAACTTCCTGGGTCAATATGCTTTCCAAACTGTCCAGTAACAGCACCTATCTTTTTTGTTCCTTGGAACTTTCAATATCTGCTTTCTTAAAATTCTAGGTTCTATGTATGACAGGATCCCTCTCAACTCTCCTGAGCTCCAGCAATAAACAACTTGATATGACTGCTTTTTATGATGGTTCATTTCATTGCTACTTGGTTAATAATTTGTCTTTAATATTCAGAATTAAGTAAAGTTCTCAAGTTTAGGATAAATTAAAACTTTAAGAAAGGAAGTCAATAAACTGTACTTAGATTTCACTAAGCATTTCAGCCAGTATCTCTATTGCCACTTCCTGTTTTCCCATTTACACCAGGTACACAGCCACCATTTCTTCCACCCACTTAACGTGGCCTGTAACAAAAGAACACAATCATGTTATCTTTGTTCCTCTTTCCAATTGTGTTCTCTGGGATTTTTTCCTGGGGTTTCATGGATTCCCCTTCAGATGTATACCTTCTTAACATTCAGAGCCCACTGCCTCACCTCCTGGCAGGTCTTTCCTTTTCAATAGGTCTGCAGCTTTTCAACACTAGATTCCAATCTTGGGTCTCATCTTACCCAACTCCAGTGACACCTAAAACACACATTAATCCTTTTTTGTTAAAAGACCTGGCTCATTTTATTATCCATGTTCTACACATTTGCAGAGAGACATCTGAGGGACTAAGTATCATTTCTAGTTCCTGTACCAGTTGTTTTCTCCTATAAATTACTGGCCCTTCTTCCCTCCCAGAAAGAGTTCTCATGAATTTAAACAATTTCACTATTTCATCTGGCCTTTTTAGCCCTTCCCCTCAGTAATTAGGTTAAAGCTTTCTATCACTCAGCTGGACTCTAGAAAATTACATTCTCCCTGACTATGTGAGATGCAGTGACTTCCAGCCAAGATGGTTCAGATATCAAAATCCCTTTCACTGACACCATCCATAAAGCCAGTCAATTCTATTTTCAAGTCCCAGCAATTTATGAGAAGAAATGGTAAAAATGTCATCTATGCTCTCAAAGTCCTCCAGTTTCCTCATCAAGTGTCATACTGCAGGGCAGGAGGCTTCCCTCAGCCTTTTTATATGTACTATCAAGAAGTTAAAGAAGGAAGTTCAGTTGGAAGGAACAAACAAATAAAAAATCAAGATGAATGCTGAATTACTGTTATCTAGCGCAGCGCTTCACAAAGGTTAGTGTGCACACAATCAACTGGGGATCTTGTTAAAATGCACATTCCAAGGCAGCAGCTTCAGGGTGAGGCCTGAGAATGTGCATTTCTAACAAGCTCCAGGCACACATGCGCTGCTGGCCTGTGGACAACACTTTGACTAACAAGATTCTGATATCTACATAAAACAGGCTTCATTCATTCCTGAATCAGTCTAAACTTCAAGGATACCATAAAAATAAGCACTGGCCAGTAGCCCACAACCTAGTATTTAAAATAGAAGCAGTATGGTACAGTGGAAAAGAGGTTGGACTTGGATCAGAGAACATTTGTTCTAGCCTTAGTTCAGCTTGGCTCCAAATTTTCCAAAACTTTTAGCTTTAGGAAGCTCAAGCAGGATAGATGAAGAAAAAAAAATCTATATCTAGACAGCAAAAAACTACAGAGAGGAGATCTTAAAAGCAGTCAGAGAAAAGAGAGATTACCTACAAAGAACAATTAGACTTAACAATATTGGTTTGTTGCAGGCTGGTCTCCCAGAAGAGAAGGTGGCCTCCTGCAAAGTTTCAGGGAAAACTGCTATGATTGTGTTTAAGGCAATCAAACCTCATCAACCACAAGGCTTGAACCCTGGTCCCCTGACCATGCCAGGAAAAAGGCTGGTGTTTCCCCAATCAAGAACAAACTCTGCCACATTATACAGACTTAGCCCCAATCAAGCCAGCAAGGAGGTAAGGATATCCTGCAGCCACACATGCTGAGCTGGGATGAGTGAGCCAAGGTTCCATCACAGTATGGTCCTACTGTACTCTGGCCCCTGGTCACTCCCTGGAGTGCTGGTTTCTCCTGAAGTCTGAAGTTGGCCCAGCCAGGTAGCTGAACGTTACCCCAGGGGGACAAGGCACAACTATCACTGACCTTTCTCTGTGAGGTACCCCCCCAACACCCCAGAGCACTCCAGCAAGTCTGATGCATATTCCCTGGCCCTTTGCCTTTGTTTGGATAATCTTCAAAATGCTGAGAATTAAACATCTAGCAAAACGGATTTTCAAAGCAAAAGGAAAATAAGGATATGTTCAGACAGACAAAAACAGAGGTGGTTTATCATCATCCAACCCTGATCAGAGGAACTTCTAAAGGATATTCTTCAGGAAAGAGAAAATAATTCCGTAACGAGGATATGACATGTAAGAAGGAATATTGAACAAAAACAATGGTAAATATGCATGTAAAACTACAGAAGCATTAACCAGGCAATTAGTAATGTACAATCTGTAGGTTTAAAATAGAGATAAAAAATACCGGACAATAACAGACTATAACTGAGGATGGGGGCACAGCAGTTAAGTGTTCCAAGGTTCTTACACTGGTAGAGAGGAGAGTAAAGATAATGATTAGCTTCAGATCTTAAATTTAATATGCTTATGTTTTAAGGATAAGCATTAGAAAAACAAATAAAATATATAACTTCCATACTCTTTGGGGAAAAATGAAAGGGAGCAAGGGGGCCTTATTTAATCCAAAGGAAGAAGGGAAGGAAGGCAAAATAAAAGAACAAAACTAAAAAATAAAAGTGAATTCAGATATATTTGTAATAATAAATGTAAACAGACTAAACTAATTCATTAAGATAAAAATTATCAAAATGAATCATTTAAAAAAAGTCCAAGTATAAGCTATTTATAAGAAACAGGCCTAAAGCCTTAGGACACAGAATAGTGAAAAGTAAAACAATGGAAAATCCCATACAAAGCAAATAACCAGAAGAAAACTGATATAGCTATATTAATATCAGACAAAATAGAAAAAAAATTACTAGAAGTAAAGAGGTCATTATATATTGATAAAAAATTCAACTCACCAAGAAGATAACAATTCTAAGTTACTTACTGAATACAAGTTAAAAAAAATAACAAAAAGATAATTTTCAAAATCTATGAGTTGGACATTTTAAGACACAATTCTAAATATCTGATGGTTAAAAGATGAAATGACAATGGTATTTAGAAGAAAAATAGCACTGAATTCCTTAAATGACCATTCCTATTTTATATCACACTAAAAAAATTTTTAATGAATATTATATAGCTTACATACTCAAAATCCATTTATGGATAGATTCCTGTGACTTCTCAATGGTAGACACTTTGGAAGAGGTTAATTTGAGATAAAAGGAAAGTAAGTGGGTAGGCTAGTAATACATTTTGGGTAAAGTCAATATAGAGTCTAAATTAACCAAGAAATTTGCAACATTTATTTCCTCTCCCGCTGTTTTTCATGTGAGAAAAAAAAACCCTATTTCTTTAAGTCACAGTCGGATAGATTTCTTGGGACCTATCGGCATTCCTGACGAATTAAGTCCTGACTTTATCTCCACTGATCTCCAGTTTCAACACCTGGTATATCCCACAAACAGATCTGAAAAGACTGGGATGATAAGCCTTAGAAATGAAAGATTAAACCGAAGTACCACAATCACTTTGCCCTCTTGCCAAGTGCTTTTTATAAAATAAATATAGACACAATTGATTAAACAAACATATTGAGTAAAAGAAAGTTGGGCCGGGCGTGGTGGCTCACCTGAGATCGGGAGTTCGAGACCAGCCTGACCAACATGGAGAAACCCCATCTCTACTAAAAACACAAAATCAGCCAGGCATGGTGGCGCATGCCTGTAATCTCAGCTACTTGGGAGGCTGAGGCAGGAGAATCGCTTGAACCCAGGAGGCGGAGTTTGCGGTGAGCCAAGATCATGCCATTGCACTCCAGCCTGGGCAACAAAAGGGAAACTCCTTCTCAAAAAAGAAAAAAAGAAAGAAAGTTAATACTAGCATAATCAAGAATATTATACACTCATGGAATGTCTGAAACAAAGTTGAAATCTCAAAGTGCCTGTTAAACTATTAATGTAATATGCAGGCACCAAATACAGAATTCAAGATCACTAATTTCCATCCTTGAGTGGAAATCTGTGGAACTTACAAAGCACAATTAAGAATTTATTCTATGACATTACAGAGATAAAACTATGACTCTTCCTCAGAAGGAAACATATCTCAACTATCTAAATTTCTTTTCTATTATGTATTTATTTATTTTTGAAACAAAGTCTCACTCTGTTGACCAGGCTGGAGTGCAATGGCACAATCTCAGCTCACTGCAACCTCTGCCTCCCAAGTTCAAGCGATTCTCTTGTCTCAGTCTCCCGAGTAGCTGGGATTACAGGTGTGTGCCACCACACCCGGCTAGTTTTTTTTTTTATTTTTAGTAGAGACAGGGTTTCACCATGTTGACCAGGCTGGTCTCGAACTCCTGACCTCAAGTGATCCACCCACCTTGGCCTCCCAAAGTTCTGGGACTACAGGCATGAGGCACCACACCTGGCCTATTTATTTTTTAAATAGAGAAAAGGTCTCCCTATGTTGCCCAGGCTGGTCTCAAACTCCTGAGTTCAAACGATCTTTGTGCCTTGGCCTCCCAAAGGGCTGGGATTACAAGTGTAAGCCATGGCACCTAGGCAAGTATCTAAACTTCTACATTACCCAAGAAATAGCTGTCATCCCAACACTCCACGGTGGATAGTAAAGCAAAAAAATTTAACAATTTGCCTACTTTAGTCTACTTCTAAATCATAAAATAGAAATGTCTTTTTTTTTTTTTTCTTTGCGATAGGGTCTCACTGTGTCACCCAGGCTGGGGTGCAGTGGTATGACCATAGCTCACTGTAACCTTGGACTCCTGGGCTCGAGTGATCTTCCCACCTTTTAATATATTTCATATTAAAATAGAAATGTCTTAAATAGAAAGTCTGTATAATATCCTCATCTACTAACCCAATGTATACACCTGCCATCCCTGACAAATCCAAGGAAGACATGTGAATTGCCTTTAACGCCTGTAATCCCAGCACTTTGGGAGGCCGAGGCGGGCGGATCACGAGGACAGGAGATCGAGACCATCCTGGCTAACACGGTGAAACTCCGTCTCTACTAAAAATACAAAAAATTAGCCGGGCGCTGTGGTGGCCGCCTGTAGTCCCAGCTACTCGGGAGGCTGAGGCAGGAGAATGGCGTGAACCCGGGAGGCGGAACTTGCAGTGGGCTGAGATCGTGCCACTGCACTCCAGCCTGGGCGAGAGTGAGACTCCGTCTCAATAAAAAAAAACAATAAAAAATAAAAAATGTTTTCAATTTACCCTCACCAACACCTGCACAGGACATTTTTAAAAAACAATAAAATCAATATGGTTCCTGCTATCTAAATCTTTTTTTTGTTTGTTTGTTTGAGATGGAGTCTCGCTCTGTCGCCCAGGCTGGAGTGCAATGGCACCATCTCGGCTCACTACAACCTCCGCCTCCCAGGTTCAAGCAATTCTCCTGCCTCAGTCTCCCAAGTAGCTGGGACCACAGGCGCACGCCACCATGCCTGGTTAATTTTTGTATTTTTATTAGAGATTGGCCAGGCTGGTCTCGAACTCCTCACCTCGTGATCTGCCTGCCTTGGCCTCCCAAAATTTGGGGATTACAGGCGTGAGCCCTGTGTCTGGCCTGCCACCTAAATCTTAACCAGGATATAAGTATACTTATTTCGAATGGCCAAGTGTCTGTTTTCTAATCCTTAAAATTACCAAAACATTTATTTATAAACATCAACAATAAATGGCACCACTTTATAGTTATTCAAACCAGAAGTCTGAGAGTAGAATTTCCATGTTTAGCAAATAAAAATATCATATGCCCAGTTACATTTGAATTTCAGATAAATAATATACTTTTAAAAATTTTAGTATAAGGGCCGGGCACGGTGGCTCACGCCTGTAATCCCAGCACTTTGGGAGGCCAAGGCGGGTGGGTGGATCACGAGGTCAGGAGATCGAGACCATCCTGGCTAACACGGTGAAACCCTGTCTCTACTAAAAATACAAAAAATTAGCCGGGCGTGGTGACAGGCGCCTGTAGTCCCAGCTACTTGGGAGGCTGAGGCAGGAGAATGGCGTGAACCCAGGAGGCGGAGCTTGCAGTGAGCCAAGATCACGCCACTGCACTCCAGCCTGGGCAACAGAGCGAGACTCTGTCTCAAAAAAATAAAAATAAAAAAAATTAGTATAAGTATATACCAAATATTGCATATACTATTGCATTTACTTATACTAAAAAAATTTTAGTATAAGTACATACCAAATATTGCATATACTATCGCAATTACTTATACTAAAAAATTATTCATTGTTTATCTGAAATTCGAACTTAACTGGGTGTGCTGTATTTTATCAGATAATCCTAGCTGGAATTCTTCCTTTATCACCTCTCACAGACAATACACCACACCAAGACCTGTCAATCACACGTCCTAAAAACATCTAGAATCCATCCACTTTCCTCCATTTATTCTGCCACCACCTTGGTTTAAACCACCAATGCAAGAATCTCCTAGTCAGTCTCTATGCTTCTGCTTTTGCAGGAATATCAAAGTACATCAACCTAACAATAAGAGAAATAAATGCTCATTTCAAGTTTCTTTTCTGGGGTCAATATTTGGTAGCTCTGGAAATCTAAAATCCCTTAATTAGCATGAGAGCCGCCAGTGAACTTACAATGAACAGGTTGAGGCCTCTCATGGGTAACCTCTGAAACAACCCCTCTTCAAGTTTTCCAAGAAAAGTAACAATTTTCCTGGGTATGCTGGAGCCAATGACGAATCCAATCCATTTGCTAATTTGTGTTTATTGATGCAAGGGGATAAACCCGGAAAAATCTGGGCAGAAATGGTAAATTTGGGGCTTAATAAAGTTGCCTTAAAATATTCCTCTGTTTCAGAATGAATTCTAAGATTTATAAAAGAGACTCCTTGATTCCAGTGCATACCTGATGTGAGACAGATTCCTGTCATTCAAATGCATATTCTATGCATTGAATGGAGTATGCCCATCAGCCCAGGTTGCAAAGCCATGGGGCAGAGCACTAAACAATTTGGGCACTCAGCAAGTTATAATTCAAATAAATATAAAACACATGGCGCCAACTTTTTCAGATGACTGATGCTCAGGAACAGTTGATGCCTCCTGACTGGATAGATAAATGTTTTGGTTGCCAAGAGCTAGAGTTCTCTCTGAACACTGCCAGCCTATCACGTTGTTGTCTAATCAATGAATTCTAACAAAGCAGCATATACATGGAAATGCAAGTACAGGTTTCAAGGTTTGTGTGACACCACGGAGCTGTATGAGCTAGCCAAATTGAACACAAATTACTTCATCGAAATAACAGCCAGAACCAAGGAAAAAACGTTTCCCTGTATATCAAAAAGGCCAATATGAGTATTGGCACGAATGACTCATATCATACAACATGATGCCAATTCAAGTGTGTCAAAGTTCTCACAATTTAAATATGAATGTTCACCCACTCAATACAGAGCACCAACAAGTCTTAATATTGTTGGTACTAAACAAAGAATCTCCACTCAAGCTCTTTCCACAAGAAAAATGCATTACAAATTCAGTCAGAAGGGCATCCCCAAGTGTGAGTTACATAGTTAGGGCTCAGTTATTTAATAAACAACCCTTTCTGTGACTAAAACCTAATCACATCACCAAAAACATTTTTGAAAGCCATATCTGAGATACGTTTTCTGTGTATCGTATCTTCTTCTCTACAGTAGAAAAATGACATTTCGTACTGTGGACACACTGGTTAGACCAACATTACAGATTAGAGAAAGATGAATGTCTGGATCAAAGGGGTCGAGTCAACCCTTATAAAACAAGTGTAGACAAATCTTGAAGTCTGCACTTGTATTCCCACGTGTAACCTGCTTTGCTGGTATTCACTGATGAGACAACGTGACAGGCTAGCAGCACTGGAAGATCTGTGGCTCTCACAATCAAAACAGTGTGTCTGTAAAATGATTCAGCCCCCCTTTCCTTTTGGCATCTGAGCTGCAGACCGAGCAAGTTGTTTCTGTCACCAAAAATGCCCTGGGAACTATACATAGAGCCGAAGTGAGCTTTCTTATGAGACTTCCCTTGGGGACAGGTCCAGCATATCTGAAAGGGAACTGCTGTGAGACCATTTTAGCTCAAGGGATCCCAAATCCTTACTGGGATGCTGGTGAGAATGAGTGCTCCGCTGCCGCACCGCGATTTCGACTGCAAAGCTTTCCAACACAAGGTCCACTGCGCGGGGAGCAAGTGTTTGGGAGGCAGGACCTTGGCTTTCCTCAGAATCAGGCCTTTCCGGCGGCCCCCCTCCCAGCCTTCCAGGGCATGGAGCTAGTCCTGTGTCTAAAGGAGTCGGCAGGAAAAAGGCGCGGCAATGCGAGTGGGTGGTCGCCGGCCTGCTCGGTGCCGCCCGGCGACCAACTCTGCGGCGCCGGCGCCGAGTGCCTGGACCCGATTAAGGGGAAGGATTAGAAAGGGGGTGCCCGCCGGGCAGCGTACTCACCCTCCCCTGCGAACGCCCGGGCTCGCGTGCCGGGATCCACGCCCGGACCCCGCGCGGCCTTCCGGGTGAGCTGCCCGCGGCCGCCGGGACCTGCACTGCCGGATAGCTCGGCATGCCTCGGCTCCGCGGTGGAATCTGGCCTGGCCCGTCATCCAGTTCCTGTCCCCGGCAGGCTCCGGCCCAGACCAGGCCCCCGGCCTCTCACCCCGACCTCAGGTTTCCGCCACAGCCCCCAGCCCAGGCCCTGGACACGCGTCCGGCCCCTGCCTCCGTGCCCGGCCCCCACGCCGCCTCCCGTCCCTCAGATCTCCGGCCGGCGTCCCCACGACCGGCCCCGACTAGGCCCCCGGCTGGGCCCTTCTTCAGCTGGGCGCGCACCTCTCCTTGGAGTAGAGCTGCAGCTGCTGCTCCTGCTGCTTCTTCCGGATAAACGCCATGGAGGGTAGGCGCGGGCGGGCGCAGAGCGCACAGGCAGGCCCCGCCGCCGCCTGCCGAGGAGGTCCGGAGGAGCCGGGGAGGGCGGGATTGGTGGCCGGCTGGGGAGCGCGCGGCTGCCGGCCTGGCTTCCCCTGCGGCGCCGCTGGGCGGCCGAGAGCCCGACGCGGCGTCCCGGCCGCGCTCACCGCAGCATCCTCGCGTGGGGACTCCGGCGGCACCGTGACTCAGGCCCGGAGGAGGGGCGCGCGGTGACACGAGGCGCCCCAAACTCAGGCCGCCTCAGAGGATCGCCAGGGCCAGCGGCCAGACCAGGATCCGACCTCACACACTAAACGTTTCACCACTTTACCAACCATTGCAGGCTGCGTTTTAAATATTTTACGCATAAAAAGGGATGCTGGCCCATAAACCACCAATCTGTTGGCCACAAAGACTTGAAATAACAACGTTTTGTGTCCTCCATTGTGAAAAAAAAAAAAAGACGGAAGTTAAAGGGGTGAAGGCAACTCAGTCGTAACTATTCCAAATACACCAGGAATAAGTGGAGATTTATAGCCAAGGAGCAAGGAGCAGGTGTTCGGAAAACTGCTAAGAGGAAACATCAATTCTGGGGGAAATTCTGGCTGAACCAACCTAACAGGAGTCCCAGTGAAGGCAGGCCAGGGGGTCAGATACTAAGGGTAGGAGTAAAGAATTTTGATCACATATGGAGGGTGGGGGATTCTTGCTAAACTGCCGTGGCAGTGTTACTTCCTAACACTGCATTTACAAGGAAGTGCACACAAGGACCTGGGAGAAGATTCAGAAGCCTAACTGAAGTTTGGCCAAGCAAAGAATCTTTAACACAGTCTCTTGATTGTTGAGATAATTGCTCGCATGATTTTTTTTTATATAACAGCTTTATTGGGATATAACTCACATACCAAACAAGTCAACCATTTAAAGTATACCATTCAGCGATTTTTAGTATATTTCCAGATATGTTCAACAATCACCACAATTTGAGAACATTTTCATCACATGTAAAAGAAACCCATACCCTCTAGCTGTCACTCTTCCTAACTCTACCCTCCAAACCCCAGCCCTAGCAAACAATAATCAATTTCCTGTCTCTATGGGTTTGCCTATTCTGGATATTTCATATAAATGGAGCCATACAATATGTGGCCTTTTGTGTCTGGCTTCTTTCATTTAGCGTAATGCTTTCAAGGTTCATCTATGTTGTAGCATGTATCTGTACAGTACTTCGTTCCTTTAGATTGCTGGAGCATATTCTGTTGCATTTTGTTTATCCATTCATCAGTTGATGGACATTTCAGTTGTTTCCACATTTTGGCTATTGTGAATAAGGCTGCTGTACACAGTCATGTACAGTTTTTTTATGGACCTATGTTTCCATTTCTGTTGAGTGGAATTGGAATCTAAGAGTGGAATTGCTGGATGTGGAGGCGAAAGCAGCTCCATCTTGGAAGCTAATCCTCCGTGTTGACTTCTGATTGACCCCAGTTCTGGGAAGGCCTCTAAGATTTCTACTTTATCTATTGTTCCTTGTGTAAGAGCAGGTATCTACCCAGTATGTTCTGTCCTTAATTCAAACAACTTGATGTTATTATACTTCAATTGTCCTACACATCCCTTCTGAACCACCCCTCCCCTATGGTATATAAGCCCTAAGGGGCTGGAGTGATGGCTCATGCCGGTAATCCCAATGCTTTTGGAAGTTGAAGCTGGAGGATTCCTTGAAGCCAGGAGTTCGAGACCAGCCTGGGCAACAAAGCAAGACCCTGTCTCTACAAAAAATAAAAAATAAAAATTACCTGGGTACAGTGGCACACACCTATAGTCCCAGCTACTGGAGAGGCTGAGGCAGGAGGATTGCTTGAAGCCAGGAGTTCGAGACCAGCCTGGGCAACAAAGCAAGACCCTGTCTCTACAAAAAATAAAAAATAAAAATTACCTGGGTGCAGTGGCACACACCTATAGTCCCAGCTACTGGAGAGGCTGAGGCAGGAGGATCACTTGAGTCCAGGAGTTTGAGGCTTCTGTGAGCCATGATCGTACCACTGCACCCCAACCTAGGCAATACAGAGAGAGAGAGACCTTATCTCAAAAGAAAAAAAAAAAAAAACATTGAGTCTGGGGGTTAATAGCACAGCAATCCACCATCTCATCTTGCTGCCCAAGACACAGATATGGACATGGCTTCTGTTCCTTAGTCGCTATTAAATGTTTCTTCCCAAGGAACTTTATTTGTCAGCCTCTTTCTTCCACCTCCCGGCATCCCAGGACTTTGAGATAGATTTGTATAGGCCTGCCCACCATGGAACTGGGTCATATGGTAACTCCATGTCTAAATGTTTGAGAGACTGCCAGACTGTTTTCCAAAGTGGCTGTACGATTTAACATGCCCACCAGCAGCGTAGAAGGGTTCCAGTTTCTCTACATCTTTACCAGTATTTATTATTACCTGACTTTTGTTTAGAGCTATTCTAGTGGTATGAGTGGTATCTCAGTGTGGTTATAACTTCTTAATATATGCTGAGAATGAGCCTCTGATTGTTTACCTTTGAGGGATTCTTGAATAACACGCCTCTAAGTTTCTTTTTCACGTTAAACAGGTAATGTGCCAAACTCGTAACAAGGTTCAAGGGCGGCACATCACACAGCTGCACATGAACACCCAATCATCACACTTATGAACTACAAAAGGATCCAAACCTCTAAATTGTATGCTTGTGGAAACATATCTCATACTGTCTTAAGGATCAGGTTTTGCAGGGTTACATTTTTAGAAGCTTCAAGGTAAATGTACATCTCAGCTTTCTCTAGTAAGTCGCAGGACTGTGAAGAGAAGGTAGGGAAACCAAGAATAAAAGTTGTGGCTGGGTCTTTTGAATTTGACCCCTAGCAGCACTGGACAAAATGCTATGTATACTGAGCACACCCATTAAAAATTTTGGGAATGAATGAAGGTGCCTGGGTACCCTTTGACTGTGACTGAGTCCCTTCCACGTGTCCAAGTGCAGTGCAGAACCTGTAACACATTAGGTCAACATTCCTGGAGGAAATTGTGATGCTGTCTGGTAGCCAAGAAATAAATACATGAGCAGGTACACAATGAAATAAGATAATAAAATTTGTCAAAAGGTACATGATAAATTTCTTTATGAGAAGTACTACAAAAGGTTCTGTGAGTTCAGAGGAGAGATTAATTTGGCTGGAATAAGGAAAAAACAACAACAAAAACCCAGAATGTAAGTTATCTTCTTGAAGTTAAACATTAGAGGAAGATTAGATGTGATCGAATAGGCAGAGACTGTTAAAGAATCTCCTTAACCCAACTCTAGCCAAATTCCTCTGAGCCCACTTCTCAACTAGGCCTCAACCTTGGCCTATAAAAACCAGACTCCCAGCACGAATAATTTAGTCCAGTCCCCATCCCCCACATTAAAAGACTTAAACAAACAAACATAATTTCTAACAGCTTGAGGCCACATCCCTAGCATAACCCAGCCCCACTTAATGTACCTGTCTGAGAAAGCTCAAAGCAATTAAAAGAATTTACTACTTATGCCCGGCACGGGTGGTTCACGCCTGTAATCCCTGCACTTTGGGAGGCCAAGGTGGGCGGATCACCTGGGGTCAGAAGTTTGAGACCAGCCTGGCCAACGTGGTGAAACACCATCTGTACTAAAAATACAAAAAAGTGGCCGGGCGTGGTGGCGGGCACCTGTAATCCCAGCTACTTGGGAGGCTGAGGCAGGAGAATCGCTTGAACCCAGGAGGTGGAGGTTGCAGTGAGCCGAGATAGCACCATTGTACTCCAGCCTGGGTGACAGAGGAAGACTCCATCTCAAAAAAAAAAAAAAAAAAGAATTTACTATTCATTCCAGCCAACATCTGACACAGGCCCCATCTGATATAGTAAAGCCAACATCTGACATAGTAAAGGGTGTACTCTGACCACCCTTTCTTAGAACATTTACCAAAAAGGGCTTACAATTGTGAATCACTCCTCTGTCCCTTTAAGATGTATATGTGTCTCCTACAACTCACAGTGTCTTTCTCAAGGACCTGAAATCTATTCCTTTGAAATGTAATCATTAGGAAGTATAGGACCTTGTCTTACAGGCTCTGTGAGAAAATAGAATCTCAACTTCAATAATGACCAGCTAGCGGACACAGCTGACCTAATCACATTTACACAGACCATTCCTTTCTAGATTTTTAATTCCCTTACTCTATTCAGCCCGATTTCCCCTTCCCTACTCCCTCATTTTCACTTCAAAAATGTCCGTCCACCTTTGCACAAATCAAAGTTGAATTCGTGCTGACTCCTGACCCCTATTGCAATAATGTATTACTGATTAAAATCTGTCCTTACCATTTGAACTAGTGTCTGATTTTGTCTATCTTTGGCAGAAAGAAGGGAAGAAACACAATCGAAGGGATTGTCTTGAACAATAACTCAGAAGAGACACGCTTCCTTTTTAACAGTTTGTGTTCGTGGAGAATTGAGAGAACTGAGACTGGAGCTCCCTCATCCTCCCCTCACCAAAGCATCCACCCTACTAGCATCTGCCCTCTTATGCTTTGTCTTCATTTCTGCTATTTTAAGGTATATTTGCTCCTATCAAAGGCCAACTTCTCCTTTCTTCCCAACAATTTAGCCTTTGCGATGACCCTTTCTTCTTTCTTTTTCTCTCTTGCTTTCTCTATTTCTCTCTCACTGTTGGATCATTTCTATTTGAATATAAATGTAGTTTTCAAAAAACTTTCCCTTTATCCTACATCTCCCTCCAACTCCCCATTCACAGAGGAACTTCTTGAAACATCTGCCTATACATGCTGCTCCATTTTCTCACCTTGTGTTTTTTTTTTGTTTTTTGTTTTTTTTTAAGTTGGAGTCTCGCTGTGTCGCCCAGGCTGGAGTGCAGTGGCGCAATCTCGGCTCACTGCAACCTCTGCCTCCCGGGTTCACACCATTCTCCTGCCTCAGCCTCCTGAGTAGCTGGGACTACAGGCGCCCGCCACCACGCCCAGCTCATCTTTTGTATTTTTAGTAGAGACAGGGTTTCACTGTGTTAGCCAGGATGGTCTCGATCTCCTGACCTCGTGATCTGCCCACCTCGGCCTCCCAAAGTGCTGGGATTACAGACATGAGCCACCGTGCCCGGCCTCACCTTGTGTTTTCTGGAGTCCATTCCAATTGGACGTCCAGGCTAGATGTGGTGGCTCACACCCATAATCCCAGCATTTTGGGAGGCTAAGGCAGGAAGATGTCTTGAGGCAGGAGGATGGCTTGAGGCAGGAGTTCAAGACCAGCCTGGGCAACATAGTGAGACTTCATCTCTACAAAAAAATTTTAAAAAATTAGCCGGGCATGGTGGTGCGTGCCTGTAGTCCCAGCTACTTGGAAGGCTGAGGTGAGAGGATAGGTTGAGTCCAGGAGTTTGAGGCTGCAGTGAACTCTAACTACACCACTGCATTCCACCTTGGGTAACACAGCAAGACCCTGCCTCCAAAAGTAATAATAATTGGACTTCTATTTCCACCACTCCACTGTAATGGTTCTTGTCAAATCACTACATTCATTGATCACTTTTCTAGCTTCATCTTTCTGAGCTACCAGCAGAATCAAATGTAGTATAACATAGCATTTAACGTATCTCCTCACTGGAGGGCTTTGCTCCCATTACTTCTGAGAGCCCACAGTTTCTTTGCTTTTCTCCTACCTTGATTCTTTCTTCTTGTCAGTCTCCTTAGTTGGTTTCTCTCCTGACTAATTTCTTAATGTTGATTCTCTGTACTCAATCTCCAGGTAATTTCAACTGGTGCCATGACAGAGGGCTGTTGAGAAAAAAATTTCTGATACAGTTTGAGCTTCCCAAATCAAAAAATTCCAAATCCAAAATACTCCAAAATCCAAAACTTTTTGGGTGCTGACATGATGCTCAATAGAAATGCTCGTTGGAGCATTTTGGATTTCAGATTTTTGGATTAGAGATGTTCAACCAGTATGTATTCTGCAAGTATTTCAACATCCAAAACAAAATTCTGAAACCCAGAATATTTCTGGTCCCAAGCATTTCAGATAAGGGATACTCACCCTGTAGTAGCACATTCTTTTCTTACCTGAAGAAAATGGGCAATCGCCATTCCCTTACACATGTTATGACTGCCTTCATGCTTTTAAGCTTCCTGTCCTCTCTGTCTAAAATGCCTTCCTACCTTTCTACCACCATTTCTTCCTGTGAAAATCCTACCTGTCCTTTAAATTCCCATTCAAAACTTATTTGAAGTCTTTTTAATGCACCCAAGTGGAATTTATCTCACATTCACTTACTCAGTACATATTTATTTCACATCAGTGTATGTCACGCATTCAGCTGGGCATTAGTGGGTAGGTGCCTTTGAGACTATGGTTGGATAGGGATGTGAACAGTGACCCCATTTTACCTTATAAGGCCTATCTCCCTCTTTGGGTTAGAATCTCCTTGGGAACAGAAACAGTGACTTGTTGGTCTTTATATCCACATTGCCACTAAATACAGTGTCTTGCACTTAGCAGTTGCCCAGTAAATGTTTGTTGAATTGAATATTGTGCTTTCTTTTGTCAGCATGTGTATCTATTTTGATTTGTTATACTGTAAATAAAAGAAAACTCAGTCAATAGTTGGAGTACATTTCCTCATCATTGGCATGGATGGCACAGATGTTAATAGAAGCCTGACTTTTCTCTTAGACTTGTAGCCTTTTGATCACAAGATCACGTTCCATCACCATGATTGTACTTAGCTTCTGAGGAGAAATAAGGAGGAAGGGCAGGGCCAGCCTTGTGTGTTTCTCTTATTAGTAAACCAAAAGCACTCCCAGAAATGCACACCAATCTTCCAGGCCAGAATTCTTGCATAGCAGCAGTGGAGACTGGGCAAACAAGTGCTTCACTCTTACAGCCTCAATATTGCCAAGCCGCCAGGCAGAAGCAGGTTGGGAATGGCTCCCGGGTCAGTCAATCTGCAACGTGTACCCCATTACTAAAATGAAAACTAGCCAGGAATACATATTGATACTTATTCTTAAGGAAGATGACACCTGAGACTATTATTTTTTTCTTTACATCGTCTTCATTAAAAGGTATTGACTATTTATTGTATGCCAGGAAATGTTCTAGGTACTAGAGACTCAGCCATAAATGATATGAAGTCCTTGCCCTTTTGGAACTTACCTTCTGGTAAGAGTGACTATTTAAAAAGTGAATAATGTAAATTTAGGTAAGGATAAGTATCACAAGAAAAACTGAACCACAGTAAGGAATAGAGCATGAAGAGGGTGAGAACTTCTTTAGATAGGGGGTCAGAGAAGTCTCCTCTGATCACTGATATTTCAGCTGACAACTAAATGAATTAAGAAACTTGAATGTGCAGATCCTGAGAAAAGGCATTCCAGGTAGAAGGAATAGCAAGGTCAACAGCCTGAGCCAGCACTTTAGTGTCTAGAGCACACTAACGGTGAGAGATAGAGGCAGCAGGGCCCAGACCACAGGACAAAGGTGAGCACTGGATTTTTTCTTATTATTTTTATTAATGTGTGACACAGGCCACTGGAGGGGTAAGAGCAGGAAAATGACATGATATGTTTTACATTTTAAAGTTTGACCACTGCGTTACAAGCCTGAAAGAAGCTCAAAACTTACATGGACAGCAGGAAAATTTAGATAGAACTGTGATCAGCTCTTTCCTCTTGCACATTTTGCTTAAATAACAAAGGGAATTGTATGAGTCTGGGTTCTCCAGAGAAACAGAACTAATAGGAGTTTATATATAGGAGTCTGGAATGTATATATCCAAGTCTGAGCCCAAGAACCTGAAAACCAGGAGAGCCCGTTGTATAATCTCCAGTCTCATCCCAAGCCCAGAGGCAGAAGAACAATGCCCCAGCTCAAAGACAGTCAGGCAAAGAGAGATTATTCTCTCTTACTCCACTTTTGTGTCCTATTCAGGCCTCCAATAGATTGTTTGAGGCCTCTCTACATTGGGAGGGCTGTATGCCTTACTCAGTCCACCAACTCAAAAGGAACCTCCCCCACAGACATACCCACAATAATGTTTAACCAAACATCTGACCCCATGGACCAGTCAAGTTGACACACAAAATTAGCCATCACAGGAATTTGTAGCTCAGGTACCTGGAAATCCGAAGTATCGTATACATCAATGTTCGTTAATCCAGTGGCTCAATAAGTTCATCAGAGACACAGTTTTTCATCATCTTTCTGTTAGGCCTTCCGCATAGTTAGCTGCCTTCTAAGTCTGGTTCCCTTCCCCTATGGCTGGTAATAGGTAGCTTCTGGTATTTGGCCAGCTGCCTACTTTCTCCCTCAGGGTGAGAGACCTCATCCAGCCCAGGCTGGCTAGCAAGTATCTAGAGACTCCCTTGATTGTCCCTATTAGTTCACATGACTTCCCCAAATCCAAGACTGATGAGGGAAATGAAACATTCTCTGAGACTCTGGGCCATCTCTAGAATTGGAGGTAGAAGTTAGCATTCCCCAAAGTACATGAGTTAAGTAAGAAAGGGGTGGAAAGACAAATGAAAATGCGTGTGTGAGTAGGAGCAGGTCCTGGGGCAGTAATGAGATTTGAGACATTTAAGTCACAGCAGACATTGCGTGTAATCACTTATGTTTTCTCATTTTGGCAATGCCGGTGCAAGCCTCCTCTTCTCCCTTTCATAGTTATCTGGGCATGTGAGTTAGTGTTGAAATTAATGGAGGAATAAGACCTCACATTTTTTTAAGAGGATTTTTTTAGATGATTTTTCCCATGCAGTTAATACTGTTTCTGAGGTTCTGTTTTTTATGTCCAGTGGGAAAAAATTAAATAGGAGCTGTATATGCCCATATTGGCATCAATTTTTCCTCCATGGGTTCTATACAGCTTCCAGAGGGCATCTGTTATCTGTCACCTGCACAGTTTATCTTCCTTGCTTGGGTAAAGATTAGGGTAATTGCTGAAGTCATCCCTCATTTAAGATCTTCTCCCTTGTACTTTATAAATCCAGCAATGTTTTTACTCTGCATGTTGCTAATCGGAGATTAGTATAGATTAGGTTAGAAGATAAACAGGAAATTATAAATAAAACCATAATTTTAAGATATACATACATTGTATGCCCTAAAATACAGAAATGTCAACTTCATAAAAAGTAAGTGAAAATTACAACAAAATGAGATACTATTTTCAGATATCGATGTGACAAATATCAGTACTGTCAATGGTCGTGTCCAGTGCTGAAGTGCTTAAACACTATTGATGGAAGTAAAATTGGTAAATTTCTCTAGTGTAAACTGGTAAATGTTTAGTAACCAGCAAGTTGGAAGAAAACAGGCTGATTTGGAGTGTTTGCCAATTTCTGTCGTGTAAAATACCCCCACTATGGCCAATTTCATGTTACCAACGTGAAATCACTGAATGCAGAGCTGGGAAGAGATGTATACAGGTGAACTGGCTCTTCTGGAAGGCAATTTAAATATATCACAGGATTCAACAAAATTTGTTTTTGTTTTGTTTTTGTTTTTTGACACAAGGTCTCTCTCTGTTGCCCAGGCTAGAGTGCAGTGGCATGATCTCAACTCATTGCAACCTCTGCCTCCCGGGCTGAAGCAATTCTTTGACCTCAGCCTTCTGGGTAGCTGGGAGTACAGGTAAGCACCACCACACCCAGCTAAAAAAAAAAAAAAAACAAAAAAAACTTGTACAGACAGAGTCTTTCTACATTGCCCAGGCTGGTCTCTTGGATTCCTGGGCTCAAGTGATCCTCCTGCCTTGGCCTGTCAAAGTGCTGAGATTACAGGCGTGAGCCACAGTGTCTGTCCCAGTTTTATGTTTAATCAGTTAAAAACCAACAGTAGGGCTGGGCGCGGTGGCTTATGCCTGTATTCATACCACTTTGGGAGGCCGAGGGGGTCAGATCACTAGGTCAAGAGTTCGAAACCAGCCTGGCCAACATGATGAAACCCTGTCTCCACTAAGAATACAAAAATGTGCTGGGTGTGTTGGTGTGTGCCCGTAATCCCAGCTTCTTGGGAGGTTGAGGCAGGAGAATTGCTTTAACCTGGGAGGCAGAGGTTGCAGTAAGCCAAAATCGTGTCACTGCACTCCAGCCTGGGCAACAGAACGTTTCATTTCCCTCATCAGTCTTGGATTTGGGGAAGTCATGTGAACTAAGAGAGACAATCAAGGGAACCTCTAGATACCTGCTACCTAGTCTCGGTTAAAAAAACAAAAACAAACAACCAACAGTAATCCAGTTTCTACTAAGAGGTCAATGGTTAAGTAAATTGTTATCTATTCAGTAAAATAATATGTGGTCATTTAAAATCCTGTTTCTAAAGAAGATTTAATTACTTAGGGAAATGACTACAATGAATTTGTGAAATATTTGGAAATGATATATTTTATATTATCTCAACATATCTTAAGTGTACTAAAAATTTAGCAAGTGTTTATAGCAGTTATTTCTGAATACAGAGATTATGTTTTCTTCTTTATACTCCTACGTATTTCCCAAAGAATATAGAAGTGCCCCTTATTCACAGTTTCACTTTCTGCAGTTTCAGTTACCTGCAGTCAACAGCAGGCCAAAAATATTAAATGGAAAATTTCAGAAATAAACAATTCATGCATTTTAAATTGCTAGGTGTTCTGAGTAGCATGATGAAATTGCATGCTCTCTGTTGCTGTCTGGCTCTGTCCCACCGGGGATGTGAGTCCTCCCTTTGTCCAGCATCTCCATGCCACAGATGTTCCCTGCCCTTTACACACTTAGTAGCCACCTCAGTTATCAGATGGAAAAACATAGTGTGTATAGGGTTCGGTACTATCTGAGGTTTCTGGCAGCCACTGGGGACCTCAGAAGGTATTCCTCACACATATGGGGAGACTTCTGTATAAGTTTTCCCTCAGTGTTTTGGGGATATTCCAGGACTTGCCTATACTCTCTGTGCAAATACCAAATTCTCAGATGCTCAAGTCCTTTATAGTCGGCCTCTGTATCTGTGGGTTCTTCATCCATGGATTCAATCAACCGTGTCTCTAAGGGTGGACTGTACTACTTTCGTAATTGAAAACCAAATCACATTTATTACCCATTTTCTTATGCAAAAATTGGTGTATAAACAGCATTTTTGGAGGGCACATCCTAAAGGATTCTCTTTTTCCATTTTTCTCTGGTCAATTTCTGGACTAGGAGAACACTGAATGTGTGTTCCTTTAAATTTTCTACTTCATGATTTGCAAGAAACCACTGTCAAGGAGCCACCGTTGGCCCAGGATCATTTCCCCAGCCCAGGCCTGCCTCCTGCCTCTCCAATTTCTCTTTTGCTATGGTCTTGAGAACTCAGCTTGGTTTGGTTTCCTTTGTGACTCTCAGCACACACTCTACCCGTTGGGATTTGTTTTTCCTTAAGCTTGGCCACTCCAGAAAACAAAGCTTTCAGCTCTTTTCTTCACTTATTTTCCCCCAAACACATTGATATTGCCTTTTTTCTTTCAAGGGCTGTTTTCCCACAGTACTGGTCCTGGGACACTACTGCTAATGCCACCAGTACCACTGGTTATCATTTGCTAAGTACTACTTTTAAAGTATTTTTTGTATGTTAACTTGTTTAGTCATCATAACCATTCTATGACGCAGGCACAATCATCCCCGTTTTGTATATGAGGAAACTGAAGCATGAGATCACACATCTGGAAAGTCGAGGAGCAGGGATTGGAATCTCTCAGTTTAGACCCAAAGCCCGGTCACGTAACTACTAGATCACATTGCCTCGAGAGAAAGAAAAGAAACTTTTAATGTGAGGAATGGAAGCCTCCTTTAAACGACCAGACCCAGGCAGGGCACGGTGGCTCATGCCTGTAATGCTAGCATTTTGGGAGGCCGAGGTGGGAGGGTCTCCTGAACACAGGAGTTTGAGACCAGCCTGGACAACAAGCATAGTGAGAGCTCGTCTCTACAAAATAGTAAAAAAATACCTAGGCGTGGTGGAGGACACCTGTGGTCCCAGCTCATCAGGAGGTAAGGTGGGAGGAAAACTTGAGCCTAGTGAAGGGGTGGGTTGCCCCTCCACACCTGTGGGCATTTCTCTTCAGGTGGAATGAGAGACTTGGAAAAGAAAGAGACACAGAGACAAAGTACAGACAAAGAAAAATGGGCCCAGGGGACCGGTGTTCAGCATACGGAGGACCCGCTCCGCACCGGCCTGAGTTCCCTTAGTATTTATGGATCACTATCGAGCGTTTCCCGGAGAGGGGGATGTGGCAGGACAATAGGGTAATAGTGGAGAGAAGGTCAGCAGGAAAACATGTGAACAAATGTCTCTGCATCATAAACAAGGTAAAGAAAAAAGTGCTGTGCTTTTGATGTGCATATACATAAACATCTCAATGCCTTAAAGAGCAGTATTGCTGCCAGCATGTCTCACCTCCAGCCCTAAGGCGGTTTTCCCCTATCTCAGTAGATGGGATATACAACTGGGCTTTACACCGAGATATTCCATTGCCCAGGGAAGAGCAGGAGACAGATGCCTTCCTCTTATCTCAACTGCCAAGAGGCGTTCCTTCCTCTTTTACTAATCCTCCTCAGCACAGACCCTTTACGGGTGTCGGGCTGGGGGACGGTCAGGTCTTTCCCTTCCCACGAGGCAATATTTCAGACTATCACATGGGGAGAAACCTTGTACAATACCTGGCTTTCCTAGGCAGAGGTCCCTGCGGCCTTCCGCAGTGTATTGTGTCTCTGGATACTTGAGATTAGGGAGTGGTGATGACTCTTAACAAGACTGCTGCCTTCAAGCATTTGTTTAACAAAGCATCCTGCGCAGCCCTTAATCCATTTAACCCTGAGTTGACACAGCACATGTTTCAGGGAGCACAGGGTTGGGGGTAGGGTTACAGATTAACAGCATCTCAAAGCAGAATTTTTCTCAGTATAGAACAAAATGGAGTCTCTTATGTCTACTTCTTTCTACACAGACACAGTAACAATCTGATCTCTCTTTCTTTTCCCCACACCTAGGACATTGAGGCTTAAGTGAGCAGTGATCACACAACTGCACTCCAGCCTGGGTGACAGAGTAAGACCCTGTCTCAAAAAAAAAAAAAAAAAAGAAAAAGAAAAAAAAAACGGACCCAGCGGGGTGTTGGAATGAGACTGCAGTCATATTCCACCCATCCTCTCACCCCCTTGAGCTAAGTAATCATTTTGAAGTTGCTTGTCATATGGCCTCTAGACTGGCTGATGCCTCCAGTAGCTATAAATTAGCCTAATAATGCCATATGCTGGACACCATAATTCATACCTAATAGCTCAACAGTGTATAGCCAATTACTAACAATGTCATTTTTGTAAGCTAATGAGGATTCCTGACAAACCACTTTTATACTTTCATCATCACTCCCTCTCCCAATTCATCATTTTTTTCTTTAGCAGCTCCAGTCTCTCCTTTGTTCTCCAGAGCACTTCCCAAGGTAACTTAGAAGTATTTTCTGGGCTGCAGTCCTTAACTTTAGGCCAAATAAACCCTCTACCTATAGTAATTTTGGCTCAATTTCTTTCTTTAGGCCAACACTCCTAAAAATCACAAATGAAGCTGAATGGGCATTCACTTTCTGCTTTCATCTTCTTGGGGATAAGAACTATAAAATCCTTGGCCGGGCGCGGTGGCTCACACCTGTAATCCCAGCACTTTGGGAGGCTGAGACGGGTGGATCACGAAGTCAGGAGATCGAGACCATCCGGGCTAATATGGGGAAACCCCGTCTCTACTGAAAATACAAAAAAATTAGCCGGGCGTAGTGGTGGGCGCCTGTCGTCCCAGCTACTCAGGAGGCTGAGGCAGGAAAATGGCGTGAACCCAGGAGGTGGAGCTTACAGTGAGCCGAGATTGTGCCACTGCACTCCAGCCTCGGCGACAGAGCGAGACTTCATCTCAAAAAAAAAAAGAACTATAAAATCCTTTTCTCATTCCTCATCTGATCCTACCTTTAATGAAGGCCATATGGCTGCTTTTATTCCTTATAGTCCTTCCTTACAACATAAAGATATGAATAAGCTGAGCCAATAGAACAACCAAACCCCTGTAGGTCAAGTGGAAAATGTATCTTTGATCATTTTTAAACACGGTATTACCACGTTCGTTAGGCTTTAGTCGTATGAAAGAGTAATCCTCTCTTGGTATTTTCTTGCAGTACTCAAGACATCTGTTGGGCTCATCACCATAATATTATTGTGGCTCACGTGTGAGTTGGGGCCCTCTGCTCTAGTGCATTGTCTTGTAGACAAAGTTGGCTCTAAGCCTCATGGAATTCAAAGTCCTTTCCAAAATGGGCCTCATTTCTCTCAGGGTTTCTATCTTCATGGCTTCCTCTGTCTCCCAAGGTCTGGTTCTTTACTCTGGTCTTTGTTTTCACCATGTGAGGCCCCTTTCCTGGCTGACCTCCCTCCCAGCCCCACGGTATTAGTGTTTACTGGATAGCCGTGAGTCCAGGGAGGAGTAACGTCTGTACAAACTGCTTTGTAAAAAATTCCACATGAATTCTTCTCTCAGCCTACTACTTAGGATCTTAAGTCTACCACTGATGATTCCTCATGCTGCTCATCCATAAAGAATCCAGTCTCACATCTTCCCATTTTCTCCCTCTCTCCTTTCTCCTCTTTTCTTACCTCCCCGTCTTTCCCTCTCTAGAGCAACAGTTCTCAAACTTCAGTGTGCACCAGAATCACCCAGCTTGTTTAAAACAAGATTTCTCAGCCCACCCATAGTTTGTGATTGAGTGGGACTGAAGTAGGAACTGAGAATCTGCATGTTTTCAATTTTTAAAAGTGCTTTAGAGACAAAGTCTTATTATATTGCCCAGGCTGGAGTAGAGCAGCTATTTGCAGGCACAATCATAGCTCACCATGGCACTATTCCTGGGCTCAAGTGATCCTCCCACCTCAGTCTCTAGAGTGGATGGGACTATAAGCACCCCTGACTGTCCCCAGAAAGAATCTGCATTTCTGCTAAGCTCCCAGGTATTGCTGATGCTGATCTTGAGACCACTCTTTAAGAAATACTACTTTAGAACAACACATTTCTTCCCAGGTCTCCAAGACAGCAGTTCCATCTGCTTCTCTTTGGTTCACATTTTATTGCAAACACTTATTAACACATTTTTCCAACAAATATAATTCATTTCCTAAGAGGAATGGTGGTGCCAGGTTTAAAGAAATATGCTATTTTTGCCACTGTTACCTCATCTTCATAATTGTCAATATTATTACCCTCTGAATTTATTATGTGATTACTCTGTAGCATACACTGAGCTCTGTAATTTGCATTCATTTTTCTCCTTCAATCTTGTTGGGAGAAAATTCTCCATGAATCTACATTTTTCCATGTCTAAGCATCAATAGTCAATTTGTGCAGATTTATTTACATTCCAGTTTAGTAAAGGTAGACAGCGCCTCTGTCTATCTGTCCTCTCTCTCTTTCCATTCCTGGGTAGTAAAGATAAAAACCTCACCCTCCCCTCCCAGGGAAGATTTGCTAACATCCCAGAATAACAAATATAATTTCTGTTTCTGAAGGGCAGGAGGGACAGGTTTGCCAGCCCGCATATAATGCCAGGGGGGTCCTAAGCTTGGCATTCTTCAGGAGTGCTCCAAACCGCTGTGTGTGCAACACCCACCTGGGTGTCTTTATCACCCCCATGTACCTGACAGGCAAGGGAAGCTGGTGCTTGGATGAAGCTCACAATGTCTGCCCTGTCGTGAGTAATAAACTGTCTAAATCCATTTGGGTTCATTGTGTCCTTACCAGTTAAATTCAAGGATATTTGGAAGCCAGACTAACAGTTGTCACCAGCTGCTCCTCAGGAACTGCTTGACTTCTTAGCAAATCTTTAAGATCACTTGGTGAGATTGTTCTATTATATCCAATCTTCAGAAGAGGACAAGTTGGGCTTTGTGCAGTTTATTTTTTTTATTTTTTATTTTTTTAATGTTAACCATATATTAAAATATTTTAATAATGCAATTAACATATTCATAATTTAGTATGCAAGGTACATTACGGTAATTTCTATACCAGATGTCTGGTAATTCTTTATTTATTTATTTATTTATTTATTTATTTATTTTTTTATTGATCATTCTTGGGTGTTTCTCGCAGAGGGGGATTTGGCAGGGTCACAGGACAATAGTGGAGGGAAGGTCAGCAGATAAACAAGTGAACAAAGGTCTCCGGTTTTCCTAGGCAGAGGACCCTGCGGCCTTCCGCAGTGTTTGTGTCCCTGGGTACTTGAGATTAGGGAGTGGTGATGACTCTTAACGAGCATGCTGCCTTCAAGCGTCTGTTTAACAAAGCATATCTTGCACCGCCCTTAATCCATTCAACCCTGAGTGGACACAGCACATGTTTCAGAGAGCACAGGGTTGGGGGTAAGGTCACAGATCAACAGGATCCCAAGGCAGAAGAATTTTTCTTAGTACAGAACAAAATGAAAAGTCTCCCAGGTCTACCTCTTTCTACACAGACATGGCAACCATCCGATTTCTCAATCTTTTCCCCACCTTTCCCCCCTTTCTATTCCACAAAACTGCCATTGTCATCATGGCCCGTTCTCAATGCGCTGTTGGGTACACCTCCCAGACGGGGTGGTGGCCGGGCAGAGGGGCTCCTCACTTCCCAGTAGGGGCGGCCGGGCAGAGGCGCCCCTCACCTCCCGGACGGGACGGCTGGCCAGGCGGGGGGCTGACCCCCCCACCTCCCTCCCGGACGGGGTGGCTGCCGGGCGGAGACGCTCCTCACTTCCCAGATGGGGCGGCTGCTGGGCGGAGGGGCTCCTCACTTCTCAGACAGGGCGGTTGCCAGGCAGAGGGTCTCCTCACTTCTCAGACGGGGCGGCCTGGCAGAGACGCTCCTCATATCCCGACGGGGCGACAGGGCAGAGGCGCTCCCCACATCTCAGATGATGGGTGGCCGGGCAGAGACGCTCCTCACTTCCTAGATGGGATGGCGGCCGGGAAGAGGCGCTCCTCACTTCCTAGATGGGATGGCGGCTGGGCAGAGACACTCCTCACTTTCCAGACTAGGCAGCCAGGCAGAGGGGCTCCTCACATCCCAGACCATGGGCGGCCAGGCAGAGACGCTCCTCACTTCCCAGACAGGGTGGCGGCCGGGCAGAGGCTGCAATCTCGGCACTTTGGGAGGCTAAGGCAGGCTGCTGGGAGGTGGATGTTGTAGCGAGCCGAGATCACGCCACTGCACTCCAGCCTGGGCACCATTGAGCACTGAGTGAACGAGACTCCGTCTGCAATCCCGGCACCTCGGGAGGCCGAGGCTGGCGGATCACTCGCGGTTAGGAGCTGGAGACCAGCCCGGCCAACACAGCGAAACCCCGTCTCCACCCAAAAAATACGAAAACCAGTCAGGCGTGGCGGCGCGCGCCTGCAATCGCAGGCACTCGGCAGGCTGAGGCAGGAGAATCAGGCAGGGAGGTTGCAGTGAGCCGAGATGGCAGCAGTACAGTCCAGCTTCGGCTCGGCATCAGAGGGAGACCGTGGAAAGAGGGGAGAGGGAGAGGGAGCGGGAGAGGGAGAGGGAGGGGGAGGGGGAGAGACTTTGTGCAGTTTAATAACATAAGCAATCCACTCAATTAGTAAGTAAAAGTGACATGATTTGATCCCATGGCTGCCTGACTCAGAGTCTACTTTCTTTGTAATTATGTTTCCAGTGGCAATTCTGAGGTCTTTCAAAGAAACTGATAAGAATGAGAAATTCTCATTACTTGAAGTAAAGCTCTAAGGGACCTCATGGGAAGAAAATAAATCATTACACTCTTGTCCATACCCAAGGGAGAAGAGCTGCTCCAGAACAATCTTATCTCACAGTTCTTATCTCAAAAGTCCTCCTAGGAAATAGTGGCCTCAAAAGGAAGAGGGTAAGAGGGTAGAGGACAAGTTTGATGTTTCTGACATCAATCCTAAGGTTTGCTTTTCCTTAGTTTCTGTTAGTAGCCATTTATAATGTTTATACATTTGTAAATCCATTTTCAATTGGGTTTATTGAGGTATAATTTATATACAGTGAAATTGATCAATTTTAAGTGTGCAGTTGGATGAGTTTTGACAAATGTGTGCAGTCATGTAACCCCCACCATGAATATGATATAGAATATTTCACCATCCTACAGTGTTTCCTTGTGTCATGTTGTAAGGAGTCCCTGCCTCCATTCCTGGTCCCTGGCAACCATTGATCTGCCTTCTGTCACTATAGGCTTACGTTTTCTAGAATTTCACACAAATAGAATTATACAGTGTGCAATAATTCATATCTGACTTCCTTCACTTAGCATGGTGCTTTGAGATTTATTGGCATTGCTATGTGGACCAGTAGTTTATTCATTTTTATCACTGAGCAGTAATTCAGTATAGAGATACCACAATTTATCTCTTCAACAGTTTATGAATATCTGAGTTGTGTTCAGTGTTTTTAGCTATTATGGATAAAGCTCCTATCAACATTTGAATACAAGTCTTTATCAGAATGCATGTTTTCTCCCATCTCTTGGGGCCATCTCCTGGATGCTCACAAAAGCCCCAAGGGAAAATTTAGCTCCGTAGAGAGGCACATGATGTCTTTTAAGAACCTTTCTCTGATTACCTTTTGTACTTTGTTTCTAAATATTTTTCCTGCATGAAATTTTAGTCCATTCATTTATTAATTCAACATTTGTGCACCTGAACAATGTCAAGGGCTGGGGATAAGCATGGATAAGGCAGATATGGTTTCAGTTCTTACAGAACTTCTACTAGGTAAAACTGACTATAAACAACAGCAATATAAAATAATTGCAGATCATGATGAATGCTACAAAGAAAATAACTGGCAACCAAGATGGCACCAAAAGGTAGAGGAAAACACGGTGCTATGGACTGAATTGTGTTGTCCCGCCTCCAAAAATTCATATATTGAAGTCCTAAACACCAATGTGATTGTATCTAGAGATAGAGTTTTTAGAAGGTAATTAAGACTGAATTAGGTCATAAGGATCAGGCCTTGATCTGATAGTACTGAAGAATAAAGAGAAATCTTGTTATTTCTGTCTGCCATGTGAGGACACAGCAAGAAGGCACTGTCTGCAAGCTAGGAAGAGGGCCCTCACCAGAAAATGAATCAACTGGCACCTTGACTTGGACTTCTCAAACTCCAGAACCATGAGAAAATACATTTCTGTTGTTTAAGCCACCCAATCTATGGTATTTGGTTATGGCAGTCCAAGAAGAATAAGACACACAATTGGAGGTGACAAGATGAAAGAGCCAATAAGCTAAAATATTAGATGGGTCAGCCATTGGGTGTGAATGTCATCAAGAATAATGATGAAATAAGGAGGAGAGAAACTCACTGAGTCCAGAGCCAAAGCCTTTCGTGAATCAGGTGGGTTTCCCAAGATGCCAGTAGATTATAACAACTAACTTGGATATCAAATGGTATAGCCTGGTGTCATTAACTTCTAAGGAATTCTAGTTTTTAAAGGAGGAAGGAAAAAAATGGTTGGATGCAGCAAAGCAAGGAAGACAGTTATCTCTTTGTACTAAGTTACTTGAGGTGTGAGAACTCAGGGTTACACGGGACAAAGGACTAAAAGTTGGGGCAGGATGGGGAAGTATGAGAGATGGGACCAGACTGGGAATGAGTGTCCTGAGTCAGCCAATGGCCTGAAAAGCTTGGACTGCTAATGATGGCAGAGGTAAATAGAGAGATGAGGCATGGGGAGAAAGTTGGCAAAAAAATATGTAATCTTTGGTCCTGAATCTATGGCTCAATGGCTATGGTTACTGCTCACTTTCTGCATCTCTCCAAGATGCAGAAGGCTGGTAGGGATGCCTTTACTGGGGGCATGAGCTGCACTGAATCTCCTGTGCACACTCACACACCTAAGACTTTGCCAAGCTATTTTGAATTTGGTAATTCCCCTCCAACCAACTCATCATTCATTATTCAAGTCAAAATTCACCTTCTCTTTGAGCCATTTCCAATCACCATTTTTTATATACTCACACCTTAAACAGAACAAAGTAGGTATTGAACCTCCAGCATTCTCATAGTTTCCTGCTCATGAACTAGTTTTAGATCATACTATAATGTAATTACTTATTTATATGTTTGTTTACCTTACTCTAATAAGAGCTATTTAAGCACAGAGGTTATCTTAATTGTTATTCCTAGCAATTGGCAGAGTGTCTGTCTCACGTGTATTTCATCAGTAAGTACTGGTTGAAAGAATGAAAATTACAACTTTATTAGTCTATTACCTACTTTGTGAGGTTGGACTTCCTCTTATTTACTGTACTGACCTTGTTCAAGTTTCAGAGACTGCTCCTAAAACTAGCATTTTGAGATTGGCTGACAAATCCATTTTATCTTATTCAGGTGATTTTGAATTATGTGTGCTCTGTTGATACGTGACTTTCCAATCCACACACTGACAAACTGAAGATGCCCTACTTTGTGGCTTGTTTTGTCAGTGAAGTTTCTCTTCCCATTGTTTCAGCCACTTCAGTTGCCCTTCTCCAGACAATATAGACTCCTTTTCTTTCATTGCTTAAAAGGCGATGTTTGTCTAACAATAAACAATCCAGAAGCAAAATTAAGAAAACAATTCCATTTACAATAGCATCAAGAAGAATAAAATACTTAGGGATTAATATAACCAAGGAGGTGAAAGATTTGTATTAAATCTTTAAATGAAAAACTTTAAAACATTGCTGAAAAAAATTAAAGAAGACATAAATAATAGAAACACATCCCATGTTCATGAATTTGAAGAATTAGTATTAAGATGCCATTATACCCAAAGCAATCTGCAAATTTCATGCAATCCCTATCACAATCCCAGTGATGTTTTTTTCCAGAAATAGAAGACTCTACCCTAAAATTTATATAGGATATCAAAGAACTTTAAATAGCCAAGACAATCTTGAAAAAGAAGAACAAAGCGGACAGACTCACACTTCCTGATTTCAAAACTTACTACAAATCTACAGTAATTAAAACAGCATATATTGGTATAAAGAAAGACAGATAGACCAATGGAATAAAATGGAGAGCCCAGAAATAAGCCCTTATGTACATGGTCAAATGATTTTTGACAAGGGTGACAAGACCATTCAATAGGGAGGGAAAAGATAATCTTTTCAATAAATAATGCCGGGAAAATGGGATATCCACATGCAAAAGAATCAGGTTGGACCCTTAACTAACACCATATACAAACAAATCACTCAAATGGATGAAAAGCATCAATGTGAGACATAACACTTCTTGAAAGAAAACATAGAGCAAAAACTTTATGACATTGTGTTCAGCAGTAATATCTTGGCTATGACATGAAAGGCATAGACAGCAAAAGAAAAAATAGACAAATTGGACTTCATAAAAATTGAAAAATTTTATGTATCAAAAGACACTATCAGCAGAATAAGACAACCCACAATTTGGAAGAAATATTTGCAAATTGTAAGTCTAATAAGAGATTAATATTCAAAATATATAGAGAACTCCTAAAAGTCAAAAAGACACCAAAAAAAAAAAAACCCAAACAACCTGATTTTAAAATATGCAAAAAGGAATTTTTTTTTTTTTTTGAAATGGAGTTTTCTTTCTTGTCGACCAGGCTGGAAGTGCAGCGGCGTGATCTCGGTTCACCGCAACCACCACCTCCTCGGTTCAGCAATTCTCCTGCCTCAGCCTTCCGAGTAGCTGGGATTACAGGAATGCACCAACCACGCCTGGCTAATTTTGTATTTTTAGTAGAGAGGGAGTTTCTCCATGTTGGTCAGGCTGGTCTCAAACTCCCGACCTCAGGTGATCTGCCCACCTCAGCCCTCCAAAGTGCTGGGATTACAGGCGTGAGCCACTGCGCCAGGCTGCAAAGAACTTTAATAGACAATTCCCTAAAGATGATATACAAACGGCCAATAACCACATGAAAAGGTGTTCAGTATCATTAATCAGTAGAGAAATTCAAATTAAAACCACAATGAGATACCTCACATGTAGTAAGACAGGTATTATTAAAAAAAAAAAAAAAAAAGGGCCGGGAGTGGTGGCTCACACCTGTAATCCCAGCACTTTGGGAGGCCAAGGCGGGCAGATCACTTGAGGTCAGGAGTTTAAGACCAGCCTGGCCAACATGGTGAAACCCCGCCTCTACTAAAAATACAAAAATTAAGCCAGGGGTGGTGGTGGGCACCTGTAGTCCCACCTACTCGGGAGTCTGAGGCAGGATAATTGCTTGAACCCAGGAGGCAGAAGTTGCAGTGAGCCAAGATCGTGCCACTGCACTCCAGCCTGGGCGACAGAGTGAGACTCCATCTCAAAAAAAAAAAAAAAAAAAAAAAAGGCAGGGAGTGGTAGCTCATGCTTCTTATCCCAGCACTTTGGGAGGCCGAGATCCGAGATGAGAGAATAGCTTGAGCCTAGGAGTTCGAGACAAACCTGGGCAACATAGTGAAACCTCGTCTCTACAAAAAATTGAAAAAATTAATTAGGCATAGTGGCATGCACCTGTGGTCCCAGCTACTTGGCAGGCTCAGGTAGGAGAAACGTTTCAGCTCAGGAGGTCAAGGCTGCAGTGAGCCATGATTGTGCCACTGCACTCCAGCCTGGGCAACAGAGAGAGACTCTGTCTCAAAAAAACAAACAAAAAAAGATTTTGAATGAAAACAACCCCAGAAAATTAGTGTTGGCAAGGAGGTGGATAAATTGGAACCACTGTGCACTGTTGGTGGGAATGTAAAATGGTACAGCTGCAGTGGAAAATAGAATGGTGGTTCCTCAAAAATTAAAAATATAATTACAATATAATTCAGCAATTTCACTTCTGGATATATACTGCAAAGAACTGAAAGCAGAACCTCGAAGAGATATTTATACACCCACATTCACAGCAGTATTATTCACAACAGCTAAAATATGAAAGCAATACAAGGGTTCACTGAAAGTATTCACTTTGAATAAACAAAATGCGGTACGGTATTACATACAATGGAATATTATTCAGCTTTAAAAAAGAAGAAAATTCGGATACACGCTACAATATGGGTGAAACTTGAGGTCATTGTACTAAATGAAATAAGCCAGTCAAAAAAAAAATAACTGTATAATTCTACTTAAATAAGGTACTTAGTGTCATCAAAATCATAAAGCTGGAAAATAGAATGGATGTTGCCAGAGGCTGAGAGGAGAGAATAGTGGGGAGTTATTGTTTAATGGGTACAGAGTTTCAGTTTTATCAGATGGAAGAGTTCTGGAGATGGATAGTGGCAGTGGTTGTACAACAATGTGAATGCACTTAATGTCACTGAACTGTATATTTAAAAATGGTTGAAATGGTAATTTTAATGTGACATGTATTTTACCACATGTGGCCTTAACATTTAAGAGATTTTAGTTGCAAAATAAAGAAGACCTTTTTTGGATCATTGAAGATGGTCATAAATAATGTGTTTATTTAAAGGGTATTGGCAAACGAAAGGTACAAAATAAAAGTAAGGGATGTATGTACTATCTGTCTCTAGATACATAAAGAGTGTGGAAATTAGAACAGAAGCCTTAAAATAATATATTTAGGACAAAATGAGACATACATCTCTGCTTGAGCACTGACTGATGAATAAGATATCCAGTGAAGACGTTGAAGTTATAGCATATTACTTTTAAAATTACATAAATTACTTTTGAGAATAATGAAACTTCCTCAGAATGCTGCCAACAAAGGAAGAAGGCAGAACGGTAGATCTCCAAAGATGTCCACACCTGAATTCTCAAATCCTGTGAATACTTACCTTACATGGTGTGAACCCTGAATGGTTCAATCCCTCAGAATGAATCCTGAGTGGCTAACCGTGCTTAAATTCAAATTAAAGCCAAGCAGCCATTTGCTGACTAGAGGTCACACATGTACTTTGAACTCCCAGAAAACCCACACATCTGCTTAACTTTGGGAACTTCATAGTTGGCTGTTCCTGTTTACATCCCCATGAACCAATCAATAGGCTGTGACCTGGTTTGACCAATCAGAACTCAGCAAATGCCAACCAATCAAAAGTAAGCAAGTTTGAATTCTTTATTTGCATAAGTAGACTTGAGTGGGAACCTAAGTAAGAACTATCTCAATAAAAGACAAACTTTCTCTTTGTTCTCTAGAACACACCTTCAGTTTACACCAAAGGCTGTGTCTCCCTGGTTTGCAAACTGTTCATTGGAATAAAGTCCTTTTTAAATTTATTTTTCAAGAATTTTGATTCACATGGGGAAAAGAGACTTAGCAAATATGGTTAAGGAATTTGAGATGAGGAGATTAATCTGGAATATCTGGGTGCGCTCAATCAAATCACACGGATCTTTTCCTACTATGGTCAGAGAGAGACATGACTATGGAGAGAGAACCAGAAAGGTGGCAGTGTGAAGAGTCAATCCAGCTGTGCTGACGTTGAAGACAGAGGAAGGAGGTCTTGAGCTGAGGTGTGCAGGCATCTTCCAGTTGGAAAAACCAAAGAAACAGATTTTCTCCTAGATCCTCTAGAGAAGAACACAGCCCTGCCAACACCTTGTTTGTAGCTCAGTGAGACCCTACACAATGGTAAAATAATAAATTGTGCCGTGTTAAGTAATTATATTTATAGTAATTTGATACAGCAACCATAACTATTATAGGACAGTATGGAAGTGGTAATGGGATTGTTTTTGAGAAAGAACAATTAAAAACCAGGCTAAGAGTTGTAATCGAAATGGGCAATGTGAAAGTGAATTTAGCACATGCACTACTTTTTATTATTCTCTTCCTAGATAGGTCTAATGAATACTTAAGACAAAGTAGATCCAGCCTGGGCAACATAGCAAGACTCCATCTCTACAAACAACAACAAAATTAGCCAGGCATGGCGACACACACCTGTAGTCACAGCTACTAGGGAGGCTGAGGCAGGAGGATCGCTTGAGCGTGGGAGATCTAGTCTGCAGTGAGCTGTGATTACACTACTGCACTCCAGCCTGGGGAACAGAGTGAGACCACGTCTAAAATAAATAAATAAATAAATAAAAAATAAAAAATAAATAAAGAAAAAGAGTACCATGTACTGAAAAAGGTTAACAATGTTACCTTTGTTAGTAGGATTATGGTCTATTTGTTTATTTTTATGATTTGTCTTTAGTGAACTTATATTACTTTCATAATAAAATATTTAACAAGAAAATGAAAGTGGGCAGAAGAAATGATTTACCTGCAGAAAGATCTGATCATGATTCCTGGTCATTTATACTAGGAATCATGACCTATGATCATGTTTTCCAATCACTAAGAAATTCTCTTTCTAGGGCCGGGTGCAGTGGCTCATGCCTATAATCCCAGCATTTTGGGAGGCGGAGGTGGGTGGATCACAAGGTCAGGAGTTCGAGACCAGCCTGGCTAACACGGTGAAACCTCTTCTCTACTAAAAACGCAAAAATTAGCCAGTTGTGGTAGCTCATGCCTATAATCCCAGCTACTCGGGAGGCTGAGGCAGGAGAATTGCTTGAACCCGGGAGGTGGAGGTTGTGGTGAGCCAAAGTTGTGCCACTGCACTCCAGCCTGGGCAACAAGAGTGAAACTCTGTCTCAAAAAAAAAAAAAAAAAAAAAAGAAATTCTGTTTCTAAGACTCTAAAGTAGCAACCTCTGAACATGCACGCACGTGTGTGTGTGTGTGTGTGTGTGTGTGTGCACGCACACAGATAGCTTTAAGCAAAAATCGGAATTTTAAAAAATCTGTATATACCATTATGAGCTTCACAGTCTCCCTGTACTTAATGTTGAGATCAATGGAGATATTAACAAGTGTGATTTTTTGACATTGTTATAATAAAATTTGTCAACATTTGCAAGTTACAAAATCACACATGGGTAAAGAGCCATTTAATGACTGAGGTAGACAGGTGGGCTTTGATGTAACAGAGGAAGGAAAGTTCAATGACTCAGTTTTTGTTGTCCCACTGCAGCTGTTGTTTGAGAAGTTAACACTAGGTGAATTTCAGTGTCATACCCAAGAAGATTATCCAGTTATCTGAGAAGGCTAGTACATACTCTTCACCTTTCTAACCACATATTCATGTAAGACTGGATTTTCTTCATATATTTCAACCAAAATGACATAGATCAGAAGCAGATTGTTAGAATCTAGCCTTCTTCTCCTAAGCCAGACACTAAGAAACAACCAAAACGTAAAACAATGCATGCCAGTCTCCTAATTCATTTTATTTTAGAAATATGTTTTTGGCCAGGCACGGTGAGTGGCTCATGCCTATAATCCCAGCACTTTGGAAGGCCGAGGCTGAAGGATGGCTTCAGCCCAGGAATTCAAGACCATCCTGGGCAACATGGCAAAAAAACTCTGTCTCAAACAAACAAACAAACAAAAATTTAGCCAGGCATGGGGGTGAGCACCTATAGTCCCAGCTACTGGGGTGGCCGAGGTTGGGGGGTTGCTTGAGCCTGGGAGGTGGACATTTCAGTGAGCCAAGATCATACCACTGTACTCCAGCCTGGGTGACAGAGTAAGACCCTGTCCACACCCCCACCCCCACACCCCAAAAAAAGAAAACGAAAAACATTTTTAAATTCGATTATGTTAAAAAGTAATGAGTTCATTGTCACATTAAAAAAGACTTTAAATGCGTTAAAAATTCTTCACTATTTCTAATATGATAAATATTAATGGATGTAACCTACATAAACAAAAGTTCTCACTGCATTTTGGTAATGTAATGGGTTTAAGAGATGAAAAAGTTTGAGAACTGCTAAATAAACAAAACTATGAGTACATTCTAGAATCCAGAAGCTTCCGACAGAGCTTTTGAGAAATACATGTCTTATTTGACATACCTGTCATTTCAGGAAAGGGTAAAAATATCACAGTCCTGAAAACAATTCTAATTATCCACATGACTGGCCAGATTTCTGACTGTTTTGATAACCTGAGTCTTAAATGTATCACTTCAATATAAAAGAGATTTTGCTAAGATATATAAGTAATAAATGGTGCAAAAGTAGGAAAGACATCTTGGCCCTTTGCTACAAGAGAAAATGATACCTTATTAAAAAAAGAGAAAAGAAAAATGAATGGAGATTGTTATGAGAAGGTAAAAGTTTTGGGACCATCCTGGAGAAAATAGCCACTAAGAAACTTGGTGATGAACACAATAACAGACCGTGAAAAGAAAAGATGGATTTCTAACTTGGCTGAAGGGATATATTTGGAACAAGAAAAGTAATGTGCTAACTAAAATAGAGCCTCAAGTTTAAGAAACATTCTTTATTCCTGTAGCTTTTGTGGAGCACACAATGTAAATAAGCAGAGAAACATATTTTTTATCCATATAATTTTTCATCCATATAATTTTTCAACTGTCACATCTAGACCAGCTTCAGGGCCATGGTGACAAATAATAGCTCTTGATCTGACAATCCGTAATGTGGAGAGCTCACATATGGAGAACTAGGAGTTTATTTTATATCATTTAATTTTCTCTCTCTATCCAGCAGGGAAAATGTTTCAGATATTTTCCCGAGTAAATGATCATGTTCCCCGGCTACAATTCTAGAGGAACGGTATTTTAATGCTCATTAACTGAGCCACGACTCCCTCAACACTGCAGCTGCAGCAGCTACATGCAGGAGCTCTGTGGGCTGAAATGCAGCTCTGGCCCGAGAGCATGTCACTTTCTCCACTGCTACACACTGTGCCATCACAACGATCACGGTCTGTGGTGATCCAGATGGGTGGTGATGGCTTGAGCTTTCTGATGCTGTTGTATCACTGGCTATTTGTTTTACTACTCATTCACTATGTTCTTTCAGCCTAGTGTCTCATAAATTAGTAATTTTGAAAAATAACAAAGCCCTTTTATTGGATTAAGCGTCTATTCTCTCCAAGTGAGTGACTGTAGATTAAAAATGATATGACTTAATAGTGATTGCATTGTAACAATTGTTACTACGTCGAGTTAAATTTGACTTTAGGATGCAAGTATAGAGGAGGCTTGTGCGGTTATGACAAGCAGAGTCTAATGTGTCTTTCTCATAGAACACCAATTTCCTTTTGAGGACTGTCATGTCTCATTGGATTTAGTCTGCTGGAACTGTTTGTTAGTCAGACATTTTTGCTTCAGCAAGCTGATGGTTGGGCACATAACCCAAGCTATGCCAACTGATGTATCATCCACAAGATTTAAATCTTGAGTGGAGTGGCAGAGACTAAGAAGGGCCAAGTTGATTTATTTTAGCAGTACTGCCCAGGAAGAACTGTTCTTGCTACCACACCATTCCTGTTCTTGTTTACTAGTCCCTTGAGATACCTGGGTTCCTGCCCCTTCAAACCCCACTTGTCCAGCCTGCTGATTGATTCTGTGTACTCCTAAGAGCTTTCCAGATAACTTCAGTTTTGCTTAAGTTAGCCAGAACCCCAACATCTGGTTTTTGGCTTGTAACCAGAGAACCCCAATGTAAACAAGTGTCCATATATGTGTCATTGTATTTAAACTTGCTGAAAGGCTTTGTAATTGTATGCTACACAAAGAACATTAGCCTTAGCTGTGTGTAAGAGAGTGATTGCATGAATATCCCAAAGTTCCTTCAAGACTTCAAGCATCCAGTGAAACGAAGGAATTAATTCTACAATCACGGGAAGAATACTTACTTTGTGCCCTATGCCAGACATTGGAAATATGGAGATAAGACTAAAATGGTTGCTTGTCTTCAAAGGACTTATAATGTAGTAAATAGTCATGCACACACAAACAATTAAATATAACCCATGTGATAAGTAGTACAATAAAGATATGAGCAAAGGACCGTGCAAGCCCAGAAGCAGCAGCAGCAATTTCCTTCTGCCAAGTAGTTCAAGGAGTTGGACCCAAAATAATTGGGATTTCTCCAGCTGGACAGGGAGAGGAAGGTAACTCAGGCAGCACGAACATAGGGAGATTAACACAGGTTCACAACAGACCTGTGGCCTGTTTGGGGGAAGAACAAGAGGCTCACACTGGTTTAATGCAGAATACACAAGGAGAGAGGGTGACGGGGCATCTGTGGGCATGGATGCAGGAGTGATGATCAGTTTTGCGTTTATGCAATTGGCTGGGGAGAACCTTCTATTAGTTACAACTTTTAAATTTTCTACATCTTAAGATATAGATATTTTCTATAATTTTAATGTGGGTATAATTTTAATACAAGCTTGAACACAGTTTCGGATTGGAAAAGAGGGCCAAGTGTATGATCAGTCCTATATTGTAAAAAGATAACTTACGGCAAATGGAGGCTGGACAGAAAGGAAACAAAAACACCACCAGCTATCTAGCTGGGAATACTGGAGTAGGTATTTTCTATATCTATATCTTATCTTATGTTGACATCTCTCAAGAGACTTGCAGATCCAGAGAAAGGCTGCCCCCTGAGGCCTGGATGATTCCTGGGGGTGGTGGATGGCTTGCCTGGAGCTCACCTTCCATGGGCAAACTGGTTGATCCAAGGCTGGGCCCCTACCTGCCTCCTTATCTAACTCACACACTAAGCCAATATTTTCCCTGCTTTAAATCAACCAAGGGCCAGGAAGGAGGCAACTAGAGGCACCCTCTCTGCTCCAAAGCCCGCCACACTTATTCAAACTAACCAATCCTAAATTGTTTACTCCATCCTACCTTGCCTTTCTCACAGAAACCCTGATAACATCTCTGGCCTCAGCTTCTCCCTCACCCCTCCTTTTCCTCTCACCCAAACTTGGTGCTTCTGCAGTCCTGTGTGGCTTGGTGAGTCTACTTCTCTTGCAAAATGTTAAATAATAAGCTTCTTTCAATGTCATTGACCCCTCTATGATGGCACTCAGTCACCTCCGTAAATTAAAATCCCCTGGGGATAATTTTATTTATTTATTTATTTATTTATTTATTTATTTATTTATTTATTTAGTTCGAGACAAGGTCACTCTCTGTCGCCCAGCTTGGAGTGCAGTGGTGCAATCTCGGCTTACTGCAGCCTCAACTATCTGGGCTCAAGTGATCCTCCTACTTCAGCCTCTCAAGTAGCTGGGACTACAGGTACACATTCTGTAGAGATAGAGTCTTGCTGTGTTGCCCAGGCTGGTCTTGAATTCCTAAGCTCAAGCACTCCTCCCACCTCAGCCTCCCATAGTGCTGGGATTACAGGTATGAGCCACTGCACCCAGAGGATGTAATTTTAATATGAGCTTGGACACAGTTTCGGACTGGAAAAGAGGGCCAAGTGTATGATCAATCCTATATTGTAAAAAGATAACTTACGGCAAATGAAGGCTAGACAGAAAGGAGACAAAATCACCACCAAATATCTAGCTGGGAATACTCGAGTAGATACATTACTGGTGATGCCACTAAAGAAGGCAAGAAACACAGGATAACGTGCACATTTGGGAGAAGGAAATCATGATTCTGTTTAGGGTGGGAAAATATCCTAGCCACTGGGAACTTCTGAGACACCTGGAATGCAAGCATAGGAAAACAGCGGGTCAGCCTGCCCCGAGTGTCCTGGGTGGCAGCTAGGAGAGAGAGAGAGCCTTGAGACTGCTCTGGTGTCATGGTTGCCCATCTCTGATGTGGTGCGTGGATCATTGGGCCATATTTTCACTCTTGTACCTAAGGTAGCATGTTGTAGGCCCTGAGCAGATATTTGATGAACGGATATGTTGCCAAGGTCTTGAATCTTACCCTCTTTTCTTTGGTTAGCTACAGATAATTCTAATCACGTAGGCCTCACGAGGCAGACTGTCTATTTTTCTTATGTTGGTGGTGTCCCAGGCTCTTGATTTTAAATTTTAGTAGACTTCAACTTGAGCCATTGAGAATTATGTAATTAACTTCATTTTGCTTCCATTATGGTTTTTAATTGATACTCGTTAACACAGCAACTGATGCAGAATAGAGTGGGCAGTTACTCGGGCCCTCGGGGGCTCCCGGTTCATCCGTGTGAGCTATCTGGCTCAAAGAGCTAATAATAGTGTGAGGATACATTCTGTCCACAGAGTGTATGGTGGGTACCAGAAACCAGAATAAAAAGCTGTTTTGTGGCAATAGTGTCCCCAGCAGCTTGGTCTTGGTTTCTGTACTCATAGGGGAGGAGACCACCACTCATATTGTCTTATGCCCAATTTCTGCCTCCAAAAAAAGAAAAAGTGAAAACTAAAAGGCAGAAATGAAATCCACAAGCAGACAGCCCTGCGCCACACCCTGAGCCTGGTAGTTAAAGATGGACCCCTGACTTAATTGGTTATGTTATCTATAGATTACAGACATTGTATAGAAAAGCACTGTGAAAATCCCTATCCTGTTTTGTTTTGATCTAAATACCGGTGCATACAGCCCCCAGTCACGTACCCCCTGCTTGCTCAATCAATCACGACCCTCTCACAGGACCCCCTTAGAGTTGTGAGCCCTTAAAAGGGACAGGAATTGCTCACTCGGGTAGCTCGGCTCTTGAGACAGGAGTCTTGCCGATGCCCCCGGCCGAATAAGCCCCTTCCTTCTTTAACTCGGTGTCTGAGGAGTTTTGTCTGTGGCTCCTCCTGCTACATTTCTTGGTTTCCTGACTGGGAAGCGAGATGATTGGTGGAAGGTTGAGGCAGCTCTTCAGGTGGCTTAAGCCTGCCCTGTGGAACATCCCTACGGGGGACTCTGATCAGCTGGAGTGACGCGGATCCTGAGAGCGCTCCCCGGTAGGCAATTGCCCCTGTGGGACGCCTCGCCAGAGCAGTGTGTGGCAGGCCCCCGTGGAGGATCAACACAGTGGCTGAACACCGGGAAGGAATGGGCACTTGGAGTCTGGACATCTAAAACTTGGTAAGACTAGTCTTTGAAACTTGCCCACTCCATTTGAGTTGAAGCGTGGCCCGATCACCCACGGCATGCCTTTATCCGCACTTTGGTTTTGGTTTTGGTTTTGGTTTTGACTTGGTTTGAATTGCTTAACAGGGCTGGTCTTGGGAACTTGCCCACTCCATTTGAGTGGAAGCATGGCCTCATCAACCATGGCATGCCTTTTTTTTTTTTTTTTTTTTGAGATGGAGTCTGGCTCTGTTGTCCAGGCTGGAGTGCAGTGGGGTGATCTTGGCTCACTGCAAGCTCCACCTCCAGGGTTCACACCATTCTCCCGCCTCAGCCTCCCAAGTAGCTGGGACTACAGGTGCCCGCCACCACGCCTGGCTAATTTTTTGTATTTTTAGTAGAGATGGGGTTTCACCATGTTAGCCAGGATGGTCTTGATCTCCTGACCTCATCATCCGCCCGCCTCGGCCTCCCAAAGTGCTGGGATTACAGGCGTGATCCACTGCACCCAGTCCATGGCATGCCTTTATCAGCATTTTGGTTTTGGATTTGACTTGGTTTGAATTGCTTGACAGGGCTGGTCTTGGGAACTTGCCTACTCCATTTGAGTGGAAGCATGGCCTGATCACCCACAGTGTGCCTGTACCAGCACTTTGGTTTTTGTTTTTGACTTGACTTGGATTGCTTGATACTTTGGTTTTGGTTTTGACCTGGCTTGGATTTCTGGATACTCTGATTTTGGTTTTGATTTTGGTTTGGTGCAAACTGCAAAACTGTGTGTGTGCCCTTTTTACCCATTCTTTGTTTTGTGGTTTGCGTGTGGTATGGGCGTGGTATTTTGTCTCAAAGAAGCATAGGTCAGGCACAAATAAGCCCACGCTACTAGGAACTATGTTGAAAAATTTCAGAAAAGAATTTAAAGGAGACTATGGAGTACTATGACACTAGGAAAACTGAAAACTTTGTGTAAGATAGACTGGCCAGCATTAGAGGTAGGTTGGCCATTAGAAGGAAGCCTGGACAGGTCCCTTGTTTCAAAGGCATGGCACAAGGTAGCCTGTAAGCCAGGGAACCCAGACCAGTTCCAGTACATAGACATTTGGTTACAGCTGGTTTTAAACCCCCTGCCCCCAACACACAGTGGTTGAGAGAACAGCAGCGTAAGCGGCTGGCAGAGGCAAGGAGAGACCAGCAGAGAGAAAGAGAAAGGAAAGAGACAGAGAGAAAAAGAGGCAAAGAGAGAGAGGAAGAGATAGAGAAGAAGAGACAGACAAACAGGGAGTCAAGGAGAGAGAGAGAAAAAAAGAGAGAGGTAGAGAGAGAAGAAGAGACAGAGGCAAAAGGAAAGTCAAAGAGAGAGAGACAAAGTCAAAGAGAGAAAGAAAGAGAGAGATATACAAGTAGTTAAAAAAAAGTGTACCCTATTCCTTTAAAAACCAAGGTAAATTTAAAACCTATAATTGATAATTGAAGGTATTCTCCATAACCCTATAATACTCCAATACCACTTTGTTTTCAGTGTAAACAAGGGCATATCCTGAAAGCACTGATGCCTTCGTATCAAAAATCCTTAACTCAGTAACCCGCGGATGGCCCAAATGCATTTAATCTGTAGCGGCAACTGCTTTGCTAACCAAAAAAAAAAAAAAAAAAGGTAAAAAAAATAACTTATAGAGGAAACCTCATTGTGAGCGCATACCTCACCAGTTCAGAAGTATCCTAAAGAAAAAAAAAAGGAAAAAAAGGAGGGGCAGAATTTATATAAAAAGAGTATTATGTGATAAATTCTTGTCCTGAAATAAATTAACTGGTTGTTTAAAGAAAGAAATATTTGTAATAAGTCAAAAAGTTGAGGCATGTCCAAGAATTGTCTGCGAAAGTCATGAAAGAAAAAAATATTATAAAAAAGAGTTTACGCAAAAAATGTGGTATAATTTAAAAGTAACCAGGCCTCCTGAGTGTAAAACTATTGAAAAAAAACAAACAGTTTATGTGCAAGGTGTATAAGAAAAGTAAAATATACGTTTGGTAAAAGGATTATAAGGTGGCATAAGAATGTACATTTTTACCTACATTAAAAAGTTAAAAAAATTATTGTTTTGAAGGTTTAAGAGAGTTTTAAAACGTTAATTGTAAAGAAAATTCTGTGTGTAAACATATTAGCTAAAGTTAAAGAAGTATCACCCAGTTTTTCTGTGAAGTGGACATTAAAGTAAAAGCATAACAGGTTTTTCTTAAAGCACCAACCTGCTCTTTAGCAAAAATTATAAAAAGTTAAAAAGAGTCTATAAAATCTTACCTTATGGTCAAACATTAAAAATTAGATAAATATGTCTACAAGTTTTTATTAAAATTAGATTTAACATTAATAACAATAATATAAAGATAAAATTTAGCTTATCTGGTATAAAAATCATATGAGAAGCGTTGCTAAATGTAAAACGGTATTTGGCTTTCTTTGGTTTAAAAACTAACAAAAATATGTGCTAAAGGAAATTTCTCAGTAAAAAGGCACTAAGGACTATAAAGTCCACTACCAAGGTCCCCACATTTAAAACAAAAGGTCAATTTCTTAAAAATCATATACTTGGTTTATCTTCCACTTTCCTTTCTCTCAAAAACTAAAAGTCTTTTAGCACATGTACCACCCCTAGAATTTCCGGTAAACCAGCACCAGCCTGAAGATCACATTCTCATCAAAGGGTGGAAGAAAGAAAAACTTGAGCCAGCCTGGGAAGGACCCTACCTTGTGCTGCTAACCACCAAGACTGCTGTTCGTACAGCAAAAAAAAAAAAAAAAAAAAAAGAATGGACTCATCACATGATCACATGCGAGTCAAGAAAGCGCCACCCCCTCCAGAGTCCTGGGCCATAGTCCCAGCAGAAAACCCTACCAAACTAAAGCTAAGAAAAATTTAACTCTTTTCATCTATTCTATTACTCTTCCTTCTTTTCTCATTCTATTGCTGACCATCTAGTTACTAACATAACCAAGTCAATTTTGCCTCAAACTATTGCATTTAATGCTTGCCTTGTTATACCCTGTGAGGACTTGCCAAGTCAAAGACAGCTTTCTACCTCAGAAAAGTACTTCTGTCCCTCCTGACTCTTCTCAGACTGGGCATTAGTAAACTAGGACCATTTAATCTGGGGAGATGTCGATAAAGACCCCAGTGCCAACCAGGATTCTTGCCCCCCGATGTAGAGCTTTCATACCATAGTTGGTCCAATGTTCTGTGGACCACTAAAGATCAAGGATGGACTGCCCCAACTGGTTTTTGTAATTTCCTAAAACCATACATTCATTTTACTAGAGGATCATAGAAGTTAAAGACTTAAAACAAACTTTAGCAATTGAGACAGGATACCAAGATGCAAATGCCTGGTTAAAATGGATCAAATATTCCATCTGCACATTAAACAAAAGCAATTGTTATGCTTGTGCACATGGCAGACCAGAGGCCCCGATTGTCCCCTTTCCACTAAGGTGGTCCTCCAGTCGACCAGGCATAGGCTGCATGGTAGTTCTTTTCCAGGATTCTAGAGCCTGGAGTAATAAGTCATGCCAAGCTCTCTCTGCTATATCCCAAAGTCCAGCACCCTGCAGGTCAGCCCCCGAGGGCCATCCAGCCTCCGTCTCCCAACACTAAGTTCACTTCATGTCTCTCACGGCAGGGAGGAAACTTAGCGTTCCTTGGAGATCTGAAAGGTTGCAGTGAGCTTAAGAATTTTCAAGAGCTTATCAATCAGTCAGCCCTTGTTCATCCCTGAGCGGATGTATGGTGGTGTTGTGGTGGACCTTTACTGGGCACTCTGCTGAATAAGTGGAGTGGCACTTGTACTTTAGTCCAGTTGGCTATCCCTTTCACCCTGGCATTTCATCAGCCAGAAGGAAAAAAAAATAAGGTATCATAAAGCAAGAAAAGCCCCTTATGGGTCTTTCTACTCTCATGTCTATTTAGACGCAATTGGAGTCCCACGAGGAATACCAGATTAATTTAAAGCTTGAAATCAAATAGCTGCAGGATTTGAGTCAATATTTTGGTGGGTGACAGTTAATGAAAATGTAGATTAGATAAACTACATCTATTACAACCAACAGCAACGAGCTTTCATGAGTTAAAAGAAAAACTCATGTCAGCCCCAGCCCTGAGGCTACCTGACCTGACTAAACTCTTTACACTCTATGTGTCAGAAAGAGAAAAAAAGGCAGTTGGAGTTTTAACCCAGACTGTGGGGCCGGCCAATGCCAGTGGCCTATCTCTCAAAACAACTAGACAGGGTTTCCAAAGGCTGGCCCCCAGGTCTAAGGGCCCTAGCAGCAATGGCCCTGTTAGCACAAGAAGCAGATAAACTAACGCTTAGGCAAAACCTGAATATGAAGGCCCCCCATGCTGTGGTAACTTTAATGACTACCAAAGGACATCATTGGTTAACAAATGCTAGATTAACCAAGTACCAAAGCTTGCTATGTGAAAATCCGCACATAACCACTGAAGTTTGCAACACCCTAAACCCCGCCACCTTGCTCCTGGTATCAGAGAGCCCAGTTAAACACAACTGTGTAGAGGTGTTGGACTCAGTTTATTCTAGCAGGCCCAACCTCCAAGACCATCCTTAATCATCAGTAGACTGTGAGCGGTACATGGAAGGGAGCAGCTTCGCCAACCCCTGCAAAGTGACTCTGAAGAAGACGACAAGCCCTGCTCCAGTCACACCCAGAAGCTGACTGGTCCACGCACAGCCAAAGCATGAGAAAACTCATCGCGGGACTCATTTTCCTTAAAATTTGGACTGTTACAGTAAGGACTTCAACTGACCTTCCTCAGACTGAGGACTGTTCCCAGTGTACACATCAAGTCCCTGAGGTACGACAAAAGATTGCTATGGTCCTATTATTTTATGGTTATTATAAGTGTACTGGAACTCTAAAAATAACTTGTTTGTATAATGTTATTCTATACAAGGTATGTAGCCCAGGAAATGACCAACCTGATGTGTGTTATGATCCATCTGAGCCTCCCATGACCACAGTTTTAAAATAAGATTAAGGACTGAGGACTGGTGGGGGCTCATAAACGATACGAGTAAAGTGTTAACCAAAACAGAAGAAAAAGGGGTGCCCAAACAAGTCAAGTTAAAATTTGATGCCTGTGCTGTCATTAATACTAATAAGTTAGGAATAAGGTGTGGTTCTCTTAATTAGAAAAGAGGCTATATGGCAGAAAATAAGTACATCTGTCATAAATTAGGAGTGTGTGGAAATAAATGTAAGTACTGGTCTTGTGTCATTAGGCCACTTGGATTAAAAAAAAATGAAAAGGATCCAGCCCACCTTCAGAAAGGAAAAAAATGGCCCTTCCTTTACTAAGGAACAATGTAACCCCTTACAGCTAGTAATAACCAATACCCTTGACCCTCGCTGGAAAAAAGAGGAGCTTGTGACCTTAGGAATCAACGGGGCTGGACTGGATCCTTGAGTAAATATCTTAGTTTGAGGAGAAGTTTACAAACGCTCTCCTGAGCCAGTATTTCAAACTTCCTATGATGAACTAAATGTGCCAGTACCAGAAATTCTAGGAAAAACAAGAAATTCGTTTTTGCAATTAGCTGAGCATGTAGCCCAGTCTCTCAATGTCACTTCATGTTATGTACGTGGAGGAACTGTAATAGGAGATCAATGGCCATGAGAAGCCTGAGAGTTAGTACCTACAGACCCAGTTCCTGATGAATTCCCAGCTCAAAAGAATCACCCTGATAATTTCTGGGTCCTAAAAGCCTCAATTATTGGACAATACTGCATAGCTAGAGAAGGAAAATAATTCGTGCACCCCGTAGGAAGACTTAGTTGTCTGGGACAGAAAGTGTATAATGGTACCACAAAAGCAGTCACTTGGTGGAGTTCAAATCACACACAGAGAAATCCATTCAGTCGATTCCCAAAGTTGCAAACTGTGTGGACCCACCCGGAGTCCCACCGGGACTGGACAGCCCCCACTGGATTGTACTGGATATATAGGCATAGAGCTTACGCCAAATTACCTGACCGATAGGCAGGCAGTTTTGTTATTGGCACTATTAAACCATCTTTCTTCCTACTGCCCATAAAAACAGGCGAACTCCTGGGCTCCCCTGTCTATGCTTCCTGCGAAAAGAGAAGCATAGCTATAGGAAATTTTAAAAAATGATAAATGGCCCCCTGAGAAAATCACACAATATTATGGACCTGCTACTTAGGCACAAGATGGCTCATGGGGATACCAGACCCCCATTTACATGATCAACCAAATCATACGGTTACAAGCTGTCTTAAAAATAATCACTAATAAAACCTGCAGAGCCTTGACTATTCTGGCCTGGCAAGAAATTCAGATGAGAAATGCTATCTATCAAAATAGATTAGCTCTAGACTACTTGCTAGCAGCTGAAGGAGAGGCCTGTAGGAAATTTAACCTTACTAATTGCTGCCTACATATAGATAATCAAGGGCAAGTAGTTGAGGACATAGTTAGAGATATGACAAAAGTGGCACATGTGCCTGTGCAAGTGTGGCATGGATTTGATCCTGGAGCCATGTTTAGAAAATGGTTCCCAGCACTAGGAGAATTTAAAACTCTTATAATAACAGTTATAATAGTAATAGGAACCGCTTACTTCTCCCTTGTTTGCTACCTGTACTTCTTCAAATGATAAAAAGCTTCATCACTACCTTAGTTCACCAAAATGCTTCAGCACAAGTGTACTATATGAATCACTATCAATCTGTCTTGCAAGAAGACATGGGTAGTAAGAATGAAAGTGAGAACTCGCACTATTGAGTGAGAGTCTCAAAGGGGGGGAATAAGGGAGGAGACCACCCCTCATATTGTCTTATGCCTAATTTCTGCCTCCAAAAAAAGAAAAAGTAAAAAACTAAAAGGCAGAAATGAAATCCACAAGCAGACAGCCGGGCACCATACCCTGGGCCTGGTAGTTAAAGATCGACCCTGACCTAATTGGTTATGTTATCTATAGATTACAGACATTGTATAGAAAAGCACTGTGAAAATCCCTATCCTGTTTTGTTTTGATCTAATTACCGGTGCATGCAGCCCCCAGTCACATACCCCCTGCTTGCTCAGTCGATCACGACCCTCTGACGTGCACCCCCTTAGAGTTGTTAGCCCTTTAAAGGGACAGGAATTGCTCACTTGGGGAGCTCGGCTCTTGAGACAGGAGTCTTGCCGATGCTCCTGGCCGAATAAACCCCTTCCTTCTTTAACTCGGTGTCTGAGGAGTTTTGTCTGTGGCTCATCCTGCTACATTCATAAATGGATTTTTCATGAAAAATGGCCAAATAAGATATATGTGCCTGTTGGTCAAGTTTATCACTATAAAAATGAAACCACTGAAAGAGCACAGTGTCTGGAAAATGATTTTTTGTTTGCACATCATTCGACAGATGCTAGAAGATGACTTTGACTGAACGATATCATTTTCAGAAAGCTTTATCATTAGTGACTAAAAAGTCACACCAACTGTATTGGTGGTATATTTCATCCCTTACCCCATTTATCATAACAACCTGTTTTTACAGTAAATGATATATGTGGACAAATACATATAATATGAATATTTCAAACTTCAGGGTTTTGCAGGGATAAATTTTTAGTAAATGGAAGTAGATATACCTTGACATTTACAGAAAAGGGCACAAGAAGTCTATATACGGAGGAAGGAGTTTTGAATAGTGATATTCACTTTAAACTCATTCATTGTATAGTTATTGAGTACACGCTGAGTCCTTGTCAGACTTAGGTACAGAGTTGAGAAAGATAGACTTGCTTTTTATTGACAGACAGCCTACATTCTAGAGAAGAGGCAGAGAGAAACACAAGTTACATAGTGAATTATTTAATTACACTTGTTGTCACTGCTATGAAGACGAAGTCCAGAGCACCACGAGATTATGTAATGTGACTGAGATAGTGCATGTGTGAAACACTCAGATGCTCCTTCACTGGGGAAATGAAATGATTTGATTGGTGAAGAAATTATTCTCTAAGGAAATGCAGTTGCAATTGAGACCTGAAAGATTAACTAATTGTCAAGCATGATGAAGGAAGAGCCTGAGGCAGGAAGGAGCCTGGTAAAATGAAGTGGAGAGTCTGGGGCCTCCGGAGTGCAGACTCACTGGAAGGCGCTTAGAGGTATGGCGGAGGGCCCTGGCCTCATGTTTGCCAGAGCCTCAAATTTAGATCTTTTAACATTTATTTTTATTTATTTATTTTTTTAGAGACACTGTCTTGCTCTGTCACCCAGGCTGGAGCACAGTGGCATGATCACGGCTAGCTGCAACCTCGACCTCCTGGGTTTGAGTGATCTTCCTGCCTCGGCTTCCTGTGTAGCTGGGACTACAGGCACGCACCATCATGCCTGACTAATTTTTAAGTTTTGGTAGAAACAGGGTCTTGCTATGTTGCCCAGGCTGGTCTACAACTCCTGGCCTGAAGTGATCCTCCTACTTTGGTCTCCTAAAGTGCTGGGATTACAGATGTCAGCCACTGCACCCAGACTTACTTAAACTCTTGACTGATCTCCAGTTGAGGTTGTATATACAGTCATTGCCTGTTTAATTTTTAAAGCATTAATTTATTAAATAAATATTTTAAAATATATAACATTTTTTGATTCTCTGTTTTGGCATTTTTATGTTTATCTCTTTGTTGTTGTTTCCTATCAGAGGTATCAGAAATTCTATGTGGCTCAGGCCCCTCTCACCTCAGAGGAGCTCCGCCAGGGCTAGATGGGCATGAGGTCACACAGGGTCTTGTTGGCTGTGTGAAGGATTCTGATTCATTTCTCCAGGGCGGTAGGAGCCTTAGCGGGGCTTCAGTCCATACCTGAGGAATACTGTGCCTGTTTGTTCCCTTTTATCACCTCCTTTATTCCTGTTGATCACTCCTTTGATCTCACCACTCCCTGGTGAGGAAGGTATTTCTAGCTTTATTTTACAAATGGGAAAACCAAGGCTAAGAGGCTAAAGAACATCCCCAGGTCACACTGCTAGGCAAAGGTCACAACACTCAGGCCCTCTCCGCTGCCTCATAGCCACTTCATTGCGTGGTGGATTTGAAGACATCTGAACAACCCTGGGAAGGAAGGAAAGAAGGGAGTGCTTTGGACTGAATTGTGTCAGCCCCCAGCCCCCCCAAAATTCATATGTTCAAACCCCAACCCCCTATGCCTCAGAATGAGACTGTATTTAGAGATAGGGTCTTTACAGAGATGATTAAGATAAAATGAAGTCACATGGGTCAGCCCTAATCCAACGTAACTGGTGTCCTTGCAAGAAGAGGACATTGAGACTTAGACAAATATGAACAAGAGGGAAGACCATGTGGAGACACAAGGAGAAGATGGTCACCTACAGGCAAGGTGAGAGGTCTCAGAAGGAACCAACCCTGCCAACACCATGATTTTGGACTTCCAGCCTCCAGAGCTATGAGAACATAAATTTCTGTTGTTTAAGTCACTCAGTATGTGATACTTTTTACGGCAACCACAGCAGACTAAGAGGGAGTTTGTTACCATTTTTTTGCTTCTTCACTATGACTTTGTGGTTGATACTGTTCTTCTACAGGTGCCCATGGCCCTGGCAGCCTCCCCAATACAATATTCCTTGGCTATAGATTGTGTTTCCCACACCTGGACTCCTTCCACAGTTAGAAATTGTTATCACTTTAATCCTCAAAGTCTTGCCTTCCTAGTATATGATGATGTCTAGTAAAAGATTAAGCCATTTAAGCTAAATCCTGCTAATAGTCAATGTTACGCATCCAAGTTGAGGTGAAGCCTTAACTCAATTACAGACAGCAAGAATGTTAAGACATAATTAAAGTTCTTAAGGTGGAGCGCAAGTCTTAAGAATTTCAGGCACTAGAGGTTAATCAGAAGAGAAATTTCTGATGAAGGGAAGCTGTCAGCATCTTTTGAATCATCTTCCAATGTTCATCTATAAGGCTGACTCCACTGAAAGGAATATTTTGGCAGATGGAGGGGTTGAGAAGCTCTGTGTAAATTTATTCTCATTTACAATCTCATGCCTTGTTTGGCTTCACTAATTGAATCAATATTTCTCGTGTATTTTTTCCCCTTAAAAAAGAAAAAACAAAACCACAGTACTAGCATAATGCCTTTGGGCACTTGTATTTTGTCTTCTGAAGAATTTTTAGTGTTATAATTCCCTCAGCCACTCTGTAATTCTTTATTAAGTTTTAATGTGGTTTACACTCTCCATCTGTAGACAATATATTATTTTCCTCCTCTTTGCCAGAACGTCTAATACTTCCCTGTAGTCTGTTTTAGAGCTCCTTCTGGTGGCTAAAACTATTATGACACGTCCATCCGTAGCATCTGTATCCATTCAGCCTCACAGCGATGGCCAGGACCTGTTCATCCAACAAAATAATAGAAGTTATGTTTGCAATACCATGCAGCAGAATAATGTTCAGATTTATAAATTTAGCATAATTACTTGATTTGTGGCTGTCAGAAAAAGGACAGGAGAGTTTTTGGGAGGTAGGTTACAACCACTGTAGTAAATGGACATTCTTCTGCATGTAACATATTCTAAAGGATGCATTTAATATTCCTATTGTTGGCTGAATTTGGCCAATTTTTGGTACAGAAATGAAGAAGGAGCTTTGGTTTTTGTGTTATATTTTTGCTCCTATTAATATCATTTTTGAGAACAGGTGTATGAGTGTGGGGTGATAGGACTAATTATTAGATCCTGTCAAGACTTTTATTTACTTATTTTTGAGATGGAGTGTGGCTCTGTCACCCAGGCTGGAGTGTAGTGGCATGGTCTTGGCTGACTGCAACCTCTACCTCCTATGTTCAAGCTATTCCTCTGCCTCAGCCTCCCAAGTAGTTGGGACTACAGGCGTCCACCACCACACCCAGTCAATTTTTTATATTTTTGCTAGAGACGGGGTTTCACCATATTGGCCAGGCTGGTCTTGAACTCCTGACCTCAAGTGATCTGCTCCCCTCGGCCTCCCAAAGTGCTGGGATTACAGGCGCGAGCCACTGTGTCCAGCCTCCTGTAAAGACTTTTTATTACTTGGTGGTGAAACATTGGTAGAAAGAGCTCAGTGACCTGAGTTCACCATTGCCATTCACCTCATGATCTAGCTTTCTGTGCCTTCTCATTATACGGTGATAAAAAGCACATAGCGTAAAATTTACCATCTTAACTATTTTGAAGTTTATATTTAATATCTGTGCCTTTCTGACTTCGCATTTTTAAAATATCTGCTCAATCATGCCCTTCTGTTTGTGCATCATGACATTTATAAAGTAAAACATAAGCACTTGCTATAGTCTAAAGCTTTGTGTCCTCCCAAAATTCACATGTTGAAATCCTAACCTGGAAGGTGATGGTATTAGGAGATGATTAGATCATGAGGATGGAGACTTCATGAATGGGATTAGGGCCCTTGTAAAAGAGGTCCCAGAGAACTGTCTTGCTTCTTCCACCACGTGAGGATACAGAGAATAGGCTTCTATGAATCAGGAAGCAGGCCCTCACCAGACATGGAATTTCCCAGCACCTTGATCTTGGACTTCCCAGCCTCCAGAATTGTAAGGAATAAATTATTGTTGTTTATAAGGTACCCAGTCCATGGTTATAGAATCCTGAGTAGGCTAAGATAATACAGACATTGAAATGAAATAAAACATATTAAGGATTACAGTGATAAATTGCTCTAAATTAGGAAATATGACCAGAAAACCACATGAATAACTTACCAACAATAGCAACAACAAAATTAGACATGTATCAAAATGAGTGTTTTCCTTTTCAAAGTCACAATATTGGCAAGTTGAACACTTACTAGAAAGATTTTATCTAAAACAGTGACTTTGCCTTGTGAGCATATAGAATGTTAGGTATATTAGTTGTGTAGCAAAATCATCTTCTAAAGTAGATTTGAGGAAATGTGATTAATAAAATAGATACACTGAGTAATATACAGTTAGGTACAGAATAAAACTACACTGTTAATTAATGTCTTTTCCTATATAACATGTAAATGAATTTTCCAGGCAATTCCAAAAGAGAAAGTTTAAAAATATCTTGAGAAATAGCAGCATTTTTGGAATAAAGGAAAAAATATCTGCAATCCAATTAGAGGTTACAAAGCATTTCAACTTATATTTTCTCATCTGATTTCCATTACAAGCTGGAAGAATAGATGAAATAGATATTATTATAAACTATTCCTGCCCCCAACATGTAGATGAGAAAATAGAGACTTGGGAAAGTAAAGTGACTCATTGAAGATGGTATAGCATTTGATATGGGAGCAATAAATCTGGGCCTAGACATCAAAACCCATGTTCGGCTCCACCACAACCCTTCAGTGAATAGCTCTTCTGAGGATATTTTTTGAGACATAACTTAAGATTTTTTTGTTTTATAAAGAAAACAGATACCTCTTATCATCAACCTATAAATCTTGTAACATTAAAACAATTAATGGATGGGAAAAAAATAGAAAAATATTTCTACAAAAATGTTAACAGTCAAATGGTAGCATGGTTTTGTTTTCTTCTTAAAACAATAAACATATACTTATTGATAATCAGAAAAATGTGTTATTTATAAAATGACTCTTAAAAGAACTAATTGCTGAGTTCACAATTTGCAGTTTCTTTAAAGAAGTTTTACGAGTCACTTGGGAGCTGAGGTGGGAAGATCACTTGAGCCCAGGAGTTTGAGGCTGCAGTGAGCTGTGATCACAACATTGAACTTCAGCCTGGGTAACAGAGGGAGAGCCAAAAGAAAGAAAGAAAGAGAGAAAGAGAAAGAAAGAAAGAGAAAAAGAAAGAAAGAGAATAAAGAAAGAAAGAAGAAAGAAAGAAAAAAGAAAGAAAGGAGAAAGAGAAGAAAGCAGGAAGGAAAGAAGGAGAAAGAAAGAGAAAGTTTCCCATATTAGAACTTAACTTTTCAGTTGAAGAGCTACAATTTCACTTCACTTGAAGAGCTACAATCAGTAATTTTTTAGCTATGGATGATTTCTTGAAAATGTTTATATTAACAAGAAAAATTATTCTTAACTTTTTACTGAATAAAAACGTACAGTGAGGTTAGACTTTTTGTGATATTTGATCTATTATTTTAATCTCTTGAAATTTTAATAAAAATTGTGAACTCTTTTACCAGGGAAATGTGTGTGCTCTCAAAATTTTGTTTGTAGTTTTAGAGAGTTTTTTGAACACCATTCATAGGTCCTACATTACCTATTCCTGTTATTTTTTTTTCTGAGACTTTGTTTTTTCAACTATAAAAGTTTATTTTTTATGTATTAGAATTATAATGTCATAATTGGTAAAGTTAAATTAATACCCTGTACAAGTTTTAAAGAACATTTTTTATTCTCTCTTTGTAAATAATTTCCTGAATGTGTTAAGGTCTTCTTAAAAACCCTACACAATTTGTATACTAAATTTCCTCCCTCTTCCCCTCCCTGCCTCATTTCTCTCCATCTCTTTACAAAAAGGATTTAAGGCAGTTTACAGAAGTGCATTAGATAAGACAAGGCAAAAGTAAAGATAACTAAGTGAGTTAATTTGAGCAAAAAGAGAATAAGGGTAGAGAGATTGAAATGAAGCCATGTATGCTTTGAGGGTCTAGAAGTGGCCCACCTATAGGACTCTGATCAACACAGAGAAGGAAACGTGAAGTATAAGCTGAGTCAGTGATCATAAGATAAGTGCTAATCAGTTCTTAGAAGAAGCATATTTATTTCTGGCATTAAGTCTAGAGGAAATCTTTTTCTGAGGGTTCTCATGAGTAGGGAAGGAGCAGTGGACTAAACAGTGCCTTTAAAAATTCCCATGCAGTAAACACAATGAGTTTCTCAGTGCTGAGTCTTACACCATTGCTCAGTAGAGATTCATGCTATAATGCTTAACCACAATTCAACAAAAGCAACTTCTGTGAGGAGAATCTAAGCAACACAGCCCATGTACCTAGCACTAGCATTAGTCCAAGAATATATATGTATAGAGAAAGTGTTAGATTACCTATTATTTTCTTTTCTTTTTGAGATGGAGTCTCACTCTGTTGCCCAGGCTGGAGTGCAGTGGCGCGATCTCGGCTCACTGCAACCTCCGTCTTCCGGGTTCAAGCGATTCTCCTGCCTCAGCCTCCTGAGAAGCTGGGACTACAGGCGCCCACCACCATGCCCAGCTAATTTTTTGTATTTTTAATAGAGACGGGGTTTCACTGTGTTAGCCAGGAATGGTCTCGATCTACTGACCTCGTGATCCACCTGCCTCAGCCTCCCAAAGTGCTGGGATTACAGGCATGAGCCACCGCGCCTGGCCAGATTGCCTATTCTTTAGGCAATATTCCACAAACATAGCTTTTTTTCAATGACTTTTGATTAATATTTTAGAAGATCAATCAGCATAATACATCCGTACGGTAAAGTATCAAATAGTGATAACAGCTTTGATGCAGCCAACAATCTAGTCCTCTCCACCCTCTAAACTCACTCATCAGCGACAATAGTTTCACTCATTTGAAACACAGAAGTTTTTAATTTTAATGAAGTCCGATGTATCTAGTTTTTGTTTTTTTTGCTTATATTTTTGGTGTCAGATCAAAAATGTTTTGCCAAACTCAAGGTCATGAAAGTTTCCCTTTGTGTTTTTTGCTAAGTATTGTGTAATTTTAGCTCTTACATTTAGGTCTTTGGTCTATTTTGAGTTAACTTTTTCATATGGCATGAAGTGGGTGTCCAATTACATTCTTCTGCAAGTTGTGCTATCCCAGCATCATTTGTTTAAAAAGTTGGTTTTTTCCCATTGGATGGTTGGCACAAATCAGTTAACCATATATGTATTGGTTGATTTTGGGGACAGCAATACTGTTCCATTGATTTATATGTCTGTTTTTGAGCTGGTACTACACTCTCTTGGTTACCATAGTTTTATACAATAGTAAGTTTTAAAATAGAGAAATGTGAGTTATCATACTTCATTCTTTTTTTAAAGATTATTTGGCTATTCTGGGTTCCTTGCAATTCTATGTGAATTTTAGAATTCGCCAGTTAATTTCATTTTTTTTGAGAAGGGGTCTTGTTCTGTCTCCCAGGCTGGAATTCAGTGGTGCAATCATGGCGAACTGCGGTCTCAACCTACTGGGCTCAAGTGATCCTCCCGCCTCAGCTTCTTAAGTAGCTGGGACCACTAGCGCCCACCACCACACCTGTCTATTTTTTTATTTTTAGTAGAGATGGTGTCTCCTTACATTGTCCAGGCTGGTCTCAAATTCCTGGGCTCAAACGATCCTCCTGCCTTCGTCGTCCAAAGTGCTGGGATTATAGGTGTGAGCCACCACAGCTGGCTTAGCCTGTTAATTTCTACAAAGATGTCAGCTTGGTCTTGGCAAAAATTTTATAACTAAGACATCAAAAGAACAGACAATGAAAATAAAAATGGGCAAATGAGACTATATTAAACTAAAAAGCTTCTTCACAGCAAAAGAAACAATTAAAAGATTGAAAAGACAACTTGCAGCATGGGAGAAAATATTTGCAAAATTTTCATTCAACAGGGGACTAATACCTAAAATATATAAGGAACTCAAACAACCTAACAGTAAAAAAAAAAAAAAAATTTAAGCAACACAAATATTTCATTAAAAAGTGGGCAAATAGCATGAATATACATTTCTCAAAAAAGATACAAATGGCCAATAGGTTTGTGAAAAAATGCTGAACATTACTAATTACTAATCATCAGAAAAATGGAAATCAAAACTACAGTGAGATAACATCTAACCTCAGAATGGCTAGATTAAAAAGAGAAAAATTAACAGCTGTTGGTGACAATATGGAGAAAAGGGAACTCTTATACACCGTCAGCGGAAATGTAAATTAGTACAGCCACTATGGTAAACAGTATGGAGATTTACAAAACACCAAAAATAAAACTACCATATAATCCAGCAATCCCTCTACTATGTATTTATTCAAAGGCAAATAAATTAGTATATGTCAAAGGGATACCTACACTCCCATTTTTATTGCAGCACTATTCATAATATTCAAGATATGGAATTAAGCTAAGTGTCCATCAATAGATGAATGGATAAAAAAAATGTGGTATATATACCTATTTGAATACTGTTTGGTCATAACAAAGAATTAAATCATGTCATTTGCTGCAATATGGATGGAACTGGAGGTCATTATGCTAAGTGAAATAAACCAGGCACCATCAGACAAATACCTCATGTTCTCACTCATATGTGGAAGCTAAAAACTTGGTCTCATGGATGTAGAGAGTAGAATGATATACTTCAGTGTAAAGGTGGTGAGGGGATAAAGAGAGGTTGATTGATGTATACAAATACACAGTTCATGAGAGGAATTTTTTTGTAGATATGGATTCTGGCTATGTCGTCCAGGCTTGTCTCAAATTCCTGGCCTCAAGCTATCCTCCCACTGTAGCCTCCTCAAGTGCTGGGATTACAGGTGTAAGCCACCACATATGGCCAAGAAGGAATAATTTATAATGTTTAATAGCAGAGTAGAGTAACTATTGTTAACAGCAATGTATTGTGTATTTCAAAACACCTATAAAAGAGGACTTGAGGTGTTCCCAACACATAGAAATGATAAATATCTGAAGTGATGGACATCTCAAATGCCCTGACTTGATCATTACAAAGTCTATGCATGTAACAAAATATCACATATACCCCAAAAATATGTACAAGTATTTGAATTAATAAAAAAGAAGAGTGCTAGGGAAGGAATAAATAAAGGTAAAATTTAAAAACATCTCTTATTCTCAATTGACCTAAAAGTTAATTGTTTAATCAAAGTAATGATAAACTGACTGGGTGAAGATGCCATATAAATAAAGTGAAATAAATGCTAGCAATATCAAAATGGATGGGATGGTGCATTAGTCTGTTCTCACACTGCTATAAAGAACTTCTCAAGACTGGGTAATTTATAAAGAAAAGAGGTTTAATTGACTCACAGTTCTGCATGGCTGGGGAAGCCTCAGGAAACTTACAGTCATAGCAGAAAGTGAAGGAGAAGCAAGGACCTTCTTCACATGGTGGCAGCAGAGAGAAGGGCAAGCAGGAGAAATGCCAGACACTTCTAAAACCATCAGGTCCTGTTTTATAGAGAACTCACTCACTATCATAAGAATAGCCGGGGGAAACCACCCCCATGATCCAGTCACATCCGACCAGGTCTCTCTCTCAACACCTGGGGATTACAATTCAAGAAGAGATTTGGGTGGGGACACAAAGCCTAACCATATCAGATGGGAATTGGGAATATTCTGTCATATGATGTCTGTAATACACATGAAGTAGAATAGTGTCATTTGAAAGTGGACTTAGATTAATTTAAAATGTATACTTTAAACTCTTGGAGAACCATTAACAAAATTTCTGAAAGAAATATCATTTATACACTAAAGGAGAAGACAAAATGAGGTTATATAAAATACTCAAAATTTGAAAAGGAAAGAAAGGCAAAACAGAAACAAAGAGCAAATGCAAACTTCAGATCAAGGAAAATTATCATGAACGTAAAGGGGCATTACATAATGCTACAGGGATCTATTCTCCAAGAAGACATAGTAATTCTAAACATGTATGCACCTAATAAAAAAGCATCAAAATACATAAGTCAAAAACTAATAACAGTGAAAGGAGAAATAGACAAAGCCATTATTATAGTTGAATACTTCAACAGTCCTCTGTCAGTCCTTGATAAATCAAGCAGGCAGGAAATCAGTAACGACACAGATGAACTAAAAAGCTCTATCAATCAAAATGATCTGACATTTATATGTTAATTCATCCAACAAACTACAGAACACACATTTTTCTCAAGTTCACAAAGGGCATTCATCAAGATAGAGAACATAAACTACACCTTAACAAATTTAAAATAATAGAAATCATACAAAGTATATTCTCAGACCATAATATAATTAAGTTGGATGTCATTAACAGAAAGATAGTAAAAAATCCCTGAATAAACATCACACTTCTACATAACATTGGACAAAGAAGAAAAGTTTCAGAAGTCTTTAAATATTTTGAACTAAACCAAAATGAAAAATTTGTGGGGTGCAATGAAAGTAGTACTTAAATTTATGGCATTAAATACAATATGTCACATGTATGTAATCAAGCCCTTATGTTTAGATATTTCAATTTTTTATTTTTTAAATTATTTCCAGCATGCAGCAATGCTACATTAAACAAGGTGAATCTTAATTAATTATTGAGATTTTTAAAAAATATATATAAAAGTATAATTACTGATTAAGCATATTTTTAGGCTTTCAAAATATATTACTAAGTTATCTCAAAGAAATAATGTTCCGGTTTACATTTGTATCAGAAATGCATCCTGTCAAGATCAAGTATTAATTTGTCTTGAGCTTATTTTTGCTAAAGTGTGCATTTCTTAGATTATATGTGCACTCATACAAGGGACACTTCCAAAATACAGTAACACAGATTTAATTTGGACAACGCAAAGTCATTATAGCATAATCCCTGTGTCAGTGTGGTCCTAGCATCATATATTGGCAGTTGTCCTTTTAGTTGCTTGAAATCCTTTGTTATCATGACAAGTTTCCTGTTATAACTCTTCTACCTATCTTTCATAAAATTGTTGGACAATAATACAGACTGTACTGATAATTGTGAGGCCCCTGATAATATTAACAGACTTCCATTAATTTTTAGTTGCACACTAATATTTTCCTTTGGTAGTACTTTTCTATTACTACATGAAAAATTACTCTCAAAATTTAATGGTTTTAAACAACATTTTCTCTCACTGTTTCTGAAGTTCAAGAATGTGGCAAAAGGTTTACTGTGTGCTGCTAGCTCAGGGTCTGTCATAAAGCTGCAGTCAATCTGTTAGCTTGAGGTGCCGTGGGGTTTTTTTTGTGTTGTTTGAAAGCTCAACTGGGCCCAGAGGGTCCATTTTCAAAAAGGCCCACTCACATTGCTATTGGCTGGAGTCTTCAGTTTCTCTTTGGCTGTTGGATGGAAGTCTTATTTCCTCATTACATGGACCTCTTCATGAGGCTATCTCATTGTTCTCAAGACTTGGTACTAGATCTTTCCAGAGAGAGTAGGGGGAGGTGGAGGAAGGGTGGAAGGAAAGAGAGAGAGAGATAACTGAAACAGAAGCTTTAGTCTTTTTTAATCTAATCTCAGAAATATATAACATCACTGTGTCATAGGCTGTTGGTCACATAAATCAACCTGAATTTAATATAGTAGAGAACTACACAAGGTTGTGAACACGAGGAGACAGGGATTATTGGGGGCCATTGTGGCAGGCAGAGTCGTGATCCTCCCACCAATATATCATGTCCTAATCCTTGGAACCTGTGAATATTATGTTACATGCCAAAGTCTTTACAGATTTGCTTAAGTAAAGGGTCTTGAGATGGGGAAATTATTCTGGACATTCCAAGTGAATTACATTCCTAAATACAATCACAAGGGTCCTTGTAATAGAATAAGGGCCTAGTATCCAGGATATAAAAAGAACTTTTGCAACTCAATGATAAAAAGATAAATAACCCAAAGAAAAAAAGATGGGCAAAGGAAATTAACAGACATTTCTCTAAGAAAGATAACGGCCAATAATCACATGAAAAGATGCACAATATCGTTAATCAGGGAAGTGCAAATCAAACACACAAGTCCACGTTACACTTACCAGAACAGCTAGAATTAAAAAGTCAGCTAATGGCCGGGCTCAGTGGCTCGAGCCTGTAATCCCAGCACTTTGGGAGGCTGAGGCGGACGAATCACGAGGTCAGGAGATGGAGACCATCCTGGCTAACACGGTGAAACCCCGTTTCTACTAAAAATACAAAAAAAAAAAAAAATTAGCCGGGCGTGGTGGCGGGCGCCTGTAGTTCCAGCTATTCGGGAGGCTGAGGCAGGAGAATGGCGTGATCCCGGGAGGTGGAGCTTGCAGTGAGCCGAGATCGCGCCACTGCACTCCAGCCTGGGCGACAGAGGGAGACTCTGTCAAAAAAAAAAAAAAAAAAAAAAAAGCCAGCTAATAACAAGTATTGGTGAGGATGTGGTGAAATTGGAATCCTCCACACACTACTGGTGGGAATGTAACATGATGCAGTCACTTTGGAAACAGTCTGGGGATTTCTCAAATTATTAAATGTATAACTATTATATGATATAGAAATCCATTCCCGGGTATATACCTAAGATAAATGAAGACATATGTCCATACTGAAGCTTATATACAAATCCTTATAGCAGCATTATTTATAATAGCCCAAGGTGGAAATAACCCAAATGTCCATCAGCTGATGAATGAATAAACACAATGTGCATGCAATAGAATGTTATTCGTTCATGAAAAATGAAGTACGTATACATGCTACAACATACATGAACCCTGAAAATTGAAAGAAGCCCTCCACAAAAGACCATATATTATGTGATTCCATTCATAAGAAATGTCTAGAAAAGGGAAATCTATAGGACAGAAAGCAGATTCATGATTGCCTAGGGCTGGTGGGGAGAGGGAGGATACACGCCTGGGGGATAATAGCTGAAGTGTATGGGATTTGTTTTTGGTGTGATAAAAATATTCTAAAATTGACTGTGGTGATGCTTGCATATATCTGTAAATATACTAAAAATCATTCAAGTGTACACTTTAAATAGATTAATTACAAAGTACGTGAACTATATCTCAATAAAGCTGTTAAGCAAAGGATGAGAGTCATGACGTCCCTGCTTTTGATACGTAGGAGCTGAAATCAGAAGTAGTCCATTATGACACAGTATGAATTACTGTTTCGTTAGTAAAAATAATTTTTGTAGATGAATATTTATTTATACTGGATTATGTTTATAATATCTTGTTAAGCAAAATGATCTATAAAACCATATGTATGTTTCTATTTTTGCAAAAAGATATTTCTATACAGATGCTCCTCAACTTATAATGGGGTTATGTCCTGATAAACCTATCATAAATTGAAAATATCATAAGTCAGAAATGTATTTAATACACCTAATCTACCAAATATCATGGCTTAGCCTGTCCTACCTTAAATGTGCTCAGAATACTTACATTAGCCTACAGTTGGGCAAAATAATCTAACACAAAGCCTATTTTATAATAAAGTATTGAATATCTCATGAAATTTTTTGAATACTGTGCTCAAAGTGAAAACAGAATGGTTGTATGGGTACTCAAAGTACAGTGTCTAGTGAATGCATATCTCTTTCACACCATTGTAAAGTTTAAAAATTATAAATGGAACGATTGTAAGTTGAGGACCACCTGTATATAGAAAAATATATGTAAGGATAGTTGTTAAAAGTGGTTATTGGTCAGATGCGGTGGCTCATGCCTGTAATCCCAGCACTTTGGGAAACAGTGGTGGGGGGATCACTTGGGCCCAGGAGGTCAAGACCAGCCTGGGGAACATAGTGAGATCCTGTTTCTACTAAAAATAAAAAATTGAAATTAATAAAAGAACATTAGTCAAGCGTGGTGGCACATGTCTGTTGTCCACGCTACTTAGGAGGCTGAGGTGGGAGGCTTGCTCGAACCTGGGAGGTTGTGGCTGCAGTGAGCTATGGTTGTGCCACTACACAACCTATGGGACAGAGTGAGATTCTATCTCAAAAGAAAGCCCCCTAAAGTACAACAAAAACGAACAGCAAAAACAAAGGTTATCTTTGTTGGTGATATTTTGGATATTTTAATTTTTCTCTTTCTGCATATCTATATTGTCTCTAGTGAACTAATCTACTCAATACTGTGAAAAATATTTAAAAATTATTTTGTACCTCCTATAACACAATCAAAATCCCAAAGAATGTGGCTGCAGCACTGTATCTTGAAAAATTCTTTAAGAAATTTTAAACAAGCATTTACCCTTTCATAAAGAAATAATTCCAGGCTGGGTGTGGTGGCTCAACCCTATAATCCCAGCACTTTGGGAGGCCGATGGAGGCGGATCACCTGAGGTCAGGGGTTCAGGACCAGCCTGGGCAACGTGGTGAAACCTCGTCTCTACTAAAAATACAAAAATTACTTGGGCATGGTGGTGCATGCCTATAATCCCAGCTACTCAGGAGGCTGAGGCAGGACAATCCTTTGAACCGAGGAGACAGAGGTTGCAGTGAGCCGAGATCATGCCACTGCGCTCCAGCCTGGGTGACAGAGTGAGACTCCACCTCAAAAAAAAAAAAAAAATTCCAGTAAAAGAGTCATAAAATCCTTATCTTTGAGCATGCCTTCCAAGATTAACAGGCTGGGAAACGTATACTCTGGTAAATGGACAGGGTAATTACAGAACAGGGCAATCTCTTAAACATCATTTCATTCATATACAGATATATTATACTGGAATATGTCTAGGTTTCTTGAAATTACCAGTCATGTCATCAAATTTTTTTTACTACTTATTCCAATCACAGGAACATATTTAGAATCTGAAACTGAAAGTGTTTTTTTTAAATCATATAACATTACTTCCTTTTACTTCAAGTGCTTCCATTTATAAGATTATTGATCTGTTTGTGTCCTCCCCCAAATTCATAGGCTGAAACCTAACCATCACTGTGATGATATTAGAAGGTGGGGCCTTTGGGAGGTAATTAGGCCATGAGGGCAGAGTCCTAATGAATGAGATTACTGCCTTTATAAAAGAGGCCCCAGAAAGCTGCCTTGCTCCTTCTACCATGTAAAGATACAGCGAAAATATGCCGCCTATGAACGAGAAAATTGGCCCTCACTAGACACTGAATCTGCTGGCACGTTGGTCTTGGACTTTCTGTCTTCCAGAACTGTGAGAAATAAACTTTTGCTATTTATAAGTTGCCCAGTTTACAGTATTTTTTTATAGGGGCCTGAATGGACTAAGACAGTCATCCTATGTGTAAGGATATTGGTTAGTGTCACAAATGAAATAATATATTTTGTATGGATTTCAAGTTATTTGAGCTATTTCTCTGTAAGTATACTGAATGCGAACTTTTCAAACAGGCAGAAATGCTAATGGGCATACAGAAAACAAAAATCAGGAAGCAAATCAATCATATTATATTACCCAGCATTTATCAGACACCTACCAAGTACCAGGCACTATTAGGAACATTGCAGGCACTATCTTTTTTTTTTTTTTTTTTGAGACGGAGTGTTGCTCTATGGTTCAGGCTGGAGTGCAGTGACACGATCTTGGCTCACTGAAACCTCGGCTTCCCGGGTTCAAGCAATTCTCCTGCCTCAGCCTCCCGAGTAGCTGGGATTACAGGTGTGTACCACCACACCTGGTTAATTTTTGTATTTTTAGTAGAGACGAGTTTCACCATTTTAGCCAGGCTGGTCTTGAACTCCTGACCTCAGGTCATACACCTGCCTCAGCCTCCCAAAGTGGTGGGATTACAGGCGTGAGCCACCGTGCCTGGCCAGCACTATCTTTTTTAATTCACCCATAAGCTAATGAAGTAGGAAACTAAGGCTCAGAGAGTTTACACATGTGGTTTAACGTTGTTTAATGTCACCAAATACCTAGTAAGTGACAGAGTCAGGTTTGAACCAGGAGTATCCATTTCCCAAATCTAAGGTTTTTCTATAATACCCAAAAGAATAAAAGGTTATCTTTCTGCTAACACTGTAGCCCTGGCTGATTTATAGGTATAGCGCTTACGCTAATGTTGAACATTTAGTTAAGAACTTGAATGCTGGAGTCCGATATGGGTTTGTGGTACTTACTACATGTGTAATCTTGGGCAAGTCACTTAGGTGTACTCCAGGTTCCTCCTCTGGAGATAGGGTAGCAGTATTATTGACCTCATAAAGTTGTTCTGAAGAGCAAATGTAATTACTATACATAAAGTCTTTGCACTACTAAATACTTTTTAGCTTTTATTATGTTGATGAGAAAATTGTCCTGTTGAATCTGTAAAATAAGGTCACACCCCTGTGGTTATGCTGTCATGTCTCTTGAAGGGAAAAGAAAGAGTAATTGACAACTATCCTAGGAATTAGAATATCCTGGACAGAAAGTGAGGCCTTGGAGGTAGACTGTAGACGGGAAAGTCACATTTTTCTCTTTGGGCATCTCTTTCAGACATGGACTCTGGGCATCTGGCTGTCATTAAGAGCATTCCTGAGAAACAGGGGCTCCTGCCTCATGGAGGCAAAGAGCAGATGCAGCAGCATGGGTGCAGTCATGCTGGGGGCCCCAGGACTGGGGTATTGTGCTGGTGGGTGCAGAGAGCAGCCACATCCTGTGGGTCGTTGCACGTTGCACTCTAACTTGTCACTGCCTTTCTTCTGTTAGTCTCAGGACCTTAATCAGAACTGATCTACTATTTCAGTCTAGTCTCAGCTCTGCTATGGGAGATTAAGGAACGTGTCTGCGTTCATACTGAGGCTGGAGTGAGAAAAGGCGAGAGCAAATACAGTGGTAACAGGGTAAAGTTAGCAAAAAGTCTGAAGGAACAGGAGGGTCAGAAATTATGGTGATTGTGTCCAGTTGCCCCTCTCCATGTTCGTAGATTTTCCCTTTATTGCTCACCTTGGAGGAAACCTGTAGGTTTCCTCACACACATCACACTGTGAAAATGTGATACTGTATGGATTTTTTACTAACACCTGTAGAAGCTAGTTTTAAGCACAATTGAACATGACAAGATGGGCAACAGAACATTCTATTTTCACTCCCAAATACCACTAAAAATATAAATTTTAACATTAAAAATATATTTTAGGCCGGGCGAGGTGACTCACGCCTGTAATCCCAGCAGTTTGGGAGGCCGGGGTGGGTGGATCACCTGAGGTCAGGAGTTCAAGACCAGCCTGGCCAACATGGTGAAACCCTGTCTCAACTAAAAATACAACAACAACAAAAAAATAGCTGGGCGTGGTGGTGGGCGCCTGTAATCTCAGCTACTTCGGGAGGCTGAGGCAGGAGAATCACTTGAACCTGGGAGGCGGAGGTTGCAGTGAGCCAAGATGGTACCATTGCACTCCAGCCTGGGTGACAAGAGTGAAACTCTGTCTAAAAAAAAAAAAAAAAAAAAAAATATATATATATATATATATATATGTATGTATCATATATATATGTATGTATCATATATATGTATGTATCATATATATGTATGTATCATATATATGTATGTATCATATATATTAATAAAATTGTTGAGGTTAAAAATATTGGTTTAATAGTTTCAATTCTTATATGTACAAAATTCTTTTCTGCATATATTTGAACTTTATTGAAACTGATAGCCAAATATTTAAGGCTGGTTTTCAACTCCAAGTTTGTTTATGATACTGAAAGATAATACTAAAGTGAATCTATGAGCTCTATTTCATTCTGTCCATTCACTCATTCATTTCTTCAACAAATACATATGGCCCTCCAGTTATAAACCAGGGATTGTTGTAAGAGTAGGGGACATAAAGCTGAACCCTATCAGCCTATCCCATGGAAGACATAAATATAATGAGGAAGATGAATACAGAAATTAAATTAAATCACAGTGTGTAAGTGTTAAAACGGGGCAAGACAATGCTTTAGGACATTAAGAGTTTTCATTCTCTAGAATAAATATGAGACTCCAAACATTTAGATTCCAACTAGGAACCAGGTAGATATTGGACATACTCCAAAAGACAAAGGTCCAATATTACAACCCCTAGGGAAGATCCTAATATTATCCCCATTTGACTTATGATGTCAAATTTGATTTATGATGTACTAATTTGTACATGATCACACAACTAGTGAGCAGCAAAACCTGGATTTTAATTCACTTATGTTTGACTCCAGAGCCCAGACACTTGACCACTGTGTTAGACTAAATGACTGATGTTACTAACCTAGTTGTGTATAGTTTGGCTGTGTTATTTGGAAAAAAAGTCATTCATTTTGTGCCTCATTTGTAAAATGGATCCCTTATTATAGGACTGTACTGAGAAGTAGCTACTGTAGATCTCTTCAAAATTGTAATCTCAGATGGCATTAATGATAACATTAAATGTAAAATAGGACAAGTACATTTGGAATATCAGGCATCGTAGGCTGTTTAAGATGGTCTCACTGACCACACTTCTTGGTAACTAGGCCATTCTATAATTCCCTCCTCTAGAGTACGGGATAGTGCTAATAACTCATTTCTAATAAATGGAATATAGTAGAGTGACTCTTGATATAAATAAACAATTGAATAAATAAACAAATCAGGGATAAGAGGAAGGTCTTCCTCCAAAGAGAATTCCAACAAAAAACTTAAAAAGAAAAGTGGGAAATGGAAAATCACTGTTAGGCAAATACTGTAGTAATAAATGTTGCAGACAATATCCACTTACAGAGGCTAAATTTGGTGGGCAAAATTTAAGAAAAAGTAGGCTTTGCCTGTTCTCAAGTTATCTCTTCCAAGACATGTGTCTACTTTAGAGAGAGAGAGTAGCTCTACAGTAGAGAAACCCAGAAAACACAAACTTAATTAAGTGATCAAGGTAAACATAACCAGTAATGAGACATACTGGCATCATGACACACTTGATATGATACACTAAGAAGGACACAACATAATTTTTAGTAGTGTTTTGGCCCAAAATGCCCAACCTCATTCCAATAATAAAAAAAATAAGAGAAACCCAAATTGAAGGACATTCTACAAAGCAATTGACCAGCACTCTTCAAAAGTGTCAGGATCATAAAAGACATGGGAAGTCAGAGGAACTGTTACAGGATAGAGGAGACCAAGGATGAATAAAAAGCAAGTGCAGAGCTGGAACTTGGACAGGATCCTGGCGCAGAAAAATGACAATAGTGGAAAAATTGGTGACATTCTCTCTGAAGTCTATAGTTTAGTAAATAACACTGTGCCAAGGTTATATTCCTGTTCTTGACAATTATGCTATGATTACCTATGATGTTAGCATTAGAAGTAGGATTAAGGATATAAGGAACTGTGCAATTTTTATAACTTTTCTGTAAGTCTAAAGTTAGTTCAAAATATAGAATTAAAATGTTATGCTGGATAATAAATAAAATCCAACTATGTAGTCTTTACAAGAAATATATCTAAAACTTAAACATACAGAAAGTTTGAATGTAAAAGGATGAAAAACTGCATGCAACTCAAATAGTAATAAAAGAAAGCTAGGATGGTCTGTCGATAGATTTTTAAGGTTAGAAGCATTACTAGGGGTACATGGAATTACTTCATGATGCTAAATATTCACTTCACCAGAAAGGCATACATTTGTATGCTTTCAAAATTTATAAGGGAAGAATAACAAACTACAGGGAGGAATAGATAATTTAAGAATCATAACAGGAGATTTTAACTTACCTTTCTCTGTAGCTTCTAGATTAATTAAAAAACAAAAACAAAACAAAAAACTGTGGAGATCTAGAACTACTTGAACTACACAGTTAACAAACACAGGACACTGCACCTAACATCTGCAGAACACTGAAATCTTTTAAGCATAAGAAATGTTTACAAATAGTGATAATAGAATGACTATCAGGCAAACCCCAAAAATACCAAAGGATTGAAATAATACAAAGTGTATTCTTCTACTACAATGCAGTAATGCTAGAAATAAACAATGAAAGACAAAAAAAACCCTCAGAGGTTTATACATTTAAAATATTATTTTAAAGAATTCATGAATAAAAGAAGAATTCAGAATATAAACTAGAAAATATTTTAAATGGAATTATAAAAACACTATACATCAAAACTTACATAGCAAAATCAGTACTTACAGTACTTTTCCCTAGAGGAACAAAAGAACGAAGCTAAACATTCATTTAAGAAGTTGGTGAAAGAATAACACAATGTATACAAAGAACATAGAAATAAGGAAATAATACAGATAAAAGCAGACATTAATCATTTAGAAAACAAATAGAATAGGAAGCGCATCAACAGAGCTGGTAATTAGATCTTTTAAAAGATTAATAAAATTGACAAACTCCTGACACTACTGATAAGAAAGAAAAAAGAGAATAGACAAATAGCTGTTATTCAGAATACAGAAAAAGTTGATCTCTCAGCCAATTCTAAAAACATTAAGGATAATTAGAAGCTATTATGAATAATAGTAAACCCATATATTTGAAAATTTTAGAGGAAATGGCCATGTTCTGAGAAAAATACAACTTAACAATATTTCAGAAGGATGAGGTGGCTCATGTAATCCCAGAACTTTGGGAAGCTGAGGTGGAAGGATTGCTTGAGGCCAGGGGTTTGAGGCCAGCCTGGGCAACATAGCAAGACCCTGTATCTACAAAATATTAATGATTTCAAAAATTAGCTGGGCATGTTGACACACACCTGTAGTCCTAGCTGCTTTGGGGGCTGAGGTAGGAGGATTGCTTGAGCCCAGGAGGTCAAGGCTGCAGTGAGCCGTGATCACACCACTGCACTCCAGCCTGGATGACAGAGCCAGACCCCATCCCTAAAAATAAATACATACATACATAAAATAAAAAAGAAATAAGTGAAATATTGAATTAAATATGTTTTCACAAGGAAAAGTACAGATCTTGACAGTGAATTCTGGTAAACATTTATGTTAGAAATAATTCTAAAGCAAACTCTTCCTGAGTATAGAGAAAGAAGATGTGCTCTCCAACCCAGGAGACTGCCATAACTTTGACGCCAAAACCCCATAACAACAGTATAAGGAAAGAAAGAAAATACATGCCAATTAGATACGTCTATAAAAATTTTGTAAAAAGTTTAGAAAAATAAATCCATATGTATCCATGTAAAAAATGATGATATATCATAGCCAGTTTGAATTTTTTCTGGGAATGAATAATTGGTTTAACATTAGACTATCAATTTTTAAAATGTATTATTTTAACCACATGGACAGAATAAGGGAAAAAAATATAAACAATGCATTACATGCCAAAAGTGTTTGATAAAATTCAACATTTAGTCATAATTAAAGAAAAACTCCTAAGAAACTAGAAATATAAGGGAACTTCTTTAATCTCATAAATGGTATCTCATAAAGCAAACTACAGCAGTCATTATACCTAATGATTAAATGTTATAAAATCTCATTAGGTTCAAGAAGGAGAGAAAGATGTCCATCATCACTGCTGTTATTCATAGCACATACACAGCACATTGTATTGGAGAGTCAAGCTAGTTTACCAAAGCAAGAAATAGAAGGGGATAAAAAAGTAGTAATTAATCTATCACCATTTGCCAATCATATGATAGTGTATGTAGAAAAAAATATAAATTTCTAGAATTAGAGATTAGTAGAAAAATTCTTACTAGTAAAATTGAAGATATGCATCCCCAAGATGTATCTACCCTTCAGAATTGTAAGGTAAGAAGCACCAAAATACATGTATGAACATGTTCACAACAGCATTATCAATAATATCTTAAGAGTGGAAGCACCCAGGTATACACCTACAACAGAACAAATTAATAACTCTTGCAATGGCTTATTACATAGCAAAAAAAATGAGCTCACAAAAGCTACATTCTTCAATGTAGATGAGTCTTAAATACCTATGGCTTAGTGGAAGGAGCAAGGTATACACACACACACACACACACACACCACATATTCTGTGATTCTAATTAGACAAAACTAGAACATTTTATTTAGGGGATACTTAATCTGAGGCTAAGTTATAAACGAAAGCGAAGGGGCAACCAGGTGTCTTGAGAATGTTCTAGTTTCTAACTTAGGTAGTGGTAATACGACTGTTTATTTCATAATAACTAATTAATTTTAAATTTATGCAAAAAGAAAGAATATGATATCTATTCAGACTTTTTTTGACAAATCATAGTTTCCTAGCTCCACAGAATATTTAATGAAGGGTGTAGTGTGCCTAAGTAATTTTTACAATCATGAACGTTAAAATTTTGTTGAACTTTGATGCAGTCATTTTTTATTGTAAATGTTGTAGACAGACTTTTAATAAAATTTGTTGACAGTCCCAATCTGTTTTATCAAATTTTGCAGAAAATGTGGACCAATTTCTTTTATTATAAACATATGGAATATGAAACTAAAAGTCAGGCTTTTTTTAAATTTACTTCATTCTCAGTAAATGCCTTCAGGCATGAAAGAGGACCTAATGCCTACAAGTTAGACAGTAATAAAAACATTCAGAAATGTTACTTCTTCAACTGGACCACTAGATGGCACTAAACTAACATAGAATACGGGCTAATCCTCCATGGAAGTCTGGTGCATTAATGTGTTTTCATGATTTTAGACCTTGTGAATTCTAAAGGTCTTTTTTGGCTTAGCACTTTGGAGATATGCAGCAGGGGAAAAGGGATTAAAAATTCTTAAAAAATTAAAGTTTTTTTTTAAATTATGAAAAGATACATTAAAACTCTTTAGGGCAGACAAACTGAGCTTTTCATGTCTTCTTGCCTCTTGCTTCTTCTACATCTCCAATTATGAACCCTAGGGAAAGAAATCATTTTGGCCTAAGATAATAGAGGCTTGACAGATATATGTGAATCACAAGATTTGAAACTGAATTCTTTTGTGAGGACAAAGAGATGGAGAAGTTTCGGCCGTGGTTGGTGCCCTTCATAGCAGATCTAGGAAGCGGCAGAGGCTTTGCACACTGGCAGCAAGAATTCAATTAAGCTGGCGTGGGTTCTGCAGTTTAAGGAAGGATGCTGGTTGCCTTTTTGAAGGAGCATCTTCGCTCAGATCTTAAAGGGAAATAAGGTTTCTTTGCTATGACTCTTTAGCTGTAAGCAATGGGAACTAATTCTTGGCAGGTGAAGGGAATTGGTAGAAGAAATATGAGAAGCTACTGTTTTTTTAAGGATGCATTTACTGAAAATGGGGTACATTCAATAAAGTCTTCACTTCTAATTTGAAATTACATATAGCTACAAAGAAGGAATTGGCCTACATGTTCTCTGAGTGAAATAATCTTTCTTTGAGTGTGTCAGAATTTATTTGGAATTGCAAAACTGTAGACAAACTTGTTACTGCTGCATGAAATACCAGTAATGATCATCAAAGAAATCTGCATGAATTTCTCTTCTTAGATTAATCTTAACAGGCCCTTTTCCTGGTTTGCAATCACCAAAATTCTTTTTTAAAAATTCTGCAAGGGCTTTCTTCTATGTGAGGACTTTCAGGGTCCTTTTGCCTGTAAGTACCCTCTGCACATAGCAGGCTCTGTTTCCTTAGGGAGAGAGGAGGATTTTTGAGGGCAGGGGCTATGTCTTATTTTCATCTGTATTGTTTTCAGAAGAAAACTCAATGGCTTAGGGAGGTGAATATACAATAAACATAAATATGATGACTAATTCGTCATTCTGTTCATTTTGAGACCTGATTTTATATTTTCTTCCTTTTGTGAAGATTTGATTTTCTTATATGTCCATAAATAAATTTTCTTTAAGATAGAAAATTTGATAGAAAATGAAATAAACTGTGCACATGGTTTTAAATCTATATGCTTTATTTTGTCAAATAAAGCACTACTCTGTGCTTTCCTTACCACTTCCTTCCTCTTTTGCTGTGAAGGACCAGTAGTTTTGTCCAAAATACTTCAGATTGCATTTATTTCTCTCAAAAACAAAAAAAGTTTAAGTGAGAATTCCTTCAGCATTATTTGCCAGTCTTAAGCAATTTTAGTTGTCTATTAATTTTTAAATATTACCCATAAGAAGCAAAACTTAGTTGTATTCCAGTAATAGAAATTTAAAAGTAGACAGATCTGTTGGACTTTTTAAAAATATAAAAAAAAAACAAAAGAAAGCAAAACCCAACGAGGCTAAAGAAAAACCCCACATAAAATCGAATCTTTTTTTTTAATGTAGGACTCATCTTTATATTTCTTGAATCATCAGCCATTTGTCAAAATGCCAAAAGAAATATCCTGCACAGAAGGAATATTCATTTTAACCTTAATTCAGCCAGGAAGAGTTCCATAAGCCAAATTTGTATTTCATGCAGCCCAGACAAATTTTATGAAATATCAGAACAATAGGAGAGCATCACAATGTGGATTTCTTGAAATTTAACAAAATACAATTTAAAAGCTATGAATCAAAATCTTCCCTGTTTAATGGTAGTCTCTCCCGATATAGAAAACTGTCTTCACAGACAAAATCAAATAGTGCCCTCGTATGCTTTTATGAATATCTAAAATTGAAAACAACTTTACTAGATAAATAAAGAGAAGAATTGCTAAGAACGAATGCTTCATATGGGTCTTTCTGACCAGGTTTAAAGAGCAAAATATTTTCATATTTTGAGTCAAAATGTTCCTTCTTTCTCTCTACATTAAAAAAAAGCTTCAATGCACAGGGGAGAAAAGTTGCTCATTGGCTGAGTCAATTTCCGGAATTTCTGGGTCAAAATGGAAATGTGGAATATGTTCTAAACACAGATTTAGTGTAGAGGACAGTGCCCTGATCCGGATGTGTGTCTTCAGTTCCCAGCACAGTGCTGGAGCACATAATCTCTGCTCTATTTACTGTACTTGCCAACTAAATTGTCTCTTTACTTTCAGTCATGTTTTCTTTTATTCATTCTCTACAGGTAACTTTGATTTTTTTTCCCAAAGTGAACTTAGATCATGATAAAGCTACTATTTATTAATCCCTAGTATGTACCATACACATTACATACATCATATTATTAAGTTCTTACCATGACACTAATAAGGAAGTATTGTTGTTCCAATGTTTACAGATGAGTAAACCAAGGCACAGAGCAGTTAAGTGGCTTTGCCAATGTCAGTTTAGCTATTGCAGTGTACCCTCAAGTGATAGCACACCACTTGATGTGTTAAGGTGACTAATGACCTCAGTTTTCCTGGGTTTGTCTTAATTTAATACTGAAAGTCTGATTGCATAGGAAACTCCTTAGTCCAAGGAAAACAGGGGCAGTTAGTCATCCTACATCTAGTTAAACAGCTTCATGACACTTGATATGATTTGGCTGTTTCCCCATTGAAATCTTATCTTGAATTATAGCTCCCATAATTCCCATGTGTTGTGGGAAGGACCCGGTGGGAGATAATTGAATCATGGGGGTGGGGTTTCCCCCATACTGTTCTCATGGTAGTGAATAAGTCTCATGAGATCTGATGGTTTTATAAGGGGAAACCCCTTTTGCTGGGTTCTTATTCTGTCTCTTGCCTGCTGCCACGTAAGACATGCCTTTCCCCTTCTACCATGATTGTGAGGCCTCCTCAGCCACATGAAACTGAGTCCATTAAACCTCTTTTTCTTTATAAATTACCCAGTCTTGGGCATGTCTTTATCAGCAGCATGAAAATGGACGAATACCATGGTATACTTTCATTTCTCCCTTCTCCATTTTTGTGGTATTTATTCATAGATTTTCCTTTTTTATATATCATAAACCTCATATTAAATTGTTAATACAGTTATATAAACAGTCAATTATTCTTAAAAGAGATTTAAGTCATGAAAAAAATCTTGCATATTTTTTCATGTTCTTCAGTCTTTTGTATGGATCCAGATTTCCAGCTGGTATTCTTTCGGTTCTGCCTAAAAGGATTTCCTTTAACATTTCTTACAGTGTGGCTCTGCTGGTCACAATTCTCTCAGCTTTTGTGTATCTGAAATATCTTTTTTAAAATTTCATTTTTGAAAGAAAATGGAAAGAAACAGAATTACAGGTTTTCTTTCCAGTATTTTAAAGCGCTTCCTCTATAGTCTGGTCGCTGGCATTGTTTCTGATGAGAAATCAGCTGTTGTCCTTGTTGCCCTTTATATAACCTATCTTTGTATGTGTCCTCTGGCTGCTTTCAGGATGTTCTCTTTGTCATTGGTTTGGAGAAAATTGTTATTATTATTTTTTTTTGAGATGGAGTCTCGCTCTGTCACCCAGGCTGGAGTGCAATGGCACCATCTCGGCTCACTGTAACCTCCACCTCCCAGGTTCAAGTGATTCTCTTGCCTCAGCCTCCTGAGCAGCTGGGATTAGAGTTGCCTGCCACCACCTCCAGCTAATTTTTGTATTTTTAGTAGAGATGGGATTTCACCACATTGGCCAGGCTGGTCTCAAACTCCTGACCTCAAACGATCTGCCTGCCTTGGCCTCCCAAGTGCTGGGATTACAGACATGAGCCACCACGTCTGGCCTGGAGCAAATTAATTATTTATGTGACTTACTGAGTTTCCTCATGTTTCTTGTGCTTAATGATCTTTGAGATTCTTAGATCTGAGAGTTCATAGTTTTCATCAAACGTGGAAAAAATTTGAGCCACCATTTATTGAAATATTTTTCTCTGTCCTTATCCCCTTCACCCTTTAGTGACACCAACTACATTAGGCCACTTGAAGTACTCCCACAGCTCACTGACGTTCTCGATCATTTAAAAAATTATGTTTTCTTTCCTTGCTTCATTTTGGATAGTTTTTAATTCCTGTTTTCAAGTTTACAAATTTTCTTCTGCAATGTCTAATCTGCTTTTAATCATATCCAGTGTAATTTTTGCCTCAGACATTATACTTTTTATCTCTCCAAGTTTGATATGTGTCTTTCAAAAATATATAGCATTCTGAAGGGGTCAGGGAATTCCCTTTCCTAGCCAAGTGAAACTGTGACAGACGGCACCTGGAAAATCGAGTCACTCCCACCCTAATACTGTGCTTTTCCAATGGTCTTAGCAAACAGCACACCAGGAGATTATATCTCACATGGCTTGGAGGGTCCCACGCCCATGGAGCCTCACTCATTGCTAGCACAGCAGTCTGAGATCGAACTGCAAGGCGGCAGCAAGGCTGGGGGAGGGGTGCCTGCCATTGCTGAGGCTTGAGTAGGTAAACAAAGTGGCGGGAAGCTCAAACTGGGTGGAGCCCACCACAGCTCAAGGAGGCCTGCCTGCCTCTGTAGACTCCACCTCTGGGGGCAGGGCATAGCCAAACAAAAGGCAGCAGAAACCTCTGCAGACTTAAATGTCCTTGTCTGACAGCTTTGAAGAGAGTAGTGGTTCTCCCAGCAAGGAGTTTGAGATTTGAGAACGGACAGACTGCCTCCTCAAGTGGGTCCTTGACCCTCGAGTAGCCTAACTGGGAGGCACCCCCCAGTAGGGGCAGACTGACACCTCACACGGCCGGGTACTCCTCTGAGATGAAACTTCCAGAAGAATGATCAGCCAGCAACATTTGCTATTCAGCAATATTCACTGTTCTGCAGCCTCTGCTGCTGATACCCAGGCAAACAGGGTCTGGAGTGGACCTCCAGCAAACTCCAACAGACCTGCAGCTGAGGGTCCTGACTGTTAGAAGGAAAACTAACAAACAGAAAGGACATCCACACCAAAACCCCATCTGTATGTCACCATCATCAAAGACCAAAGGTAGATAAAACCACAAAGATAGGGAAAAAACAGAGCAGAAGAGCTGAAAATTCTAAAAATCAGAGCGCTTCTCTCTCTCCAAAGGAATGCAGCTCCTTGCCAGCAATGGAACAAAGCTGGACGGAGAATGACTGACGAGTTGAGAGAAGAAGGCTTCAGATGATCAAACGTCTCCGAGCTAAAGGAGGAAGTTCGAACCCATCGCAAACAAGCTAAAAACCTTGAGAAAAGATTAGAAGAATGGCTAACTAGAATAATCAGTGTAGAGAAGTCCTTAAATGACCTGATGGAGCTGAAAACCATGGCACAAGAACTATGTGATGAAGGCATAAGCTTCAGTAGCTGATTTGATCAACTAGAAGAAAGGGTATCAGTGATTGAAGATCAAGTGAATGAAATGAAGCAAGTAGAGAAGTTTAGAGAAAAAAGAGGAAAAACAAAGGAACAAAGCCTCCAAGAAATATGGGACTATGTGAAAAGACCAAATCTACATCTGATTGGTGTACTGAAAGTGACGGGGAGAATGGAACCAAGTTGGAAAACACTCTGCAGGATATTATCCAGGAGAACTTCCCCAACCTAGCAAGGCAGGCCACATACCAGAATCTCTGGGACACATTCAAAGCAGTGTGTAGAGGGAAATTTATAGCACTAAATGCCCACAAGAGAAAGCAGGAAAGATCTAAAATTGACACCCTAACATCACAATTAAAAGAACTAGAGAGGCAAGAGCAAACACGTTCAAAAGCTAGCAGAAGGCAAGAAATAACTAAGATCAGAGCAGAATTGAAGGAGATAGAGACACAAAAAACCCTTCAAAAAATCAATGAATCCAGGAGCCGGTTTTTTGAAAAGATCAACAAAATTGATAGACTGCTAGCAAGACTAATAAAGAAGGAAAGAGAGAAGAATCAAATAGACACAATAAAAAATGATAAAGGGGATATCACCACCAATCCCACAGAAATACAAACTACCATCAGAGAATACTATAAACACCTCTACACAAATAAACTAGAAAATCTAGAAGAAATGGATAAATTCCTGGACACATACACCCTCCCAAGACTAAACCAGGAAGAAGTTGAATCTCTGAATAGGGTTCGGAGATTCCAATAACAGGCTCTGAAATTGAGGCAATAATTAATAGCTTACCAACCAAAATAAGTCCAGGAGCAGTTGGATTCACAGCCGAATTCTACCAGAGGTACAAGGAGGAGTTGGTACCCTTCCTTCTGAAACTATTCCAATCAATAGAAAAAGAGGGAATCCTCCCTAACTCATTTTATGAGGCCAGCATCTTCCTGATACCAAAGCCTGGCAGAGACACAACAAACAAAGAGAATTTTAGGCCAATATCCCTGATGAACATCAATGCAAAAATCCTCAATAAAATACTGGCAAACCAAATCCAGCAGCACATCAAAAAGCTTATCCTCCATGATCAAGTGGGCTTCATCCCTGGGATGCAAGGCTGGTTCAACATATGCAAATCAACAAACATAATCCAGCATATAAACAGAACCAAAGACAAAAACCACATGATTATTTCAATAGATGCAGAAAAGGCCTTTGACAAAATTCAGCAGCTCTTCATGCTAAAAACTCTCAATAAATTAGGTATTGATGGGATGTATCTCAAAATAATAAGAGCTATTTATGACAAACCCACAGCCAATATCATACTGAATGGGCAAAAACTGGAAGCATTCCATTTGAAAACTGGCACAAGACAGAGATGCCCTCTCTCATCACTCCTATTCAACATAGTGTTGGAAGTTCTGGCCAGGGCAATCAGGCAGGAGAAAGAAATAAAGGGTATTCAATTAGGAAAAGAGGAAGTCAAATTGCCCCTGTTTGCAGATGTCATGATTATGTATAGCTAGAAAACCCCATCGTCTCAGCCCAAAATCTCCTTAAGCTGATAAGCAACTTCAGCAAAGTCTCAGGATACAAAATCAATGTGCAAAAATCACAAGCATTCTTATACACAAATAACAGACAAACAGAGAGCCAAATCATAAGTGAATTCCCATTCACAATTGCTTCAAAGAGAATAAAATACCTAGGAATCCAACTTACAAGGGATGTGAATGACCTCTTCAAGGAGAACTACAAACAACTGCTCAACGAAATAGAGAGGACACAAATAAATAGAACATTCCATGCTTATGGATAGGAATAATCAATATCATGAAAATGACCATACTGCCCAAGGTAATTTATAGATTCAATGCCATCCTCATCAAGCTACCAATGACTTTCTTCGCAGAATTGGAAAAAACTACTTTAAAGTTCATATGGAACCAAAAAAGAGCCCACATTGTCAAGTCACTCCTAAGCCAAAAGAACAAAGCTGGAGGCATCATGCTACTTGACTTCAAACTATACTACAAGATTACAGTAACCAAAACAGCATAGTACTGGTACCAAAACAGAGATATAGACCAATGGAACAGAACAGAGCCCTCAGAAATAATACTACACATCTACAACCATCTGATCTTTGACAAACCTGACAAAAACAAGAAATGGGGAAAGGATTCCCTATTTAATAAATGGTGCTGGGAAAACTGGCTAGCCATATGTAGAAAGCTGAAGCTGGATCCCTTCCTTACACCTTATACAAAAATTAATTCAAGATGGATTAAAGAATTAAATGTTAGACCTAAAACCATAAAAACCCTAGAAGAAAACCTAGGCAATACCATTCAGGACATAGGCATGGGCAAGGACTTCATCTCTAAAACACCAAAAGCAATGGCAACAAAAGCCAAAATTGACAAATGGGATCTAATTAAACTCAAGAGCTTCTGCACAGCAAAAGAAACTACCATCAGAGTGAACAGGCAACCTACAGAATGGGAAAAAATTTTTGCAATCTACTCATCTGACAAAGGGCTAATATCCAGAATCTACAAAGAACTTAAACAAATTTACAAGAAAAAAACAAACAACCCCATCAAAAAGTGGGTAAAGGATATGAACAGACACTTCTCAAAAGAAATTTATGCAGCCAACAGACACATAAAAAAATGCAAATCATCACTGGCCGTCAGAGAAATGCAAATCAAAACCACAGTGAGATACCATCTCACACCAGTTAGAATGGCAATCATTAAAAAGTCAGGAAACAACAGGTGCTGGAGAGGATGTGGAGAAATAGGAACACTTTTACACTGTTGGTGGGACTGTAAACTAGTTCAACCATTGTGGAAGACAGTGTGGCGATTCCTCAAGGATCTAGAACTAGAAATACCATTTGACCCAGCCATTCCATTACTGGGTATATACCCAAAGGATTATAAATCATGCTGCTATAAAGACACAGCACACATATTTTCATTGCGGCACTATTCACAATAGCAAAGACTTGGAACCAACCCAAATGTCCATCAATGATAGACTGGATTAAGAAAATGTGGCACATATACACCATGGAATACTATGCAGCCATAAAAAATGATGAGTTCATGTCCTTTGTAGGGACATGGATGAAGCTGGAAACCATCATTCTCAGCAAACTATCGCAAGGACAAGAAACCAACACCACATGTTCTCACTCATAGGTGGGAATTGAACAATGAGAACACATGGACACAGGAAGGGGAATATCACACACCAGGGCCTGTTGTGGGGAGGGGGGAGGGGGGAGGGATAGCATTAGGAGATATACCTAATGTTAAATGACGAGTTAATGGGCGCAGCACACCAGCATGGCACATGTATACATATGTAACTAACCTGCACGTTGTGCACATGTACCCTAGAACTTAAAGCATAATAAAATATATATATATGTATATATATATATAGCATTCTGTAACTTTTTGAGCATACAGCATGCATTTGTAATGATTCTTTAACATCATGCCTGCTAATTCTAATATTTGTGCCCATCCTCGGTCAATTTCAATTGGTTGATTTATCTTCTTACTGAAAGTCGTATTTTCCTGCTACTTTGTGTGCCTGGTACTTTTTTTATTAGATGTATAACATTATGAAACTTATCTTTTGGGGTGCTAGGTTTTTTTTCTACTCCCATCAGTGTTCTTGATTTTTTTTTTCTAGGACACAGTTAAGTTACTTGGAAACAGTTTGATCCTTTCAGGTCTTGATCTCAATGTTATTGAGCAAGACTGGAGCTATACTAAGCTTAGGGACATTTTTCCCTAATGCCGAGGCAAGACTCTTCTGGGTACTCTACCCGATGTTCCTTGAATCATGAGGCTTTCCATTCTGGCTGGTGGAAACCCTGGGCACCATTACCTCTAATGTTTTGTGTGTTTTTTCCTCCAGCCTCTGGTGGTTTTCTTATTTGTGTGCCCCAATCTGTACCCATCTGAATACCTGTGGCCTTTGTTGTCCACCTAGTGTCTTGTGAGTCATTATATCATTTTGTTGTTGTCTTTGGCTGTTTCAGGTGGAGGATAAGGCCAGTCCTGGTTTCTCTATTTTAGCAGTAAGTGTAAGTCTAAAATGTGTTGAATAAATGTCAATAAAATGTTTGTTCTACCTTTTTTTTCTTCTCTTTTTTTTGAGATGGACTTTTTCTCTGTCACCCAGGCTGGAGTGCAATGGCATGATCTTGGCTCACTGCAACCTCTGCCTCCTGGGTTCAAGTGATTCTTCTGCCTCAGCCTCCTGAGTAGCTGGGATTGCAGGCACATGCCACCATGCCTGACTACTTTTTGTATTTTTAGTACAGACAGGGTTTCACCATGTTGGTCAGACTGGTCTCAAACTCCTGACCTTGTGATCCATCCGCCTCTGCCTCCCAAAGTGTTGGAATTACAGGCATGCGCCACCATGCCCAGCCCTGTTCTACCTTTCATGTTGCCCCACATAATGGAACACAAACTTAGTGTGACTGTTTACATGTTTCTGAACTTAATTCAAAATTGTTTTCATTCAGTCAAGTTACCTCACTTACGTTTGCATTTAAGAAGAGACAATATAAATGAAAGGAGTGAAAATGAAATAGTTAACTACAAAGATGAGCTACTTAACAGGATCAGGATAGCAAGACCGTTGTAAGTTTGCTCGTGCCTGTCCACCCTACCAGTTTCTTCCCTGGCACTTTGAAATAACCACATTTAATTGTCCAAAAATATTTTCACATAACATTTCTAAATGTGATCTAGTTAGATAGTACAATAATAACTCTTCTAAATAGCTAATACCTATTTGCATGGATAGAATCATGATCCATGTAATTCAACTTATTCGAGTTCAACCAATATTTGCTGGGTGCATTCAATGTGGTGAACACTGAGTTAAGCCTAGAGAGGTAGATGAATAAGAAACAGCCTCTGCCCTAGAGGAGCTCACAGAGAGGCAGAGCTGAGACGTGAGTTGACAATATGCTAAGTGCTGCAATTACCCTAATTATGGGTTGCTATGAGAGCACTGAGGTGGGCCACCTCCCACAGCTCAGGAGGATGTGATGGTTGTGATTGAGGGGGTGTAGCTGATGCCAGGGGTTACCTACTCCTCTCTCCTTCTTTCTTGCTGGAAGAGCCACCTTGATTCAGTGTTGGTATTCACTCTTCTCTTCCAGGGCCAGAAAATGAATGTTCACAAGTCTAAGCCAATCGAAGTGCTTCCCTTCTCCTGGTCACTGATTGGTTTAGGTGTGGGCCTGTAACACTGTCCTGGGAAATGAGACTTAAAAGTCATTCTTTAGACAGAACTCAGTAAAGGTTTGTCTCTGGATAGAAGGAGACAAGCAAGGAGACACCTCCTTTCCTGGCTTTGACTACAGTTGTGTGAAAACATGTATAGTATCCACGCTGTGATCATGAAAGGACATGCCTGAGGATGAACCCTAACAGAGTGAGGATGGGAGAGCAGAAATAGGGCAAGCTGTTGGGTCCTTGTTGATATCATAGCATTCCTGAAGTACAAACCTGGGCCCTTCTTTTCTGTCTCTGTATGTTTTGCTGTTTATTGTTATATAAGATAACACACCTTTCTTGTTTAAGCCACTTTCCATTATTCTGTTACATGGACTTAAAAGATTCTAACGGATACAGAAGGTTTCCCAAAGTAGTGAAGATTAGTTCGTGCTTTAAAGGGCCAAAGATATTCACCTTTGGGAGTTGATGGGTGGAAGAATGGGAGCAGGCCACTCCAGGGAAGAGCTTGTGCAAAAGCTTAGAAACACAGAGCAATATGGAAGGTTTGAGATAGGACAAGCGTTTCTCACATGGGTAGGATGTTGATTGCACATAGTAGATATCCAATCACTATCTGTCGCCTGATCACATTTATGTTTTTAATTATGTTAAATTGAGTCCAAGAAATATTCTTGAGTGTCCATGATATTACAGGGATTTTACAGGCATAAGTGGCAGAATCTGTACGGATATCCATCAAAACCCCAACTTCCTTCTAAAGTGCTAAAAATTAAAACATTTTTCAGACTCTATTAAGAGGCTTGCTATGGACTAAATGTTTGTGTCCCTTCAAAATTCATATGTTGAAACCCTAATTCCCAATGTGATGATATTTGAAGATGGGGCATTTGAGAGGTAATAAGGTCATGAAGCTGGAATCCCCATGAGGAGATTGGTACCATTACAAGAAAAGACATGTGGCCAGGCGTGGTAGCTCCCACTTGTAATCCTAGCACTTTGGGAGGCAGAGGCGGGAGGATTGCTTGAAACCAGGAGTTTGAGACCAGCCTGAGCAACATGACAATACCCCATCTCTATAAAAATTTTTTAAAAAATTATCTAGACATGGTGACATGCATCTGTAGTCCCAGCTACTAAGGAGGCTGTGGTGGGAGGATCAATTGAACCCAGGAGGTCAAAGTTGCAGTACGCTGTGATCGTGCCACTGCAGGCCAGCCTGGGTGACAGAGATTCCCGTCTCTAAAATTTTTTTTAAAAAAGAGAGAGAGACTTGAGACATAAGAGAGATTGCTGTTTCTATCCCTCTATCTCTCTCTCCTTCCTGGCACGTGAGAAAATCAGGATGAGGGTCCTTACCAGAACCTGACCCTGCCGGCACCCTGATCTCAGACTTCTAGCCTCTAGAATTGTGAGAAATTAATGTTTGTTGTTTAAGCCGTTAAGTCTATGATATTCTTGTTACAGCAGCATGAACTAAGACAAAGGTTATGATTTATTTTCCAGCAATCACATGCAATACACAGGACTTTGGCTTGAAAAGTGTATGGGGTGAGATAAGGTTACAGTTTTATTCTTCTATATGTGGATATCCAGTTTCCAAACACCATTTATTGAAGACACTATCCGTGTCCCATTTTGTGTTCTTGATTCCTTTGTCAAAAATAAATCAACTGTAAACATATAGGTTTATTTCCGGGCTGTCTATCTTGTTCCATTGGTTGATGTGTCTGTGTTTATGCCAGCACCATACTGTTTTGTTTTGTTTTGTTTTGAGAAGGAGTCTCACTCTGTCATCCAGGCTGGAGTACAGTGGTGCCATCTTTGCTCATTGCAACCTCTGCCTCCCGGGTTCAAGTGATTCTCCTGCCTCAGCCTCCTGAGTAGCTGGGATTACAGGTGCTTGCCACCGTGCCCAGCTAATTTTTGTATTTTTAGTAGAGATGGGGTTTCACCATCTTGGCCAGGCTGGTCTCGAGCTCCTGACCTCATGATCCACCTGCCTCAGCCTCCCAAAGTGCTGGGATTACAAGTGTGAGCCACTGGGCACAGCCACCATGCTGTTTTAATTACTATAGCTTTGTAATATATTTTGAAATCAAGGAGTGTGATGCTTTTTGTTCTTTTTGCTCAAAATTGCTTTGGCTATTTGGGTCTTTTGTAGTTCTATACAAATTTTAGGATTATTTTTCTAAATCTGTGAAGAAAGACGTTGGAATTTTGATAGGGATAGCATTGAATCTGTAGATCACTTTGGGTGATATGGATATTTAAACAATATTAATTCTGTCAGTCCTTTAATACTGGATATCTTTTCATTTATATGTGTTGTCTTCAATTTCTTTCATCAATTTCCTGTAGGTTTCAGGATCAGATCTTTCACTTCCTTGGTTAACATTATTCCTCTATATTGTCTTTCCTTGATGCTATCATAAATGGAGTTGTCTTCTTAATTTCTTTTTTAGATAGTTCATTGTTAGTGCATAGAAATGCTACTAATTTTTGTATGCTGATTTTATATCCTGCAACTTTACTGAATTCATTTATTAGTTTCTAACAGTTCTGACTTTGGAATCTTAGAGTTTTCTATATGTAAGATTATGTTGTCAGCAAATAGAGATAATTTCACTGTTTCTTTTCCTATATGGATGCTTTTTATTTCTTTTGCTTGCATAGTTTTTCTGGCTAGGACTTCCAGTACTATGCTGAATAGCAGTGATGAAAGTGGGAATCCTTGTCTTCTTCCTGGTCTTAAAGAAAAAGGTATTAACTTTTCACCATTGAGTATGATGTTAGCTATGAACTTGTCATATATGGCTTCTATCATGTTGAGGAACATTCCTTCTTATCTAATATACTGAGGTTTTTTCATGAAAGGATGTTAAATTTTGTCAAATGCTTTTTCTGCATCTATTGAAATGATCATATGTTGTTTGTCCTTTCTTCTATTAATATGGTGAATCACATTTATCAATTTGCTTAACTGAAACTGTAAAAAACAGGAGGAAAGTTTGCAAACCATACATCTGATAAGGAGCTAATATCCAAAATACATAAGGAACTCAAAAAACTCAATAAAAAGAAAATATTTAAAACAGATTTAAAAGTGAACAAAAGACCTAAATAGACATTTCTCAAAAGAAGACATACAAATTGCCAAGATATATACAAAAAGAGTCATCAACATCACTAATTATCAGGTAAATGCAAATTAAAACCACAATGAGATACCAGCTTATACCTATTAGGATGTTCATTATCAAAACGATGAAATATAACAAGTGTTGGCAAGGATGTGGAAGAAAAGTACACTCTTGGTGGAAATAGAAATTAGTACAGCCATTATGGAAAACAGTGTGGAGCTTACTCAAAAACTAAAAATAAAATTACCATATAGTCTAGCAATCCCATTTTTGGGTATGTATCCAAAGAAATTGAGCTCAGTACATCAGTGAGATATTTTCATTGCAGCACTGTTCACCACAGCCAAGATAAGGCAGCAACCTAAGTGTCCATCAGCAGATGAATGGATGAAGAAAATGTGGCACGTATACACAATAGAATAATATTCAGCCTTTCAGCCGTAGAAAAGAAGGAAATCCTGTAATTTTTTGATAACCTGCATGAACTTGAAGAACGTTATGCTAAGTGAAATAAGTCAGGCACAGAAAGAAAAATATTGCATGGTATCATTTATATGTAGATGCTAAGAATGTCAAACTTGTAGAAGTAGAGAGTACAATGGCGGCTACCAGGGATTATGGTCTGAGAAATGTTGGTCAGAGGATGCGAAGTTTCAGTTAGACAGGAGGAATCAGTTTTAGATCTATTGCACATCAAGGTGACTCTAGTTAATAATAATGTATTGTATATTTCAAAATTCCTGAAAGAATAGAGGTTTGTTGTTGTTTTTTGTTTGCGTTTTTGTTTGTTTGTTTTTTGAGACAGGGTCTCACGCTGTCACCGAGGCTGGAGTGCAGTGGCGTGATCTCGGCTCACCACAGCCTCGACCTCCTGGGCTCAAGGAGGGATCCTGCTGCCTCAGACCCCCAAGTAGCTGGGACTACAGGTATGGACCACCATGCCCGGCTAATTTCTGTAATTTTTGTAGAGATGGGATTTCACCATTTTCCGCAGGCTGGTTTCCAACTCCTGAGTTCAAGCGATCCACCTGCCTCCCAAAGTGCTGGGATTACAGGCCTGACGTTCTCACTACAAAAAATGATGAGTATATGAGTTGATATACATGTTAATAAGCTTGATTTAATCATTCCACAATGCATACATAAAACATAACATTACACTGAACCCTATAAATATATATAATTGTTGTTTGTCAATCTAAAATTTAGAAAGAGGAGTCCCAGTGAGGAGAAGCAGAATGTGGGGCATTTGAGCTATGTATGTGAATGCGGCTGAGGTGACATGTACCCAGACCCCGATGTTCCCATCTCTACTGCACTGTAGGAGAGGCAGCAGTCACCTTGGTGCCACAGGTAGGTAAATTATTCTCAGAAGCTCAGCCTGATGTCTGCTTTTCAGCCCTCCCAACAATTTTTTGAGCCAGATATACTCCTTACTCAATTATCTTTGCATAAACTAGCCAAAGTGGGTTCCAGGTATGCATTCAGGAAGGTGGCTGACACAACCTGTGAGACACAGCTCAGGTGCTCAAAGACCTTAAGGACTAGTGGAGCAGATCAGAATCATTTTGCTCTGGGATAACAGGATTAGAATTTGTATAGCAATTAATACTTTTTAAAGCACTTGCTTTCGTGAGATGTGTAGGGCTTCTGTGACACACAATAACAAATGTTAAAGAAAATCTTTCAGGTAGAACAAATATAATACCAGATAAAAATCTGGATCTACTCAAACGTCTGAGGAACATCAAAACCATGAAAGATTTTTTTGTTTTATTGTGCATTCTTTTGGCAGATGAGGAAATTGAGGCCCTTGAGAAGTTAAATGATATGGAAATAAGGTAGTAATTATTGAGATTAGAATTCAGGTCTTATAATTCCTAATCTAGTGCTCTGTCCTCTTAGTGACCATTTGAAGAATGGTCTATTGTGCAGGAAACCCTACAGGAATTATGCTTTTGCATTACTGAAAAATAGTCAAGCGATCAGGCCTTGCTAACTGAGATGCTGGACCCACTGACACACAGGTGAAAGGCTTTGTGGCCTATTACTCATCCTTTGAACCATCTCAGCTCACTCTAATAGCACATTTAATGGAATCCTATCACCTAATGTCAGATGTTACTATCACCTCCTTCTCTACCTCCTAAAGATCATTATCCATAAGTGTAATAGAGACATTTATATTGACAAAGAAAAATGGAAAGTTGCTCTAAAAGTTTAAATAAATTCTTAAAGTATGTTTGAGGAGGATATACAAAAGCTGTGGTAATAAAGTTTCTAATTGCACACTATCCTAATGCAAGTGTTCAAGAAAAAGCCTCATTTTTTCATATTATGTTTGCTTCTTCAACAAAGAGCTTTTCCTGCAATTGCTACAGGTGCTAAAGATAGCTGTAATAAATGTTGACAATTGGAAAAAAAAAAGGTGAATTACGTAAAATGAGAGTGCACATGCCTGCACAATCTGAATTCAGTGGGCCAGTCTGGTGCTCTACCAACTAACCACATTTCCCTGTTCTGACAGTAGGAATTGCAGAGATGCCTTTAAGCTGCAGGGTAAATGCATTATTTACTTGACTGAGTCTTTCTTATTTAAAAGGAAGATTAGGAGAACTGGCAACTGATTTTCCCTTTCTCTTTTATGCTATCTGCTTCTCAACTTTCTACCACTTTTTTTTCCCCTGTTCATGTAGCAGATTTATGCCAGATGAATGAGGCAGAACTCTTGCTCAGGACAGGTTAGAAATACTGCTGACACTAGTAGTTACATATGTTTGAAAATAGGAGAAATCAAGGCAATATAGTTTGGCTGCATAAATTAACTACATGACTATGGGTCTCTGCATCTTCTGGCCTTTGTTACAAGGAATATTTTTAGCAGTGGTGGGGTTGTGAAAGAAAGGATAGAAAGAGGTAACATCTGCAGATACTCACCACGTATCAGATGCTGTGCTAAGTATACATTTTCTTGTTAAATTTCACAATAGCTTCTCAGATAGTTACTATTATTATCGCTATTAGTTTACATATCAAGAATCCAGGGTTCAAGGACATTTAGTAACTTCAGCAAAGCCATAAAGTTAGACAGGGGCACCAGAGTTGTGAAGTCAACTTACACTTCGTATGCTGAGGCTTACTGACAATTTGGCTCCAGGTAAGTCCTCATTAATCAGTTACAGCTGCCACTTCTGGGGAGGGTTCAATGAGACAAAAGGTACCAATGTGATTTGAAAATTGTGAAGCATTTATTCATTTCTCAAATGGTATTTACTGAATGCCCATGTCTTAGATTCATGGAAGAAAATACATAGTTTCTGTAGTTAAGGAATTAGTAGCCTTAGGAGGAGATGGATGTCTGAACAAATAATTATGATAAGAGCACAGGTATGGGAGAAGTTTACTAAATGTAATAGGAGAATTACAGGTGCCTGTAGAACACAGAAAAGGCTTCACAGAAATGGCAGCATTTGAGGAAAAGATAAGGCCATGCACGGTGGCTCACGCCTGTAATCCCAGCACTTTGGGAGGCTGAGGCAGGCAGATCATCTGAGGTCGGGAGTTCGAAACCAGCCTGACCAACATGGAGAAACCCCATCTCTACTAAAAATACAAAATTAGCTGGGCATGGTGGCGTATGCCTGTAATCCCAGCTACTCAGGAAGGCTGAGGCAGGAGAATTGCTTGAACCCTGGAGTCGGAGGTTGTGGTGAGTCAAGATCGTGCCATTGCACTCCAGCCTGGGCAACAAGAGTGAAACTCCAAAAGAAAGAAAGATAAATAGAGTGTTCTCAGTGGACCTGACAGGAGAGCGTATGGAATGTTTGGGAAACCATAATAACTTTAGCATTGCTGGGGTCAGGTGGTAGTTGAGCAGCTTGGGTGAAACAAGGCTAGATAGGCAGGTAGGGGCCAGATCATAAAAGGCCTTGTCAGACTTACAAAGGAGTATACATTTTAAACTCACTTGTGAAGGGGCCAGAAAAGCTGTGGCCAGAATAGAATTCCAATCGGTTTTATATGTTGTCAGTAACTGACAGGATGGCACAGTCGGGGATGAATTCAAGGGAGCAGGATTTGAGATTGGGAGAGAAAAGCTGTGGATATCTGGACCAGGGAAGGAACACTGAGTGTGAGGAGAATATGACTGAAAGCAATTTAGGCTATAAATTTATAAATTTTTTATCACACCGATAAAAGAAAGTCAGAGGCATGTAGGATGACTCCATAGGTTCTAACCTGGACAAATGAGTAGATGGTATGTTGGTGTCATCAACAAAGGTAGTAGAGAGTGGGCTTGGGGGAGTGAGTTCAGAATGATAAATGTTGGATGTGAAGATTCAGGCCAGGGTGACATCCAGGAAGAAATACCCAGCACAGAGTCACACAGCCCTAATGTATGGTTCACCCACTGTTTTGATGAACTCTTTACTTACACGTATTCAGAACAAGACTGTAAATTCTTTGTAGGCAAAGACTGTCTTGTTAACTGTTGCACATGTAAACCCTACCAAACATCTAACAAATATATGTGTTTGAACAAAAGAACAGGGTCTCAGGTGGATATGAAGCTCTGAAAGTTGGCAAGGAGGTTGCAAATGAAGCTTTGTGTATCCATTAAGGTTACAGCAAGAAACAAAAGGACTTAAGGGAAGATAGTTTAATGAAGGGATCATTTACAGAGGTGTGGGCATGGTTAAGGGAGCCAAGTTGAACAGACAGCTGTTCATACCCCTAGGCCTGAAAGGGCAAAGGGAAGATTGAGTTTCAGCAGAGTTTATGAGGCTGGAGCCAGGGAGGGGTAGTCTGGCAGGAGATGTAGTAACAAAGGAAACAGCCCCTGTCAGCATGGGGCACCAATACAGGGAGGGGAGAAGGGAGAGAAATATCCTCACTTCTCTTTTCTCTTGCCCTCTCATCTCTTGCTGATGCCTCCTATTGGCCAAATCCACTGGAGGGCAGGGGAGCTCGAGCCAGATAGTCTATGGGAGGCAGTTTCTCCATGAAGCATGCTCAAAGTCAGGATGGGGAACAGACCTACAAATAATATGTACAATATAGTATTAAACATGTACAAGAGACTACTAGTCCGTGGTGAGATCTTGCTTAGTTCCCAAAGAAGGTAACAATTAGTTTAACTTCTAAACATTGACTTGCAATAAATTAGTCTTGGATTTCCATAACCAGGCAGCTTCTGCAAACACACTTCCATTTTGGAGCTGTTTCCTTTTGATCAGAGGAAACTCCTTCCTTGAGTCCGGTTGTACAGTTGCCTCTTTCATGTATTCATATCCCTGACCACATCAGATATGAGCCAAGATAAGGACTCCCCCTTAGATATTTGCCCACCTGGAAGATAAATATTTCTTCCTTAGAACTAACTTTTGCTCCCAGAGATAAATTCTGACTTTCTTCCCTCTGTGCTAGATATACCTTGGGCCAAACATCCAGGATTTACCTAGCATATGTCCAGGGGAAGGGGCGGGATGGGACCCAGTTATGGCCACTAACTTTGTCCACTTGGAAAAAAAACTCTTAGAATACTTTTTCTATCTCTTTATCCTTTTCAAGTGTTTTTTGCTATGACTGGTAAGGCACAAGAATTTGAAACTAGGACATGGGAGCATGTTCCTTCTTTGGCTGATTATTGAGTTATCTCAGTACTCAGATAAGCGTCTATATCTTAGGGATAATAAACACTAGTTAATCTCCCCCTCTTACTCAGTAACCTGTCTCAAGAGAAAGCCTTCCCTTGTTATTGGGCTTCTTCCCCTTTCTGAATTGTTACCTGTTTCAGACATTTCCCTGAGGACAATCGTGAAGCCTCTCTTATAAGGCTGTTCTTAGGAGGGTTATTATACCAGATTAGACAGCCACCTCTCACTCTGTTTAATTTTGTAGTTATTCAACACTGAAAATAAATTTCTTGATCCTCTTTCAATTGATTAATCATAGCATAATTAAGGAAGAGTAAAAGACAGCTGACTCATCTAGTTTACATGTTTAATTTTATCTAAATCACACATTCACAAGGTAAGATGAAAGATGAAACAGAATATGAAAGAATATATATATACCATATATCTATTCTTCCTTAGTATATATAATGTGTATTTGTAATAAACACATCAATATATAATTCATAGTAGTATATGTATAATGTAAGAAAGTACAAAAAATAATATAATGTGCAGCATGTGTCTTGAGGTTTAACTCATTCTTTCTCCAAGAGCCGATCTAACAAAATAGGATAGTTCATGGAATTCAATCACATGGAGTGAGTTTAGAGTATGCCTCCTTACTCTCTCTCCATACTGGGTTTAGATGCCGTTTGATTGACTACCTGTCCCATGGAGGGAAGATGCTATTAGATTTCTCCTCTAAAGATATGTTCCTTCTTTATCACAAATTCCAAGGTTCACTTTTTACTATGACTTCTGGAGCCAGAATAGAATGTCACTTTCAACTCTGATGGCTTCCCGTGTGAGTGTAATGTAACAAGGAGGATAAACTAGATCACACTCCGTGTCCACAGTTGTCCTAATTTATTGTGGACAACAAAACTGAATAGCAGTGGGAGAAGAATTCACTTGAGTTACTATCTAAAAATCCTTCTGGGCCAAGGAAAGAAGGGTTGTTGGCGTTTCACTTTTCAGTTCATGTTTATCCTTGGCCTTCTTCAGATGACAATGAATTTGCTGCACAGGCTCAGCTTGCCCCAGAAAGATCCTGAGTGGTGGTGAATGTTCTCTCCTTCCTTTGCCCCATCTCCAGTGATAGTGCTAAATACTTGTGGGGTAATCTGACACAGCCTTAAAACAATCCAATTTTTCAGTTCTGGGGAATGCTCGAAAGACAGGAGACAATGTTACAATCTGCCATAAGGCATTCTTTAAGCTAGCTCTCCTGTAAGCAGAAAACTAGTTTTATTGAGAAGAGCTACCTTTAATCAGAAAAAAATACCAAGGAAATATGTTACATTGATTTTACCACTAAAAATTGAGAATCTGGGGCAAAGGCAGTTGATATGAGTCAGAACCTTGAAGTTGATGAGCTACGTGCAGCTCAGCATGGCTCCTGATTGCTTAGCGTGATCTGCTGAATGAGCATGTCCATGTCTATACAGCCCCTGAGCTCAATCGTCTTGAGGGTTTACACACAACTGTGTTGAGCACAGTTGTTTATATTAACACATAATTCATCCAATTCCAATTATTAAAATAATTGGCCACAATACAGTTTACCCAGATAATTTTAGCGTTCTTATCAAATTGACCGTTAGCTAGTGACTTGAGGATTCTTTGATCAGCTTCTATGGACCAAGAAAAATACAACCAAACTGTCATAAATTCAGTTGAGCCTTGAAAGTATTGTGGCAACATGCTGCTAGAAATGTCCATTTGGTGAAAGGCACAAATGTTGGCAGTTGTCCATACTAACCCTGCTCATGTGCAGAGATTCCTTCAAAATCATTAGGACAGCTAGCTCTTTCTTCATTAAAATAAATGCTTACTGAAGTCGTACATTAGCTGTCTCTCTGTTTTGCAATCAATTAAGGCAGGTTTTCAACATCTAAATTTCCCCAAATGTTCTCTAATGGGTCTCATTGATATTCTACTTTTCAAAATTCAGATATAAAAGGCATTGGCATCATTAATATCCTTTTCAAAAAAAAGTCTTTCAGTTCATTTTAATGGCTTTACATTCCCCCCCCAAATTTGGGTGGAATCCTTCTGTATCTGGGTTATAACATAGGCCCAATAAAATCAGTGTATGAATATAGTACCACAGCTGTTCAAAACATCACTACCACTATCGCCGTCATTGAACTGTTTACTATGCACTACACAGGAGTAAAAAATTCTCCAGTAAAGTGATCAAAATTTTAACACATATGAACATACTTAAAACCTAAGTTTTGTATGCTATTTAAAAACCTAATATACTATCAGAATGAGTTCATAGTAAAGTTCTGTCTTTCTGCAAAACTGCCTGTAGCTAATCTTACCAATGAGGCATGCATGAGAATACTGCTATCTTCTCATACATATTACTAAATTTGGTAATATTATGTTTTTTTTTTGGAGGAGGAAAAGTATATAAAATTTTATTTTCAGATTATATCATTTATTTAGGGTTTTATTTTTCTATTTCTATTTCTATACTTTTCATATGACTTTCAGTATCACATTATGAGAACGAAGTTATGTGATTCTGTTCCAGCACTAATAATATTTTATTTAAGATATAGGACAGCTTTTTCTGTCTCTTGGGGACAATGTGGACCATATATAGTAAACTACTTAGTGGTTCTGGAAGGATAAGTGCTTTTTTTCTAGTTCTGCTGTGCAACATAGGTTCTCTCCCTTGTGGAGAGGTGAAACACGGTAAAAAATAAAATGTATTAAAGTAGTGACATGAAACATTCTTAGCATTCTCTTCTTTAGTATCCTACAAACTCAATAACTCTCAGAAATTTAATATCTGTCAGCATTTTGACAACCAAGAGCCCATTTGATTCCAAAATGTTTGATATTTTAATATTCTCATCAGATTCTCAACTCACCCCTGCTCCCAAAATAAGCAACCCGGCCCTCTGCAAACACACCAAGCCTGAGGCTGATCTAAGTGGATTCTATATTCTACCATTATAACATTAATGTTTTAATAAATGCACAACATGTAGTACAAAACCCCACAAATGCAGAGGAAGAGTAGGTTCTATTTCCTAACGAGGTCAAATAGTAGGATTTCCTGTTCACAGTCAGAGGTTGCCAGAGAGACATGTACTTGTGCTACCTCTAATTTGGACCCAGGCAGGTAAGATAAGCTTAGAACTCTTTAACCTGAGTTCTCACCTGCAAAGTAGTCTGGCCTTGGGTATAAGAGAAGTCCTATTAAGAATTGTCTATAGGCAGGACCATACATCCATTTGAAGTAGGTACGTTCTCTAAATTTATATTATCTTTTGATTGTAATTTTGTAATTTTCAAGGCAGCGAAGCAATGATGACTTCCCTAGAGCTAACTGGCCACATTGCACATGGTAGGATGGTCAGCTCTAAGGAGAGTGTGGAAATTAGGGGATGGTCGTGTTCCAAAGTCATAGCTCACAGGAGCCTCTCTGAGCTTCCGGGGTTGCGGGGGCAAAGCCAAAGGGCAAATGATGAGGGGAGGGGCGATCCTATGCTTAGATTTTTGACATGACAAACCAGGCAAGCTTGGTAAAGCTATTTGAGTATATCAGCAGTGGTTTCCAGAAAGTATTATTACCACAGATGTTACTGCAAGATAATCAAAAAAACACATCTAATTTGGGGATGTGGAGTACTTGTTTCTGTTGCTGATTCTATCATTTGAAGCTTTCAGAGCTGAAGGCTTTCATGATTAAGCACATATTATTCTCCTGGAAGATATTTCTTTTTTGGCAGATAAGATAATGGAACAGATCCACTGTTTGTCAAGAGGAGTTACTATGTCATTAAAAAGCCTTTAACACAATGTTTTTCTCTTTTCCATGCTGGTTGAAAAGATTTGAATGCTAAAGCATAGATATAACAATAACAGTACAAAACCTAAATTGTCCATGGAAAAGCTTAAACCAACTTCAAACTTTGCATTTGCCAAATGCTCTTCAGGCAATTTAAATGTAATTCAAAACAGGCACTCAGTAGCCACAGATGTGTGTTGCCTCAAAATGTTCTTTGTCTTGGTTGCATACATCCATTTTCCTTCTGAAGGTGCTTTTAAAAATTGCCTCTATTGCTACAGGAGGAAAAAAAATCCAAATACAATGATATCATTTATATGATTAAAATTGTTTTCTTATTAACACTGGAAATGTATTATCATTTACTTCAAAAAAATTCTTAGTTCTACTGTTGGTTGAAACTTAAGAGTAATTCCAGAAGGGACTTTTGCAGGGTAATAGGAGTTAATTCAATACCTAGTGTTCTAAATGCAAGGAGATGATCTGAAACTCCCCTCACTTTAGCAAAAGATACAGAAGAGCTTCTATTTTTGCTCATTTGTACAAAGAGGCCACCACACACTTTGTGTCCATGAGAGGACAAAAACACACCCTAAATATTTTCCAGAAGATCCTCAGTACAGCTAGGTGCCACCCTAGGAAATCTGTTCCCTCAAACACCGTTTGTAGAATTGTGATGCCCCTTGATGAATTTACAGTTCAGGAGACACCTGAACAAAGGAAGTTATGAAAGATTTCTGGGGACCTTTTTGAAGTGAATAAAGTTTCCTAATTGAAATAGACCACATGATGTTCCTCTAAAACCTTAATTTGCCATCTCTGGTCTGGGCCCTCACAGACCTTATGTGCTATTGAGCTCCTTAACCTACATTCTCTCCAGGAAAGTGGACTGGAATTGGGGCACTGCTCCACCCAGAGAATGGCCTAAAAAGGGAACTCACTCCTTGTGGAAGGTTCTGTCCCATAGCTTCTGGGTCTTTAGAAGAGGACTCCTGACCTTTTGAGCCACCTCATTCAATCGCCCTGTACCCTGACAGGGAGAGGGTGGTAATAGAGATTCCAGACTTTGATTCAGCACTGGCTGGATGGAATGGATGCTAGCTTCCTCATTAAACTGGTGTGTGGAACTTCGCTAAGTCTCAGCTCCTCGTAAATTGTATAAGATTAATAGTATCCATCTCATAGGAAAGTGACAATTAAATGAGATTTTATGTATAAATGCCCAGCACAGTGCCTGCTACATAGTAAGTGCTCAATAAAGAGTAGCAAGTTGCAGCAGTGGCATCCATGGTAGTTGTCTAAGTTATGGAAGGAAATGCTTGACATTTTGGGGGTTTGGCTATGGAAATGTTTGATAAAATACCCTTCCATTGTGACACTACACATTCTTTTTTATTTTCCTCTACTTCCATGCAAGTACACTGTGGCTTCAATTTGATTTTGTCAGTGTCAGTGTTGGACAAAAATCATCAAGTCCTGCCTATAGCTCTCTGGTAGCCCACCCTCTCCCTTTTAGAGCCTGCTCAGATTGGGTAATGGGAAGTTAATTGATAAAACAGCAGGTTTTTTGCAATCCATTCTCTTCCTATGAGACTTCTTTGTAATCTTTCTATAAACAGGTTAATGGTAGACTTGGCAAACAGCTAAATGGTGTTTAGGATGTACCTGTTTGTGTAGGATTGTTTGTGGTAACCAGACCTGGAATCTACAAATAGATGGAGCATGACCTCCTAGAATACACCACATATATATGCTATGTGACTGTGGGTATAAGATGGAAAACCTTCATGCCTGATGTGGCCCTCTTCTGTGCAAGTGATGTGAACTGCATGCAGACCTTAGAGGTCACACATGACCCATGGCAGGAAAGGTCCTGGAGAGCTGCTCTGAGGGTGGCAGACCTCTCTCTGCTTCCCCTGTGGCTCACAATGACTCCTGAAATTACTAGTAAAGCTTGATGCTGGGTGAGATCTCAGGTTCTCTGGCATCTTTATTGACAATCTGAGCCTGTGTGCTATGTCAGGTAGTAAGGTGAGTGCCATGGAAGGTAGTACAGTGCCTGGTATATAAAAATGCTCCCCCCCATACTTGTTGAATAAAAGGATAAATGAATAAGAGAGTAAATGGAAAAATGAATGAGTGAATGAATGGGGACTTTTTCTTCCTATTGTCAGTTGTGAATCACCAGAAGACATTAAAAGAAACAAAACACCCAAGAGTGACTCTTTAGTCGTGGATTTCCAGGTATCTTGATTGGCTAAAAGAGAGGAAACAGGGGCAGAAGACTCCTGAAATTCTTCAGACCTAGCCTCCTTCCTGTTGCAAGTGCTTGTATGGATTTTTGGGGGGATAGGGGAAGTATTTTTTTAAATTTTTTAAAGGATAAAGCAAAATGAAATTGTCTGAATTTAAGTCAAGGAGTAATTTGGTCTGATTATACGGTACTTAAGTCTGAACCTGTATGACATTTGCTAATTGGCCTGACTGCAACTACCTTTAAAGGGCCATTATGTGGAACAAAACAGGTTATTGAATTAATAAACAGAGAGAGCTCTTACAATAAATTTTAGGACTTATTACACATTATAGACATGTACCAACATATCACATGTACCTCATAAATATGTACAATTATTTTGTATCAATTTAGAAAAAGAAATCTTAGGACTTAAAAAAGCGTGAATCAACCAAGGCCTACTGAATATATTTTGAAATTACAGATTTTTTTGGCAGCGTATAATAAGCTAAGTGGTTACATTCTAAGATTCCTTCCTTCTTAGCACAGTGGGATTCTCCATTCTATGCAAATCAAGCCTGGCATCATTGAATGGAATCTTATTGGTCTTACTGGAAGATACTCAGGGGGGAAATAGAACTGCCCTGGAGAAGACTTTTTAAAGCCCTGCGTACTTTTTTCCTGAAAGAGTATACCTTCAAGCTTTTATGCTGCAAGAGGGCAAGGCGTCCACCACGGACCTCACTGAGGATTTATTCAGGGTTCAGGATGTTATATTTGTCACTGCAAAGAAACTAGAGCTAAATTGATAAAGTTCTTTATAAATTGGACGTAAGCAAAGTAATTGGAAAACCCCCAAACAAGAAAACTCTACCACTGTAAATTCTGCTCATATCTGTTTTGCTCACCATTGTATTGTAGTCGTATTGTCTGGCACAGTACTTGATAGCAACCTGCTTACCTTTCTTCTAATGCTTGATACTTCAAATGTTTATGTGGCCATCAGGTACTTGGGATATCCAGTCATTCCTTCTGGCTTCGAGCCTATTATTTGAGAGCAAAATTGAGAAGCTATAGTTGTTTGCTGTAAGTGCTATATTTGTGACAATTTCCACAGGTACACCAAGATTCTGGGGTCTGCTGTGGGAGCCACAGGCTAGCTAACTTCAGGATAAGATATTTAAGGAAAGCAATCCTGTAATTATGTTAGCAAAGATTTGTAAACAGAAAGAAAAGCTGCAGCCTGCCAAAGTATTTTTAAGAAGAGACATACTGTTGATTTGTTCCACATTTAACAACTAACATAAATAAGCAAATTCCTGCCTTTTGTCATGTGTCAGACATTCGGTCCTCTAGAAGAATGGCATCTAGAAGAAAAACACATCTGGTTTCTGAGCCCAGCCCTGTCCATCAAGAAAACAGATGGGTTTGAAAGAGACCAGAAGGCAGGACCACGGAGTAAGCTACAGGCATTTTTCTAACTGGAATTTCCTTCTTGGTAATTTGAAGCTTGAGACAGTCCCTGAATATTGAAACTCCATTTCATGCATTTATAATGTGATATGGAATATGAAAAATCAGAAATAGGAATGATGGTAGGAACAGAGACTGTTGCCCACATTTAAATCCTTGTATTTACCATTCAAGAGTTTATCTCTAATGATAGCAGTGTGCTAGAATACAAAGAGATGAACACAAGGAAAAATGCATTCACCAAAAATTACACTTTGCATTCTATCTTTGGGTAAATGGCTTGCCATCTTTCGTTTTAGTATCCTCATCTTCAAAGTGAAAGATTAGGCAGATGATTCTCTACATTCCTGTTATCTTTAGAATTCCAGGACTCATACATACTCTGATGGAATTCTCCACTGGTACAGCCTTTCCAAAGGACCATATATATCAAATATATCAAAGACCCTAGAAATGATCATATATTTTGACTCAGCAATTTCACTTTAAATAGTATATCTTGAGGAAATAAACAGGAATGTATGCAAATATGTATGTACAAGATATTTATTACAAAGTAGCTTATAATAATATTTTGGAAGCAATAAAAATAGTCATGTGTGATTATATGTAAATATGTGATGGTATATTCATAGGCTTGAAAAAAAAATTTCTATGTCAGCCTCAGCAATATTTCCTTTTTATTAAATGGCATGGCTAAAAAAAGAATAGACAAACTGTTCTGGTCAATAAGATTTTCGGCAATGAAATTCACAATCAGTAGCATCTGACTAAAGCTTTGGCTCTGGGCTTTCAGAAGTACTCCATACCTGGTGCTCTAGCAAAGGCAGGAAGCTGCTCTAGTTCAATATTAAGATTCAGTCTTGAGGCAGGAAAATGAAGAGGGGACCAGGGCCTGGCCTGAGAGTCACTCACCAGGCTGCTGTTGGTACTTGGGAGATTCAGGTCGGTATAACTTGGTATTCAAACAGTTCAGCAATAAGTGACACCAGGGATCCAGATGCATCTTCTCGGTGGGCAGAGCATAGACAATGATGGGCAATACAGTCAGATGTCCAGGAAAGAGGTGGAACTGAAGATCTTCCAATTGGTGGCAGGCCTCAAGGATGGGCTGGGATTCAAGAAAAAGGAAGAAATTGTGGGGAAAGAGGTAAAGAAAGAGAGGCACTGTATTGTTATCTAAGCGTGGAGTACATGGGGTAGAGAGGTGTGGGAATTTGACCTTGAAAATCAAGAGCCTTCTTCTCAGAACAGGTAAGGCAAGGAGTGACAATTTAGACTCATCATTCAGAAACCTCATTAACTGGATCCACAGCTCTCTTCGATGTAACCAAGAGGGTGTATCCAAGCTCTGTCTCTAATCAAAAGTCTCATGGGTGGGGAAGCCTGGTAAGCCTGGACTGGAAAAGTGAGAAGGCGGTAATGCTATGATCCAGCTGTGCGTCTCTGGGATCTCTGCTACTCTATGATCTTCGCCATTATGGGGAACAGACTGATGCTGTAGCATCGGTCAAATTCATGCCAGTCAGCCAGCAGAAACCAATCCAAGGACACAAATGGAGCCACACAAAAGCGTGTGAAATAAGAAATTTGATGGTTCACTTTAAATGCCACCATATTTTTCAGTTCTATGAAATTTTTTATTTTACAACTGTTTTTGGACTATCATGTAGAAGCAATGTGTATTTACAGGTGTCTACTGCACAGACCTCACTCTACAGTCCAATGATTTGCTTAATTATGACAAAATGTAAAACAACAGTAAAAACAGACAAAATTATATTATAAAATAATAATACAATAATATGTAATAGTATTATTTATATGTATATATATACACACACACACACACAAAAACCCCACATAAATCAACAGGCATTTGTTGAATACCTGCCATGTATCATGGACTTTACCATGCCCCAGGAAACAAAGATGAGTCTTAAACAGTCCTGGCCTGTGAGGTACTCTCTGTTTACTCCATAACCAACAGGATAACTGTAAATTCTTGGCAGCTAGGGGCCACTTTTCTCCTATATCTATTGATCCCACACTTTTGCCTCATCTACCACCTCTCATGTTTACTGATGCAGAGGCTTAATATACTTGGCCCAGCACTATAATAAAAACTAACAATTTCTTAACACTTATGATATGCGGAGCCCTTTTCTAAGATCTTATAGTGTTAATTCACAACAACTCAATGAAGTAGAGACTTTTATGATTCCTGAGTTACAGGGGGTCAAGAAATCTGCTTATGGTCACAGCTGCTAAGTAGGAAGTTGGTGTTTGAACCCAGACAGTCTTGTTTCAGGGTACAGGTGCTTAACAATTATGCTTTGTTGTACCAGTGGCAAGCAAAAGAAGGGCGTAGTCTTTGCCACTGAGGAATTTAGAATCTACTTTTGGAAGATAAAGCTAAATTGCTGAGAGCTGTGGAAGACAGCACGCAAGGCAGAGTGCAGACTATAGACACCGCAGGGGTTGAAGAAGGTGAGTTCAGCAGTAGGGGAAGGCTTATTTGAGAGTGTGTCTGGGAAAGTAAATAGGATTTGGGAAATGGAAATGTAAGGTGGTGTAGGGGGTGTTTGGGGCATGGGAATGAGTCAAGTGTGTGTCAGGAACACAACCGAGTGCCCTCTAATGGCCACTGTTCTACCAGGCATTGGGTCCTGGAGGAGGGGGGAGGGAAGCTAGGAGGTGGTTTCTCTTTTTTGCCCTTGAGGACAAAAATGTTTCAGCGAACATCTTTTATGTATGCAGTACTATTTCTGAAAAGCTAAAAGTAACCTACAGGGCCTTATCAATTTTAAAAAAGCAAATCTTTTCTATAGAATTTTCAAAAACTGGTAGGACTCCTCTTAAAAATTCTAAACATTTGTTTTTTTATCTTCTTTGATCTATATGAAATTATTCAACAGTCAAGGACCAAAGTAATTACTACCATTGAAATGATACATTATTAAAAATGCGTTTAAAGCTGATCTCTCCTTTATTTTAAACATAAGTACAAGACACTAACAGTTGTGCAAAAGGAAGATAAAGTCTGTGCCACAATGATGCCAAAGCCTTCAATCAATTTGATTGACTGAGGGAAAATAGGCCAAAGCTTGTATCACAGAGCTAAAGTAAAAAAAAAAAAAACCCAAAGAAAAAGAAAAGTAATGTTTTTAAAGTACTTCCCACATGCCAGGATTTCTGTTAGTTTTTTCATGCACTATCTATTTTATTAGTCACAAAAATTCTATGAGATGCTTGTATTCCCATTTTATGGATGAGAGAACTGAGGATTTGAAAGATTATCTTCCCCAAATCAAGACAGAGCACAGACTTGGATCCAGACTTTCTGAATCATTATCCCATGTGTTTAGCAACCCCATTTGGCTTAGTTCCCAAATGTAGCTGGTGTGACTCACAATGACATGAAGTCTCCTCTCCAGGTCGGCTCTGAGACCCTTGGGTTCAGATTCCCTCCAGTATCTCCTTCTGGTGTTTCAGCGTAGCAAGGGAAGCCTATAGTGGTGTGTAGATAAAATATCTGAAAAACTGGCTTATAATTTCAATATTCCCCTTGAATTCTTGCTGTCATACCAGAACATTTCACAGCTTACCCAAAGGTTCAGAAAGAAAACCCAGGTTTTCTTTTTCTTAAGCCAAAGCTTCACCTTCTCATCTACTGGATTTTTCCACTGGATCTAAGTGAAGTTTGTTTCAAGGTGTGGCATGCAGACAAACAGATCAAACAGAAAGAACATCTCTGATTACTCTGATTTCTGTAATAAGATAGAGCCTATAAGACATTAAGGACTGGATGTGAGGGACAGAGGCAGCTCTCTGGCTGACTGTGCCTGATTTCCATGGCCCTCTGCAAGCCGGCACCAAGTCCTAGCCCAGGCACAGTGTGCTGTGAATTTGGAGCTCTTGGAAATTGGCATGGGCTTGACATATAGCTAAATATATTTTGATACCTTGGAGACAGAATTTAGGATGTCTTGGACATGAGAAATTGGAGATATTGGTGGCAAAAAGAAAGAGTAAATTGTGATCATCATTGGGACTTCAAAATGAAAAGATCACCCAGATTGACATGAAATGTTCTAGCAGTCCTTCCTGAAGGGAACTTCTACCCATGACAAGGTGCTTTTTGTTTTTGTTTTTGTTTTTGTTTTGTAATGTATATATTGGTCTCTAGGGAGCATTTTGAAAATTGGAGCTTTGACAAAACTCCCAGGGCTTTAGATCCTGGTGTCTCTCTCTCTCTCTTTTTTTTTTTCTAGTTGTAAAATAGAAATCTAAAATGATCAAAAAAGATAAATAAATATAGAAAGATCAAAAAATAACAAACATTACCTCCTAATTACTTATCTTTTCTAAGCATCAGTTTCTTCATTGGTAAGATGGAAATAATAACAGTACTTCACACATCTTTTTTTTAGAATTAAATTAAACAATCCCTGTATAAAGGTGCTTAGCATATTGCCTTATTGCTTAGCACATAGTAAAAAACTCATAATAAATGAAGATATTATTATTAATGGTATTATATTAAATGTGACCATTAATAAACAATATAAAATATCTTGATTCCTTTGGTAAACAAAACTCCATCTCTAAATTGAAACTAACGGTACTCTGGGGTCGTCACTGCCTTTGGATTCAGGCTTAAGAACTCATTGGTGCGAGGCCGTGTCCACTGTGGTTCTTCTGGTAGCTAATATCCCTTGGCTGGGGGCCAAAGCACATGAGTTAGCTGAATTTTATATGACAAGTCTAGGCCATCCTTTTTGGTATTTATATAAGAATGCTTTTAGGCTAGTTTTAAAATCTTTTATTTTGTGACAATCTGTGACTTCACTTTTATTAAGTTACTTTCTCTACTATTTTAGAACAGATTGGAACAATTTGATTATAATACAAAATATTCAGTGCTAAATAGTCTATCTTTTTATGCACAATATGCTAACCCTTGGGGAGCTGAGCTGACCTCAGATTTTGGGCTTACATTTGCTTTTCCCACACTGTGTCAACTTAATGAAGAAAACAAACAAAACAAAACAAAACAAAACAAAAACACAACAGAAACGAAACCCCCCTTTATCTCAGGGAAATGGCAGATTCTAATTGTAAAGGTTTATCTTCTTTTAACTATGGTCTAGGAGAGTAGTTTTGCTACTTTATCCCAGCTCTAATATCACAAGAAATGGAAAATTCATGCATGCAAATATTGTTTATGAATATAGGCAACTCTAGATGCATTTTTTATGAACATGGAACATTTGGCTTTGCATCTGGTAGTGTGGAGAATAACAAATCCGGCTCTGCACCCTAGGAGACATCCAGATTACTTTATTATTACAATGTTTTCAATAACTCCAGGCACTTTTCAGACACCTGGATATTCATGAATGGTTTAAACCTCCCTGATAGCATTTTATTCATACAACTTTTTGAAGTTAGAGATCATTTGAGTTAGCTGGGTTTCTAAAAGCATGTGGAAAATAAATGCAAATCTTAGACCTCCTAATATGTTAGTGCTTTATTTCAGCATTGCCACTCTTTTCAAAGATTGGCCAAATCTTTGGGGCTTGTGATGGTCACCATTGAAGTTCAAGGCTTCCCTCTGGAACACATCGTACTTTCTGTTAGTCTCAAGTCATCTAAGTCTCAAGTCACTTTCTTGATTTGTGGTGGGATAAATGTAATTTCTCTGTAGAACTTAATGTAGACATTGATTAATCTAAATTAGTCTTTCACATCTTTATAAGTAACTCATCATTATGATATCTAACATTTAAGTTTTTTAAGTATCTCTTAGAAATCTCTGGTTTTCATCTTACCCAGGCACTCTATTGTTTGAAAGGAATTGGATGGAAAAAGAAGACTTGGCTTTTAGTACAAAACCCACTAGAGAGCCCTTGGAAAGTTTATTTGTGCTCTTGTATATTTTGACATTCACTCAGTAGGTGAACTTACACAGAAGAGAGCCGTGTCTAATAGGACTGTCTGATTCTATTTATTTTTTGTTATCATCTTGCAGTGCTGTTTTTGGCACACAGTTATGGAAGTCACTAGTCTCCCAAAAAAACCATGGATAATCCTGTGCCAATCACTTCAAGTTGCCCTAAACACCTCAACATTGACATTTTCCATGCAGTAATTCAGCTTTTTGCTTTTGAGAACAACCAGGAATGGTGTTAAGGAGCGATGCCTCTTTTCTCATCTACAGGTTTTATTCCTAAATGTTACTTTTAACATCTTTAGATTCTGTTCAGTTTTATTACTCTTTATTTCAACTTTTACTCATCCCTCCAAAATGAATTTTGCATATTTTATTTTATTTTTTGTAACAAGGTCTTGCTCTGTCACCCAGGCTGGGGCAATCTCGGCTCACTGTAACCTCTGCCTCCTGGTTCAAAGCGATTCTCCTGCCTCAGCCTCCCAAGTAGCTGGGACTACAGGTGCCCTCCCCCATGCCCAGCTAATTTTTGTATTTTTAGTAGATACGGGGATTCACCATGTTGGCCAGGCTGGTCTCGAACTCCTGACTTCAGATGATCCTCCCACCTTGGCCTTACAAAGTGTTGGGATTACAGGTGTGAGCCACTGCGCCCAGCCTGAGTTTTGCGCATTTTGATTTTTGGTTTTAATGTTTAGGTTTTAGGTTTTGTTTGTTTGTTTGTTTTTGGTACAAGTCAAATGATAACAGTTGTGTATGGGCTTTTGACTGAGACCTAGGAAATAGACACTGTCTGAGGATTCTAGATTCTAACTTTTGGAATACAGAAGAAGTCCTCTTCAAACAGTTTGTAAGCTCTTTTAATCTTACACTTTTATTTATAAAATATTTAAGCCCCACTCCAGTACATGTTTACAGACTTACCATCTCACAGTTCTATGCTGAAATGGCCTTCTCAGGGCCCCCAAGGCTGAACGTGCTCTCAGCCTTCTTCTGCTCTGAGCCCCTTGCTGAGTGAACGAGTTCATACATCTGCCACTGCAGTAACAGAGAGTTTGTATTATATATCACCAGCAAACATTAGAAAGATGAAGTAGCCACAATGAAATATCACCTTATACCCATGAGGATAGCTGCTATTAAAAAAAATCAGAAAATAACGAGTGTTGGTGTGCCATGGAGAAATTGGAACCCTTGTGCACTGTTGGCAGGAATGTGAGGTGGTGCAGCTGCTATGGGAAACAGTATGGAGGTTCCTCAAAAAATTAAAAATAAAATTACTACATTATCTAGCATTTCCACTTCTGGGTGTATCTCCAAAAGGATTGAAGGAAGGGTCCTGAGAAGATATTTGTAACTCATGTCCATAGCAGCATTATTCACAATAGCCAAAAGGTGGAAATAACCCAAGTGCTCATCAACAGATGAATGTGTCCCTCCACAATTCATAAGTTGGAACTTATCTCCCAAAGTGATGGAATGAAGAGATGGGGCCCTTAGGAGGCGATTAAGACATGGGATTAATGCCCTTACGGAAGGGCTTGAGGAGTGCATTTGCCACTTTCTTCCATGTCTTCTACCTTATGAGGACACCACATTTGTCCTTTTTGCCCTTCCTTCCGTCTCTTCTGCCATGTGAGGACAGAGTGTTAATACCCTCCAGGGGACACTGCAACAAGGTGCCTTCTTGGAAACAGACTTGCAGATGCTTTGTTCTTGGATTTCCAGCCTCCAGAACTGTAGGAAATAACTTTCTGTTCTCTATATATTACTCAGTCTCAGGTATTTTGTTATAGCAACACAGACAGTCAAAGACAAAGGGATAAAGAAAATGTGGCATATACTTAGAATGAAATATTATTATTCAGCCTTAAAAGGGAAGAAAGTTCAGAATATGCTACAACATGGATGAGGCTTTAGGAGCTTATGCTAAATGAAATAAGCCAGACACAAAAAGACACATACTGTATGATTCCACTTATTTGAGGTAGTTGAGGTACCTAGGTCAAATTCATAGAGACAGAAAGTAGAATGGTGGTTGCCAAAGAATGGAGAATGGGAGAAATGGGGGTTGTTGTTTACTGGGTACAGAGTTTTGCAAAATAAAAAGAGTTGTGGTGGTGGTTGTACAACAAATGTGAATGTAGTTAACATTACTGAACTGTATGCTTAAAAGTGGTTAAAATTGGCCGGGCGCTGTGGCTCATGCCTGTAATCCCACACTTTGGGAGGCCAGAGCAGGCAGATCATTTGAGGTCAGGAGTTCAAGGCCAGCATGGCCAACATGGTGAAACCCCATCTCTACAAAAAATACAGAAAGTTAGCTGTGCGTGGTGCTGGGCATCTGTAATCCTGGCTACTTGGGAGGCTGAGACAGGAGAATTGCTTGAACCTGGGAGGTGGAGGTTGCAGTGAGCCGAGATGGAGCCACTGCACTGCAGCCTAGGCAACAGAGTGAAACTCCATCTCAAAAAAAAAAAAAAAAAAGTGGTTGAGATGATAAATTTTATGTAATACATATTTTACCACAATTTTTAATAAAATACGTAAGAGATAAATGCTCATTCTTACTATTTTTTCCTGCCTCTAGTGGGTTATTTTTAATCACCTCACTCTGTAGCCCATCACTTTTAAGGCATGCTAACAAGCCAAAGGTGATAGACACAGAGATGCACCTGCCAGCTCCGCCTCCAAGGAAGGATGCACTGCCCGCCCAAGGGAGTGTGCCCAGCAGATGGTCCAGCCGTCAGACACTCTGGGACCCACCTCCCCTGCAGATAGCCCCCTTGCTGAAGTGATGCCCTTACAGGACAGCCTGTGTTAGTAATGGAGAGTTAGCAGGGTCATAAAAGCCCAGCCCTTTCAGCCTGATGTGGGACACTCTGATGGTCAGCTGCTGTTCTAGACTCTCTCACGGGGGCCTGCACTGCACTTCTGCTTCATCTGCCCAAAGCTACTTCCACCTGTTTCCTTTTCCCAGGTGTGGATTCCTAATAAAGATTTTGTACCCAAACTCCATCTCAGTGTTTTGGATTTTGGAAAACCCAGCTTGAAACACAGATCAAGATACTATCAAGATTAATGGAAGCAGATTCCCTAATTTCTAAACAAGAGTGAACTTGTGCTTAAGTTGCTTAGTGAAATGATGAAGGCCATTACATTTGAAGAATGAAATAAGTTAGAGCTCTGAATAGGCAAATGAAGTCCTTTTCTGATTAAGAAACATACATACAAAACCATGCACACAAGAACCAAGCTAACATAAAAATTGTGCTACAAAATGAATAGAAACTTCTGCTCTGTAAAATTTGCTGTGTTTGTAATTCAGGTAAATCTATTTTCTGTAAAGCAGGCATGATCAGACATTAATATTTGTACGCCTCATCTAGGGGAATCCTCCCACATTGTAATTGTTGACAGTGATCAATGGGCCTGAACAAAGAGAGGATAAATAGGTCAATCCATCATCAAACCAGCTCAGTTGTAGGGAGGGGACTATAAAATGGCCCTGAATGGCCACAGTGGGAGCTACCAGATAAGTGAGTAGTCACCATTTAAATACAGCTACAGTGTACGCTTTTGAGTATTTATAGCCATGTCTCTGGTTTTTCTGTGTGTCTCTGTGAATGCCCCTGGAATCTTAGAATTTCTATGAGAAATTCCAGATATCTGAGGAATCTTTCTGAACATTATAGTTCCGCTAATGTGAAGAAAAAGTTAGCCCATGAATTTGAGGTCATGTTTGCACACATAAAAGAATTAAAGAAATTACAATATAATTTAATTCCTACCTCATTTTGGCTTTAATTATTTGGATATGATAGGACCTTCTTAAACATAAATATATTTTAAACTTTCAAGGCGTAATGAGAAATCGCTTGTTTGTGACCATGGAAGAAAGAGAGATGTACAAATGTGAAATAATTTGTAAATCCAACTTAATTATATTTCCATTTGGCTTTCAAATACGGTAAGAAATGATTCTGCCAGGTGTTTCTATACTGTGATATGACAGCTAATACGTATTGAATAAACATAGTGGACCACATGCAATTTACAGGGATATCTCAGTTTTTTCTTAAAACAATCTGCAAAGAGGGAATTATTATTATATTATTATAATACTCACAATAAGGAGAGACACAGCTTAGAGGAACTGAACAACTTGGCAAAAGTTGCATGGGGAGGAAGTAAGAGAAACAGGAGGAAGCAGGAGGCTGGCTCCAGAGTTGGAGCTCCAAAGACCTGCGCATGAATGAGCCCAGCCAGTTCACTGAATAACTTGTTAAGTTTTGTTCATGTTGTATGAATCGATGGTTTAATTAAATGTTTTAAATCATGGAATCATATTATTTTGGACCGACAGATTTTCATTAAAAGACAATAAGACACTTAAATCAACTTTTAAGATTTCTTTCCATTAAAAATATACTTTGCAGTCTTATTTAAGGAACAAAACACCAGTCCAGTGAGAGTCAATGAATAGTTTTTTTGGATGACTCAGCTAAAGGGGAGAATGGTGGAATGATCTGTTTGATGATCTAATCTCAATTACTAGGGACATGATGGTTTTAACTTCCTGAGCTTTGAAATTCACCCAACTCAAAGTTTCATTGCCAGACACGTCATTATCAGTCATTGTCATGGCAGGGCACAGAAATGGCAAATGCATCCATCTGTCTTCTCTCTCCTCCTCCCTATGCCTATGACAGGCAGTCCTAGAGGACCACAGCACCTGCCAAGCCCAGATATGGTCAGGATCCATTCTGTCATAGCCCAGGGAGCAGCCATCACAAAAACTCTCCATGAGAACAAAACTTTCTGTAGTTCTCTAGCACTTGGGGGGCTGTAGGAGTGGAGTTCAAGGTGCAGCTCTGTTTGTAGAACATTTATTATGGGTGTTTTTTTTCAATACCCCTGAACAGTCCCAGTTTGCTCTCAAATTTTCAAATCAGGGTTGTTGCATTAAGAAAGAGAGATTTTAGGAAAAGGGCTATTCTGTCTCCTTTTCTTGGGTCCTTCTTAGGTAACTGGACAGTTAAAATGAAAATACGAGCTCATTTAAATTGATAAGAGCTTACTTAACATGTTGGTCTTCTTACTAGTAAGTTTGTAATATTAAAGGATCTTTCTTCCCCCATTCAGATTTTATAAACATTTATGTGACAGACATATGTTAGGTGAGTTTAGAATCATTGTCTCTTGGAAACACACTAATTGCAATGTTGGTTACTTCAGAGATCTCCACAGTCTAAAGGGAGCAGTTATTTAGGGACAAACCTTTTGGCAAACCTTGTGCAACAGCTCATCCAAATCGCCTTTACTTATGAGTAGAAATGAACCTGTGGCTTACAACTAAATAGAAATAAATGTTCTCAGCAGGGAAGAGTCATTACCAATTTAATGAACCAGAGGTCTGTTTATAGCTCTGTGAAGGATCATAATGTGTAAATTTAAATAAAACACCATGACTTTCCTTTTAAGTGTTAATATGTGAAATATTGACTTAGTCTATTCCTAACTTAAAAAGTAAGTGCAAAATTCAAACTTGTCTATCAAGTTCACTGACAGGCAATGCAATTAGAGAGTCCAGTAGAAATGCAAACAGGCCTCTAAACAATAGCATTTCAGGATCTGGGGTTCACATTATTGGTCCGTTGTGCTCTCGGTCTCTCATAGGGCTAATGACTTTAATTAGCAATGTGCATTTAAACATATGTTCATATAAACACTTGAATATGACAAGTTTCTTTTTTTAAAAAAGAAATTTTATTATAGGTTCTAGGGTACAGGTGAAGGTTTGTTACACAGGTAAACTCATGTCATGAGGGTTTGTTGTACAGATTATTTGATCACCAAGGTATTAGGTTCAGTACCCAATAGTTATCCTTTCTGCTCCTCCCCTCCGCCCATCCTCCACCCTCAAGTAGACTCTGGTGTCTATTGTTTCCTTCTTTGTGTTAAAGTGTTCTCATCATTTAGGTCCTGCTTACAAGTGAGAATACACAGTATTTGATTTACTGTTCCTGTGTTAGTTTGCTAAGGAAAATAGCCTCCAGCTCCATCCATGTTCCTGCAAAAGACATCATCTTGTTCTTTTTATATGACTGCATAGTATTCCATAATGTATATGTACCACATTTTCTTTATCCAATCTGTCATTGATGGGCATTTAAATTGATTCCATGTCTTTGCTATTGTGAACACAGATGCAATGAACATTTGCATTAATATTACTTTATGGTAAAATGATTTATATTCCTCTGGTTATATACCCACTAATGGGATTACTGGATTGAATGGTAGTTCTGCGTTTAGCTCTTTGAGGAATACTGCTTTCCACAATTATTGAACTAATAATTCACCAGCGGTGTATAAGTGTTCCCTTCTCTTTGCAATCTTGCCAGCATCTGTCATTTTTTGACTTTTCAGTAATAGCCATTCTGACTTGTGTGAGATGGTATCTCATTGTGGTTTTGATTTGCACTTCTCTAATGATCAATGATATTGAACTTTTTTTCATATGTTTGTTGGCTGCATGTATGTCTTCTTTTGAAAAGTGTCTGCTCATGTCCTTTGTCACTTTTTAATGGGGTTGTTTGTTTTTATCTTGTAAATTTAAGTTCCTTACAGATGCTGGATGTTAGACCTTTGTCAGACGCATAGTTTTCAAATATTTTCTTCCATTCTGTAGGTTGTCTGTTTACTCTGTTGATAGTTTCTTTTGCTGTGCAGAAGCTCTTAAGTTTAATTAGATCCCGTTTGTCAATTTTTGCTTTTGTTGGATTGTTTCAGTGTCTCTGTCCTGAAATCTTTTCCTGTTCTTATGTCCAGGATGGTATTACCTATGTTTTCTTCTAGGCTTTTTATAGTTTTGGCTTTTACATTTAAGTCTTTAATCCATATTGAGTTGGTTTTTGTATATGGCGTAAGGAAAGGGTCCAGCTTTAATCTTCTGCATATGGCTAGCCAGTTGTCCCATCACCATTAGCTGAATAGGAAGCCTTTTCCCCATTGCTTGTTTTTGTCAGCTTTGTTGGAGATCAGATGGTTGTAGGTGTGCGGCCTTATTTCTGGGCTCTCTATTCTGTTCCATTGGTCTATGTGCCTGTTTTTGTACCAGTACTATGCTGTTTTGGTTACTATAGCCCTGCAGTACAGTTAGAAGTTGGGAACAAGTTCCTTCAAACTGTAAAAGCAATGAAAACATGCGTTGAGATTTATCACAAAGTCTCTTTCCATGGTTCCTTTTGTGGGACTCTTTGGCTCCGTCAGTCCTCCTTATTTACATCACTGCCATTTTCCATTCACTGTAAATTCCCAGTTTACAAACATGGGGATATGTCTGCTGTATTCACTGATGCCTTCTCAGGGCATAAAACCATGCTTGGTCCATATTTGGAGCTCCAGAAATATTTGTTGAATAAATTAATGAGTGAATTTTTGGAAACTATCACAATTGAACAAAAGCTCTTGTGTTAGGACTCCTTTACCATAATGAATTAAAGTTCCTGAATAATCAGTTGGTTTAATTTTTTTTTAATTAGTAAATTCAATTGTCTATTCTTGTTAGGAGTTCCACTTTAGGTAAAATAAGCCAGTGCTGTCTTCAAACTGGGGCATAAGTATTTCTGGGGATAGACAAAGATTTTTCAGGTGATTCACAGACAAAAACACTTAAAGGAAATCAACATTCAGATCTTCAGTTTCCACATATACTCTTTTCTAAAATTTATTCAACTGAGAACACACAGGTAAACCACCTCCACTGTCATTATCATGTTTCTTACACTTTACAAAAGAAAGGCACGTCTCTCACCCAGCCTGGTTCTCACTATGGTGTGTTGCCTGGAGTGTAGAAACTCAGGTGACCATAAAACCTACAATCGAACAAGGGCATTCTTGAGAGTGAAAGTAGGCTCTATGAATCATTAACTTGGGGCCAGGCACAGTGGCTCACACTTCTAATCCCAACACTTTGGGAGGCCAATGTGAAAGGATCCCTTGAGCCCAGGAGTTCGAGACCAGCCTGGGCAACCTAGGGAGACCCTATGTTTACGAAAGAAACTAGCCGGATGTGGTGGCACGTTCCTGCAGTCCTAGCTACTTGAGAGGCTGAGGCAGGAGAATTACCTGAGGTTGCAGTGAGCCATGATTGCACTACAACTTTCCAGCCTGGGTGACAGAATGAGATCCTGTCTCAATAAACAAATAAATAAAATAGTTAACTTGCGACAATATAATTCACAAAGGTGTATTCAGATAACACTATCACCATTCTCCTCTCCCCTTCTGAGTATACTGGGTTTAAAAAGGTGGTTCTAAGTGAAAGAGTAGCAGGTAAATTAATAATCACTTGCTAAAGTGGTAAAATTTAAAAAGTATTCTTCCCAGAAATTGATTAAGTAAATAAATCCAATGAGCCAGTGATTTCTAAAACTTTGTTTCAAAAGGTCTTATTGAATTGTCAGCTGATGGATCAAAAGACATAAAAAATGTTTATAGCAGCATCATTCATAATAGTCCAAGAGTTGTTACCCAAAATCTCTATCAAAAGTTGCATGCTATATCCATACAATGGAATCTTACACAGCAATGAGAAAGAACAAATTGTTGCTGCATATAATAACAGGGTTGACTTTCACAGTCACAGTTTTAGCAAGACTATACTTTTTGATTTCATTTTTATGAAGTTCATCCACAGACAAAACTGATCCGTGGTGTTAGAGATTAAAACAATAGTATAATGATTATTTTTGGGTGGGTTATAGACCAGGAGGGGGCACAAAGGAGCCATCGGGAGAGATGGAAATGTGTTCTAGATCTTGATCTCGGTAGCGGTTACATGGGTCAATCTACATTTAAATCTTCATCTAGTTTAACATTTGTCAACTTTATGTAAGGTATACATTAATAAGAAAGAAAAACAAACTGATTTATTTCATCAATAAAGGTTTACTAATGCACAAGGCTGGGGGTTGGTGATGTAATAATGAACAGGATCTCAAGAAGCTTATAGATAGGAAAACCGTCTCTACAAACCATATCTATCTGTTTTGGCAAAATTGTTAACACTCACTTGCACCCCCCCAGATGCCCTGGATTTTGTAATAAATTACATAATTGCTCCATGTTCCAGTTATCTATTGCTTTGTAACAAATAATCTTCAATGCTTAATGGCTTAAAATAAAAATTTTTAACATAGCTCACAATATTATGGGTCAGGAATTCATGCAGGGCTCAGCTGGGCAATTCTTTTAGCTCTACTGGCCTTGAATGCAGTCACTTGGAGGCACTAAACTGGCAGATGGGCTGATCTGGAGGGTTCAAGATGGTCCACTCATAAACTCTGGAACTTTGCTGGGGATAGCTGGGAGACAGGGTTCATCTGGGATAGTTGACTGGAGTACCTCCATGTGGCCTCTCCACAGTGGACATCTCAGGGTAATTAGATGACCCTCTAATGAGGTGGCTGGCCTGGTGGAAGCTGCATGACTTCTATGACCAAGCCTTGGAAGTCACCTAGTGTCTCTTCCACCTCATTCTATTGATTGAAGCAGCCACAGCCTGCTATGTTCAAGAAGAGGGAACGTAAACCCCATTGCCCAGTGGGAGGGATGTAAAAAAATCTGCAGCCATTTTTAAAAAACCTCAATGCCCTACTTGGATCAATTCCAAGTAGACATTTTACACATCTATGTTCTCAATATCTTTTGCATCCTTGTCCTCTCTATCCTTAGTATAACGTCATTAGCTTGGATTCTCACAATTTTTCATTTGTACTGTTAGTGAATACTCTTAATTGATCCCCTGTTCTAATTTCTGTCTTCTTTATTTCGTCTTATTCATGGTTACCTAATGGCCAGCTTTAAAAATCTGTTAAACTTTTGCTAAAAAAATTTTGAAACAAATCCCTCTTTGTTTATGAATTAGAACCCAAACTCCTTTGACTGACATTTAAAGCTCTTTATGACTTGATTCTAGCCTATTTTTTCAGACTGATCTTTCATTTCCCCTTTCGTGAACTTTAACGTTCAGCCAAATACGCATTCTTTATGTTGCCTCTATAGGACCCACGCTTCACAGCCTCAGTGCATTAACTCACGTCGTATCTTCTGTCTGAAGTGAACCTGCTCACCTGACATACATATGTACAGCCCAAATCTAACGGTTCTGCAAGGTCCTGCTGAAACGCCTCCTCCAGGATGCTCATTCATTCATTCAACAAACATTTATTTCAGGTCTTACTCATCAGCCTCTTTCCTAGGCCCTGGAAACACAGAGGAGAAGAGGCAGAAAAGGTCCTCAGCCTCAGAAGATTTGCAAATCTCTATTGGGAAGTAATCTTGTCCCTTGATCACTCATAAAAATCCATTGATTCTTTTCTTGTGCTAATTTTAGAGGTAGTGTAAGTAGAGTAACTAAATATTAAGATCCTGAAACTGTGACCTTGAAAAAGTTTTGGACCTTCTTTGGGCTTCAGTTTTCCTTTCTGTGAAGTGGGCTATTAATAGTACCTATCACACAGTTGCCGTCAAATTTAAACACATTATTAAATACAAAACACTTAGAATAGAGTTTGGTAAACAGTAAGCACTAAATAAGCTTTAGTTATTATTATTATTATTGTTGCCACTGTCATTTTTGGTTGTATATTCCCCCCACATTAGATTTATATACTTTTTTGAGGCTGGGTAAGATAGCTTACAGTTATGGTGTTTTGGGGTTAGTGTGAACTTTTAAGTCAGATAGAGCTGTTTGAGTCCAGCTCAGCAACTCATTAACTGTGAGACCTTGGCCAAGTTACCTTTCTGTACCTTACTTTTTACATATTTAAATTCTGCAGAGCAATACCTAACAGAGTTGTCACAGGGATTTAATGAGGTCGTATTTGTATATGGCCTAATTTATTGTCTGATACGTAGTATGTTCCTCCCAAACGATGATGAAGGTGATAATGGTGATGATGATGAGCAGAGACAGTGATAAAATTATCATTCTGACATTTTCTAGGATCCCCTCTACTTACTATGATACATAATTTAGTGAATGTCCTTTTAGATATTCTAATGCTACTATAAAAACAATGTTCCCTAATTAGGATTATACTGTGTTTAATTAATCTCCTTTTATTGCTTCCTGTAAATAGTAGATGTCTTTAAATTTCAACCTGTAGAGATGTGCCTCATCTTTTAAAATGATTATGTGGTGCTTCTTTCTATATGTGTATAGAAATAATTTATTTAAGCAGTCTCTTACAAATGTATACTCAAGTGTTTCCAAGTTTTTCCATTATATACCATGCTATAATTAAATCAATTACATAAAGATATATGTTACTATACCTATCTTATTATTTCTTTAAGATAAGCATTTAGAAGTAAAATTGCTTTACAAAGGAAATGTACATCAAGATTTTTATGCATCCTGATAAATCGCTCTCCTGGTTGGTTGTAACAACTACTACTCTCTCTGATGTAGTCTGAATGTTTGTATCCCCCTAAAATTCATATGTTGAAACCTAACTACCAGTGTGATGTTATTAGCAGGTAGGGCTTTTGGGGTGTGATTAAATCACAAGGACTCTGTCCTCATGAATGGGATTGATGCCCTTATAAAATAGTTCCAAGGGAGTCTGTTTTCCTCTTTCACCATGTGAAGACACAGTGAGAAGACGCCACCTATGAGCCAGGAAACAGACCCTCACCAGACACCAAATTGGCTGGCACTTTGGATCTTGGATTTTCCAGCCTCCAGGACTGTAAGGAATACATTTCTGTTGTCTATAAACCACTCGGTTTATGGTATTTTGTTATAGTAGCCCGAATGGACCAAGACATCACCAAGTATTTAGACACCATTACTAAATAAACACTAGGCTTTGGTCAATTTCTGCACATCTTTGTCAAGATTTATTTTTTTCATCTCTTTTTTAAACCTATCAATATATTCCTACTAACACAGGCTCTTTAATGTATGTCTTTTTATTTCCTCTAGACTACAGGCTTCTTGAGAAAAACAACCTTCATTCATTTTGGTAGTTTCCACTAATCAGTGATACATTTCCCTGCATCTGGAGCAAGTACATATCTTTCCTCAGCAATTATTTGCAACATTAAAGTAGATCAAGGCCTTAAGCAAAGTCACGTATTTGTTCATTAAAGGGTTGTTGGGGAGGGAGATGGTTTCAAGTGATTGGAAATTAAAATTTATTTTTAGAATTTACTTTTATTTCAAATATAACTCCTTTTTCTCCCTGCTGGTATTTCCCTGTTGGTATAATAGATCTGGAGTACCTGAGTGCTGCATTGTGGGTAAAGAGAGGAAGGATAGAGAGGGGACGAGAGGAGGTCTGAGAGGCTGCCAGGCAGGCTTAGGAGGGCTCCCATTTGGCTCCACTGTCCCCTACCAGACAAAAGTGAAACCAGTCTGGTCAGTTTGTTAGAAAAGACTTGGCAAGGGTGGCTGTTCCAACAAGAAAATCATCCGGGGCAAAAGTGAGAGAAGGTGACTGGCGATTACTATTAAAAAGTTCGGAGGAAAATGAGGTGCAGGTAAAATACTTTCTTACATGCTGCTTTTAAACAACGGGAGTCAAGAAAACAGTGTATAAAACAATAAAAGAGCTAGAGAGGTTTCCATATGAGAAGAATGAAAAGTTTTTTTAAAAAAACCCCACCACATTCTAAACCCACCACTTTAAATGAGCTCGGATCTCAATACCCCCAAGAATTACATCCTAGGTAATAATATGGTACTTAACATTTATACAGTGCAGAGTTGCAAATGGGAGGCCCCTGGGCTGCATTCAGTCTCCAAATATGTTTTGTTTGGCCCACACAGCATTGGCCAGATAGTGTTTGTAAAAATTTTTAGTAGTTACCCAGATTTAAAATTAGAAACAGCCTGGCTATTCACCAAACTGCTTCACTTCATCCCCCAGGCACACAGCTAGATTGCATTTCTCAGCCTCCACCGCACCATGTGAAATGTGAATGAAAGCGATGGGCGCTTCCTACAGGTCTGGCCCATGCAAACCGACCATGAGCAGCCCTCCCAGCTCTTTGCCCTTTTGTTTCCCTGAATGACAGTGTGGAGGAGAGTCTCCTTTCCCACTCTTTCCTCCTCTTTCCCTGCACCAACCCAAAACAAGATTGGGTGAGCAAGAAGTAATCGTCTGTGATGTTTGAGCCGTTTTGTATGTTGGCATTCATCAGACACAACAGTTAGCAGATGCTACTCAATATGCTCTGTAGCCGGGTTCATGCAACCTCTAGTATGGCAAGATCCATTCCCTATTATCTCTTATACCCCTAAGGTATTACCCAGTTATGTTTCCTGGTAGACTCCCTTAGGTATGATTAGAATTTGAGACTTTTTATATTGTGCTGTAGAGTTTACTAGGCATGCCCACAGTCACATTCATTATCCCTTAAACCTTTTAACAACTCTGCGTTTTTGGCACTGGATACCCCCATTCACTCTTCAGTAAGTTTGGTTTCATCTGAGTAAAAAGTTATTGAGCTCCTACCACAGACCAGGCACTGTGCTGGGCCCAGGAGATACAAAAATGAGACATGGGGAAATGGAAACTTACAAATGTTTTGACTCATATCATTACACATTTACCAAGTTACAGGCTGCTAAGAGAAATGGCAGGGGTGATATCATGTATCTCTACCAAGAGCAATCTCTGAGAAATAGTGGTGGTCTGGAATAATGCCAGAAGATAAGACATGATCAAAAGTTTGGACTTTTCAAAAGGAAAATAATATGACTTCTTGAAACTAGAAATTTGTATATTTAATGTTGATACCAGGAAAAAGCTTAGAAATCATCATTTAACAAAGGTTTTGTGACCACTTATAAAAGAAGAAATCATTCCTGGAAGTCAGGATTGGTTCACTAAGAGAAAATTTCACTAAACTTAATTTATCCCCTTTTTGAGTGGGATTATTATTCTGCAAGCTATGGAAAATGTTACAAAGATGGTTGCTTTAGTTTGCTTGGGCTGTGTATTAGGCTGTTCTTGCATTGCTATAAAGAAATACCTGAGGCTGGGTAATTTATAAAGAAAAGAGACTTATTTGGCTCACGGTTCCACAGGCTGTACAAGCATGGCACCAACATCCGCTCAGCTTCTGAAGATGTATCAGGAAGCTCTTATTCATGGCAAAAGGCAAAGCAGGAGCAGGCCTATTGCTCACACGATGACAGCAGGAGCAACAGAGGCGGAGTGGGGTGGGTGGAGGCACCACATATTTAAACAACCAGATCTAGTGAGAGCTCACTTACTATCTCAAGGACAGCACCAAAACATGAGGGACCCACCCCCACGAACCAAACCCTTCCCACCAAGCCCCACCTCCAACAGTGGGAATTACAATTCAACGAGATTTGGTGGGGACAAATATTCAAATTCTACTGGGCTGCAACAACAAAATACTACAGACTGGCTAGATTCAACAATTTATTTTCTCACAGTTCTGGAGGCTGTAAGTCTGACAGCAATGTGCCAGCATGGTCATTTCCTGGTGAGGTCTCTCTTCCTGGCTTGCAGATGACTGCATTCTCATGGTGTGCTTACATGGCCTTTCCTTGATGCCTGAGTGTGGAAAGAGGGGGTAGGAGAAGGTCATCGATCCTGTTGGATTAGGATCCCACCTTTATGACCTTATTTAACCTTAATTGCTTGCTGAAGTCCCCATCTCCAAATACAGTCACACTGGGGGTTAGTGTTTCATCATATGAACTCCAGGTGGGGTGGGGGGCACAATTCAGTCCATAGAGATGATGACTCTTGCTTTTAACATAGCATCTGACAAGAATATTTTTATGATATCACTATAGATCAATTGAATACATATCCTAGAAAATGGTAAATTTAGATGGGTGTAGATTAATAGGTAATTGTCGAACATGAGAAAGGTCATTGGTAGCATGTCTAGGTTAACACTTTCATTAAGAACATAGTTATAAACATAGAAAACATACTTGTGGAGTGTGCAGCTCATATACTGGATGATAAAATCAAGATTCAAAATGAAACCTACGGGCTAGATTTATGGATTCAACTAATGAAATGTCATTCAGCCAGATAAATGTACAATCCATTACTGAAGATGAAGACATTATATAAGATAGGATGAAAGTTGAGAAAAAATCCTGGGGGAAATGAGTCACAGCAACCCAGGCTGTGTTCTTAAAAGTCTAAATCTAGGTCGAGGTGATAGTCCCATGTTGTACCGGTTCTGGGAGACATATGTAGAAAGGAGGCCATTGATAATGTAGAAAGGATTCAGGAAGATGACTAAGATGGCCCAGTACCTGGTTCAACTCAGTTGCTATTGCTCTATGTAGTGCTGGCTCAGGGATCTGGAGAGAGTTAACTTAGAGGTATGAAGCCTTGTGGGGAATACGAAACCATCTTCAAATATAAGGAACGTTGTCATAAACTGCTTTTGATTCTATCTGGGTGGGGGGATTATAAAATAGTTTTGTTTTGTTCTTTTTCTTTAATTAAAAAAAAATCTACCCTATTTAGACTGCATGAACTCCACTAAGCGCTATTTCAAGCACCTCACAAATGTTGCCTCTCTTATTTCCTAGAACAATCTGGTGAGAAAATAGTATGTCCCCATATTATTGATGGGAAAACTGAGGGCCAGGGAGGGTAATTGTCTTTTCCGAGGTCATACAGCTAGTAGGTGAAGGAAGTAGGGTTTGAATCCAGCTCTGTGAGGCTGTAGAGCCCGTGCTCTTGACCAGCACACTTTATTAGCCCCTGTTCTTTCCACATGTTCTGTAATAAGCAAAAACATTACTTGGATATCCAGGGAAAACATTTAAAAATGAAAGCAAACAGAAAGACAAAGAGGCAGAGGAAGGACCATGGATGGAGGTTAATGCAGTTAGATTTAGGTCTGTATCTGGAAGAACTGTCTAATGGTGACACATTTCCATGAGTGGAGCGGGTGGCCTTGATGGCTCTGGATGAGGATCTGCAGAGGCTGTGGAGGTGAGGAAACACCTGGGATCTCTGGGTGAGGATCTGCAGAGGCCGTGGAGGTGAGGAAGCACCTGGAAGGCTCTGGGGGAGGATCTGCAGAGGCCACAGAGGTGAGGGAGCACCCGGGAGATTCTGGGGGAGGATCTGCAGAGGCTGTGGAGGTGAGGGAACACCTGTGAGACTCTGGGGGAGGGGCTGCAGAGGCCATGGAGGTGAGGGAGCACCTTGGATATACTGGGTGGGGATCTGCAGAGGCCATGGAGGTGAGGGAGCACCTGGGAGGTTCTGAGAGAGGATCTGCAGAGGCCATGGAGGTGAGGGAGCACCTGGGAGACTCTGGAGGAGGATCTGCAGAGGCCGTGGAGGTGAGGGAGCACCTGGGAGACTCTGGAGGAGGATCTGCAGAGGCCGTGGAGGTGAGGGAGCACCTGGGAGACTCTGGGGGAGGATCTGCAGAGGCCGTGGAGGTGAGGGAGCACTAGGTTATCCAACCTCAAGATGCTCTATACAGTGTCCTAATGGATCTATTCATTTCTTCAACCAGCACATGATTATTGAGCACTCAGTAAGCCTCAGACAATGGTCTAGGCTTCAGAGACACTGGTGAACAAGTCACTGCTCTCGTGAAGTTTATATTCTAGTCTGAGGGGACAGATAAATAAAGGCACATGTAATATGCAGGGTGATGATAAGTGCTCTATGAAGGAGGAGTGCACAGGACAAAGGGATAGGGAAGGATGTTGGATGGGAGAGGAACAGAACTGTTATATGCAAATGCAGAGTGAGACTCCGTGGACAGTTCCTCTAAAATATAAATCATACCAAGCCATTCTTTAGTAGGTCCCTCAGTGATTTAACATATTAAAATATCTCTAGTCATTCTTCATTTTAAAGTAAAATCCAAAGTCCTTACAATAGACTGCCATGTCCTACCTAATAGGCTCCCACTCCACAATTGCTGCAACCTCATTTTCTACCTTTCCACCCATGCTCCTTTTGCTTAAGTTACAATGGTTTCCCAGCACCTCCTACGACACACTGGCGCACTCCTGCCATAGGGCCTTTGCACTGGCTCTTCACACTACCTGAAACCCTCTCACCTAGATATTCACACGGCTCACTGTCACCTCCTTCTAGACTTTGTCCAAACGACATCGTATCAGAAAGGCCCTCTGTCCCTGACCACCCTGAATAAACCAGAGCTTCTTCACCCATTGCTCTCTCTCCCATGACCCCCAGATCAGCTACATATTCTGAAGGACCCAGTACAAAATAAAATATGAGGTTCAAAAAGCAGGGGAAAAATGCTGTTAAAAGTACTAAAATAGGAAACTTTTTTCTTTTCTTCGTGACCTCTTTCTCAACTTGTTTTTTAACTTGCCATTTAATGCTGTGCTCTAAAACGCAGGATGCTTGTAGACTGAGGGTAGACCTTCAGAAGCACATGGGGTGCCCATCCACTGTGGTGGGCCTGGTGGAAGGAAAGATGCCTGGCCCAACTTCCTGGGCATGGCACATCAGTCATCTGGCAATCAGTGGGAAGGGGAACCTGGCAGCCAGAGAGCTGCACAAGGCACCAAGTTGCAGGTGAGCACCACGATGCCCTAGGTACCTAGATCAGGGTGGGAGAGAGGCTTGCCCTCATTGAGTCACCCACTGAATGCACTGCGGTGCTACCAACTCTGGGATGAAGACAGCCCTGGCCACACCCCATCTGGGATGGCACAGAGCGTATGTGCCCAATCCTGACCCTTCCCATGCTTTTGTTTATGTCCCAGCTGGGGCCACAGGGTGGCAGCGATCAAGGGGTGGATGCATGAATGGGGTGGCCCCATGGGGCCTGGAGTGCCAGAAGGTCGGGAGCAGGTGTCTGGGAACTTGTCCTGGGAGGTGGCAGGAGGCACGATGGGGCTGAGGCTCCAAGTCTCCACTCCATGCCCCATTGTCCCATAAGATTTCACTTACAAAACCCAGATGCAAAGATGAGATTATGACTATCAGGACAATAACCACAGGGCATTAAGCCCCAGGTGTGGGCCCTTCTGAGTTTGGGGCCCTCTACAACTGCACAGGGCCTAAGCCCTTGAAAAGCCCTCCTGGCCACCCCATGTAAACTTTGCCTAGCCACTGTATTATGTATTTATTTGATTTTTAATGTTCTGTCTCCTTCCCCCATTAATAAGCTCCACTGAAGTGAGGACATTGTTCTCTTCCTTATGTGTTCTTAGTGCCCTCAGATAAAAAGGATAAAGAATGACTTAAACTCTGGAATGTCAATACATAAAACTTGAAAAAATATTGCTTCTCAAACTACCATGGCACATGTATACCTATGTAACAAACCTGCATGTCCTGCACTGCACATGTATCCCAGAACTTAAAGTAAAATTAAAAAAAGAAAAAATATTGCTTCTAATCCAACAAAAGGATACAGGGCTTTACAAGGTGAGTCACAGGACATCTTTGGAACATCCAGCATGAAGGTAGGAAAAGTTAAAAGTATGAATAAACTCAAGGAGGATTCAGGTAATTTTAGAGAGACTATATCTATGCTACTCAGAAGTTTTTAAGTGAAGTAAGGATGTTTAAGAGACCTTGAACACCAGAGTTTCAAAATAATAGCCTTGAGAGCTCCATGGGCTGTGTGCAGAGGCTCAATCCTGGGCTGCTGGCCCTGGCAGACCAAATGTGGCCTTCTTTTGTGCTCCTTTTCTTGTGTTTTACTTCACAGCATGGCTTAGCACCCTAAGCCAGGCACTCTGAGGACATGCAATAGAAATAAATATAAGATGTGAATTCCATTGGTACCAACTTTCAATATGCAACTTTCTTTTTTTTTTTTTTTTTTTTTTGAGACGGAGTCTCGCTCTTTCGCCCAGGCTGGAGTGCAGTGGTGCAATCTCGGCTTACTGCAAGCTCCACCTCCCGGGTTCATGCCATTCTCCTGCCTTAGCCTCCCAAGTAGCTGGGACTACAGGAGCCCGCCACCACGCCTGGCTAATTTTTTGTATTTTTAGTAGAGACGGGGTTTCACCGTGTTAGCCAGGATGGTCTCGATCTCCTGATCTCGTGATCCGCCCGCCTCGGCCTCCCAAAGCGCTGGGATTACAGACGTGAGCCACTGCGCCTGGCCAATATGCAACTTTCAATCAATTCCGTACCCCACTTTCAATCAATTCCTACAGAGATGAACTCATACAGAGCGGGGTGGTTTCTAACTGAAGAATCAGACTTTGCAGAGACGTTGACGCAGGGTCAGAGTTGCCAAATGAATGCTGTACCCCAGAGGGAAGTGAGCACAGCCTTCCCTTACAGGGAGTAGGGTGGGCCTGATGCTGAAAGACAGGGAGCCTATGGAAGTTTCCTTGGGGTAGGGCAGGGACGTGAATAAGTCTGAGTCTGCAACAATGAAAATATTCTAAATCTTATCAAACACTGAAATAAAATCAGTTCCTAATATTTACTTTTTGTTGTTGGAATTCCTAAAAGTCTTTAGCCATCATGGAAGAATTAAAACAACATATTAAATGGAGCTAATAAAGATGACCTTTTTTCCCTTTCAATAATTTGTGTTAGTGCTATCATTACAATACATTTTTAAATGGAAGAAAAAGCCCAGCCATCTTTCCCCTATAAAATCCTAGATGTTTTGACTGTAAGAAGATTTATATATCTATCGTAGATTAAAGTAGAAAAGCTTTTTGAAACCTCAGATTCCAGAGCTCTATTTCTGGGGATTCTAACTTAATTAGCCTAGGTAGGAGCTTGGGAATGTGCAGCTATTATCTCCAGGGTTCCCTGGTGATTGGTTTAGTTCAGAAACTTCTGATCTTGTCCAACCCCTTTATAGACAGAAGAATAAACCCAAGGACCCAAAGAGCTCAAAACTTTCAGTTCCTCTTTGGATCATTTTTGTAAAGAGACAGGCATTTTGAAGTCACATTTTATTTACCATTTTGTTTGTTTGCTTTTAGCAGTGGTCAAAAATGAGAAGAATATATTTTAAAGACCAAAATACAGAGTCGTCTTACGTAAGCACAGATGCTACCAATATGGTTCATCCATCTAATAGATCATTTGTGTGTATGTACTCATGTTGACTCATTTTATTATTTTCCAAGAAACTAGTTCAACCAAACGGAATAGTGAACAGCTTCCAGCTATCTTAGTGTTGACTTAATTTTAATGCTTTTATTAAAATTCATTGCCATTTTCTTACTTAGCCTTCTCCTTTCTATAGCACTTTGCAAAAAATTGGGGGGAGAATTACATGAATGTGAATTAGCAGATATGTGGGAATATTTCATAAATCTTACTTTCCTGAAGCTTCTGTTACTAGGTCCTCTTGGAATATGGCACACTCTATGTGTTAATTTATTAATTTTTCATTTCAATCCAGAAAGGAGTTAAGGAAGTCAAAGATTTCACTGATTACTTTTAGTGGTGTTCCAAGCAATGAAATCAATTTTTTACTAGATTCTTAGATTTCATATATCCATTATGTGTGTGTGTGTGTGTGTGTGTGTGTGTTTATATATCTGTTGACTCTATACCAAGGTAATCAGTGAAAAGGAGTGCCAGACCCCAGGCAAAACACTAAGACTAACTAGGATGATTTTACAGAAAACAAAGAGGAATTGTTCCTTACAACAGAACAGAGAAACAAAATGCACATTTTAGACAGAATCACCAAGGAAACAGTACAAAAAGGAGAAGCAGCTTTAGTATACCAACAAATCTGAAAAACGAATTTAGATATAAAATCAAATTTGCCACCTTAGTCCCGCTGCAGTCATCTGGTCACTCCAGGGATATCCTAGAAACCCTCTGGGTAATCACTTGCAAAATGTGCAATGTAATTGGTGGTGTATATAAACCAAATGAGGAACGAATGAGCCTGAAAATATATTGGTTCTACACATCCTCTCCTTTGGTTTCAGGAGTCTTGGGCTTGTGCCTTTAGGGATATATTAGTCAGGGTTTTTCAGAGCAACAGAACCAATAGAATGTGTGTGTGAGAAAGAATAAAATATCTAAGAATACAGTTAACCAAGGAGGTAGAAGTTCTCTGCAATGAGAATAACAAAACACTGCTCAAAGGAATCGGAGAAGACACACAAAAAATGAAAAAACGTCCATACTCATAGATAGAAAGAATCAATATCATTAAAATGGCTATACTGCTGAAAGCAGTTTACAGATTCAGTGCTATTCCTATTAAACTAACAGTGACATTCCTCACAGAACTAGAAAAAACTATTTTAAAATTTATATGGAATCCCCCAACAAAAAAAGCCCAAATAGCCAAAGCAATCCTAAACAAAAAGAACAAGGCTGGAGGCATCACGTTACCTGACTTCAAACTATGCTATAAAGCTACAGTAACCAAAACAGCATGGTACTGGTCCAAAAACAGGCACATAGACCAATGGAACAGAATAAAGAGCCCAGAAATCAGGTCACGCACCTACACCTATCTGATCTCCAACAAAGCTGACAAAAACAAGCAATGGGGCCCGGCCAGCCACCCTGTCCGGGAGGTGGGGGGCAGCCCCCGCCCGGCCAGCAGCCCCTTCTGGGAGGTGGGGGGCGCCTCTGCCCGGCCACCCCATCTGGGAAGTGGGGAGCCCCTCTGCCCAGCCGCCACCCCGTCTGGGAGGTGTACCCAGCAGCTCATTGAGAACGGGCCATGATGACGATGGCGGTTTTGTCGAGTAGAAAGAGGGGAAATGTGGGGAGAAGATAGAGAGATCGGATTGTTGCTGTGTCTGTGTGGAAAGAGGTGGACGTGGGAGACTCCATTTTGTTCTGTACTAAGAAAAATTCTTCTGCCTTGGGATGCTGTTAATCTATAACCTTACCCCCAACCCCGTGCTCTCTGAAACATGTGCTGTGTCCACTAAGGGTTAAATGGATTAAGGGCGGTGCAAGATGTGCTTTGTTAAACAGATGCTTAAAGGCAGCATCTGTCATCACCACTCCCTAATCTCAAGTACCCAGGGACACAAACACTGCGGAAGGCGGCAGGGCCCTCTGCCTAGGAAAACCAGAGACCTTTGTTCACATGTTTATCTGCTGACCTTCCCTCCGCTATTGTCCTATGACCCTGCCAAATCCCCCTCTCCGAGAAACACCCAAGAATGATCAATAAATACTAAAAAAATTTTAAAAAAAATAATGGATATTATGCAGTGGTATAACCAGGTAAAATTCCCTAAAACTGACAGAGATCTCCCCTGGAATATTCCATTATTCCAGAGACTTCTCACATAATTCCAATCTTAACTGAAGATTATGGAAAATAAACGTGTTTATTTTGATGTCAATAAAAGGTTTTATGACTCAAAAAAAAAAAAACACAAGCAATGGGGAAAAGACTTCCTATTCAACAAATGGTGCTGGGATAACTGGCTAGCCATATGCAGAAGATAAAAGCTGGACCCTTTTCTTACATCATATACAAAAACCAACTCAAGATGGATTAAAGACTTCAATGTAAAACCCCAAACTATAAAAATCCTGGAAGACAACCCAGGCAATATCATCCTGGACATAGGAATGGGCAAACATTTCGTAAGAAAGACACCAAAAGCAATTGCAACAAAAGAAAAAAATTGACAAATGGGATCTAATTAAACTAAGGAGCTTCTGCACATCTAAAGAAACTGTCAATAAACAGGCAACCTACAGAATGGGAGAAAATATTTGCAAACTATGCATCTGACAAAGATCTAACGTCCAGCATCTATAAGGAACTTAAGCAAATTTACAAGAGAAAAAAAACCCCATTAAAAAGTAGGCAAAGGACATGAACAGACCCACTTTTCAAAAGAAGACATACATGTGGCCAAGAATCATATGAAAAAAGTTCAATATCACTGATCATTAGGTAAATGCAAATCAAAACCACAATGAGATACCACTTATATCAGTCAGAATGGCTATTATTAAAAAGTCAAAAAAATAACAGATGCTGGCAAGGTTGTGGAGAAAAGGGATCACTTATGCACTGTTGGTGAATTAGTTCAACCATTATGAAAAGCGGTATGGTGAGTTTTCAAAGAGCTAAAAGCAGAACTACCATTCAACCCAATAATACCATTACTGAGTATATACTCGGAGGAGTATAAATCATTCTACCATAAAGATACATGCATGTGAATGTTCATTGCAGCACAAATCACAATAATAACAAACACATGGAATCAACTTAGATGTCCATCAATGACAGATTGGATGAAGAAAATGTGGTACATATACATCGTGGTATACTATGCAGCCATAGAAAAGAACAAGAACATGTGTTTTGTGGGGACATGAGTAGAACTGGAGGCTATTATCATTAGCAAACTAATGCAGGAACAGAAAACCAAATAGTGCAAGTTCACACTTATAAGTGGCAGCTAAATGATGAGAACTCATTAACACAAAAAGGAAAGCAACAGATACTTGGGTCTACTTAGTGAGGAGGGTGGGAGGAGGGAGAGGAACAGAAAAGATAACTATTGGGTACTGGGCTTAATGCCTGAGTGATGAAATAATCTGTACAACAAACCCCAGTGACACAAATTAACCTATGTAACAAACTTTTACATGTACCCCAGAACCTAAAGTAAAAGTTTAAAAAAAAGAATGTGTGTGTGCATGTGTGTGTGTATACAGGGGTGGGGTATTTATTTTAACGAACTGGCTCACACGATTGTGAAGGCTAGCTAACCCAAATACGAATCTGCAGGCGGGACAGTGGGCTGGAGACCCAGAGAGGAGTTGATGTTGTAGCCTTGAGTCCAAAGGCAGACTGGGGGAGATTTCTTCCCTCCTCGGGAGACATCAGTCTTTTCTCATAAAGTCTTCAACTGATTGGATACGGCTCACCCACATTATGGAGAATAGTCTACTTTGCTCAAAGTCTACTGATTAAAATATTAATCACATCAGATACCTTCACAGCAACATCCAGACTGGTATTTGACCAAAAGCTGGGTATCATCGACTAGCCAAGTTAGCACGTAAGATTAACCATCATGAGGAGTATAATTTTTCTTCATGATGGACAGTCACCAAGTGAACAGGGAAAGCACTGGTGTCTTCAGGGTTAGCCTTTGTAGGAAATACAGAATCTGCCTCTCTGCTCCGTAGGACAAGGATTTGGGCAAAGGGAATGCCCAGGCTGCCCCCATTCTGATCCTGGGCATGGGTTTGGTATCTCTCTCCCTTTGGGAACTATTGGGGAGAGGGAGAATAAAGCTGACAAGGAGCAGCAGGCCGTGGAAGGAAGATAGAAGTTCAGAGGAAGGCAGGGCATGAGGAAGTGCATGTTTCATTGAGTTTTTTACCCACTCAGAAGTAAAAGAATGAGATACCATAAAGTTGGCCCATCATTTGGGAAGTCTTTTCCTAATACTTCCTGTGCCTCTAATGTCTTCGGCCAGGACACTTCTTTTTGAAATGTGGAGCAGCTGCCAACACACTCTAGAGTTGAAGTGTTCCATAACTAAAAGGACTTCTTTTTAAAAAAGTTTCTATTACTACATAACAATTGTACATATTTATGGGGTACATGTGGTATTTTGATACATGCATATAATGTGTAATGAGCAAATCAGGGTGTTTAGGATATTTATCACCTTGATCATTTATCATTTCTTTGTGTTAGGAACATTTCCAATCTTCTCTTCTAGCTATTCTGAAATATACAATATTTTGTTATTAACTGTAGTCATTCTACTGTGCCAGCAAGCATTAGAACTTAGTTCTTCTATCTAACAGTATGTTTGTTCCAATTAACCTACTTCTCTTCATCTCCACCTCCTTCATGCCTCCTGGCCTCTGATAACTATCATTTTACTCTCTACCTCCATGAGATCAACTATTTTAGCTCCCACATATGAGTTAGAACATATGATATTTGCCTTTCTGCATCCGGCTTATTTCACTTATGACCTCGAGTTCCATCCATGTTGCTGCAAATGACAGGATTATACTCTTTTTTATGGCCGAATAGTATGCTATTGTGTGTTTGTGTGTGTGTGTGTGTGTGCGTACATATTCCTCATTTTCTTTATCCATCCATTCATTGATGGATCCTTAGGTTGATTCCATATCGCTGCTATTGGTAGCAGTGCTGCAGTAAACATGGGGGAGCAGGTGTTCCTTTGACATACTGACTTCCTTTCCTTTGGGTATATACCCAGCAGTGGGATTGCTGGATTATATGATAGTTCTATTTTTAGTTTTTTGAGAATCTTCCATACTGTTTTCCATAATGTCTATGCAAATTAACATTCCCGCCAACAGTGTTTGAGTTCCTTAATCTCCTCAACCTTGCTAGCATTTGTTATTTTCTTGTCCATTTTATAATAGCCATTGTAACTGAGGTAAGACGCTATCTCATTGTGGTTTTGATTTGTATTTCCCTGATGACTAGTGACATTGAGCCTTTTTTTATATACCTGTTGGCCATTTGTATGGGTCTTTTTTTTTTTTTTTTTTGAGAAATGTCTGTTCATGGCCTTTGCCTACTTTTCAATGGGAATTCTTTTGCTGTTGAGTTGAGTTTCTTATATATTCTAGATATTACTCTCCTGTCAGATGCATAGTTTGCAAATATTTTCTCCCATTCTGCAGGTTGTCTCTTCACTCTGTTGACTTTTTCTTTTGCTGTGCTGAAACTTTTTAGTTTAATATAGTACCATTATTTTTGTTGCCTGTGCCTTTGAAGTCATAGCCATAAAATCTTTGCCTAGACCAATGTCCTGGAGTGTTTTCCCCAAGATTTCTTCTAGTAGTTTTACAGTTTTGGGTCTCAAAACTTTAAGTCTCTATTACATTCTGAGTTAATTTGCATGTATCATGAGGAATAGGGATCTAGTTTTACTCTGCTGCTCATGGATATCCAGTTTCCTCAGCACTATTTATTGAAGAAGATGACTTTTCCCCAATGTATGTTCTTGGTACCTTTATCAAAAGGGGCAAAGTTGAGGACACTGGACATCCAGGAAGAGAAGATAAGTGAATTTTTAAGCGAACATTAAGGAACCTCATCATTGTACCAAATCAAACTTCAGATAGCTGTATGGCCAGGGCAAGGCACAATTTATGATGAGTCAGAAAGAGGATCTGTGATTTTCTTTAATCTTCAATCCGTGTAGTTAGGGGGAAGCAGTTTGTTTGAAAACACACACACACACACACACACACACACACACACACACACACACTTTTTAAAAGAAGTTTTGGTAAATTGTGTTCTTTCCATCATGGGAAATAAGCAGAATTATGAGATAATCCCCATCCTTTAAGATAATGAAATTTTCCTCTATAAGGCCAAAGCCTGAACCCAATGCCAAAGCCAAATAAGCCACCAATAAAAAGGCTATGAATTGAGTGAGAAGTGAACATGATTCTTGCCTTCTCTAATCCCAAGAAGACAAATAGGGAAGTTGGTGAAGGATGGACTATAAACAAACAAACGAAAACAATCACTGAAGCAGCAAGCCTGTCCTTCTAGGAGAATTCCCATTTCTGCCTTCCCAAAAGAGTGTCTCCAAAGGGCAGCAAGCATTATCTCCACTAAATTAAGCATTTGCCTCCCATTTGGGCTCTGGACTCCACATACCTATCAGTGAGGTGAGGCCAAGGCAGTGGGATTCATATTTTAGAATGGAATTATCACTCTAAGAGTTGTGCAATCACATTAATTGCCTTGAAAGGCTTCCTAGACATAAACAGGAAATAGGAGTAGCCTAACTTTAATTTCTGTCTAAATTCTCCTAGCTCCACACTGAGTTTTATGTTCCGATATAAACACGATATTATTTGTTTTCGTGATTATTATGGTCTGTAAATCTTTTTAGACCTTTGATTCCTTGATTCCTCATGATCTGGATAAAAGATGGTCTAGAAAGGTATAGAGAAATAAGAAGACAGCAATGCTTTGGAAAACAAAGGCTTCGAGAATTCCAGAAGAACTGACAGCCAACTGTGCTGAAAGCTGCAGAACCACACAGAAGATGATCAGCATTCACTTACCTGTTGTTTAATGACAGCATATTATATGTGGTATATGGTGCTGGATGCCAGGAATACAAAGAAAATCGAAAAGATACCTTACCTTCACATAACTCTCAATCTGGTGTGAGAGAGAGACATGTCAATAGTTTAAGTGCATGAGATAAATGGCTTGTTATAATTATGCGCTGTGGTAGAAGTGAAGAAGAGGCAAGAAGAACAGGAATAATGAAAAGTTTTGCGGATAAAGTAATACTGAGCGATGCCTTGATAAGGAATTTCCATGCAGAAAAGGGATGTATGGGCATTACAGACCAATGAAGAACATGAGTAAAGAAGTGAAACCACAAGACTGTGGTGCTCGTGGAAGGATAAAGTATGGCTCAATAATATGGATGCACAGAGGAGAAATATCCAGAAGAGCACAGATCACAAAAGGGCCACGTGTATATGCTACACAGAAGAATTTGAATTCAACTGCAGGGAGTAAAGCACCATTGAAAACATTTTAAGCCAGAATGTGAATGGCCAGTTTCCCATTTTAGAAAGATCTCCTAAGTGATACAAGAAGATGGATCTGAGTAAAGGAATAGCTAGTGTGAATTCCATTTGCCTACTACAAAGGTCCAAGTGAGACACAATGAAACAATAGCTAAGACAATGATGGTGAAATGGACAGAAGGGATAGATTAAGAACATCTTTTGAAGGTTGCAATGGATTTTAGTGACCAATTTATTGTAAGAGATGGAAGAGATAGAGGAGTTGAGAATGACCACTTTTTGATTTGGATCAATGAGAAGAGAGCAAAGGCAATGTTATTAATTGTTTTGAGGCCTATGAGAAAACCAGTAGACTCAGGGAAGGCGGACATGATGAGTTCAGTTTTGTATGTAACAAAAATATTACCACTGGATTTCTTGATTGTGAAGTGCATTTGTGATCAGAGAAGAAACTGAGGGAGAGAAAGAAGAAAAGAGTCTGAGAGACACAGAGAAAAGAGAAACAGAGAATGAACAGGAAACTGTGGGAAAGAGGACTGTCTTTCTCTGGTTTATTGCCTATTTTCAGCCTTAAGAAATTTAATTCTTAAGAAAGTTCCTTCCTCATTGTAACTATCTAACGAATCATAAATCAAATTAAGAAAGAGGAAAGGTAAAGTGGCAATTTTAAAACCCAATTAGGAAGTGGGCTCAATCCCACCAGAAATACTTGCCTGAAACTTTACACAACTTAAAAGAAATCCAGAGTCTCTATGATATTATCCTTTAAGAGTTACTCTAAGGGAATAAGTCACATAAATGCAATTTGGAGATTTAAAAGAATGAACATCTGGCCACCTGGCCATTATTTTATCCCAGTGTTAGTATTAAAAATACAGTGAATAATTTTGTTGTTGTTGTTTTTAATAAATGAAAGGTTGATACAGAAACATTCCCTGGAAGCCAACAAAAGCCACTTGTCTTTGACTTGACATGCTCAGAAGTTGGCCTTCATTTGAATGCAGAAACAACTCAGTTCTCCAAATGGAGACATACTTGTAATTGTTCTTGGAATAATTTCCAGGATTGAAGAAGCCCTCTTGAGGAGCAGATGTTCTTAATGAAAGACTTTTGTATCCCTACAAAACTTCTTATCCTCCATAGCAGGGGTTTTATCTAAAAAGGAGCATGAAGGCAGAATATAGTAATATGAAAATCAGGCAAAAAAAAAAACCCAAAGTACCCATATCAACAAAATTATATTCACACTATGGAAATCCTAGGGAAGGTAGGCATATAAAACATCATCTGCTATGGTGCAGTTAGACTCTTTTTCATCAAAATTTTCTTAGGGTTCCGTGGGATTGATTTGATTCAATTAATCTCACTAAGATACTACCCTAGAAAGAGATGGCTATCCAATTCTTTCACAGGCAAGTAAATGAATTTAGTGAATGCTTTCATTTTCTTATGTTGGGTTAAGCACAGAGAATCCAGGTAGATATTTGAAATGTGGTACACAGTTTGTAGGTTGTAGAGTCCAGTGTTAAAGGGCAGGACAAAGGTTTATCTGGGTTAAAACAGCAAAAACAACAGGTGGCAGGATTTGTAAGCCTTTCTCCCTGCTTGGTCACTAGCAATTTGCTGTACATCTCTGGGGCCAGAGCTTCCTGCTGATTTGACAGGATAGCAGGAAAAGCTGAAGAAAAGAGAAGCCTGTGCTGCTTCCTTTGTGGGTCTCTGGTGAGAATGTGAGCCTAGTGAGGGCAGGAATTATGCCCTCAGTTTAAATGCCTGGTGCCCAGTGTACCATGGAGTTGGGTGCAGCATACCTAAGAGACAGCGAGCTGCAAGAGGAGAATGGCTTACAGTTTTATTCCACCTCAGCTTGGTTTTTGGTAAAACATGTGGATATTATTGGAATGACTAAGTGGATGTACCTATCAATCGCACATTCTATAGTGAAGACTTGTAGATTCGTCTAGGGAGAAAACTACTAGTAGGGAACAGGAACAAGAAAATAGTTCCCCCCCCGCCCCCCTTCAAACTCCTGGCTGATTCATATTGTCCTTTAAAAATAAAATTCAAGGCAACGTTTTCAAATTCCAAAGTCCATCTTTCTGTGTTTGCCCTCCTTATAAAGGAAGCTAACCAGCTGGTTGAAAGTATCAGGCTATGAGTCAATTAACTAATCAGCTTTTCTGATTGCTCTGAATTGGGTGGGTATCCACTGCTGTTGGACAGAAGGAATGGCATGTGGTGTGTAGACAAACACTTCTGGGTGATAAGAGCCTCACAATTAAGCCCATGAGTGATCAGGAACAGATGTTTCCTTCAGGCAACTGCTCTCTTCCGGAATGATACTTGGATTTAGTGTATCCAGGCACAGTGTGCTGTCACCTTGGCAGCACCTTGCAGCACACGGCCACACGTGACCTACCTGTCCAGACAAGAGCCCCATCTGGCACCTTCTTGTCTTTCCTTTGGTGGGCTCGCCTGCTGCTGCGGCAATGCTCACTTTTGTCACTGAGTAATTTGAGATGAACCACCTCATGAAAACTTGCTGGAAGCCTTGAAGGAAAGATGCCAACACACTCCTCCTCTTTCTTACTGGCACTCTTGCCAGTTGTTCTTTTCATGCCTGAACCAGGCACATCATGGACCATTCCTGTTATTCTTACTCATGTTCAAATCACTCACCTTATTTATGCATGATAACAAAAATGGCAGAAGCAACTGATTCTCCCTGTTTGTAACCTTTTTTCCTTAGCGTTTTTCTCTTGTGGCTCCTGGAGTTTCATTCCTTGACCAGTTGAGGGATCTGTTGGCCTTCCATCACTCTGGTACATGATAGGCTATAAATATTTGGTGTGTGCAACACAACTGAATGGCACTTGAGCTTTCATGATTACAGCACACAATTACCTCCTGCTGGCATTTTTCTTATTACATCTCTAATTTCCAGCCTTCAATTTTAGGTGGTTGTGAAACAGTAGTGGTCCCTGCAGCAACCAGAGTTTTGTTGCACTCAACCGATTGAGTGAGCCTTATAAATGGATCCCTATCAGTTTCAGAAACCTATCATTTCCTCCTGATTTATGAAAGAGAAAGAAAGACAGAGAAGCTTTAGATTTTCCTTGGTTCCAAAATGTCATGCTCAGGTTCCCCAAGGAATGTAAACATTCCTTACTGACTCCCTTAGTGATGACAGGATTATGACTTAGGATGAAGCTTCTTCCCACACCCTGTCATTACCTACCAAGGCTTCTGTGATGCGAATCAGAGCTGTGGGGCGCAGAGCTCCTGCCTGGTGTAGTAAATTTACTACTCATAGAGAAACTCCCCTTGTTCTCATTTCTTTATTCCCTCTCTCCCTTTCTGTTTGCAAAGCTAAAATTGTGAGCGGATTGGGACCAAGATATCACCTTAACTCTAAGTCATAGGCTAAAATAAAACATAGGTTAGAAATTATTTGTGAGCCACATAATTTATGTTGACCAGAGATTGCAAAAGCAGTCCTTTTCAGAATATAGAACAGAGTGGTAATGCGATGCTAACACATTGTAGTTGAAAATCCCGCTGCTGAAGGTAATAGTATTGTGTAAAGACCACTCTCCCAACCAGAGCTTTCCTGCTTTTCAAATCACTCCTTTTTCAGCTTCATTTTCCTTGATGGCAGCAAATTTTTTTTTTACTTTACCCCTTCAATGAGATTAGCACTTGTTGCATTGCCAAGTCATAGCCAGTCTGCTGAAAGCCACCATCTAGGCTATATGGCACAATGGCTTGAGAAACTGTGATTTAAATGAACAGCAAATGTAAGCGATTCCTTGGCATTTCCTTTCTGAGGTTTATAAAATGGTGTCTGCCTGTCAACTAAATAAAAAAAATTAGTTCTATTTGCAGCAGGATGCCGCTGGAATCAACTGAATGCCAGGAGAGTAGACAGGAGAAATTCACATAATTCTTTAAAAATTTTTGGCTCATAGCTCCCTCTACCTTCCCTATTTCCAGGTTATATTTCAGATGGGGGTTCAAGTGGAAGTCAAACAGAACAACAAAAAAAAGATGTTCAACAAAACCCTAGAGACTTGAAGCCAGAATCCATCAAAAATAGGAGTAAACCCTGGCCCCACGTTACTAAAAATGCACCTGAAAGTGAACTGCCTGTGCCTGTGCCTTGCCGAGAGGTGAAGCAGTCTTAGTCCATTAGGTGATGCCGTGGTCGGGCATTGTGGTTTGGGTGGGTAGTGTCTGTGAGCATCTGGGGTCACTAGGAGTCTTTTCTCAGCAGCATATGCATACAGATATTTTGATTTATATCTATTTTCATGTTGCACTTCTGGTGCTGTTTGTCTTATAGTGAAAGGAAATCATAGATGGAAATCCTCTGAACAATTCAAAATTTTACAGAAATAAAAGATTTTAATATAACCAAAGGACAACAGGAATTCAAGTCCCAATTTCTGCTGGTTAGAATTCTAGAGATTGTCTTACTGTCCTGTGATGGAGCTGAGTGGGGCACTTCATTCCTGTTGCAGTGACCTCTCCGTAGAAAATGTTCTCCCTGTTTCTATCAGTTTGTCTGACCAGGTGGAATCTAACCATAGCCTTCAAATTTTTGATATGCACTGCAGGAATCCACCTGAATTCTGACAACATAATGCTGCTTAGGATGTCACATGGGCTTGGAGTTAGGGGGGAAGTATGCTTCAGTACATTGACTGGTACCACTCAGGATCTTCTGGCTATGTCATTGAATCTGTTTCTCAAAAGGCTATTCTCCCTTCAACAGTCTTTCTGACAGCTTGTGACTCAAGATCTCCATTAGCCGCGTGGGGAAAGTTGGGAAGCAGCATGGGTATACAGAGAGAGGCCGCACATGGAGTTGGAGGCTTGCTGCGAGGGACCACTTTGATTTTTCCATTTCTGGCATTTCGGGTTTCTTTTGCACATGGTTTCCAAGTGCTGTTCCTGAATATACCTCTGAATTATAGATTCCATTAGGTACACGAAATCTAGGGATTTGGGCATTTGCTATCCCATGTAGGTGAGAGGCCTCTATTTTGATTTTCTTAAAGGTGAGTTTGTATTCATGCCATTAAGAGAATATGAAGATTAAATGCCACAGAAGCAAATGAGCTCAATGCCTATACCACTCTTGGAGGGTAGCCAGAATCCTGAGCCATCCTGGACAGCTAGAGAGAGGGGCCACCTTTCAAATGCATGTGCTTTTGCAGTTCGTTGTTGAATTATATGGTACCTGCCTGGGAATATAAAGGAGGGTTTTATATCTGCAGAGACAAGATCCCAGGGGTCCATGCTAATGCCTCACCTGTTTAACTCTTGTTCATATTCCCTTTAGGCCTTCAAGATAGACCAAGATCCTGTGTAGCAAATCCTAAGTAATAATTTCTGGTTCTTTGAATTTCATTCACCTAGTTTCAATTTCACTACTAACATACTTTGGTTCATAATTTAAAAGGAAGGATTTATGTGCATATAGTAATTTCAAAAGGGGACTTGGTATCTATTATTCTATAGTGTCTTTCTGCCCTTGAGCTCACAGGCCTTTGTAGATGATAAGAAAGTATATCTTGAAGGGTATTTTTTGACTTGTCCGGAGGGCTACCTTTCTGACTGATCAGCTTTAGAGAATTCCTATTGTCAGACAGTGAAACTTTTGTCCAATCAGAAGCCTTAGGGAAGCTCTCCAGCAAGATTCTTTATACAGATCTGTGCAGAAAAATTAAAGGTCAAATATGAGAGGGATTTCCCTTTTCAGCAGCACTCAGCCAAAGAATTGAGCTATGAGTAAACTCTTCAGTACAGAAATGCATTAGGAATTAGGTTCCAGGAATACAGAACTATTCCTCTAACGTTTGCATCGCCAAAATACAACGGGGTTTTTCTGGTGTTCCCGCCAGACCTTCATAAATGGGCCTTTCCTCCTTGGAACTGTCTGCAGTTCAGATAGGGTTCCCCACATGAGCAGTTAGACAATAATAACTGGATAGATTTTCCCCAGGGATGATTAATGGCATGTCAGAAATTTAGAAAAATAGGCAGTTTTTAAAACACACGGCTTTATACATTATAAAAAGTTTTAAAAATATCTTTATTAAAATAACAGTTAAATGATTCTGTGCTTGTTGGTAGGATAAAGCTCTTTTCCTATGGGTTAATTGTGGCTGTGTCTTCTTTGAGTTTTGCATGGCTGAAAGTTGGCTGTGGAGTGTCTCTCTCAGCAGCTCACCCTAAGAGACCTACCTTGCCTTGCTCATCTTGGGAGACATCTTTTTGTTGTTGTTGTTGCCCAGGCTGGGGTGCAGTGTTGCGATCTCAGCTTACTGCAACTTCCGCCTCCCGGGTTAAGTGATTCTCTTGCCTCAGCCTCCTGAGTAGCTGGGATTACCGGCACCTGCCACCATGCCCAGGTAATTTTTGTATTTTTAGTAGACATAGGGTTTCATCATGTTGCCCAGGTTGGTCTCGACCTCTTGACCTCAAATGATTTGCCTACCTTGGTCTCCCAAAGTTCTGGGATTACAGGCGTGAGCCACTGCACCTGGCCTTGCAAGGCATCTTTAACACATTTTCTTTATATTTATTAGTACTTTTTTTTTCCTTCAAGAAGCCAAAAAGAGGAACGGTGCATTGCCTAAAATTGGGTTTCCTGGGAAACAGACTCTGGACTGGAGCAAAGGAGTATGGCTGAGGAGTGTTCCTGGGATCAACACCTGTGGAACAAGAGGGAAGGAGGACCAGACAGAGAACCACAATGTAATCACCAAGAAGGCTGCATCTTGTCCTGATCCCACAGAGAGCTCTGGGCTGGAACAGCCCTGCAGAGTTGTCCTGGCTTGAGGCAAGGAGACAGGGCCTTCATCCAACCATGTGTGCCAAACCACCGGCTGTGTACTGCCCCTGGGGTGTGGGCATGGACCTGGCAGGGCAGCTTCCCTGGGTTAAGAGTAGCCCCCAGAGAGGGTCTTAGCTGAGAGCCTTGACCTAATGCTCCCAACAGCTGGGGCAATGAGTCGCTTAGTCCTGAAGGGAGACATCTGGGTGTCACACCACGGCAGCCACGCCACTCTCCTTATGTGGCTTAGCTCTTAAGGTATGCAAAAACGTGATGAAGCTCTTTCCCGTGGTACTCTCTGTTTCCTACCAACATATTTGTTTGGTTGATTTTGGGGATAAAGTTCCTCTATGTAGTGTGTCTGTGTGTGTGTGTTTGTGTGTAAGCCATATATCATATAGCTATCACATGATAACATATATACATTATATCATATATCATAATACAATATATACATGATCTATTTTTATATCTACCCTAGTGGGCTATGCTGGTGTGCTTAGGATTTTATAGGTCTTTATGGATATCTAGAGGCAGACAAAATACTGGAGAGAAGTACTTTTGAAATAAGTTTTTAAAAAACATGTCTGCTTTGAAAATCATCTGCCAGGTCTAGGTGTGGCCTGAAGGACCACAGAGTCCTCAGCTCTGGTTGTCCAAGTGTTCGTAGTCATATGATGACAAAGAAAGCATTTTCCCTCTGAGAGTGGTTTGTAACCACTTTGTGGAACTTGGACAGTAAAATGTGTTCTTAGACCAGAGAAGCACACACCTTGCTGAGGAGTGTTGGCTCAGAAACCTTGGTCAAGAGAATGGCCAAGTTCTAGAGGGCTGTGGGGGAAAAACTGGAGACCTGCAGGCTGTTCCAGGGTTGACTAGATCCTGCTGTTGAGTGACACATTTCCAAATTAATCAATCTGTGCAGTGCCTTAAATTTGTATAGTTTCCGACCTGACATTTTCATTATCCTGTTTGGGGTTGCTATTGCAACTTCTTCCAATATGATTTTATGGATGAGGATATAGAGGACTCATGAGATTAAGCCAGTTGCCCACGTTCTGTGTGGCTTAGAAGTAAGGCAATCATACATTCCGGTTTGTTCGAAATGGTCCTCTGTTGTTTCAGTGTAATTGTTGGTTGTACCTCCTTTTTATTCACACGAGTTTCTTGGTTCAGATGATACATGATCTGGCTTTTGGGCTCAGGCTTCTTGACACTGAATCTGCCTCTCAGGCTTTCTCTAACACCTTGCAGTGGTCTTAGAAAGTTATAGTTTCTCAACTTCATGTGGCTTCTGGGACCTGGAACAGTCTCTTCTCCACCAAGCAGGTGTTGGCTCTGCCAGGGTTCTGCCCACTGTCTTCCACAACACCAGTTAGGAGAAACCAGAATCTATTGTATTTTCCACTAAGGGATTTTTTTTCTCAAACATATATGATCACAAAAATCTGGCCCAAAAGAAACACAGATGTAAGGCAGAGTTTTTATTAGGTTAAGATTCTTTTTTTTTTTTTTTTTGCATTCCTTTTTAGACTAGGGGAACTTGGACCTGTGCTGATTCTTATTACTGAGTTATGCTTTCTGGTAAGTGAATTAGCAGGTTAGATTCTGCCAGTCATCTTCAACCCTCTTCCCAGTGAGATACTTGGTCTTTACCCAGGAAATAGCAGTGTGAATACAGCCCCAGTGAGAAGAACCTATATTGCTCTTCCGGTATGGGGCTGTTGGCACCTTTTGATAGCAGCATTAGGTGTGAGGTTGGCAGGATTATGTGTGAGGTTGGAGCCATATCTGAATAGTCAGAAATGCATTAACATCCAATGCATTCTGCGTGAGGCTGCTCATGCATGATATATCATAACACTCAAAGCCATCAACAGCTCAAAAATTCCCCCAACCCCAAATAACCCGAAGTATTATCAAACCACCTTGGTTTGATACTTGTAAAAGCAATGATTGAGCATGTCTTTAGAAAAAATATTTTATAATAGTTTAATATGACTCACACTTCAAAGCAACTATTTGATTGGCTCAACATTCAAAGTCTATTCATTGCAGGAATTATGACTCCTCTTGGACATCACCCTACAGACATCAGGCTCATCTTAGCAGTAAGCATCAATTGCTATTTTTGTTAATAATGATATTCTCCCCTTCCCTTGTTAATGGAATAAACAAAGAAGCCTTTTGGTTCGAATTTGGTTTGGAATAATTTGAGTGGTCTTTAAGAGCCACTAATTTTCAAAAACAACCTTAAAATTATGCCATTTAACAGTTTCTCCATCACATGATTGAAAGAGGAGAGAGAGATTTATTTTTCTAAGTGACATTTTAACCTACTGGGATATGAAGGGGAGAGAGAGAGAGAGAAACTGGGGTCTCTTAAATGTGTGAAAACAACAAAGTCTCTTTGAGCTTTCACTTTTCATTAAAATACAGAATTAGAAAGCTCCCAATTTAAAAACTAACAAATGTGCCAAAAGCAAAATCCAAGGGCCATAGAGGTCCTCCCATCATACCAGCCAGTGACCCTCCTGGCTGAGGTTCAGAAATGAACAGAAAACGCCACTCTTCTCTAAAAACAATTGGTATCATTTTGGTTTCCAAGTAACATTTTCCTGTACAGCTGCATCAGATAGAATTCTCAGTTAAATAAATGACTCACTTAAGAATTAAAAGCACTGGAAAAGGCCAAAAAAAAAAAGAAAGAAAATAAATCTGTTAACTGTTGCTGTTCTCCCCTTGAATTCCTTGCCTGGCAGCTTTAGAAGAAGAGAGTAGAGAAGTCTCAGGTTGAGCTTGACATAGGTACGGAAAAGTCTCACTGGGAGATTTCTTATCTGAATTACTCAGGGCTGTGAGGATATAAAATATTTCAGTCACCACCATTTCTCCCATTCCAATTTAAGAATTTTCTGTCTTCGGTGGCATATTCAAGACATTTTCTTTCTTTCTTTTCTCACTATCCTCCCAGACACCTAGAATGTGTGGGTTCCTGCCCTTCCAATGTGGCCTTTTGGATCAATTCTGTGTGATGAGGCCATTTTCAAGAGAGACTTTTTGATAGGGCTTAAAAACTGTAAAACTGCAAGTTCTTAACATTACTATACAACATGTGAAACAGATATTCTCACCTTATTCTGAACCTGTCCCATTCTCTGGTATTTCACTTCATTCTGAACCTTTCCCATTCTCTAGTACCAACCTTGGATTCTGCGAAAGATTTGGAGATGGAGTGTATCTAGAGGGTACCTTAGTTGGTAACAAAGATTTACCTTTTCATTTTCACCCACGTTTTGATATGACTGATTTAAATTATTTTTCCCCAAATGCCTGGCTTCAGAATAAGTCAGTTTACAGAAAAAAGAATTATATGCCCAAGAAATCATGGTGTAAAAAGTTCCAAGCTGGTTGTCAGGGGTCACCCCACCTTTTGATATACATTTCTTTTTGGCACCCTTCTCTTTCTGTGAAGATAAGCCTTTATCCCATGTGGGATGCTGTGAAGCACATAGCAAGGACTACTGGAGTCACCCTAAAACTTTTCTTGGGACAGAAAATAACTAGGAAAATTTCCTGTCATTTTCTTCTTCAGCCCAGCCACAATATATAAAAAGGAAAAATTGTAATGTTATTGGAAGAAACAGAAAAAGAAGGGAGCTCTGATGATCAAAACTATATTTGGATGTTTGCCCAAAGATTATGTAGAGGTCTTTATTAGTAAATACAATAATGTTGATAGCATATGTGTGTGTCATCTGAAATCTTACTTGTTCCTAAAGTGCTGATAAGATCTGCACAAAGCCCCCTTCCCATGTCCTGTGGAAATCCAAAGTGCTTTCCATGTTTCCTGTGGGTTCTTGGAAAGTGGGTGAGGGAATGGTGCTTATACCTCATGGGCTTTTCATTTCAGTCTCATACATCTGCTGAACTTCGGTAGGTTTTTAATTAACTTTTCACTTAATGCAAGTTGTCACTGTTTCCCATAATGCTGACCCAGATGTGGAACTTAGCTTTTTCCTATTATATCCACAAAAATTACATGCATATAGATGACACAAACAAGTGGAAACACATTCCATGCTCATGGACGGGAAGAATCAACATCATGAAAATGACCATACTGCCCAAAGCAATCTACCAATTCAATATAATTCCTATCAAAATATCAACATCATTTTTCACAGAATTAGAAAAAAAAATCCCAAAATTCATATGGAACCAAAAAAGAGCCCAAATAGCCAAAGAAATCCTATGCAAAAAAAACAAACCTGAAGGTATCACATTACCAACTTCAAATTATACTACAAGGCTATAGTAACCAAAACAGCATGATACTGGTATAAAAGTGGATACATAGACCAATGGAACAGAATAGAGAACCCGGAAATAAAGCCAAATACTTACAACCAACTGATCTTCAACAAAGCCTACAAAAACATAAATTGGGGAAAGACATCCTATTCAACCAATGGTGCTGGAAAAACTAGATAACTACATTTAGAGAATAAAACTGATTCCTGTCTCTCACCATACACAAAATTCAACTCAAGGTGAATTAAAACTGAAACTATAAAAATTCTAGAAGAAAATCTAGGAAAACTCTTCTGGACATTGCCTAGGCAAAGGATTTATGATTAAGACCCCAAAAGCAAATGCAACAAAAACAAAAATAAATAAATGGGACCTCATTGAACTAAAAAGCTTCTGCACAGCAAAAGAAATAATCCTCAGAGTAAAAAGACAACCCACAGAGTGGAGAAAATATTTGCAAACTATGCATCTGACAAAAGACTAATATCCAGAATCTACAAGGAGCTCAAACAAATCAGCAAGAAATAAAAACAAATAATCCCACTAAAAAGTGGGCAAATGACATGAGTAGACATTTCTCAAAAGAAGATATACAAATGACCAAAAAAAAAAAGAAAAAAAAAAGCTCAACATCACTAATCATCAGGGAAATGCAAATTAAAATCACAATGAGATACCACCTTACCCCAGCCAGAATGGCCATTACTAAAAAGTCAAAAAACAATAGATGTTAGCATGGTTGTGGTAAAAAAAAAAAGTAAACACTCATATGCTGCAGGTGGGAATGTAAATTAGTACAACCTCTATGGAAAATAGTATGGAGATTTCTCAAAGAACTAAAAGCAAATCTACAATTCTATCCACTACTGTGAATCTATCCAAAGGAAAAGAAGTCATTATATTAAAAAGGCACCTGCATGTGTATGTTTATTGCAGCACAATTTACAATACCAAAGATGTGGAACCAACCTAAGTGCCCATCAACCGATGACTGAACAAAGAAAACAGGGAATATGTACACCATGGAATACTACTCCGCCCTGAAAAAAATAAAGTAATATCTTTTGCAGCAGTTTGGATGGAACTGGGGGCCTTTATTCCAAGTGAAGTAACTCAGGAATGAAAACCCAAATACTGTGTGTTCTCACTTATAAATGGGAGCTAAGCTATGGGTACACAAAGGCATATGGAGTGGTATAATGAACACTGGAGAAAGAGAAGCAGGAAGGCTGGAAAGGGAGTGAGGGATTTAAAAAAAGTACATATTGGGCACAATGTACCCTACTCTGGTGACAGGTGCACTAAAATTTCAAAATTCACCACTGTACAATTCATCCATGTAACCAAAAATCACTCGTGCCCCTAAACTATTGAAATAACTTTAAGAAAGAAAGAAACCCAGATACTGCATGTTCTCACTTATAAGTGGGAACTAAACATTGAGTACACATGGCCACAAAGATGGGAACAATAGACACTGAGGCCTACTTGAGTGGGGAGGGTGGGAGAAGGAGGTTGAGGGTCAAAAAACTACCTATTGGGTACTATGCTCACTACCTAGGTGATAAAATCACCAAACTCTGGTAACACGCAGTTTACTCATGTAACAAACATGCACATGTACCCCGTGAACCTAAAGCAAAAACTGAGAAAAGAAAAAAAGTTACATTTATAAATTCTTGTGTGTAGAGAATTTCATGAAATTATGGGGGAACAGAAGTGTAGGTAGGGATTGAAGGACAACAATGTGCTTCATCTCAGAATTCAAACTATTTCACACATAATATTCCTGAACTTAAATGTCTTTAAGCATCAGGTATTTGAGATTAAAATTGAGAAAAATTCAAATTTTGAAATATTTAAATTATACAGACAAAAATGCCTAGTAAAATGAAGACCAATGTACCTGCGCTTAATGCTGCAATGAACTCCTTTTTGTTTTTCCTTGACACCTGTGTGATCTCATCCTGAGGGGATATACCTAAAAGCCACCTAAAAGCCAAGCAGTTGATGGCTGCTTCATCACTCCCAGAGCCCCTGGACTCATGGTACTTGCTGTTTTCAAATCTCTTCCTTTTTCATTTCTCTTCCTCCCTCCTTTTTATGTAAAATATCTCCTGAAACTCAAAATTATCCGTCTCCTCTCCCTCCCTTCCTTCCTCCCTCCCTTCCTTCCTTCCTTCCTTCCTTCCTTCCTTCCTTCCTTCCTTCCTTCCGAGGAATTCAGCTCTTTCTAGCTTTCACCCTAAGCTCAGTTCCTGGTTCATCTTTGCATATGTGATTCCATTAGGACATTCTGCAGGACAAAACCAAACCAAACCAAACCAAACCAAACAAAACAAAACTTTCTTTTAATAAGGCCATTCCCTTTAGAAAGCAGTTGTGATTGTAAAAGAAACTTGGTCTCTTCATTACTTTTGGGAAAGTAATCCATAGGATGATGATTTTCTATATCTCTTGGTCTAGGGGACAATCTTCTGCTTGTGAGATTTTGTCTGGAAAAATAAAATGCACTATTTATTCATTCAACATTTATTATACACATGTTTACCTGGCACTGTTCTTACAAGTGTGGCAGGATCACAAAGTTGAATAGGATCTAAATACCTCTTAATCTAGTCATGGAAATAAACATACAAGTAAATACTTATAATACTTAAAAAATTTTTCCTCCAAGTGTGAAACGGAGTACTGTGGAAATATTGAAAAAGGAATGTTAAATTTAGTGAGAACATGAGAAGTCTTCAAAAGAAGCAGCGGAAATAATAATCACAAGGTGTGGAGCCTAATAGTCTAATATGTTTGGAATTGACAAGGAACTGGGTTGCCAAATTTCAGAATCTTGGAAGGAAAATTGAGAAGCAGTAGCAAGTAAGGTAAACTGGTGCCAGATTTTGCGTGGTTGTATACACCAGGTTCAGCTGTTTGAATTTTAATCCATAAGCAATGGAGGAGCCACAAGAGTTTTAAAAATGAAGGCATTATTATATTTCATCTGGGTTTTTAAGAAAAGACTAACATCTGTCTGTAAACTCTGACAACTTAGGTCACTGTTGTGGTGTTCCAGGGGAGAATGTAGAGAAATGGAACTAATTTTGTTTGGGAGAAATGGATGAAAAGTAATCCAGAAAAATTTGATGACTAATGAGGATTTAGCATCATTAAACACAATGGTCCTATCTGTGTGTGGGATGAAAGGAGGGAAGGGTGGAGGATACAAAGAATCCTAACTTGGAAGGCTAAGTAGGTCAGCATGCCATTCTCCAAGAAAGGGAGTTTGGGAAGAGGAACAAGTCTTTACTGGAAGGTTATAAATTTGGTTTAGGCAACTCTTTTAATGTCAATTATTTATTAGGCACAGAATAAGAGTTGTCTGTCTGTGGTCAGTGGAACTATGGTTTAGTATTTAGAAGAGCTAAGACTTCAGAGAGAGGTTTTGGGGAGAGTTTCAGTATGGTCAAAAGTAGCAGAGAAATCTAGGAAGATAATACAGAATACAACTCATATGAAATTGGCAATTAGGGATCGTTGCAGATAATTTTCAAGAGCAAAGCCAGTGGTGGTATGGCAGAAAAGACCTTAGTTGAATGACTGGAAGTTGGTGTGGTAGACACTGCTAATATTGCAAATATCTACTCTCCCAGTCTTTGTCAATAGATCCTTGGTTTTATTCAAAGGGCCATGAGCAGCTAGGGATGAACATATGAGATATTTTTGGTCAATGAGACATATGTAGAAGTCTGTTGGAGATTTCTGAGAAAGTTTGTGGATCTTGACAGGCATTGCTTCTTTTCATTTTTCCTCTTTGCTCTTCCTGCTTCTTCTGTCCTAGAATACTATAAGAGACAACAAAGATGACAATGATTGTCTACACATTTAGGGTGATGAGAAAGATAGCATTGTGGAGCCCTGAACTGATTCTGACCAATCTGCCTCTAGAGACCTTCTTTTGTAACTCAAACAAACTGTTGAATAGCTTTAATCAGATAACCTAGGGCTTTATTAGTTGGGTGTCTTTTCATGATCAGAAGCTAAGTCCTCAAGTTGGTATTAAACCTGGCCATTGACAACAAAGAATCTCGGAGACTTAAAGTTGAAGGCAAGATCCACTTGCCATCCATTTATTAATTATTCTATGGCCACTGACATCAAAATAGTTTGGGGTAGCTCTAAAAATGCAAATGCCAGGTCATACCTATAGACTAACTGCATTGGACTATCTGGGAATGGAGCCCGGAAATCTACTTTTAATGCACTGAAGTTTGAGAAATACAGCATTGATTATGATTCTTCTGTGCCACTTTCAGATTCATGCATGTTCGCTACACTATACGCAGCCTGTGAAAGTGAGTTTGTGTCATTCCACTGGGGATGGATGGTTATGCCTATATCTGGATAAGTTAAAGAAACAATTAAAGAGCTAATTGGAAATCTAGTCATTAGAAAAGTCAGGCTTGGATGCTGACATGCTCTAGGTTGATTCTATAATACGTAACATCAATACCTAGTGCCTTACAAGTCTGTGAAGGAATGGGAGATCTTGAGGGCTACTGAATAACTGAAGGGAAAACAATTAGGGTGTGAATCTTTTCCTCTCCCTCCTCATTGAGCCCACAGGCACAGGCACATGTGATATCTCTGGGGAAAGCAGTAAGAAATATTCCCATAGAGATAAGGAAGGGTGGGGGGAAGATTGGAGTTCAAAGCAAAGTTGGATAGTTTCATCATCTGTGTTTTCCGCAATTAGTCAAGTTTTCACACCACACTATAGTTCTCGTTTGGGTCACTAGACTATTATTATATGCTTCCGCCTGCCATTTTAATTTTAAGTAACTTAGCAGATTTTTTTCTTCTTATGTTAACACAGGTAACATCTAGCAAGCAGTTTACATTGACCCTGTACAACAACCAAAAGTGGATGAAGTTTTGACTTGTTTATTTGTAGTTTCTTTCTTTGAACGTGGAGTGTCTGAAGAGATTTTTTTTCCAGTATGGTATGTTGTCCAAATGGAAATATTCTGCAAAGTAATGACATAAGGATAAAACCAAGATAGAGAGCTGACATCATTATGTTTGACAGAGCATATACAGGACTTATTCTGAAATTGAAGTGATCAAAGCTAACCTCACGAAAAAATGCAAACCCTCAAATGTTGTATGAAAATATACATAAACCAAATTTGTAAAGCAATACTAATGACATTTTTTAAAAAGTAAACTCCATCTAAAAAGACTCATCAGCTCCACTGTAGTCCAAAAGCTTGTTGGGTGGCAGAAATGATGATGATTAAAACCTGAGACGTCAGCAAAACTCTTTCACATCTTCAAAAATGTGAAAACAAACCTTAAGGCAAAATGTTAAAAATAGGCTCATTTTGGTGAAATGAAGCTGTTTGAATAAATAAAATTAATAGTTTTTATCTAAACCATCTGTGGTGTGAAATGGGAAGTCATATAGAAAAGTCCTTAGAGACTTCTGATCGCTCTACATTAGAAAGGAGAAGGGGCGGAGAAAAAAATGGGACCTCTTTCTATCTCTATGGGAATTAACAAAGTGATCAGCAAAGGGAAGCTGCAGGCCAACTTGCTCTGGTTGCAGGCAATCTGGCTTTTCCAGCTGTCCAGAAGTCGAAGGTAAATGTTCTGAAAACATAAGACCAGAATCATTTCAGTAAACCAATAGGTAGTATAAAGTAACAGATTCTCCTGGAAGTAAGGAAAGAAAGGAGGAGAGACAGAAAGAGAGAGGGGGACCTAAACTCCCAGAGACTTAGTACTATAAAGGACTGTCACTTCTGTTTTGTTGGTCTCCTGAAACCACATCATGAAACCAGATGTTAAAAATGGCCCAACTCAACAGCTAGAATGGCTTTGTAGGTGTAAGTATTTTGTAATAGTACCTGGAAATTGCAGTTTCATTTAGACACATTGTTCTTTCTTTTGTTCATGTATGAAACTCTTGCTAAGACAAGATTTAGGTTTCTGTGGGTCTATCTTGATAAAAAACAAAAACAAAGTAAAATATGAAATACCCCAGAATTGGTTCCAAATTTGTAGAGAGATGAATTCTGAGGATTTTCCTCAGGCTAGAGAAACCAGATAGTCCTCGCAAAGGCAAATCTAGTAAGATAAAAGTACAGGCTGCTTTTATACAGGACAATTTCTACACGTCTGTGCATTATACCAAGATGTTAGGTTTCTGGAGGGACTTTACCCATGGACCACAAGCAATGGGGATAACTTCGTTGGTTTTTGGGTAATCATAGTGGGGTCCCAACAGTTTGTCGAGGACCCCTCACTTAATTCATTGGCTTTATCAGATTCAGTCTTGGAATTGGTATACCCCTTCATCTCCCACACTTAGTTAACTCGTCTGAATAATCAAATAATTACAGGCCAATGGGAAGCAACCAAACTTATAAAAGAGCTATGAAGAATAAGTGTGCCACATGCTATCCTACAAAGCATGACAGGAATACATGTAAGGGATTTTTTTCCCTGCCCCTACCCTGGCCTTTCTTTGATTCTATTTAAAGCAGTATTGAGTATTTTTGGGATTAAAGGTTGAAGCTGTAGTCTTGTAATTTGATTAGCAACAATGTGCTTTAAATCCAGTGATAGAACTCTTGCTTTGCTGTAAGGTCTGAGGTACCTTTGGAGCAAGTAAGAGGGTGTATTTCTGTACAAACTGGCACTTGGCCTAATTTCTCAGTGTGATCAGGCCTCTGCAGAGAGAGTTCTTGCCCTAGAAAATGACCACAGTGCCCTTAAGCCCAGAGCTATTTTAGAACTTAGAACACTCAATGACTTATGGTCACAGATTAATTTTTAAGTAAATTCTGTCCTCTTGATTTTTCTTTGCCCCAGACTGGGCTTCAGAGCCAGACTCAGTGGGGCTGAGGCAAACGCACACCTTTCTTGTGTTCTCAATGTCTATAGTCACTTTATTTCTCTGATTGTAAGTGCTGAATTAGTGTTATTTCTCATCCCACTACCACCCCCCATTGTGATATGTGGAAAGGACCAGAGAGACAGCTTTAGGGTGTTCATGGTGGAAAGTGACATATTCAGGGATGAGCGGATGGCTCATTTGTCTGTACCTTGGAATCTGGCTGGATTTGATCCTGATTCAAATGTCAAGCATCAGAGTGCATCAACAGCAGAGACACCAAAATGAAGTTATTTAAAAGTTAAACGTTGGTAAACACCTGCTTGAAATGTCCTTGTAGACAGCTTAGCTTCTAAGCCACCTCCCTCCTTCCCCCAACCCCATGCCTTAGAGTGTAATGGAAAGTGCCGGCAGAGAAAGGGTTAAGAGATGACAATGTCCTTTTGCATCTGCTCTGACAACTTAGTCCTGCCTGATGCAATGCAAAAAGGCTGATATTAATCCCCCCAAAAGCAGTCATATTGGAAAGGCTAATGTGACTTTCACCACAACACTGGGCCCTTTGTAGTCTGATGTTTAATTCCATTGGAATGTTATTCTTTCCATTGCTTTTCTGACTATACTTGGATTTGAAACTACCAGGTCTTACTCCAGTACAAAACTCAATCTGCCTTGTGTTTGACAGACTTCAAAACATCCAAATCTGTTTTATTCTACGGGTTTCCACTGAATCAAAAAGCAAGGTGCATGCTTTACCAAGTAAGTGGCTTGTCCTCCTTCAGAGTTCTTGGGAGAAATCCCAGTTCCAGCGCTAAAGATGAATGGCCACTACTGAACTTCTCAGCATCCCACTGTGGGGTCTTTTCCTAGCTATATGGCAGATATGGCATGTGCCTGGCCTGAAGAAACAAAACATTAATTTTGGAATTCTGATGGCTTTAAACCTTTGATCATCACTTTCTAACTGTCTTTAAAACATTTTGCCTACAACAGTTGCAAGCTGTGGTTTTTTTGTCTGTGTGAGGTGACTAACAGTGCTACCGCTACCGCTCTCTATGTGGGGAATGTATTCATCTAGCACCCAAAACCACCTACTGGCTTCCGGCACCTCTTATCAGCTAAGCCATCAGCCCTGAGCTGACATTTCAGCATTCAGAAGCTCCCTACCCCCACCAGAAGTAAGTGACAGGAGGAGAAAAAAGCTCATTTGGCAATAGTTTGCTTTTGCTGTTTGGCCTGGAGAAAGACATTCAGAGTGGTAGAAGATTGTTTAGGAACAGCTGGCGAGCACCAGGGTGTGAGGCTGATTTTCAGATATGACAGCCACTTACAGGAATGCTGCCAGATACAGCTGTTTAAAAGCCTTAATAAACAGCAAGTCAATACTAATCTTTGCCAAATTAATCTTTTCCCTGACAGCCTATCAGAGCAATTATGTTTGGGCTTATTGTAAACATACAATTGTCAAACAGGGACGCTCCAGACTTTAAAATACTGTAGTTTGGTTCATACTCTTTCTTTAGAATGGGATTTTTGTTTTCTCTGTAGTATCGTAAGTCTTTCCATTTTATTTTCTAGTCACTGTTCTTTTCTTCTGGCCTCATGTCAGTGTGAATAAAATTTCACTTTCAAATGTCTTTGCTAGCAAGCTGTTAATAAAATGTGAAATGATTCCTGCTGGTGGGCTTCATTAATTAGGCGCAACTCTGACCGTGCTGAACTATAACAGGTCATTGTTCTCAGTTGTCTCTCATCCGGGAACAAGAACTTCATCTTCACTTCTTCTCATCTACTACATTGCAGGCTGATGCTGGATACAAATGACAAGATGTTTGGCTAAGTATGAAATGAGAAGGCAAAGTCTAATCTCTCTGTGTACACGTAGATTGCCAAGTGTGTCTAACTTGGGTTTGAAGTTACCTCTTCCTCCCGCGGCTCCCAGCCTTCCTCCTCCGTGGTTGGTGAGGTTAGGGGGCTCCCCATCCCCTTTCTCCAAGCAATGGTCTTGTGTACAGATTTGGAGACTTTTTTTTTGTTAGGAAAGGTTTTCCACACTGGGAAATCGTTCCAAATAAAAGTAGAGAAATCGCCTTTGAAAATCCTAAAAAATAGAACCAGGAAATACAGTCTTTTCCTTGCTTCACCAAGTCATACTAACACTTGGTAATTAGAAAAAAAAAATTCAGTATCCTGTTCATCAATAGTTTAATTTAGAATCCATGAAACTTGTCTCCTGAATGTTCTCTCTTGTGTTTGACACCCTACATGTCTAGCACCTCTTTTCTCCCTTCTTATTTTCTTGGTGAGACTAGTGTGTATTAGATCTTTTACTTTTGTCACAAATAGAAAAGCTCTTGTTCAACTATGTAGGCCAAAAAAATATGGCATAACTCATTTTGAAATTCTTTCAATCTTTTTGTAACCCTAGGTTTTTAATGAAACATTTGCATCTTCACTCCTAATGCTTGCCTGTAATATTCAATTCCCATCTATATTTAAAGAGCCTTTAAATCATCAAGAAAACACCATACAATTCCTGTTGAGGATAATTGATGATGTTTTATTGATCTTTCTTTGTATCATTGCATTTTTTGTGCATCTACTGTGTGCTATGACATTCCAAATTGTTTTGGAGATAAGGAAATTGTTGAATTTCAGGCAGACAAAGAGATTTTTACCATGGGGTGACTCACATGAATTCAACCATTAAGTGGAAGGGTGACTTAGATTTAGAGGTTAAACTCATGATACGAATTTTTAACCTTGCCTTGCCACTATTTTAATATTTAATAATCAGCAAAAGAGATGAATTTTCTGTTTCTATCCTTCCTTGAAAATAACAATTATGGCTGGACACGGTGGCTCATGCTTGTAATCCCAGCACTTTTGGGAGGCTGAGGCACGTGGATCGCTTGAGCCCAGGAGTTCAAGACCAGCCTGGGCAACATGGCAAAACCCTGTCACTGCAAAATATAGAAAAAAATTAGCCAGGCGTGTTGGCATGCACCTGTGGTCCCAGCTACTTGGGAGGCTGAGGTGGGAGGATTGGTTGAGCCCGGGAGGTAGAGGTTGTGGTGAGCCAAGATTGTGCCACTGCACTCCAGCCTGGGTGACACAGTGAGGCCCTGTCTCCAGAAAAAAAAAAAAAAAAGAAATAAAAGAAAAAAAAAGAAAATGACAATTATGAGTGGAATAAGAAAATGTAGGTCAAATCTCTATTTAACGGATAAACATGAGGACGTCTATGTTTAACAAAAACTTTCTGTTCCAGCAGATAACCTATTTATTACAAATGTTCATATGAATTTTTTACTATAACAAAGAAATATGAATGGCTATTGGGATTTACTGGTAATTTAAAATATTCCTTGTTTAATATAACATACCTGTCTAGGACTCATTCTAAGTGGGGTACCTTGTAAACAAACATAATTGATTATTCCTTTGAGCATTTTCTCCCAGGACTTTGTAAAGTACTTCTAATTCCATTTGAAATTACATATCAAGTTATGGTCAAAACCCCATTGTCTCTAATTCCCACACCTTTTGGTTGAATCATATGAAATTACCATTTCATAGATAAAACAGGTCAAATATTAGCAATTTCATATGGTTCAGTCTAATCACTTTTCCAATGAGTGGGACAACTCTTTTGCAAAGGGCAAGAGATCCATAGAAAAGGGATTGGTTGTTGATGTGCTAATTTTAAGTCATGCATTCATAAGTTTAAGAAATATCTTAGTAATGAATCTGAGCCAGAGTATACATTGACCCTTGATTAACAAGGGTTTGAAGCAAGCAAGTCCACTTATGTGCAAATTTTCTTTCATCTCTGCCACATCTGAGACAGCGAGACTAACCCCCTTCTTCCTCCTCCTCCTCAGCCTATACAATATGAAGAAGAGGATGAAGACCTTTATGATAATCCACTTCCACTTATTGACACTAGTTAATAACTTATTTCTCTTCTTTATGATTTTCTTAATAACATTTTCTTTTCTCCAGCTTACTTTAAGAATACAGTATATAATACATAAAACATAGAAAATATGTGTCACTCAACTGATTATGTTATCAGTAAGGCTTCTCCTCAACAATAGGCTATTAGTAGTTAAGTTTTGCGGGGGTCAAAGTTGCATAGGCATTTTCAACTGCGTGGGTGTGGGGAGGAGTTGGTGCCCCGACCCCTGCATTGTTCGAGGGTTGACTGTATTGCTTTGGTGGCCACGGCTTCCCATGGACTGCTTGTGGTCCATGCAGACAGGCCTCTTTGCGTTTAACACAAATAATAAAAATAATCACAGAGACCAACTTCATCCTTGGCTATAATTTGACTAACTGGAAGTCATTATTTGACTCATTTTGCCTTATCAACTCGGTCACATTTGAATGGGAATCAGGATTTTTGAATTATTCTTTCTTAATCATTTCTCGATTATGTTAGAGACACAACTCAACCCACTCCTACACACTCTCGCAATTTTTTCTTTTTCTAATCAGCTATAATTTTGGTTTTGGTGTGTTGGTGAAGAAATCTGTCGTTCCACAGTGTTGCTGTTATCTCTCAGAATGACTTTACTGATGGTGCTGGAAATCTTCGGAGTGCTTCAGCAGAGAACTCGGCGTGCACCCCCACTGTTCCTCTCAGCTACAAGCTCCAAGCCGCTGGGCTACTGTGCCCAGGGTGGATTCTGGCTTTCTGAAAGATGGGGATTTCCTAGGCAACAGCTCACTATACTAGAGCCTCAGGTTAGTGAGAGGGCATTCTCAGAGTTTCAGGAAAGAACATTTGTGGCCATGGCGGCCATTAACCCCCACTCTGCCCGATCACTTCCACCATAAAATTTATTTGGGATTTCTCATCTGACTAGGCTTGCTTTTTAGAGACTGATGGATCACCAAATAGAATACGGTCACGCATAATAACAGTTTTATTGATGATGTGTTTTCTTTTATTTACATTTGTTTTTACTGTATTTGGTATTGAATTTCAACACTCTCTACCCTGGTCGCACAGCTGCTCTAGAAAAGCTGTAAACAACACGGCACTGTGCTTTCCTGCACAAACCGCCTGTCAAAGTCAAAGCTGCTCATTCTCCTCCCAGTAATTACCTTCTCAGTTTAGACTTAATGCAAGTGAAATTTTTACTTTATCATAATATAATAAATAAAAGACATTAGTTAATTAGTAGTGCTGGTATATTTCTAAAATACTAAACAGACAAACAATAAACTGTGAACTTAATCACATGAGTTCTTATACAGTTTCAAGACAGGAAAATTAGAGCTCTCAGCTACAGTCATTTTAATAATCACATGGATCTGCATTATTTATTAGTTATTACATGCTCAAGTGATTCAAGGTTGTACAATGCCTAAAATCATTCCAAAGCAAGCATACCTTTTGTCTGTTTAATTCTGAGTGGATTACACAATGCATATATTTGTATTTAGTTAAACTGCTAAATTTATTTCACATATTCCAAGAAAGAGACATCAGCCATTCTCTTGGTTTCCAACCAGACTAACTTTCTTGATATGATCCCCTAAAAAGGAGTAAATCTGCTAGCTTTTTCTTTTTTTAATGTGAAAGCTATGCAAGCCCTCAGGCAGATTCTCAAGCACTTTTGGTTCCCTAGCAAATCTCTGGTACCTTAAGAATCCTCTTGGAAGACCCAGGAATTCTGGAATGAGTAGTAGCTTGTAGAGGCACAAAAGACAGCAAGAATCTCAATTTCTATCAACAGCTTTCAAATTTGGATGGCTTTCCCTTTTCTTTTGCTATCTGGTTACTCACCTTTCATTTTTAGATGCTTCCCTTTCACTTCTTCCAGCCCCTAGTTCAATTCTTAAATGCTTTCTGGATTTTGTGAAAAGCATGCAGCTTGAGGAAGTTTGGTTTGACTTTTACTTTTTTGCGGGGGGCGGGGGGTGGTGGTTCAGAATTGACTAGAACCAGCTGAGAACCAAGAAGTAACCTTTTTAAGACAGAGGACCTGTCTGTTTGTTTAGTCTTGGAGCTTGTGTGACTTGGAGGGCAATTCTGTTATGTCGTATGAAGAAATAAAGTTCTTAAATATAATAGTTTTTTGTTTGCATCAACCAAAGAAATGCAGAAATAAGGACTGGTTACTTTAATTTGCTGCTAAATGAAAAGCAGGTTTGGCTTTATTCATGTTACTGTAAAAACTAAATAATAAAGTATTCACACCAAGCGTGAATTTTTTTTTGCCAGCAAAAGTTAAAACATCAAAGAAACCTCTTTCAAATACTAACAAATTTACTTACAAACACCTATATTTATTATTTCATAAATAGGCGCAACAGGTTCCATAAAAAAAGATTAAATACAGACACAGTATGAAGAAACAATAAGACAGAGCCATATGTAAAAGTTGTAATTTAGCTGTTTCCAATCTGTTTCTGCATCTAATAAAATACCAGGTAAGCATTTGGCAGTTTTATACATAAAAGGACTTAAATGACATTTACTAACCATTACACAAAAAGTGATACAAAAAAGCAATTTTTCTGCAGTACAAAATAAATGTGTTTGCGCTTCCCTTAATACTAGTTTCTTTTTGTCTGATCAATGAGACAAAGCCAATTTGTTTTTAAATTAAAATCACTTGGGAATACTTTTTATTTTCAAATATTTTGAAAATATAGAACTATCAGTCAGTTGTTTTAAAAATGAAGTAAAAATATGAATGTTTGCCAATTTAACCCCTATTGTGAAATCAATAAACTGGAATGAGCCAGTTTCAATTACAATTTAGCTACAAAAACATTCACATTTTATACTCTAGGAGAGTGTAACATAGATGCTATTTACAAACTTGCTATGACTGCTACATCAAGCCATTTAAAAAGTCTTTAGTAGTTTCATATAAACACCCATTATGAAAACCAATGGAAAATCCAGGACTTTTATCCGAGACATCTACAGTTGCTAAGGCAGTTACTAGAGCGCAGCACTTCACAGCAAAAAACCAACATAAAATCTGAATGGTCCAAATTTCCTTCAGGGAAGAAGAAAAACAATGTCCATAAAGGATTAAAAAAATAATAAAGAAGCATGACTATTTCTTCCAGAGTGGGTGACCCACAAGCTCAAATGGTCCTAAGTGCTTAGCAACTTGTATTTTCTAATAAAATGGAGAACTGCCTTGACTGTACAAAGCAATCCATGGTGAAAACACTTCCCTGAATTCCTCAGTGGAAAGAAGAGGTGTTCAGATTCTCAAGTAAGGTACAGTGCTTTGTCCCTCTGCATGCCCCTGTAGGAAGAGAAAAAAGACAGTTCCTTGTTACAGGACAACCTGTGCTACAGGTGACAATGGGGGGATGGATGTCTTTGAATTATTTGCTCCAGCTTGAGCTGTTCACTGGGAAACTGCAATTAGTTAACCTACATCTGAAGTGAGAAGTGAGCTAAAGGCATTTATTCTTGGAAGAGCTAGAAGACTGCTTAACAATTTCTGGTGTCTTCTGCCTTCATGAACGTGAAACTATCCCGGATCATGTTTTTGGAAACAAGAGAACGATCAACTAGGGACGATATGCATGCTATGAGCGCTGTCCACCACCAGGTGGCGATGACCGGCCGCTTACCCACTACTGCAGTAGTCGTTATTCCAGTCCACCGGTTGTGGGGGAGGATTTCTGCACCCCGAACGCACATACTCCATTGCCTGGGTGACAACTTGTGCAGCTGTAGATGTAGGATTGATAATAGTCTGATAGTCGGGTTGAAGAGTAAATCCCTGAAAGGGAAAGCAAGTCCGCAAATAAGGATCAAAATGCATTTTAAGAAGAAAAGCACCTAAATATTTATTCATTCTTTGCAGACACACTAGGCCTCTTGCTTCTGTCTCTGCAAGGGCAAGCCTGTCGGAAGAGCCCAGAAAATTTAAAACAAAGGTAGAAAAGAAATGCCCACAAGTCCATTCTTCTTACCTTTCCTTCATTTAGCCATGAGTCAGAAAACCTTTAATTATACCCTTGAGCAGATAAATTGAATTGAGAAACAATTTCAAATATAGAGGAGCCAACTCAATCAAAACAAAGGGAGAAGAGGGCCTAAACCCCTCAAAGTTTATGTTTTCTATCAAACCTAAGGATACATTAATAGTTAATCCCCAGAATATGCAACAGAATCTTTTTTGAAGGATTCAGGCAGCAGGTGGCTGAGTGTTTTATTAGACTACACCTATTCACATATTGTTCTCAAACCTCTTTTTCTTCATTCAGTCACAAAGGGACCATCTGCTTCTTCTTTTATTTGTATTTCTCTCTCAGCTAAAAAATTTCAACCAAAGCTTTTTAACAGTTGTTGGACTAATACAGGGAAAAGAGATTCAAAACGACTTGCCATTGGAAAACACGGGGAGGGAAAAGTGTACGACAGAGCAAATATTTTTTAATTGAAAAGTCTATTAACTGGCAAACAATAATCAGACTTCAGGAAGATTCTTCTAATACACTGGCATGGTGAAGTGTTGACTTTTAATCCTAGCGAAGCTATTAAAAATTCAAGGACAGAATCTCTGAAGTGTATAGCTATATCTGGTAAACAAAAAGCATTCTATACTAAGATTTATTTTTAGCTTCTCTGGTGAATTCAAGATCAACATAAGCAAGTTTTTCTGGAAATGACCAAAAAGGCAACTTAATTAATCTCATGGTTGTCTCCAAAGCAGATTCCATCCATGATTTTTAACCACTAAGAAATCAAGAGATTAAAAAACAAACCATTCTCTATTTACTTGGAGAAAGCTTTTGAAGCCATAATATTGTTGAATTTTCACTTTTAAAGAACTCAGCAGGATGACAGGAGGATTGATTTTTAACTAGGGATACCTCCTTAGACTTTTATTCATGTTTGAGTGTCCCTCGTGTAAAGACTCGAAGGCACCTATTACCAAATATTCTCATTTCTCATTATTCAGTTTTAGATATTAAGTTTATTTCCTATTCAAATGATAAAGACTTCAAGCCAACATCACCACTGATTCCCACACAAGCTGTGGACAAAGACAAAACTCTGAATGACTGGAGACAAATCACTGAAAAATGGACAATTCAACCAGATTGGTTACTTGATCTCACACAGACTAAAAGAAATTCACAGCTTGTTTACGGAAAATAAGTTTGTCTGTGTAGATATGACCTGTTCCTCAAGCTGTAAATATCTTCCAAAATATTTCCCTAGTGTCTAGTTCGATGCTGGGCGAAGGACAGGAGAAAACTCTTGAGAGGAGCCTTGTCTTGGCTTCCTTTATTCAGCCTCATCACAAGGCTGCTGTAAGCATCTTGAGATCAGAGAGTGTTTCAAATACTTACTGGGTATTCTCAGGGCCTAGCCCATAATAGTGGCTCAATAAATCATGTTTTTCATAAGTAAAGTTTATTGCAGACTGTTTGATGCTACTGTTGGAAAGGTGCAGGGTATATAAATGATTAAATGTCAGGGATTTCCTATCTTTTTGTTGTTGTTAGAGACCGGGTCTTGCTCTGTCACCCAGAATGGAGTGCAGTGGCATGATCATAGCTCACTGCAGCCTCAAACTCCTAGACTAATGCAACCCTTATGCCTTGGCCTTCCAGGTAGCTAGAACTACAGGTGTGTGCCACTATGCCTGGCTAATTTAAATTTATTTATTTATTTATTTATTTATTGTAGAGATGGAGACTTGCAATGTTGCCCAGGCTGATCTTGAACTCTGGGGCTCAAGGGATCCTCTTACCTTGGTCTCCCAAAGTGCTGGGATTATGGGCATGAGCCATTGTAGCCAGCTGCTATCTTTTTAGTGTAAAGTTCTCCATATTGGATTTTTGTTTTGTTTTGTTTTTGAGACAGGCTCTTGCTCTGTCACCCAGGCTGGAGTGCAATGGCACCATCTCGGCTCACTGCAGTCTCGACCTCCTGGGCTCAAGCGATCCTTCCACCTCAACCTCCCAAGTAGCTGGGACTACAGGTGCTGCCATTATGCCTTGCTAAATTTTTTTTGGTGTGCGTGTATGTGTTGTAGAGACATAGTTTCGCCATATTTCCCAGGCTCATTTCCAATTCCTGGGTTAAAGCGATCCTCCCACCGTGGCCTCCCAAAGTGCTGGGATTACACGAGTGAGCTACCATGCTTGGTCTCCATATTGGAGTTTTACACAGTTGACAAAATGTAACCTAAAAGGAAAAAAGTCTCAAAAAAGAAGTAGTCGAGAATATATTGACTTAGTTGACAGCGTGGAAACATATGAAAAAGCAAAACACAAGCACAAACAAATAAACCCAGCAACCACACGAGACCAACCCACCCCCTTTCGCTGCCCTTCCCCACACAAAGACCACAGAAACCGCCATTTTTTCCCCCCATCCAATGAAAATAGTTCTCAGGTTGTAAGAAAACATTATTAGTTTAAGATTAAATGAGTGACTTCAGTTTACAAAACCAAAATTATGTGTTAGCTACAAAGTTCAAAGATTTAAACTTCAGCTAACTTCAATGTCTATTTTAAGATCACTAATATCAAAACAAGGACCGAGAAACATACAAGCAAAGCCTGAAGTAATATTATTTCACATTATTTTACTTTCTTTCAATTTAGCAAATGACACATTCCTCTGAACACTATAAAAAGAGATGCTGAGGTCAAATGTAGCACTCAGTAAATATTGATTATTGGTGTAAATATGAAACAACATGATGACACACACTTTTTGAAAAAATGTTTGCTTAGTAGTCTAATTAAACAAGACTGAATATTTTGCATTTTAATACTCAGGAGAAAAATCACCAACTGTTTTGTAGCATGCCTGGAATTTTAAATTTCATTTTCTGGTGCCAGATTGAAATAAAAATAGGAAACATGATAAAGATTAATTTGATGTCAGAAGGGACATTTGCTCTTTAATTAGATTTCTGCAGCCCTCGCAGTTTTGTTGTGCCACCAGAGCAAGTCCGAAAAAGCCTGCAGCACAACCAAACAGTGATCCTCATATCCACACTTTACTGGGAACTAATTTCATTTCCTGCCTGTCTGGAGAGGTATTTTCAACAGGCATCAATGTTTTTGTCTTCACAACTGATTTATTCATCAATCTCAATGTGATTTTTTTTAAACCTTTAAATTACACCCAAATCCTAAAGCAGCTGTTTATTACACAAGGAAATTGAAAATCTGTCTGTGTGATATCATACAAAGATTTTTTCTTAAGGTTATAAAGGAAGTTGACAGATATTAATGATTTTTTTCTCTTGACCTCATTCGACAATCTCATGAGCAGAAGAAAAGAAAGAAAACTGGACAAAAAAAGCAGGTCCACGGTTTCAGTGTATAAAACATTATTCTAGAAAAAAATGAAACTATTATTCCTGGTGGACTACACAATCATTTTTGTAGGATACATTCATTTTCAAAAGGATAATAAAATAGCTAAAGTAATATTGGAATATGAGACACTATTTTAAAAATACAGTTGCTGTTAACGTTCTTCTCTCTCTGTCTCTCTTTCTCTCTCTCTGTCTGGTGTTTGGATGTGTCCACATGGCTCCCACATGAGGAAGCAAACATCTTCAGCATAAAGGTGTTTTGAATGATGAATCAGGTCAGATTTTATCCACAACTCAGGTCTGCATCTACAGGCTGAAGACTAACTGATGACTCGGATGTGGGCCCCAACAGACTGTGGCGGTGGCAATAAATGAAGTGATAATGTGGAGGGGTGGTGGACTCCCTTTTTGATCCTGATTTTAGGATTATCAGTTCTCTGGGGATACCAGTCCCCTTCACCTGCAGGATCCCACTCCAATTCCCTGCCCTTGACTCTGACCTTGCCCCTACCTCTCTCTTTATTCCCCTCCTTTCCACTGGCCTCCTTCCGATCTCCTGGACAGGCCATGCTCATCCCCAGATTGGCTCTCCCAGCTAGAGTCCCCTTTCCTGGCTGCTGCTGTCTGTGGGAACGTCCTCCACACCCTTCCCACTTTCCAGTATTTAAAGCGTGCTTCCTCTTCTCATCCTTCAGGTCACTGTGCCAGCCCTTGAGAAGGGCCTTCCTTGTCCATCCTAGCTAAAGGCTCTGTCCTTCCTGCATGCACCCTGAAAGTCTGGAATTCTGTCTTCCAGTTTTATTTTTTTCAGGGGACCTTCGTTATTTGTTTATCATATCACCACTGCCATCCCTCCCCTGCCAACTCCACGGGGCAGGGGTCTCATGACTTGTTCTCACTCATCACTCAATTTCCAGAGCCTAGATAGTGCCTACCACATGTTAGGGGTTCAATTAAAATTTTTCGAATCAATTACATTTTTAAAAACTTCCAAGGAATTGAAATTGAAATTCTACTACCTGATCTTTAAATCCTTCTAACAGTGAAACACTTTTACTGCTCATTTGTTTGTTTATTTGTTCACTACTCAACAATTATTTTGACTACTTACCATGATCAAGGCATTGTTAAAAGAGTTCTTAGTCAATGTAGTCTTTGGAGCGATTTAATCTCCATTTTGGGCTTATGCCATTTGGGTAAATTGTAATCAGGTCTTCCCATCTCAGCAAGCATACTTTTTGGGATACACTAACAGAACTGACTTAAAGGATGATGAATAACTTGTCCAATGTAATCTGTTCTATTTTTTCTTATACAGTTAAGATTCTATATGGAAAGACAAATCTCTTGGATTTTTACATGTGGTCTTATGTAAATCTGAAATATTTGAAAACTATTCAGGATCATGGCCACATCATCCAAGGTGTTTGTGTTAGCATAAATAGAAAAAGTAATCATCTCTGATTGATAAATCAGAAAAAAAGATCTCTGCACACAGCTCCAGCCCGCAGCATGGTGAGGAAACTGAACTTTTGGTTTTTTTCCTTCAGGAAGAAACAGCCCCCAACTATAGCACTGTAAGCAAAACATGGGTCCTTAGCTAGGCAGCACCCTCAAACAGGGGCCAATTACCCAACCAAGGGTGGCATCCTCCAAACCATTAATTCTTCATACAAACACTACTGGTTCATTAAGATGCATGGATACCCAAGTATGTCCCTTTAATTGAAGTTGATGTCTGATGGGAAGAGTGGGAATTTGACCCTCAGAATATAACTTGGTCATATGCCTCTTAAGACAAGGCAGGGTGGTGGGAAGTGGCTTTCTACGTACTCTTCTTCCCCAGTGAATCAACAACTGTCTGTTGGATGCAGATAAGAAAATCATCATAGCTTTAACAGTATCTTTGGCTTAGGGACCAAGAAAGACTTCAGTAAGAAGATAAATCCCTTTGTTCTTCATAACGACTTTGATTTGAGAAGTAACCAGAATTTAAAGATCCTTTGAATTCTTAGGAGATACAGGTTTTCTCATATGAAAGAGTTAAGAGTCTACAAGAACGACTGTGAATGAGATGCAGCAAGCCTAGCATTTTAGAATCCAGCCTCTGAGTTTTGAACAGACCTGGGTTTGAATTCCAGCTCTGACCTTATGAGCACATGACTTAACTCTGCCAAGCCTCAGTGTCTTCCTCTAAATGAAGATAATGCTCATACCCACACTATAAGTTTTCTGAGAATTAAAGAAGAGGTGGTGTATTAAAAGCATTGGGCTTGTTACTGTGAGCTCTCAAAAATTCTGTCAATAATAATAGTAGTAATAATAATAATGAATTGGGGACTATGTATATTTGATTTCTTTTTCTGCCTCTCCTTCCGCTTCATCTCGATCCCAGTCCAACTAAAGATTCAAATTCCACAGAGAGGTAGACATCAATTCTATAGGAAATCTGTGTTTGCCTTATATCCTTATAGCTTGGAGAACAATAGAGTAATTGGAGTATATAAGTGATACCTGCATTTAATGTGATTTGTAGTTTTTACTTTTATTTATTTTTTTAAAAAATTATATTCAGTCTCCATAGAGACTATAAAAGATTGCCAGTGTCAATTATACTGCAAGTTGTCATGGCAGGGTAGTGGGAGAAGCTTTCAACTGGCAATAATCACATCTCAGATAAACTTTATTGGCTATGATACTGCCACTGCGCAAAGCTGCTTTTATTTTTTAAAATAAAATTTAAAAAATAGTTTTAGGATTTCAGGATGCCTTCTGTTCAGTTTAGTTTATATTGTTTGAGCCTAATTTTCAAATTTTAAAATAACACCAAAATCCAAAAGCAATATTTGATTTCAAAGAAAAGTTAAGCTAAAATTGCACACAAATGGTTTCAATAATCAGGGAGTGGGTAGGGAGGCTTCCAAACAGCCTGTGTTTTTCAATTTATGCAGAAGCCAGATATCCATTTTTAAATAAAACTCTGGTTAAAATGTTCAGTTCTTAGGACTTTCAGGGTTCTACCAGATTTGGTGTTGGACCTGATTTCATTTTTCAGCATTTATTGGACTCAAGAGGCATACCAGTCAAGACTTTCTCATCTCCAAACAATATTTTTTAAAAAGTTGTAGAATTCTCTATTCCAAAGAGATTCGGCAGCACTTGGTATCTTAAAATAACAAATGTACTTTACTCAAGAAACAGAAAACAAGAAGAATGATTAGAAACATGAAGCAAAATGGATATCATGGGAAAGAAACCAGTGATTATGAAAAGAAGTGACTGTCAATTGTGATGGCATAATGCCACACGAACTCACCACTTGTAAATTACATTTTACAGAAAGCAGATATTTGTTGAATATCTTTAGTGCTCTCTTGACTTAAATAGAAGGATAGAAAACACATATCCCCAATCCTGTCCTGGATAAACAGCTCCCCCCACCTCCACCACCACACTTCAGAATAGGGGTGCACACTCTAAGTCCAGAGCCATTGCACTTACTTGCTGCATGGTGGGTGAGTGTAAGGCAGACTGGACCTGCATGGGGAGCTGGTTCCCAAGGGGCTGCTGCATGGTGAGCGGCTGGTGCTGCTGCATGTTGAGATGCTGGTGAAGAGGCGGGCTGATCTGGAGGGGAGGAGGAGGGGACACAGCCATGTTTGCTATAGAGACAGTCACTGGCATTTGGTTATTCGGCTTGGGGGCTATGTTCCTGGGGAGACTAGGATGCATGGCAGTTAGGTGAGGATTCATTCCCGGTTGTTGGTGATAGTGGGAACTTAGGTACAGGGCCGAGTGGGCCTGGCTGGGCCCATGGAACACCGACGGCTTCGAATTGATCAGCTGAGGAGGTTGAGATGTCTTCACGTCAACAGGTTCACTGTAGCTCTGTTGAGGAAATAAATGAGCAGAGTTGGGAGGCTGATACATGAGTGTTGATTCAAGGTATGACGCTTTGTGAGTTTATTAAAGCACCTTCCCTGGAATCCATACCCATGACTATCCCGGACTCTCTGATCTAAGAATTTCTTCACCATTATTTGTAATGTGATTTATAGAAGACAGCTTCTATCCCTTTTAGGAAATTGAAAACAATCTGCAATGACATTTTGTTCCTTTGCCTAAATGTTTTTAACTCGGTGACTTTTCTCATTATCCAAATGAGGGTGACAAGATGGGTTTGTGGAGGGTGGGGGACGGGAGAAGGCAGATGCCGTGAATGCCCAAATGGGAAACACACGTGAAGATTACTTTCAAAGCAAATCAGTTCTGGAGTTCTTCTATAGATTATAGGTTTAGTTTTTAATTTTTCCTTTTTTATATTCTCAAAGAGACTTGGCCTAGATATTTGCACAAAGAAAACAAAGCTGGTTGATGGAAATGGATATGGGAGAACAGAGTTCTAAAATACCTTTCTGAAGTCATATAAAACTACATTAATATACTCTTCAAAGTAACTGCAGAACTTATCCTGAGTTTTAAAATGAAGTTGGTGATGAATTGTCCTCCATAATGAAGTAGATAAAAATAATCTCTCTTAGAAATTTTAGACTCCATCATAAATTAATATAATTTTGCCCTAATTTTTTCCGCACCTTCATATGATCATTTCCTAATAATATTTTAATTGATTTTAAAACTGAACATTTCAGTAAAGGCTGAAAAGAATCAAGAATTAACCCTGTGGCAATTCCTCATGGGCCTGAACCTACCTCCTACATTTCCTGAGAGGAAGAGACTGATAAAACAACCAAAGGTAGCAGGTAGAACCAACTGGAAGGAAAAAAGTGATAAAATGGATTGGAGAAAAAAAATCACTTTGTCAAAACAAGGTCTTGAGGACGCATATATGCTTTTACTCTGCAATCTCAATGTCATGCTTATTCAGCTTTCAAGTCAAAGTGAGTTTCTTACTACTTTCCACACTGCAGGGAGAACTGTGCCATGAGGGCTCTCGGGGTCCTTCTGCTCAATGCACCACCGGGCAACCCACTGACAGGCCCTTAGAGAAACGGGTTCATCATGCACGACAGCGTGAAACTCAGGCCGGGTAGCTTCATTATCACCAGGCAGCTTACATTACGGTTAGCAACACAACTCATTTGTCTTCAATAATGCAGTCAAGTTTCATGAAAACCACAGTAAGAATGATGCTGTGTATGTCTGCTGACTCCTGGGGTGACGGGGACAGGCTGGGGTGGGTGGACGATCAGCCCCACGTTCTGTCATTATAGAAAGGACACATCTGACACCTGTAAAAGTATGCCAAACCATGGAAACCTGGGGTCCTGTGAGACTCTGAATACTCCACGCACAGTATAAAGTAAGGTGTACTGAAATAATTCCAGCCCCTTTGGAGAGTCCTCTCATTCTGACATTTTCCCCTGTGTCACACTGTTGATGCAGCTTTCTGAAATAGGAACAAACATATAGACTCCCTGTCTTCAGTATTAACATTAAAAACATCAAAAACTGTTCATGCAAAAATTTTAAGGGGAGGTTTTAGATCAAAGAAGCTTTATTAAATGTAGCTCCTAAGAGGTGCTTTTCATTAAAAAAAAAAAACAAGTTTTAAGTAGATTTTTTTTGGCTTCCATTTAAAAATTCTTATTGTTGATGTGCAAAATAGTTAACAATTCAAGGAAAAGGTCAAATGGGTTAATCGAGCCTGTGTAAACAGTGACTACTTCCACATCAGAATAACATGTACTGCAATTCATATGCCTCAAAAATTATTCCGTATATGCCAGAAAGATTATGTGTTAAGTCTGTGTGTTTAAGTAATCTGGAAAAGTGTTCGGTATGTTTGAATTCCCTCTTTTTAGCCTATTGCAGAAGGGCTAGTTTCATATTTAGTCACAGACTGTGTTGACTTCATACCAGAAAGAAATCATATTTATAAAAATGGATACATATTGGTGCATCTTTATTTTTTGCTTTATAGGTGTTGTTTTTAATTTAAAAATAATACAAGTCACTCACATTCTTGTATGATCAAAAGTAGAAAATATGTGTAACTGTAAAAATGTTTTCATTTTTAATTTCTATATATAACATATTACTAGATAATGAGGTAAGTTTTGGCTAAAGAAATAAAAATATCGAATTCAAAATAAACAATGAATTTAATTTTCCTGAATTCTACTATTTAAATAATTGTATGTGGTCCATCATATAGAGAGATGATAGATAAGCAGAGGTAGAGATGGAATAGATGTACAGATTTACAGAAGTGAACAGATAGCAACCTAATTTGAGATACTTTATTACCAACCTTGTAAAGCTCTCTTTTTTCATGGATAATTAAACACAAAACATTTTCTCTATCTAGCCACTTATTTGTCATTTATGTCCTCCATATCAAAGCACACAAAGACCAGTCCCCCTCAACCTACTTTGAAAGAGTAGTAACTTTTAATCACTAGAATAACTATTGGCAAACTCAAAGTAAATAGAGTTCCAAAGATAATGATTCAGACAACACTTGAAACATAATTTTTAACATAGAGGGAGGGAGAATTTGGGGAAGTTATATATATTTTCCCTTTATTTTCTAATCATTGACTGTGACAACAGAAATAACGTATCCAGCCTTGTGCCTGAACGTGGCAGGTGCTCCAATATAAGTTATTTTCCTGTAGTCTCTTTTCACAAAGATGTCCTGATTCCTCCAAAAGGGCATCTTTTTTTGATGGTAGGGACTTGAATTTCTGTAGCCCACGCATCTACCATAGTGCAAAATACATAAAAACACAATTATGTTTTCTAAGGAGTGAATGACTATTCTTGAGCAATCCTCCAGGCAGCCACCATTGCCCTTGCTGACTTGCCCTCTTGACCAGACACACCGTTCCTCTTCCCATGGAGTGAGGAAGGATCTGAAGGCTTGGAAAAGCCACAGAGTATTAGATTGACCTTCCTCATGCTCTTCTCTGCTCTCGGCAGGACCCAAACCCTTCCTGAAGTGATGAGAAATTACAGCTTTCCGCTCTGTCCTTTGGTTAGATACACTGCCCTTTATGCCTCACTGGTCTTGGGGGAATGGCAGTAGCAGGGCAGCTAGTTCAGTCTCACCCATACTTTGGGAATTTGTATGTTTATGTAATGGTCCACTCATTTAGATGAGGAAAAACCTGCTTCTGGCTTCGCTTTTCATTAATTATTAAGCAGTCTAGTACAATAGACCATCTATTAATTACAGAGTTATTTTATTGTTCTGGAAGATAGGTAGAATAAGTTCATTTTCAGTGGCAAACTGCCATAAATTCATAATGTGATTAAATGAAAATACATAGAAATCATAATGTACTCTTACTGTCATTTTTTCCCAATTTAACTGTGAAAGCAAGGCTACAATTTTGCTGATCAATTATATTGCATATGAAGACTTCTATACCTATCATTCAGAAATTAGAACTATTTTCTCATACATACTAAGTAATTTGCATTTGTTTCCACTTTTAAACACATTAACCACTTTTATTTAGCAATGAGTGTCATGTTGGTCACCTGACAAATGTGTTTCCTAGCTTGTAGACAACTGAAAATCAACCTTTGAATCCCACACTTTCACAGAAGGAATGTGTTCTTGCTGTTAGTTTCTGAGTATGTTCTCTTTCCTATTTGCATTTAGACGACAGATTCTGGAAGATATTTTCTACAAGCCATAAAGTGGGGGTCGTGGCCATAGAGACATTTTGAGTATTATCTGTAGGGAGTTCCTTTGACATATGCAAAATGTATAAAGGATACAACTCTATAAGCCTGAAGATACCTTTTACTAACCAAATTGTTGATTACTGAAGGTAGCTTCAATCCCATTTACTTTGTATAATGAAGATAATACTGCATAGTGTATAAATTTCCCCATTCTGGGATGATATGTGCTATAAAAATGAAAGATTGACAAAGCTATTGTTATTTAAAATAGCAAAGTATAAATACAATGCATAAAAATCAGTGGAAGGAACAATATAAGAGTTGCTGAACCAAATCAAATTAATAGTCCATCTAATTTGATTCTTGTTTTCAGCACTGACCGATACTTAATGCATTGAAAATTAAACAAAATTTATGCACCTACTCAATTGTGCATTGCTCCTTCTGGAAGGAAAATTCTTTCTGCTCCATGCAGGTGATTAACTTATACCCTGAAGCATGAGATTTTATTATCTTTAAATCACGATCTGGGTTTACAGAGCTGCAAATTTTACGTTAACAGTCATACAATGATCCATCCCATTTGCAAATTCAGACTCAATATTTGTCTCCATAGCTCACCATGGCATGGTATCTGTAAGTTTGCCTCATTCTATAAAAAGAAACTGTTTTTTTCAAATCCACTTTCCTTTAATTGAACTAAGCATTGTGCTTCTTTACTACTGACTATGGAAACAGAGAACTTTCTTGACTTAATTCAATATTGTCCTGTTCTGTACGTTAAAAAAAAAAAAGGTTTCCATTTGTCCTTTATAAATTTTAGCACTTCATGAACTATTCCTTAAGGTAGAAACAAAATCTTATATTTGATGTTATGACCTTAAAATCATGAATCTGATTGCCTTTATTTAATAAACCAGAACATAGTTATCCAAATGCCATATCCTTCCAGGTTGGCAATCCTGAGAAGTTGTACACTTATTTCAATAATGCTGCCTTTATTTGGGATATTTGGGAGCTTCCCTACTGGAATTCTCTTCAGAGCCTGTGAGACACTGTTTTACATATCCTCAGACAACTCTTTGTCTTTTGATGGTGAATTTGATTTTTGGAAACAGCTAATAGTCACTTGAAGCCAAGTCTGCGGGTTATATCTGGGTGATGTTTGGGGAAAAGAATGAGGTGTGAAAACAATGTAACAAGATTGATTTTCTAATGTGGCTCATAAACTTTTCCTGACTACAGTTCTAAAAGAGGAGTTTCAAAAATTTTTTGAACTCTGGGAGCAATAATAAAATGAGTTTGCAGCCTCCCAAGGTGACTACTTTGAATGCAACACTCATTTTGGGAATATAAATTCTGGTCTATGTGGTAAAATGAAACTAGTTCCATTGCTCTATAGTTATACATTGTTTTCAGCATAATAATTTAGATCCATGTCTAGGAATTCCCGAGTCTATGGAAAAACTATATTTCCTTAAGCTTTATTTGACAGTCCAACCCCATATGACCTTCAATAGCGTGTAAAATTGCTTAAGATGGGAAGGCCAAGCCTCCATAATAGCATATATCCTTGGACCTCTTTGCAGGGTTCATAAAGATCATTTCAATTAAGAAAACTATAGATGAATGCATTTTTGTTTATATCTAGATCATATCTTTATAAAGAAATGCATCTATGATGCAAAATTTTCCTTTTTAATGTCACTTTTAAAATTTCCTTATATCAAAGTAGCCTTTGATATAAAGACAAATTGAAAATATCATCCAGCTAAATTTTCAATGATATGCAAATCTTTCCCCCCTCCTTTCTATACCTACTAATACTAAAAATAAAATTAATAATAATACTCATAGCTTATATTTATTAAGTGCTTCCTATGTTCAGGATGCTGAGTCATGCTGTTTATTTTTTAAATTTTTGAATTTTAAAAATTTTAATTGTATTGTGATAAGAACACTTAACATGAGATCTACCATCTTCACAAATTTTCAAGTGTACAATCCAGTATTGTTGACTCTAGGTCCAATGTTGTACAGCAGATCTCCAGAGCTAATTCATCTGGTTTGAGGAATGCTTTCTGCCTGTTGATTATTGACTCCCTATTTCCCCCTCTCCCAGCCCTGGCAACCACCGTGCCACTCTTTGAGTCTATGAAATTGACTATTCTAGATACCTCCTATAAGTGGAATCATGCAGTACATGTCTTTCTGTGACTGACTTATTTAATTTAGCATAATGTCCTCAAGTGAACCATGTAATTTGTATAGATTTGCTTATTTTATCCTCATGGAAACCCTAAGATGTAGGTCCTATTATCTTCTCTGTTTAACATTTGAGTAAATGGAGACTTAGAACATACAAGGAACTGCATGAAGATATGCAGTTAGGAAGTGGGAAACCTGGGATTCGAATCCAGATCCACCCGCCCCAGAGACTACAGACTCCTCAGTCTGAGGACTCTCCCAGTATGATAGAGGTGGCACTTTTTAGATGTCCTAGAACAGGCTTCCTGTGATTCCATATGAAAGTGCAGAGGTTGAAGTTGCCTTAGAGGCCTCCAATCCTTATTTATAACATTTGCTTCTGCTTTTAAGTTTCTCTATGGAAAGAAGTTGTTTAACAATTCAAGAGTTTAGCAATGTCCCCTGTTCAGATTAAATTAATCTAATTTGAAATGGAACCTATTTTCTTATTCTGTAGTCAGAGAAAATTAAGCATGAATAATCACCACCCTATGTCTAATGCCAATGTGGACTTAAACACCTTTGAGTCTTTGTTTTCTGGGTTTCATAATCTTGAATCCTCTCTTTTTCTGCTACTACCTTCTAACTTTCGGCCTTCCAGCCAATTTTATGACCTTTTCCAACTTCCCCCTTTAAATGACAGAGCCTAAAATTGAACAAGGTATTTTGGAGTCTGACCAGCACTGTGTTTGCAGCATCCTATGTCCTATAGATGTATCCTGCAATTCTGATATGCTTGTACAGCAGGAGTGACCAGAGCCGGGCAGTTTTGTCCCTGGCTCCACACAACCAGCTGAGGTACCCACCCAGCTGGAATAGCATGGCAGAAAGCAGTGCTTTCCAAACATTCTGCAGGCCCAGATTCCTCTGAAGGTCTCAGCCTCTGTTGGTAGTGGGGGTAGCAGAGTGGGCAGTCGGCTGGACTCCACCCTCAATTAAGTGAGGGCAGCTTTACTCTTAGCTGTTTCCTATGTAAGAGCTGGCATGGAATTTTATGGGAGGTTGTTACCTCGATAAAATGAGGTGCCAGTTTGAAAGATTAAAAACATTTGAGAATCACTGAGGGTAGAGAAAAGCCTAAAGCTCTGCAACAAGACAGTGGGCAGTTTGAGTCCTACTCTGCCACAGCCACTGTGGGCAAGCCATTTACTCTCTCTGCCTAGAGACTGTCTAGAAAATGGGGCTAATTCCTACTGTGCAGGTTTGCTGTGATGGGAAATAGGAACACGTGTAAAATGCCTACCACAGTGTAAGGCACACAGAAGCTACTCTGTAGACGGATGCCATGTATATTTTTGTTACTATTGGAAACAATTCAATATCCTGGTAAGAATGGGCCAGGATTTCCATTGGAAGTTACAAAAGCGAGAATATTTGTTTCCTAGGATTAAGCGTTTTATTTTTGGCAGAGTTCAACGTTATTCTAGCTTGGAGTCATGTTAATTAATCTGCTGGATTAGATGGTATATAGCACTTTTTTATTTTTTATTATTTTTCTGAGATGGAGTATTACTCTGTCGCCCAGGATGGAGGGCAGGTGGTACAATCTTGGCTCACTGCAACCTCTACCTCACGGGTTCAAGTGATTCTCCTGCTTCAGCCTCCTGAACATCTGGGATTACAGGCACTCACTACTATGCTCAGCTAATTTTTGTAATTTTAGTGGAGACAGGGTTTCACCATATTGGCCAGGCTGGTCTTGAACTCCTGACCTCAAGTGATCTGCCTGCCTCAGCCTCCCAAAGTGCTGGGATTACATGCATGAGCCACCGTGCCTGGCTGGTATATAGTATTTTTAAATGGAAGAAGTAATCACTGAAGCATTGTCAATCCTGTGACTCAATTTCACAGGTAGAGTCAAAGGTCATTGATTGCTCTTATTTTTGATCATGTTCTGTAAGAAGCAGCTAATTTTAAAGGATCACTTCAGGCCTTTCAAGTATCATGAAACAGTCCACTTGGATCTGCTATATACATGTTTGTCTCTCAGCACCCAGCCCAGTGTCCGACATAGAACAAGTGTCCTGCAGCCCTGCTCTGGATGCAGAGTATGGCCTAGGGGCGAAGAGGGAAGAAGGAGCAGACTGTGACTATGACATGGCCACAAATTAGTGAAAGGATCTATTGGCCTAGAAATGCAAAGTCATATTTGGGGAAATGAATGCCTTGCCTAGAAAATAGGTACTAAAATATATAGCTCTGGATGAGTAAGTCAAAGTAGCTAGGAAGAATTTAGGAAAATGGACGAGGTGCTCTGGCTAACACAGCTTTTCATGAACAAAAATGACCTTATCAGAGAGAATGTCAATGCTGAATGTCAATGCTGTGCCATGACTCTGAGGCACTGGGTATTTTAGGAGTGCGGGAGAGCACATTGAGAGGACTCATGAGCAGCATGGCCCAGCAGAAGACTGAGGGCAGTGCAGGTCAATGTCAGCCTTGGCCAGTGGCTACCTGCAGGTGTCTTTCCTCTTCAGTGAAATGTTGATAATCAAGCCTACTTCAAGGGATAAGGCCTGAGGATTAAGGGAACTTATGCACGTAAGATGATCCTTTAAAAACGTAAGTCCCATCAGGGTATCTGTCCCTTACCAGAACCCATTCTGTGGCTTCCCTTTGTACTGAGAATGAACCCAGTGCCTTTCAAATGTCCTGCAAGTCCTTCAGGATTGGGCTCCTGCCCATCTTTCCAACTTCAGCTCAAACCACACTCTCTCCATTCACTCAGCTCTGGCCACACAGACCTTTTCAATTCAAGGAAACATTTTGCCACCCTGAGTCTCTACACTTATTGTAGCACTGCCTGGCCAGCTCTTTCCTCTGGCTCTCTGGTTCTACAAGCTCCTGTCTTCCTTCAACCCCCAGATCCAATGTCACCTCTTTAAAGAGGTCTTTGCAGATCACCTAAGCAGATCTCTTGCTTTATCTCCTCCAGAATACTTGGATTCTCAAATCTCAATCATTTATTAGTTTATGTTTTCACTAACGATTTCCCTTGACGAAAGAGAAAGTTCTTCAAGTCTAAGGAAAGGATTTCCCTGTTCTCCACAGCATTCTCTGAGCCTGGCATAGTGCTTGGCACAGAGCACAAGCCCAGGAAGATTGGTCAAATGAATATACAAATGGGGGGTGGGGAAAAAATAGAGCTTGGTTGGCACATGGTGGTTCCTGGGAGTTACAATTATGGAATATATCATGTAGCATTTTCTGTTTGCCCCTTTAAATCTTTTAGAATAGGGAAATAATTTATAACATAGTAAAAAAATTATAATGTAGAAAAAATATGTTTAAATATGACTGGTTATTATTTGCCTTGTCCTAATTAAAATGGAAAAGAATTAGATTTTTATATATGTGATTACATCTTATGGCAGGATAGGCTGGAAAATTTTCTGATGATGTCTAGAAAGTTACAATGCAAATATCCACTCACATACAACATTGGAGGGTCATTTTTTTTAACCTGGAGAGGATGTTTGTAACTTTCCTTCAATTTGTATACACACAATAGATGGTTGTACATAAATAGATATTCAACAGCTCCAGCAAAATTTCTACTGCCAAAGAGAAGAAAAATGTCAGAGTAAGCTGTAAAAAAAGTGCTTGGTTTTTTAAATGTAGAAATGGCAATTCGCAGCATTTATACAAATTGCCGTACACTGCGGGTTGCAACTCTGAAACTGAATAGTAAGAAAAGTTGCAGCTAAGAGCAAATCTGAGGACACTTGTTTTGAAAGTAAAGGCTTAGTCAGTATCACAGCATTCTGGCAATCTGCATATCATTAACTAGTGTGCTTTGTATTGGGATTGAGACTTCATGTATTGATTTGCTCCTGTGTAAAGTGCTCTGACTAAAACTCTATTTAAAATCTTCAAAAAGAATCTGATCTTGGATGAAATAAGGAGAATTAACTTTTTAAAAGCCCCGCTATGTTTTTGGCATAATTATCTGTTAACAATATCCACATGACTATTTAATCCAATGGCTATATTGATCTAATATTTTACACTTTTTAGGTTATAATTTTATACACATTCTATGTAATACATGCAGAAATGTGAGTTGGTATCAACAGAAAATATAAATAGTTTCAGAAGGAATTAGATAAATTAGAAAGTGTGAGATAATACAAAAAAGCTAGAAATTTTAAGGTAAATTATATCTAACTAAAGTTTTCTCACAGTGCCATACCTTAGAAGTAGAACATAAGACTGGATTAGACAAATAGTTTACTGAAATTTCTTATGCATTTGTACTTTGGGCTCTCTTTTCTTCTCTGCATCAGTATATTCAGTATGTATTTTCCTCAATAAAACATAATTTATATAATTACTTTAGAGTTACAATGAGTCTGGATATTTGTGAATGAGAAAAAAAGTCTTTCCTAAGGGGAAATGGGATGAAGTCCAGAGCCCCAGACCACAGTGAACGCAGTAACAGCCAATTTGCGACATGAGATAACAGTGTCTAATGCTTATAGACTCAGTCCATTTCTCTGAAGTTACCTTCTGAAGAATTCCATAACGGGAATTGTATCTTTAATAACATGAAACCAATCAGTCAACTCTTGGGTATTTATAACAGGAAGAACTAGTGTTTAAGATATTCTAGATCACTAAATATTTTTAAGCGGTGTTTTTATTTTCAAACAAAATGATGTGATTTATAAACATTTTTGGGTCCTGCTTACCTCCTAATGCTGCTGTAATGAGTCTAGAACTTAGAGTTGGCATGTCCTCAGTAAAGGCCAATGGCATGGGGGCCTGGAGGCAATTTAAGAAAGGGATATGGAGAAGTAGAAAGTTGGCTCAGGTTGAAGAATGTACTGTGACTAATCCACAAAACCAATCATCCACAGGTGGACAATATTTTAGAAATGGCCCAGGGGATGCTGCTCTGGTCTTTTGGAGCTGAACGAATATTTCCATATCGTATAGCTTTGTTTGTAATTTACTTTTTTTTCCAACAAAGAAGATTGTGCAGAATCGTTAAAGTGATCTTTTATGCCTTTAAGTGACTATCAAAGTCTGCGCCGAGATGGCCACAATCCTTCACAATATCACACAACTGCACGTTACCTTGGATACAAGGCTGGCTCTGTATGCTGCGAGTTGCTTCAGGTACTCCTTCTTCGCAGCCTCGGTTTTCTTTTTATAGACCTGCAACAACAGCAAAGAGTCTTAAATTAGAAAGTGCATTTGCTTTTGTTTTCAGAGAAGTACAATATAGAATGATAACTGCACACACAAACACACTTATAGTTATATAATATAATAATATATATCTCCCCAAAGATTGTGTTTTCTTACTGAAACAGATTTTTAAGAAGTATGGCAATAGACTAGAAAAGAAAAAAAAAGTTAGCAACAGTAAAACTTTACACTTTTACATAAAACATATGAAAGGTTTTATCTGGGTAGATATGAGTGTAGAGGTAGTTGGCTTACAAAGATACTATTGATGAAGGTTCCCAGGGAAACCACATGTGAGTAAACAAGGCATTCATATTTATATAATGGGCAGATAACTCCACAGCACATTCACATCCTGATATATATGTTCCACGCTAAATACAAAAACAAAGACAGAATTTAGAGATGACAAATCATGTTCAATAAGCAAATCAAAGGAAACAGAAGGGAGAGTGCAGGTTCATCACTGAGTTAAGATTTGGAGCCTTGAAGTTCTATTTTCAAAGACTCAGGAAACAGTGATGGTGATTAAGGACACGTTTGGGAGAGGAATGGGAAGCCCAAGTGGCTGTGGATTGCATGCATGCCCTGCCCTGCAGTCCACTCTGGTCACGTCCTTTCCAAGAAAAACACTGGATGTCATGGGTCTGTGGACACCTCATTTTGAAAAGGTAAAAGTGTTCTGAAATGAATTTCAGTTTACAGAAGCTTTCCATTTCTGAGAGGGAATCATCTTGAAAATAAAAGCAAAATCATCCTAAATTGAGCAAAAGTACTGAAAAATGACTTGCTTGTATGCTAAAGGTCACATTGCTAAGTTAAACAGTGAGCAGTCATTAGAGTTGAAAATGAAAGATTAGCAAAGTGAACACACATGGCTCTCTGCTACCATTAAGTTGATTCTTTCAAGGCTTTAGAGTATATTTTTTGGCAATCTTTTGAAATCAGCCTGAAAGATCAAAATATTTTTCATCCTTCACTGTGTAAATGGAAATGTATTTTCATTGATACAGCTATTTTAAATTTCCCACATTTTGGATTTTACAGCAGGGCATAAGGCTTGGCTAATATTTTGTAATGCTGAACTCAAAAACAGACACACAGATCAGTATTGAAAAGTGGCTTCAGAATTAGTCAGAGTAGTTAAATATAAATTATGTCTAAAGACCAAATATCTGCCATTTGGCAGCAGGGGTCAATTTATGGTTTCAAATGCTGACTGTGGTTTGCTGAGCCCAACGCCAGCTATGAAATTCGAGATGTGAGAAATATTGTTTATTCATGAATATTTTAATTAAAGCAGAACATTTTGCTTAAGGTAAACAAATGACTAACCTTGTCAACAGAATTATAACAGGACTGTATGAAATGAATGTGCTAATTTTTCTCCTAAAGTGGGGGGCTTCAGCCTTGACTTCTGTATTTGGCATTTTGGTCTAATAAAAGCCAAGTAAAATAAGGAATTAAGAATTAGTACAATATTATCATATAATCAATGTGCCATCATCCTAAGTATGAAACTAAAGAAACTTTAAAAACTATATTTCAGAGTTTTTTTTTTTTAAGCACAAAGCCAAGAAATCCTTTGGTTCAAGCACAGGAGTATTCTAAATTTACTGAGTTAATTATTGGAAGTCAAATTCAAATTCTTTTTTGGAAATTCACACGTGAAAACAAATAAATGCTAAAGTCGAGTAAGTGCCTTTGAACAGTGTGATCTGTGTATATCGTAAGCCTTGGTGCAGCCATGAAACAGCTCTCCTGCTTTTCATTGATTTATTTTTTTTTGAGAGACAGATTTCTGTTTATAGTTTTTCCTTAAAGCTCTTCTCAAAGACATAATTTATAATTAATGACCTTAAACTGACAATGTTTACATTTGCTTTTAATACCTCAAAACTTTCAAGAGGGTTTTTCTCCCATACAGATAGAAATCCTATTCAGGACTTTGAAGCAAACATTTAGTCAATACGTCTTTTATGGTAATGCATTTTTGTATACCCTAAGCATTTCTATCATGCTTTTATTAATATGCTACTCCAAGTGACTCCCATTCAGCTAACTAGGATGCGTTTTGCTTTCAAAGGCAAATAGAATGCACTTTGGTTCATAGCATTGCCCACAGTGGCATTTTCTAAGTTGTGGCAGATAAGACAGTATTGCCAGATGGTCTGACTACGGCATCTATCATTTTTCTTTCATTGGTTTCTACTGAAACAGCAACAGTGTGACTACGATGCTATCCCTTTGTTGAGCTCCTGGCAGTTAACATCACACAAAGTGTTAACTTTCCTGAAATTTGTTGCTTAACAACCAGGGAAGAAAGGTGGCTAACTCCACATGTTTCAGGCTGCATAGATGCCCCTGGTTTCCCTCCAGAATCGATGTTGTTACGGGATACCTGACTAGCATGCAGAGTCCCCTGTTTTCTACAAATGGCTCCCTATTGGCTATTGATGATTGGCTATGTGGGATCATCGCATAAGTGCCTAAATACCACTTTAGAAAAGAGTAAACTCATCACGTCACATTACATGGATTGATGGATACACTCTTTCCTGAATAGCTGCAGATGTTCAGAGGGAGAATTCAAAGGGGGGTCATTTCAGAAGGTAGATTCCTGTAATTGTGTTGAAAGGGGAGTAGCCTGGACCAGAATTAAAATCTGAGGTAGTCTCCTCAACAGTAATTAGCACCTCAATCTTTGAGAACTACCTGATGGCTCCCATTTTGTACACTCTGTATGTCTTTCTGATGTTACCTTCTAAAATTGGACAAGGATGTTGCTTGAATTCTATATTTAATGGAAATGTCTGAAGAAAGGCCTCAACTATGAATGAATGATAATGATATATAAAAATTCCACATGCAGGTGAAGTAGGGGAAATCCTTTAAAAAAAGATGTTTAAAAATTATCAAAAAAAAATCTCTCAAAAACATTTCAAAGCCTCTAATGATAGATAAAGAAAGTCCTCTGCTTGCAGAGAGCAAAGATGTCCCAGCACGGCATTTGGCAATGAACAACCACTGCCATGAGCAAGTGCACAGACCTTCTAACTGACAAGGATGGGTCTGATTTATGTCAAAGTTCAGTTTAGGAAAGAAATGGTCTCTCACTCTTAGGGAAAGACAAATATTTTAAAGGTATGTGATTCATACAGTAAATATTAGTATTTAGTTGAGTTACAAAATGGCTTCCAAATGGTCCACAGCTGTTTGAAATAAAGTACAAAGTTGGCCAGATGAGGATTTAAAAATCATAATACATCATTTATCATTTTCCCCCACTCATCTAAACACGTTTGAGTTCATCCTGTCCTAACTAAGTTATATGCTGTGGTTTTTATTCCAAGAAAGCTACCATATCCCATCTAAGGATTGCATCTCAGTGGCTAAACTAAAACATATATAATGGCTAAACTAAAACATACGTAGATAGTCATCAAATAGCAATTCTAGAGAACCCAAATCCTGTCACATGATCTAGTGATTCACTGAGGCATTTTTGAAATGCTCTAAATACCAGCATATACACGTTTTCATACGCTTATAATCCCTAATTGAAATCAGCAGTTCAATATCAACGATATGACAAACTCAAACAGAAAAAATTTCCCATACAATCTGTCATTTTCCTTTTACTTTCTGCTTCTTCCCTAAACAAACAATCCATCCAGCTCATATAGAAAAGCAAAATCTTATAAATACCATTTAATTCCTTCTTCCTTCCTTCTTTTCTGCTCTGGCCCTTAGTTAATCTCTAGTCATAGTTTATTTTAACAGTCTTTACAATAATAAGAAGAAAAAATGTAAAATTCTTCCAATTCTGGATTCTATCCAAAAACTAAAGGCATTCTTCATTCTGGGTAAGTTCAAATGTCGTTTTTCCCACTACTATTTCATATTTATAGAAAATCCTTAGAAATGCATAAGGATTTAGAATTTAACCACAATTCCCTGCAATATTTTTTAGAAATTTAAAATTTTCAGCTTCTTTCAAGGCTGTTGTTATTTAGGTCAGTTAGAGCAAGTGCATCTATATTTTATATAGAACTTAGTCCATTTAACTTAATGGTTAAATGTCCATCTTGTATAACTCGCTCAGCATTTTCTTAGGCTCCAAGGCCTTCACAAAGTGGTATTCAGAGGATTGAAAACATTATACAATGTGACAAACATCTTGCTATGGATTCCTTTTGAGGACTGTCTGACCCACGTAAATGGTCTCAGCAACACCGGTTTGACCTGTTTCTGGAATGGTAAGAATCCGAACCGAGGTCCTTGCCTGAAAAAATGGCTACAAAATACATATCTGTTGATTTATTAAATGAAGGTCACTAAGGAAAGTATGATGCTGTTCAGTTATGCTTACCAATCTATTGAGTGCCCAGTATGTGCCTACTGTGGTGTGAGGCACCGATGTTATAAAATTAAAATCAAAAAGTCATTAAAAATTACGCCTCCATTGTGTGCATTTTGCGGATCATGCACTCTATATATTACCTCTAATTCTTTCAATAAAAATGTTGCATTGGCATAATGAATATGGGATAATCCCCGTTTTGCAGATAAGAAAACAGACTAGAATGGGTAATTATTTTACCTAATATATTAGAACAGGTATATGGTAAAACCATGGTGTGAATAAAATGAGTCTGGTGTCAAATGTTCCATCTTTCTTTGCTCAATGGTTTGTCCTAGCCATGAGAACTCCTTTTGATTCTTCTCTCAAGACATACAACTGCAAGGCCTGGTCTCTTTTGTTCACTGCTGAAGCCCCAGCATGCTTGGAACATAGTAGGTGCTCATGAAATATTTATTGAGCATCTAATCCATGGTCTCAGGTTTCTCCTTCTATGAATCAGCATTAGCATGTGTGCTAAGGATGAAACTGAACTGCATGTTCTAAATTACAATGTACATCAATGGAAACAGTGGACTGATATACAGGTATACAATCCACCCAAACATGTTTTTCAATTATAGATAAAGCACAACAGACTTGAAGGAGTATTATGTTTAAATTATTTTCCTGCCAACATCATGGAAAATTTCAAATGAAACGTCTGCTTCCATGGTCTCTGAGCGTATGAATATTTGTATATGTGTAAAACAAATGCTTATGCCCATAAAGGCATGTAAGAATCACATTTATATACCAATAATTGTATATGTGGATATATATAATATATGTAATATATATAATATATGTAATATATAATATATGTAATATATGTAATATATATATAATATATGTAATATGTATATAATATATGTAATATATATATAAATACCTGAATTTTACAAGTATGCTCACCATTTCATATAATAATTTTCATTGCTCAGTTTCAAATTTGTGTGAATATGGACGGACTTTGCTTACATTCTACAGTTTTTAAGTGAGCAACTGTTTTACATATCCTTCACTCCTAGTTTTTAAAAAATTGGGAAAATGCTTAATGTTTATAAGAAAATGGCCAAGATAAACACATGTGTGAATGTTACAGTGCGACAGGATTTTAGTTAACCTTAAGTATTGTTGACATAAAAATCCAAATTTTATCAGAAGATAAAGGGGAAAAAGAAACCCCAACAGCATTATGTAGTGGGTGTCTGAGCACCAATGAGGAGGAAATGATTTGATTCTGTGGGCTCAGAGGATTTGTCAGCTGCCTCATAAGTATAATTCTGGCTCTTCATATCCCTGCTGCTTCTAATTTAGCAGGACAGGCTCATAATTGAAGCAAATTAACTATTTACACTTGCCACTTCTACCAGGGAAGAGGACACAGCAGCAGGAAAGAATGAGTAGGAAATTACATTCTTCCCACTTGTGTCAGATCTGCCCTTATATAAACACATTAACAGTAATTTCACGAGGCGTCAAACATAGGAATAAATACTGAGGAATAAAATAATGAGGTGTTGCTATTGAGCTGAACTGCTATGGCTAATATCCTTGGATATGAATTATGCATCCTGAAAGAAGGCATATGTTAACAGTATTCAAACAGTTTCCCTGCAAGTGAGATCTGCTCATTAGGTTCTGGATCTCTAGGTAAATCCACTCTCCTCTTCCACGACAGGGCTAGCATTTACAAAAATACACTCTGGGTACCGTGGGCTGTGGTTTCTCCTGAATACACTAAACTCTGAATAGGCTTTCCACTCCATTTTTAGCAAAACAGCATGTTTATTTAGCTCTTTGGCTGCAGCTTTAAAGCCATTTAATGTAATGTAAACAAGAACATTTTGTTTGTAATTTGCTAAATGTCTTACAGCCCGACTGTGTCTCCAATTAGGAACTTAAGGTTCATTTAGTAATTTACATCTGGTTCTGATTTAAGGTGACTTTCCTTTTTCACTTAAGAGCCGGCTTGCCGTGGCTAAAAAGGACCCAAGAACACTTTATAGCTCTTTGGACCAACCCTTTCTGCTTCAAAGCGGGACGAGCTCTTTTATTTTGTAGGGTTTTATTTGTTCTATATTGTCACTGTGAACCCAGGTCCTCCACTACAATGACCAGAATCAGAGAGTTCAGAAATAATGGAGGTAAACAGGAAATTTAGCTGGAACCTCATAAAAAAGATGCTGAGGGTTGCTCAAACTCCTAGGATCCTAATACAAAGGGTGTGATATTGTTAACTTATTTTTCTTTCTCTGCAGGTTCCAGTCCGTGAAAGATAAGTAGCAGAGACCAACATCACAGCAATACTTATGTTTTATTTCCTTCTCCATCTGGTGCATTTTAAACAACTTAGTATGCTTCTGAAATGGGCTCTCCATTGTCTTACGAGTCATTAGCATTTAAAACCCCCGGTTGGAATCCCAAACACAATTCTGCTCCCATTCCAGATTCAGTACCATCTTCCAAAGTATTAAAATGGGGAGATCTCTGATATGTGGAGTTTGTTCAGTGGCTTTGGTAGGAATGATTCATAAGGGAGGTTTTGTGTTCCTTGAGGATTTTTATCGCTTCTTTCAGCTTCCTTTTGATTTCTCTTCTTTGAAAGATTCTTCACAGAAACCAAAGTACATATTGTTTCTCACTCACCATGGATTCTGAAAATAAAGATCTGCCCTTCTGCAGTGGCTTCTTACTCCCGCCTATACTCCACAATGAGGAAGCATGTGATATAAACACACAGCAGCTCTATTAGTCATGTTCCCTCTGGCTGTCAAGAAAACATGCAATTGTAATCTCACTAATAGCCGTTTTTCCTTAAATATTGTAATTTTCTGAGGCCCCCAATAAGTCATCAATAATTTTGACCATTTTTCCCAGTTTGTGTTTATATTTGTAGCTGTTCATAATTGTGGGCTATGATGACAACAGGATTTTGGAACAATTGTGGCACATGAAATCTTAGCCTTCCACCGGAACCAGCTGCCTACACAATGCCAACAGCATCACATGGTTGGTTCTGTAACATGCATATTTGTCCAAAATTTTGAATTTTAATAGTCTGCCTCGAATCTGCTCCAGGAACGTTCTTTTAAAAATACATAGCAGTATGTGTGTTCCCCAACTTGAATATTAAATGAGAACAAAACACAATTAATTTAAGCTTGAAACGGAGATATTATAGTATGTTGGCACAATGAGTTAACATAAAGGGAGAGAACAGGTGGTAATCTACTGTTATAACACTTTGGGATATTTTGCTGAAATTTTCTGGATGCCCAAATGTGCATTTCAGGCAGGCACGTTTGCTCTGCCGATGACTCTAGCAAACTGCTAGAGAAGGGCTGCTGTGGAGCAGCAGAGCGGTGGCCCAGCCGGTGCAATGTGCTCCCTTTTGTAAGCAGCGTCTGATTTCATTAATTTGACCCTCTCCCTGCTTGGTTCTGGCACAGGCCTGCATCCAACGTGTGTCCTACACCATACCTTTAGGCATAATCTGCAGCCTCACTCTCTTGGTTAAGCAAGATCATCTTTTAGGTTCACATGATAGGTTATGTTGAACTTCTGTGAAGTCAAAGGAGCATACAGCATGGGGACAAATCATTTTAGAGTGACCAAAACTGTTTTAGTCATCCCAAGGCCTTGTTTTGGTAACTCTTAAACAAGTGTTCAAATTTTAAAACATTTACTTTTGTAAGATAAAAAAATTTATTTCTCTCAATCTTGGCATAATTGTTTTGGCAACTGGATTTTGATTGAGAAACTGCTTTATGATACCAAATGATTTATATAAGTCAACTATTATATAATTTTATCCTTTATAAAATGAATTTGCTCCCCCAAACCCTATTTTCATTGAGAGACAACCCAAAGGTAGACTCATTACAAGTTACTTACTAAACTAGGCAACATATGAAACCTACAAAAGAGAAACATACAAAAGAGAAAGAGAAAAATATTTGCCATCATATATATACAATTAAAAAGCCTTGCACATAATTGTAATTATATCCACATTAGGGAGACCAGCCTCGATTCTGAATGCCAGAATGGGAAAATGGGAGTGATTTCCCTTTTTAACATGACAGTTGAGAGTAGTGAATCTCATATTTTTGGGGTCTGTAAATAACTTTGATGGTTAGACAAAATGAATGCAAAATGCTATCTTAATATTCTCCTCTTGCTATATTAAAAATAAAAAGCCTTAGTGTTATAGAATTAGCGGGAAGAAATCTGCAGCCTGATATTTACTGCCTTGAGGAACTATCTGATTTTCATCATAAGAACATTATTCTTTTCCATCAGAAACATGAGAACAGGGATTTATTTTTTAATATTGACAATGTAAAGAACCAATCGTGGGCTAGGGAGTGCCTTTGCAGACCTCCCTCTTTAGAAATCACTGCTCTTGAATATGGAAAATGATTAGGAAAATGTAACTGGGGTCAGAGGACAGATAAGAGAAGTAAGGTGAGTGGCAGAGCAGGCGATTGATGTTTCCAGAAATGAAGAGTTTGGCAAAGTAGACACTAAAGAGGCACAAACGAGCCTTGAAACAATACTCCTAGTTCAGTCACTAAGTCTTAGGTAGGGAAGAGGGGCTGAGCCTTCACGGGGGAATCATGTGTCTTCAGATGAACAAGAATTGCTGTACCCAATCCCTAGGGAAGGGAATTGCTTTTGGGATGCTTTCTTCAGGAAATTTTGTCTCACAAAGCAACAAAGTTTATGGTACTGAAGCCAGGTGCATATTCAAGAACACACAGAGGGCTTACTGGAGGAGACAGCGAGCTATGTCTTCATATGTGGCGTCATGGGTGGAGCAGGGAGGCATTAAGGTGACATTAAGGGAACAGGGAGGGGGTTGGGATTGCTGGTTGGAATACACTTAGTTTCTCATTCAGTGAGGCTCTGCTGAGTGGAGAAGTCAAGTCACTGTAGAATTCACCCTGATTGTCCAACATCAGTTGGGAACCACACCTCAGGTTTGGCAGGGTGAGAGCAAACTGACCCAAGTTAGAATAGAAACTAGCTTTAAAATTCTGCAACAATATGTTAGGTTTCGATTAGAATCCCATAATACAATGTCAACTACCCTCTTATGGTGAGTGGGTATTTTAATTGAGTGTACAGAGAACGTTTTGGTGGTGTGTTTCCTGTTCTTAAAGAAAACTCTTGCAACACAGAGCTCCATATGGCAGGCCTGTGCTTTCCTAGGACAGCACTCCTTCAGGCTGGCAATCTTGAAAAGGACGTAGGGAAATACGTAGAGATTTCAGATTCTAGAAGACAGCTTTGACTTACAGAAAAGAGAGAATGGAGGGACCTGGAAGAGCAAGTTCTATGTTTCCTTAGCAACTGGTTTTGTCATTATCCCCATCATTAATTTCATAGGGTTTGTTAGGAAAAGCATTGTAAGTTGAGTGACAAGTTTTATTCATGGTAATTCTAGGTACCAGGCATGTAACTGTAGATAAATTATTCAACACAATGGGGGTCTGTTTGTCTTATTCTCTGTTCTATCCTCAGTGCCCAGAACAGTGCCTGGCACATAAGTGCTCAACAAATATTTGTTGAATAAATGAATGAATTTAATTTATATGGCCCCATTTTGTAATCTGCAAAATTTGGGTAATAATTTCCCTGTATATCTATGAGTATTGAGTAGAACAAATCAAATAAATAATGCAAAAGTGCTTTTAAAACTATAAGACACTATATACTTTATAGATGTTAATATATAATATAAACACAATATATAGATCCTTCTAGATGCATAAATAAGTGTGGGCTTTTCTGTATTTATATAATTCCTGGACATAATGAGGAAAGATTGGTGTCTCTAATTAAGAATAAAATATGAGACTAGTTCATCATTAATGCAATTCAGTATTCTGCAATGGCTAAAACTGCACCTACACAGTTATTTCAATCACTTATTTTAATGAAAATGCTTTTAAATTTTTCTTTGTGATGCTGAGATTTTTAGATGGTGACCATGGCCATCTAGTTCCTGGTTTAGAAATGTGGGATCAACATTGCTTCTTTGCTTAGGTTGGCTCCATCCTCTCACTGAACCCTCACTCTGTGACTCCAATCCTCTTTAAGACCTTCTGAGCTATTTATGCTGTGTCCGTGGTATCTCACGTGGCCTTCCCTGAGCATGGTCCTCAGTCACACCAGGGCAATACATGAGAGAAGGAAAAAACCAGGCATCTGGTCCCATTTAACACAGCCTAAAAATATGGTGTAAATACATTTGGGGGATTGAATAACAGCCCCTGGCGGTCTTTAAGGAATGGCTAGGGGCGGAAACCCTTGAATTTGAGGTTCATTTAGCAAAGAGCAAAGAGGGTTTTGATGACAAAATGGTAAATAGTAAGTGCTGAAAAGAGGTGTGGACAGTTTTCAAAATACTTTTAGGACTTTTTTTTCAGTCTTTATGTTCACATTGGCAACATTAAGGAATAAGGCAATCCTGTCTGAGATATGTAAAAGTGCTTCCAAAAGTAACTAAACTATATAAACTTTGAAACAAAGGAATCAACATGCTATTTATGGAGGAGTAATAAAGGAGCATAACATTATGTGAACGTCTCAGAAAGTCTGGTTCGGATGGGGACACCTTCTCAGCGTCTGTTCTGGGATCTAAAGAATTTACCCCAAGCCCTGGGAGGCCATTTCTTCAGACTGCACAATCTCAGCTTATGTAGATTCCCATTCCACTGGGAATCCCTTACCTGTTTTTGCTCTTCTCCTAAACCGTCCCACATTGAAGCCACAATTTTAGAGACTTCGCCAAAGGTAGCGTTTGGATTTTGGCCCTTGATGGCGGCCTGAGTATCACGAAAGAATAACGCATAGGCAGACACAGGCTTCTGGGGCTCATTGGGATCCTTCTTCTTCTTCTTTTTGGGAGTTTTTGGTTTTTTCCCCATATCAGAGGCAGGCCGCTTCTCTCCACCATTGATCTGAAAGAGAAATCAAAATAGAATTATAGGGGGACTGAGACAATTTGGGGACAAGACATATCGTTGTTTTCCTTTGAGACTTAGACACATACCCATTCACATCACTCAAACACAGGCTTTTCTAAGGGACACATTGTTTTGTTATTTTTTTTTCCCAGATGAAACTGCATATTTCAAGTAGTCTTCATATTCATCCTACTCCCAACTTTACTCACCTAGCTTTGAAAAAAGTTGGCTCTTTTTATATTATTACACTATTAAATACAACCCCTTAACATTCCTAACTTTTTCTCTTACACTGTAACTGTGTCAACAGCAGATTTCTCTGGTAGTAACACTATTGGATGAACAATCTAACTTGTTTTCTTCTAAGGAAGTTATCCTTGTCTTTTTTTTTTTTTTTTTTTTTGAGATGGAGTCTTGCTCTGTCGCCAGGCTGGAGTGCAGTGGCGTGATCTCAGCTCACTGCAACCTCTGCCTCCCGAGTTCAAGCAATTCCCCTGCCTCAGCCTCCCCGACAGCTGGGACTACAGACGCGCGCCACCACACCTGGCTAATTTTTTGTATTTTAGTAGAGATGGGTTTTCACCATGTTGGCCAGGATGGTCTCGATCTCCAGACCTGGTGATCCACCTGCCTTGGCCTCCCAAAGTGCTGGGATTACAGGTGTTAGCCACCGTGCCCAGCCATCCTTGTCTTTCTAATTATGGCTTTAAAACCTCGGGGGCAGCATGCCCAATAAATAAAGTCAAATGGCTTTTGACTTTGTCCCTAGATCTACGGAATGCTGCCAGGAAAACCCAGCAATGCTCATGGTTTAAAGAATGGTATGGTCTAGACCCTAGATCAGTGCTGTCCAATGGAACTTTCTCCAATGATGGAAAAGTTCTACGATTTGCACTATTCTATATGGCAGCCACTAACCATATAAAGCTAGTGAGCATTTGAAATGTGGCTAGAGTTAATCAGGAGCTAAATTTTTAACTTTGTTCAAATTTAAATAGCTACATATGACTAATGGCTACCATATCGGAGAGTGCACCTCCAGAAATTAGATTCTAGAGAGTTCTAGAAAAGGTTTTTACTCAATTTAAGAGTAGATTCTATTTTCTCCCATGTTCCTAAAGTATGAATATTTTGATAATTTTAATTGTTATTCTGATACAACTGGGAAAAAACACATTGAACATATTTAAGATGGCTGCATTTGAATATTATCTTTGTTACTAACTAGATGTGATATCAATTCATCCACCTCTAAAATAAAGCATTTTGGATAGGATTTCTTTCCGGCTCTAAAATTATATGAGTCTACATGAATACAAAATAGGGCTGCATCTGAAGGATTCAATTTCCACATGCCTTGCCCCCTAACGAAGTGTCAATGCAGCTTCTGTACCCTCACCTTCTATTGTGGTGGTTGTAGTTGCCTTCTCTCTGCAGATATAATGTAATATGTATCTTATTTAGACAAATTCCTAGATGGGATATTTGTGTAAAATAACTGCCACCATTGGAGATGAAGCATGATGTACAGAGAGGTCTGTGGATATGATTTCAGAGGAACTCGCTTCATGCCTTCTTTTTATTATTTTTAGCTGTTACCTTGGTTAAATTAATTTCTCCGGGCCTCTGTTTCCTCTAGTGAAAACCAGGTATGGTGCCATTTTATAATGACTAAGATGGTATATATTTATATATGTGTAGAAGTTTAAAAGCGTATTCAAATATCAATTATGACAAGGTATAAACTTTCAAAATAATTCACTGAATGGGTGGATGGAAAATACTTTAATATTAATATGTGATACCTTATAATCAGTATGAAAGATATACCTAAGCACCGAAAAGAGATAAGCAAAAGCTAAGTGATTTCTTTGTCTTTGTCTTTATTGAGAAACCTATTAAAAAGAATATCATTCTGAAATTGTCTACTGAAGCAGATCAAAGAACCCCAGGGGGACAGGATGCTGTGAACCAAGTTGACAAGCTAATGTAGATTAACACTAGATGATAACTTCCCTGAGATGGATCAGAGAGGTGATCCTGTGAAGTCACTGGCCACCATGTAAATCTGTCAGAGACTCAGCATGTCTGGTGCTTGATATTCGACAAACTGGCATAACAATGCTATATTAAAACACATAGGCATATATATGACCTAGAATGGTGCTCCTCAAACATGGCTGCACATTAGAGTCACCTGGTCAGCTTTTAATACCCTGATGTCCAAGTCTTACCCTACACAGATTAAAGCAGATGCCTATGGGTGGGAGACTGGCCTCAGTCACACCCTCTGAACTCTTCCAACTGGCATTTTGATATCTTGAGAGACAAAACAAACAAGCAAAATTTTTCTGTGCCCCAAGGCTACCTATGGCCATATTTTTCTCCTTTTCACAACCAAACTCCTCCAAGTGGTTGGCTGTGCTGGCCTGATGCAGCCTCTGCAACCTACTTCCGTGTGCTTTCCTGTCGATTAGCTCTCAATTAGATCTCCACTGGCCACACTGCTGAATCCAGTGGATGCTTGATGCTTGAGTCTCCCCCTTACCTGATTCTCACTGTGAGGGCCCTCTCTCCCACTGGTTCCCTGACACCACCCTCTCTGAGTTTTACTCCTACCTCACTGGCCCTTGATGTTTCCAGAATCATTTTAGGGTCATCCTTTTCCACCTGGCCATTAATTGGTAGCGATTCCTGATTTGTTTTGCAGTAAACTCCCTTCTCTTGTGAGTGTACTTAGGTAATCTCACATGTAAGCAGGGTTTCCATTACTATTTGTGGGTGGATGGTGGTCAAGTTCATGTTTCCCTTGAGTTTTGCACACACAGAAACAACTGTTATTTGACATCTCTATTTGCAAGTCTCAAAGATATTTCAAACTTAAGTCAAGCTTATTTAGCTCTGTATATTTCCATTCATAGCACGTATCAAGCTTGTAATTACACAATAATGTATGTGGTTGTTAGATCTACTCCTGTTCGTGTGTAGGCACTATGAAGGCAGGGGTTGGGCCTGGTTTTGCCCACTAGCACGTATCATGGTCCCTGATACGTAGTAAATGCTTAACGTTTGTTATAGTAGTAATAAAAATATTAATGCAAAATGATAATATTTTGTAAACATGGCCACTCTTACATTCACAATCATAAAATATTTATTTAAAAGGAGACAAAAGGAGTCAACAAGGTCCACAATGAAGAATATTAAAGATAGAGTGGTCAAGGGTACAGACTTTCAGTTATAAGATGAATAAGTTCTGGGGATCTAACATACAGCACAATGACTATAGTTAGTACTGTGTTGTACACTTGAAATTTGTTAAGAGAGTAGGTTTTAAGCGTTCTCATTTTAAAAAAAGTGACTAGGTGAGGTGACAGATAGGTTAATTAGTTTATTGTGGTAATCATTTCATGACGTACACATATATCAAAACATCACATTGTACACTTTAAATACATACAATTTTATTTGTCAATTATACCTCAATAAAGCTGCAAAAAGAGTAATCCTCATATTTCATCAACGATTGAGAGAAATTGGGAACAAAGTACAGAAATAAATGAATGCTTATTCATATGGAATATTACCTAGACTCATTTTAAATTTTAATTAAAAAATTAATGATCTGACACATTGAAATCTCCATGATTACAGATTATATCAATCTTTCTGGAAAATAATCAAATGTCAATCATAGAGATAAATTTCCTATCATGCAATTTAAATGCTCTTATTAAAAGATTTCCCCACATTATTTAAATAGTTTTTGTGATGGTTAATTTTAGGTGTCAAGTTGATTGGATTAAGGAATTCCTAGAGAACTGGTGAAATATTACTTCTGGGTGTGTCTGTGAGGGTGGTTTCCAGAGGAGACTGGGGTGAGTCAGGAGACTGGGGTGAGTCAGCAGACTGGGGTGAGTCAGCAGACTGCGTGGGGAAGACAGACCCTCAGTGTGGCCAGCCATCCTTCAATAGGCTGGGGTCCTGGATAGAACAAAAAAGACAGAAAAAAGACAACTTTTTCTCTCTCTCTCTTTCTCTGTCATACATGTGCTCTTTGTCCTTCTGCTTTCTACCATGGGATGACACAGCAAGAAGGCTCTCGCCAAGGGCCTCTTGAGCCTCTAGAATTGTAAGAAATATATCTCTGTTCTTTATAAATTACCCACTTTCAGGTATTCTGTTACAGCGGCACAAAATGGACTAAGACAATTTCCCTCCTCTATTGTCCAAAATTGTGTTTGAAACACTGATCATCATGCTTATCTCCTTTTTAAGTTGGTATTTGGACAGTATGGTACGGGCTTTAGATCTACTGGAAGTGTGATTCCTTGCCATAACAGGTAGGAGGACAGTCATCCTCTTGCATTTGACAACAGGCCCTACTTTTAGGGATGTCCTGAAGAAACAGGAGAACTTGTTACTGCCAGTAAGAGGCTCAATCATATGAAAACCACCAGTTATCATTTTGAGGCAATGGATAGCAACCCTATAGAAAAGCCTAAATAATTCCACGCAGCCAATCCATTTTGTTAGTTGCCTGAAGGCTTTACCTATTTTCCTGGTTTGTCCTGGAGGGCTAGCTGGATGCAATGTTGCTCAAAGTTTTGTTTAATAGAAGCAAGTATTTCATGACTTCTGCCTCCACATTTTCAAGGCTCAGGAGACATCATTTATGCATTATAGAGTGTAACTCTGGGGCTTCCATTGTATATCTGATTGAGTACCTGAGAGGCACTAGACTCTAAAGCTATGGTGTTGCCCCCATTAAAGCAGACTACCAGCCAGTCTTATAAGATTATATCATCTTTGTCTTTGTTGTGCCTAAAAACAAGAGCATATTGATCTGCTTTCAGTCAACATCACACTATGCCTTCCCTTTAAATACTCATGTTAACTTTGGTTTGAATTTTCTGCCATGCAAGAAAACTGGCATCTGAGAAGACCAATCTAAAGGATACACATAAAATATTCATTACTCAAGATTCACTGCCTCTCCTTCAATAACTAAACTAGATCACCAAAGCTAGATTCTTGGAACATAATATTCTGAACATTTATAAAATTGCCCTTGTAGAACTGAACTATAATCTAAGACAATGCCCTGACTTCCACTGAAGACTTACATATGGGGGAAAAACTATGAATGAAAGATCTCCATTTTTTATGAGATAAAATGTACTTTGGAGGGAATTGTTTATTATATTGCTCAATGTTCCTGCATAAAGGACTAGTGAATATTCATAATATCTTTGCTCTTTATAAATGCAATAGAATGGAATGGAAACTCCTTGTTGTAGTTTGATCTCTCATGTACCCAAGTACTTGGGCTTTGCTCTATGAAATATAAAGCTGTTTGTCTTATGAACACTGGGCATTGTCCCCTGATCTGTGGGGATCTTATTTTTTATTTTTCATTTTTCTTGTGTGGAAAGGATGCAGAAATGAGCTGCCATTTTAGATTCTGTGTAATGAACTGGGAATTTGTAAGGCCTACTTTTGGAAGTAGCTTCATCACATGTGTGAAAAACACATGATCATTGTTGTGTCCAAAGCCTCCTTGAAGACAGAAATGCTGCTGTAATTTGGATCCATTTTCATGTCAGTAACGGATGCACTTTGAAAGATACTTGGCTCTTATGACCACAAACTATTTGGGATAAACACAATGATGATAGATATGACTGTGGTAGAAAAATTAGCTAAATGGATTTATAATCTGTCCCTGGACCTTAATTTTGGATATTGTCTGGATCCGGACTTCTTGCATAGATGGATGGAAGCTTATAATTTTAAATCCTAACTTTCTGAGAGTACTTGACTTTTAAAGTCTAGAGCAGCACTGTCTCGTAAAATTTTCTAGAACGATAGATATGCTCTCTGCCGTGTCTAAAAGGGTAGCTGCTAACCACATATGGCTATAGGCCACTTGTAATGTGGCTAGTACAACTGAGCAATTGAATTTCTAAATTTAATTTTAATTGGTTAAATTTAAATGGAAGCAGTCACACATGACTAGAAGTCACTGGATTAGACAGCACAGTATTTTGTACTGGACACTGCTCTAGAGTACATACAGTATTTGTAAAGTTACCAGGGTGCTAAGACTGGAGAGTTAAATTTTATTCCATCATAATCTTTAGAATATGGAAGAAACCATATAATGCACAAATGTGAATTCCTTATGATGACAAGCACATTGAAAGTAAGGAGCAGGTCCCATTAATCTTCACGTCCTTCATAGCATCGGTACAGTGTTTTACATGCAATGGATCATTATACATTTCTGCTCTGGTATTCTACAGCAGTGGGCAGAGGCTTAGACTTATGAGGCAAAGAAAATTTGAAACAAACATAGAAATTGTATGAAAATCATAGCAACTAAAACATGGCTGAGCTGAGGCCCTAAATGTCGCCCTGATTACCCACGCACTGATTTCACCATCAGTTAAAGCACTAACGAATACATAAGTGCACAAATACCTAAATAAATATTATTTATAAATAAATATTACACATAAGCTTTACACAGATACACGTGCTTCATGTAACTTACTCGTAAGACATAGATTTATTTCTCAAATCCCTAGAGGTGCCTGAAGGCTTCTGGTAATTCACCCCTGTCATGTCTTATTGGTTAATTATAGAGATGTATTTAACTTATTTATCACAAGAAAACAATAATCTTTCACTTTAAAAAAGCATGTGCTAATGGTGTTGCTTAGATAACAGTATTTCTTAAGAAGCCAGAGCACAGGAGTTAAGACTATCAAAGAAAGAGAATCACTGATATTGAAATGTCCCTGGAGAAGTTAGAAACGTCTATAAGCATATTTAAAATAAACTGCCGCGGTCCCAAAGCCTTTAATGGAGCTGGGAGAGCTGTTTAATGCACACTATCTTGCAGTAATCGCTGTAGTTTAAAATAGATTTTAATCAAGCACCATCTGCATAATAGGCTGAACAAACAACATAGAACTCCACTTATAACTCTTATCATATAAAGTAAATATTATAAACTCCTCTCCATAGAAACAGGGCATATAACAGCACTTTTTGTGATGTTTCAGTGAGTGAAAATTTTGCTACTTAAATTCATTCTCTCTTTTCTAAACTATGCCATCTAAAATCCCCTTATGAGAATAAATTCAAATAAGCATGGAAAGTAAGTCATCTAGTTACTGTGAAATCAGCAAGGCTGTAATACTTCTTTCATTTTACAATTGGGTTTATTATTATCTTTAATAACGATACACTCTATGACTCAAAACATCAATTATAGAAAAATGCATATGAAGTGCTATACTTTTGAAATGATTCACAAGTGTGGGGCATTGTATCAGTGTCATAGTTTGTAAAGCAATTTCATTTTTAAGGATCTTTGATTCTGCCAAACATAGCTGAGTATGATTTTTGAATGAGTTTAGCAAAGGCACTCAGCGGCCTTATGTGAAATAGGAAGTCTGGGCTAATGTCCAGAAAAATCACTTTAAAGTGATTTTTTAAAGAGAAAAAAGGTTGGTTGTTATTTTATACACCTACTGGTTAAATTTATCAATTTTAGGAGATCCACTTGATCTTTTCTAAATTCACTGATGTAGGGAAATATGTTTACTTCTTATTCTTTTGGATTGAGGGCTTTTACAGGCTTACAAAGAAGGCAAGCTGTTGAGGTGGGGACCCGCTGAATAAAATGCTAGGCGGCTATGTTAAGTCTCATTCTGTTTTTATTCCATGAATTAATTAAGTATGCTCAGTCATCTAGGGTATGTCTATATCCTGGCATAATTATTTACTTGAATAAATTTTAGGAAAGATGATTTGGAACCAGGTACTAAATGGCTGACTAAATTTTATCATTTTCTCCTGAACTAGTTTATTAGGCTCAGCCTTAACGAATAGAATACTTTTTTTTTAAAATAAATAAGGGTCATACATTAGTTTAATTGCTGTGATCTAATACATACTTTAAAAGTATCATACACATTATACTATATAAAGTGAACAGTTACAATATAAGTACAGTTCAATGATGACAATACCAGACTTCCAAGTCCCAGTTTTAAGTATTCTGTCCCATTGCTAGTTAGATAAAGTAACCTGACATTTGGTTCTAACACTGTTTGATTTCACTTAATATTTGTAGAAACCTGTCTGTTTCTCATTTCTACTTTATTCCAGGAGTCTTCTTGTCTTCAGAGCAGTGGTAAATAAAAACTCCTACTCTAAAGGCTTATTTAATTGCTGCTCTAGTGATTTATCCTATTTGCTTTGAGAAAAAAACCTCCTGCTTCTGTCTAGTGTGGCAGAGCACATGCATTGATGAACTAGCAAATTAGTAACAAACTCTTAAAGGCAAAAACGAAGTGAACTCAGAGACGACGCGTGTATTAAAGGCAGCTTTCATACTGAAGATATTGTTGAACCTCGTGTGAATTTGAGTTAAGAGTGCAATAGACAGAAGACAAACCCCATGCCTTACCAAAAGCAAGATGTGTAATGGGAGTGGTCCTGTTAAATCAAGACGTAAAAGATTAGACTGTCAGTGCAAGGGTGAAGTAACATTCCCTTGTATGTGACCTCCCAGAACATGCAAGAATGGCTGCTCTGGAACCTTGTTACAAATGCAGAGTGGAACAAAATCTCTTGTGTTCATTCACAAACAAAAGCCAGCATTTGCAAGATTTGTAGCCTGAACATACTCTATGTGGGTGGTCTGAAAAATTCAGGCCAAGTGTGGTTCTTGATTCTAATGGTTCAAAATATGTGGCAGAAACAAATATAAATCATCCCCAGAGAAATCCACCTTTAAACAAGCTCTAAAAGAATTCTTACAAAGTTTTCATAAATATTAATTCTCATTTCAAAAGTACAAAAAGCAAAATGAAACAAGCTATTAAAACCAACATATTCTGACTTCAAAATACTTCATGTATTGAAATTAGCAAAAGAGGGTATAAAACAAATATGTTGAACATGCTTACAAGAATAAAAGAGATTAAATACATGGGTAAAGAGCAAGCAACTAAAGAAAGAAGTCCAAACTCATTTGAGAAGGAACCAAATGAAACCAAAAATATAAAATATTTGAGATTAAAATTGCAATAGACCATTTCAGATTAGGTATAGCTGAAAAGAGAATTACGAGCTGGAAAATAAGTTAAATCAGAATGTAATACATAGGGGCAAGGAAGTAGAAAATATGAAAAAGAGTCATGGAAAGGAGAAAGTCTAATATTCATCCCCTGAGAATAACAGCATGAGAAGGGAGCAAGAATGGGATAGAGGCAGTATCTGAAAAAAATAAGGAATGAAAATTTCCCCAAAATGCTGATAGACAGAAATGATTACAATCGGAATGCATGCAAAGAAACCCACACATATCACCATGAAGCTGCAGGACACCAAAGACAAGAGAAGATCTCAAAAGCAGTCAGAGAGTAAAGTCAGGTTACTTTCAAAGGAAAGACAGTCAGGCAGTAAATTCTCAAAAGCAATAGTGAAAACAAGGATTCAGTGAAATAATATAATATCTTCAAAACGCTGAAAGAAAATAACTGCCAATCTAGAATTCTATACCTAGCAAATGTGTTTTTTAAGGTAAGCATGTTCCCTGCAGACCTTCATGAAAGAACATTTTAAAGGCATAAAGAAAAAGATGTCAGGTGAAAGAAATATATATGTGAATAAATCCAAAGGAAAAATAACTTCATAAAATAATTAAAATAGTGTTTCATGAGGTTTATTCAGTTACAGAATTCAATTAAACTATAATTAGAATGAACAACAATAACAGCTCCCAATATAAATTGAACGGAAGGTGTATGTAGTTAAAGTAATCTAAGAAAAAAGGTAAAGATATTGGTAAATTTTAGACCTCTATATAGCTGTATTCCAGGGACAGCTACTGAAAGAAGAGAAAGAATATAAAATCTCTAATCTCAAAATGGGAAATTATGTAATGAGAAAAATAAGAGCAATCTTAAAGAAGATGAGGAAAAAAAAGAAACATAAAATATTTGTGGCATAAACAGAAAGTAACATACTTAGAAAAACAAGCCTATTTTCATATTTATAGTAAGGTAAATGCAGTAAAGATTTCATTTTAAAGTAAAAGCTCATTTAACTACACGAAATTTATAAGAGACACTCAGATAAAACATGGATATTTTCAACAGAAAAGCAGAAAGTAAAAGGATAGAAAAATATATAATGTGATTCTTACCCACAATTTCCTTAAAGAGAAAACTGTGCCAAAAATGTGATTGTAATGTCAGATACTTTATGTGTCTTAAAGTATCTCTTATATTACAAATACGGGATTACAGGCTTAGAACCACAAGCTGCCTAAGTTTGTATTTCTTTGATGCTTTACTGTGTCTCATTATGACTTAAGGCTGTCAACACAGTTTCCTAGCAATCAAAATCGCGGGTAGTGTTTATAAGGTGATAATTTATTTTACTGATGTATTTACAATATTCCTGTCTGTCAAAACAGACTTATTTCATTTAATTGTTCAATTAGATGAGCTGGAATCAATATATAATTGCTTAAAGACAGCACAAAGTGTTAAGAGGAAAGCTTTAAAAGCTTTTTCTGGTGTGGAACTAAATATTCTTGTTTAGTTCACTTGTTAGAAATGATTTAAATGATCTTTTTGACTTAATGCTATTTCACATTTAACTGGAGCTGTTGCACTACAACATTCCACATAAATCCTACTCACATATAAAGGAAAAAATCCAGTTTAATCCTTAACTGTAATGAAGAATGCTTTAACATTTTCATCAGAGGATTTTTCTAGCTTAAATAAATATAATAATATAACTCAAATAAATGAGTAGGAGGATTTGAATTGGAGACAAGGTGAAAAACAGTGCATAGAATTGGAATGAAGGGTTACTTTTCTTGAGATGGAAAATACACTTAAACTTAACATGAATTCGTATGAATGTTTGTGCAGATAAAAAAGTCATTTTAATGGGTGCAGTCTTAGAAATCAATCCCTAAACTTTCCTGCATTGATAATTCAATAATCTATCACTATAGAATATGAGTTTTACTATGCAATGCTTACACAGTCCACTAAAATGAAGCGTTATAAATTATTTCAAGATGTGGATATTGAATGATTGAATAGGATACCCACTGGCAAAGTTTCATATCAGCATGGAGACATGTAAATTCATGCTTTAGCAAAATTACAAAATATGGACCTAACAGGTTAATAGCAAATGGCAGAACCCATGAATGTTAATTCTATGAATTTCAGATTTCTACCTACTCTTCTACTCATATAAGTGGAAGACTGTGAAAAATGTTATTGTAATTAGGAATAATCCGGTATACAATTTACTGTCAGAGGATGCTACTAATTTTGCATTTAATTTCCTGAAATGTCAGGAATGAATACTGATAAAGACACAATCCAGATACAAAAATTGATCTTTACTATGAGCAGAACATTAATTTTTTTCGCCTTACAATATAGTACATATCATCTGTGTTTAGCAAATTGACTTGAATTATTCATGCATAATCAAAATCTAAATCACTGTCCACAAACAAATTATTAGTGTTCACATTTGGGTTCAGGTACTCATTGGCCATTAGGTGTAATCTAACAGCCAATGAGTACCTGGAGCCATTGGAATAACCTGTATTTTCTGAAGAAAATTATTGCCCTGGAAATGGTCAGCTAAAGGCAAGGCTTTCAGCAACCCAGTCAATTATTTATGAATATCAATTAGTTTCTTCCTGCCTTTTCACCTAACTCATGAGAGGCTGACTCACTGACAACAGGGAGAGACAGTAAGGATGGAGGGATTGGCTTGGGCAGTGTTAGATTCTGCAGCTGTTCTAAAACGTACTTGGGATTTGTTTCAGTCAGGTATGGTAAGACAGAAAACATGGAAATGATGATTGTGAGGAAGAAGTTTCCATTCATAGATCCCTGGAAAGAGAAGGCACAGCAGAGCCCACAGGGCCACCTAGGGAAGTACCCAGGTTGGCCAGGAGACAGAAAGAGGGAGAAGACAGAGCATGCCCAGAGCCTTTACTGGGGATTTTGTGGGCAGGAATAGGCAAGGCAGGCTGGCATGCTGAGTAAGCCTAGGACTGGATAGTTTGAATAACTTTGGCAGGCTATGGGCTGTAAGGAGTGATCCCTAGTTGTCTGACACTTAGCCTAGGGGCGATGTAGGGTAGAGGGAATACTGGCTTCATATGTGAGAGTTTTTAAAGGAGATGTTTTGGGGTGCAGCTGTGAATTGTTGGCTTGTTTATAGAAAGGGGGCTAGCAGAGTGTCGTCTGCAATCTCTAAAAATTAGCTAGCCCTGAATTTCCAGGATTAAGGCTCCAAATGCCAGAACATCAAGAATACAAACAATAGGAAAATATAGTCAATGCAGCAATCTTATCTTTGTCATCAGGCTAAATAAATCGATGAATCACTATCTGGACTGAAAAAATTTAGCGAAGCTACTAGAAAGTTAACCATGTATATCAGGATTGCACAGCGCTGCTTTTGGTAGCATGTTTACAGTTTAATTTTCCAAAAACAAAATTCTCACAATGGTAAAAAGAAGAAAAGGTGGCTGACATAAAACCCATCTTCCTATTCAGATAACTTAAAAGAATGGCTCTGCTGGTGACAGACACACAAATAAACAACTATATTGGTAAGGCGTTAACAAAAGGTATGCAATGAATCACCCAGGAAAGGAGTCATCTAATATCCCTGGCACTTACTTTCCACGTCCTCAATATGAAATGGTTGGGTCAGGTGGCCACAAAGGTTTCATGTAACATCATCACCATACATCTCCTCTCTCTCTCTGTCTCTCTCTCTCTCTCTCTCTCTCTCTCACACACACACACACACACACACACACGACCTTCATTGTACCCCAGTATACTGCCTTCTTAAAATGGTACATTGAATATACAGGCCCAACCTTCTGTGGGCACAAACAACTTTTACGCTTAACACATCTATATTTAAAGGATTTCTCAGGGGCTTTAAAGTGTAATTGGACAAGCAGGTGGTTTAATCCAGTATGTTTGTAACCTCATGCTTCATTAACAAAGCAGGTGTCTCCCTCCAATGTTTCTCGCATGGATGATATAAACTTGTACCCAGCACAGGTCAAAGAAGGTGCCTAAGAATAGTCTCCCATAGGTCCTAAAAATAACTTATTCATACCTTAGAGGTATCATCGCCTTCATCTTCATGCACTGAACTGGATGGTGAAGGAGTTGCAGACTTGCTTCCAGGTGGAGATGGTGAGTTGTGGGGAACATTGCTTCCTCCCATATTCAAACCAAGTTGAGCACTTAGCTGTGACTGGTTAATGGTAGTCAGCTGGCCATGTGGCATCATTCCTGGCTGCTGCCTGATGTCTGCAGGCTGGCCCCTTGGTCTCATGGCTGCCATCTGAGGATGGGAACTGTACTGAGTTCCTTCTGGGTTTCGTATATCTGGCATCTACAATAAATAAATAAATAAATAAATAAATAAATAAATAAATAGGAAAGGAGTAATTTTAACAAATATGTTTTGGGCAAAAAAGTAATAATTCTTTAGATTTCCAGATGTTCTGCTGAGTTACATACACATTTATTTTATCTGGGGTAAAATAATCCTAAAAGTATATATCACCATAAAGGATAGCATAAGACTACCAAAAGACTGGAATTTGAGAATCCAGTTAGCATCATACTTCATTACTCAAGATGTGATTAATTATATTTACAGTCTTTCTACACTAGTGAAATATAGAAATATATTATTTATATATGTATTTGTATATTACAGCATGATCATATTTATATAACGTAAGTTTCAAGATGTTGATGCTCATTAGAGTGTCTGTCAAAATTATTCAATTATTAGTGATTACAATATTCACAAAAATTCATTAAACCCTGTTTGTTTTATCTTCATCATTTAAGAAAGGCTTTGGGAGTTAATAAGTATACTCTTGTACTCAGTTTAAAGCTTTACAGGGTATTACTAGCCAAAATGATCTCCTAACTACCAGACTCAAAACACTGATAGGCTGGTATTAACCAATTATTAATTGACTATTGAAATGACTGCACAGTCAGACTTGAAAGTAAAGCTCTAAAATTGCAAGGTCAACATATTAATCCATTATGCTATCTGAGTCACTGGTTTTTAGCCTTAATGAGACTCACTCTTGTAATTCAAGCAATGAATTTTGTCTCTGCAAGGATTAGAATTAAAAGCATTGGAGGATGAAGCTTTTAAGGTATCTAGAGGTCAAATGTATTGTATAAGAGGAGTATGGAGAATTTCACTTAACATTTCTCTGGCATTTTCAAACTTAAAATAATGGAGAATATTTCATGGTGCTTATTGGAGCAGCTCAGTTTTTTCATCCTGAGGGGAGCTGAGGAATTCAGGCAGGTAGAGGGCACACAAAACAAGAGAGAAAAACAAGAAAACTGTGAGGAAAAAAGATATATGGTTAAAGTTACACGTTGGAAGTGAAAAAGTAATAATGTTACCTTATTCTGTTTCATTAGAAAAGAAAATCCCACAAAGTATCAGATGTTTAGCAATGACCTGTCTGCAAATGTTATTGTGACGTGAAAATACTGTGAAGGCAAATTAAGTAACCTAGTCATAGGTTCTTGTTTTTGTTTTTATGATAGTAAAATCATTTTACACCATTTTCCCTGTAGTCATTTTACCAATCTAGTTAGATTCACCTAAAGCTAAAACTGAGGCTGTCCACAGCCCCCATGTGTGCCCTGTGTTCTTCTCCGGAACGCATTTACTGCCTCCACCATGAGGCCTCTTATTAGTCAATTTCACTCCTTTAGCTCCTTTCCAACTTTGGTTACTTCTCAGTCTTCACGCACAGTTCAAGGTATCCTAGACCTCTGGCTGGCCTCATGATTTGTACCTGCCTTTTCTAAGTCCGAATCAACGTTTTTTCCATTATCCAAACTGTATTCCTCCAAGCCTTCAAAAGTAGTTCAGGATTCTCCTTTCTGTGATGTCCCTCATAAAGCAGCTTTTACTATTCAATGGTGCATGCAAGAGCTGCAAAGGCTCTTGGTGACACTGTCAGTCTATGGAAGAGGAAAACTGGGAGGGGGTGATGATAGTGCAAGCTTGTTGAATGTTTGTGGAATAAGTATATAAATAATTATAAATGAATAAATGAAGGAGTGAAACCCAAAGAGATCAAATGACTTGACCAAAACCAAAGATAAAACCCACCTCTCCTAATTCCAGTCTTTGATACTTCCCACTGTGTTAAGCAGCTGATTCAACATTTTACATATTCCATAAAAAGGATTACAGTTAATTAAAGATACTTAAAAATGCATTTTCAAATGTTGTCTACCCAAATCAACAATGGTTTTATCTAGCCCATTCATGTTGCCTTCAGTCACATTTACTAAAATGGTTGTTGCCTCTTCTTAGATGTACATGTAACTTCTACAATCTGATCTTCTTTATGAAATAATACTAACTTTCACTGATATCCTTAAAGTTGTGCCAAGGACAGAGGGTACCATGAAAATTAGGACTGATTTTTAAAAATACACAGAAGAGACAGTGTATACTAAATTTCTTTTCAGGCCTACTGTCAAATGTCCTCAAGTCCTGTATGTTTTTAGACCCTTAGCATGCAGAAAAGCTCCCATTATGGGCACAGAGTAATGGCTACCTGTAAGTGGACACTATCCTACAGGGGGGCAGTCTTCTTTCCCAACCCTGAACCAAATAAAGCACTAATGTGCATATTCCAACTTATATGTTTTATAGCCTTGTAAATGAAAAGCATTTAGTAGCAAAATCATACTTCAACTAAATGATCTTTCCAAAAGTATGTAACTAATTGCTATCTTTATTTCTCCTTCACATAAATCCCAAGTTACAAAACACGTACAGTCTGTAACATGTCTGTATTGAGCCCATTTCTTCTCATCCTTTCAGAAATCTTGTGGTTTTAATATATCAGAGAGGATGGTTTCTAAATTAATTTTCATGTGGAGTTCCAGATTTATGACTACAACTAAAAGTGTTCCAAAAGCTTGAAGCAATCTTCACTTTATCGCACTTTCTCTCCTCCCCTGTCTTGCAATCTTCTAAGATGTTTTCTCATGTTAATTTGTGTAGTGTGTAGATCTCTGGACACTAAAATCTGCATTCCCACTCTTGCAATGGAAGGAGAAGAAGGTGGGTGTGGCTATGGAAGAGTAAAGTATCAATCTGGGTAAGGATGGTGAAGTACTCAAGAGGGTACCTCTCTTTCCACAGTCTCATCATTAGTTCAATGTATCCTGTCACCAGTGGTGTTAGGTCAGGCAGACAGCTTGAATACCAAATCAAAGCACTCTTTTCCTGTGTGGAGCATGGCAAGCACAAATGAGGGAGCATATCTGTGTCTTCAGTCCTCAGATACACTTACAAACAGTGGGATCTACCCATGGCAACATTTCTGAATTAGGAGGAGTATTTCCACTTACCTTGTTTTCCTAAGAGACAGTTCAGTATTAATCACTGCCTAATGTATAATATGGGGAAAATTAAACTCGATAAAGTTTGATTACTGAAAATATGAATAATTAGTTAGATCATGCAAGTAAGCTAATGTTTTGACTATTGGTTTCCTGCTGTAAAGATATTGATTGACTACAGCTCTGTCATGTCAAATGCAAAACCTGAAGTAGCAGAATATTATTTCCTGTTAATCACCAATATTTTAAATTTATTTTGAATAATTCACTTAAGTCATGCTTAATTGCAATGGTTGTTCTTTCTGATTCTTCTCAACCCCTTCACTGACTTCTCTTTTTTCTACAACGTCCCACCTCTAAGTGATTCCTTAACATGTTATTCTGAGTCACATTTCTTCCACCCAGATAAAATTTGCCATGGTTTTATTAATGGGAAATGTTCTCAACTAAAATGTACAATTCTGACCCAAATTCCAAGCCTAAGTCTGCAATTGCTTGTGAGACATTACTACTTGGACATCATTCTTGCTAGAAATGTGAACAAAGTTTTCTTTCTCAAATCTATTTTTTTTCTGTCTGACCAATATCTGTTGATGACACCTTCATCTTCCTTGTCACCTCTACTCAAAATGTTGCAGTCATTTTTGACTCTTTCCTTTTCTACCAAACTCTTGTGAGTTCTGTTGGGTCTACCCTGAAACATCAATTATTTCCATCTGCCCTTCCACCCGTTTCCACACCCATTCATCTATCCAGGCCTTAATTATCTTTTCACTTGCAATAGCTGCTTAACTAAAATTGGTCTCTTTACATCTACCCCAAAGAGTGGTACAAAATTAATCTTCATGAGCCATGGGCTCAAAAATTCTCCAATGACATCTGTCCCCCAAATTAAATCCAAACTGTTCAGCATGACATGAAACCTTCCAAATGAAACTCACACCTATAACCATCCTTCATCTACTCTATTGTTCAGTCAAATCCAATTGCTCCTTTTTTACCTAAATCTCTCTCCCTTAATCATGCGTCTTTGTTTACGCTGCTCTGTCATTATTCAATTACCATTTTCCGAGAATTTGCTGTCTAAAGTTATTAAAAAGAGGGGAAAAACCCCATACTTTGCTCAGTGATTTGTGGTTTGCCCAGTACTTTTACTTATTGATCCTTGTAACTTCCCTTTGAGGGAGCCATGTAGGAATAGCTGCTTTGCAAAAGCCCACAGAGAGGTTAAATGATCTCAGATCTTTCTATCAACAAAGACTGAAGTAAAAATGAAATATACTTTTTTTACATACTTGTACTTTCCCCACGATTCCATGCTGCCTTTACCATCTTCATATATCCAAACCCTAAATGTACTTTAAAGTCAAGTTCAAAGGTCACCTTATCTATAAGGCTCCAAGAACCTTCTTATTCTGAATTGCCAAAGCATTTTGTTTATACTTTCTTTATGGGACACCACTTTAAAATTTATTTCTTTAACATGTATGTACCTTCTAGATAATAATCTCCTTGATTAGTTCATGACTAATGCATTTTTCAATCCCTCTTGAGATATCTTTTAGTTAAATGGTATTCCAAATATTCAAAAAATATTTGCTGTGTCAGTGTGTAACTAAGGAAATGAATTCATCAGTATAAACTGACTTTAACTAGTCTGATGATTTTTCTTTTTTCCTGGGAACTTCTTAGTCACAAGATGAAAAGACTTGATTAATGTCCATTTCCCTTTGTGGCAGAAGCCTCAAGCTACCCTCCTACACTCATTTTCCTTTTGTGCTGAAAAATGGGCCCCTCTAGCTGGCTCAAGGAGGACATTTGTAGCTTCCTTTGCAGCTATGCATGGCCCTGTGACAATGAAATGTAAGCGGAATCCTCGTGTGGTGCTTCCAAGAAGTCTCCATGAAGGGAGGGGCTCACCTTCCTTTGTTTTTTTTTTTTTCAAGTTCCTGCTGGCAAAAACGTGGAGGTGATGGAGAGAGCTAGGGAAAATATCTTGGACCAAGACATGGCACCATAAGGACGCTGAAGGCACAAGAAAGGAGGCTGAGGGTGTGATTATTCTGGAGCCTGGACAACCTACTTACAGTGGGAGTGAAAGGGAAGTAAATGTCTGTCATTGCAGAATTACTGACATTTGGGGTTTTCTGTTATAGGCAGCCCAACATAATCCTAACTGATACACCCTAACAGATTATAAACTTTAAAAAGCTGGGAGAGAATTTATTTTGTTCACCATTATAGCCCTAGTATCTAGAACAGATCTTGGCACGTAGTAGGAACTCAATACATATTTCTTGAGTTAACACTGAATAGATGTTTAGGTCTGGTACAATTAGAATTGATGATGCCAGCTTCACATAAATAGTTGTTATAAATCCTTAATCTTTTGGGAACTTCATTTGCTAAATTCTAGGGCTCAAATGTCTCAAAGGTAATTTCTCATGTGTGTGTTCCTCATTTTGTTTATTTTCAAGCCTAATGAACTTCATATTTTCTTGGCAAAATGTCCTGCATGTCATTGGCATTTTAGTGTTGCGTGGCTCTTAATATTTATCTCACCATTTGCAAAACTCTGTCCATTTGAAAATGGGTGCTAGGTTTCACTTTTTTGGAAGACAGATCTGTTTCCTAAAAATTTACATTGCTATTGATGACCATTGTCAATTAAAATAATGAAGGGGTATTATAATGATGAAGAGGAGATTTCAATTTTTCCAATTAATGCAAAACAAAAGTCCCATTAAAATCAATTAGGAAGCCAAAGCTGAAGTCATGTATTGTCCCTCATGACCTGCCTTGATGCTAAGGCCATGTTCCTTTCTCCCCTTGTCTGGTTACCTAGAGCTGAAGAGTGCCACGTTGAGGACAGAGCTCAAGGTGCAAACATGAGGCACAATATTAGCTACATATTTCAGCATATGTTTTCACTTTCTTTCCTTTGATTTTCTTTCTTTTTTTTTTCTTTGAGATGGACTCTTACTCTGTCGCACAGGCTACAGTGCATTTGCACGACATTGGCTCACTGCAACCTCCGCCTCCCAGGTTCGAGTGATTCTCCTGCCTCAGCCTCCTGAGTAGTTGGGATTACAGGCATGTGCCACAACACCCAGCTACTTGTTGTATTTTTAGTAAAGACAGGGTTTCACCATGTTGGTCAGGCTGGTCTTGAACTCCTGACCTCAGGTGATCCACCCACCTCGGCCTCCCAAAGTGTTGGGATTACAGGCGTGAGCCACTGTGACTGGCTCCTTGGATTTTCTTTGAAAAGCAAAAGAAAAATAAAAACCCTGTGCTCATCTCAGGTTATTATTTTTAAAAAATGAGTAAGATTTTGGTGTAACTGGAATGGTGAAAAAAAAATCCTTGGAATAACATTAGTCATGTTAGTGATGAAATAGTGTTAAAATCACATACTTGAATGGCACCAGAACGATGGAGGGCCTGCCTTTCAGTGTTTAAAACTCTGTGTGCTTCACAATCCTTCCAGAGTCTGTATTCCTCCTTCAAGTATCTGCATCCTTCCCCGTCCAACACACCAGCCTTGAAAGCTATCATTATCTCTGCCTCTAGCAGACAATCTATATCAAAACAGTTGTACACATAAAACTGCACCACCGCCTCGGCTGGCTCTGCTCTGATCCAGCTGTTAGAGTGAATAGCAGTTGGTGCACAGAGCGCTGGAACATGGGTAGCCCTGAGGCCTTATTTGCTAATGTGGCTCACCAGCTGCTGCTTTCTGTGGTCTTTGCAGGCAAGGCCTGGAAGGCTGCCAGTTGCAGCAGGAGCAGGAGAACGTGAGGAATCTCTCAAGCCCGTCCATTTACCCCTGTCTGTCAGCATTTGACACCCTGAGCTGTGGAGTGCTTTCCCCAGGGCAATAAGGAGACCCTGCTGGCTTTAGCTGTGACAAGTGCTTCCTCTCGGTCCCTTTTATACACACTATCAAACACACACCGTTCATAGCACCTTAAGAAAAACTTCTGAGCCTTGCTCTTGGCTGTCCATGCAGGCCTGCATGATTAATTAGGGCAGGAAGGCAAAGCGGTTTCATTTTTCTTAGGAATAATGCACTCTAAGAGTCTATGAGAAGAATGTAAATGTTGATATTATTTAAGTCCCCAATTTGATTACATATTTTTGCCAGGGATTCAATTAATATGTAAATGTATACAACAGAATAAATGTGTGGGGAAATTTAATAATCAAAATTTATTTATTATTTTCCTAAATGCATTTCCGAGAGAGCTTAATTATTTGTTGTCCAAACACATTAAATAAATCGTTTTTACGTGACCTTCTTGTGATCTATTTATTATGTAGAAATGTGTACTTTAAATAAACTTTATTTTAAGATTTTTGCTATTAGACTTCAATTAGTTGCACTGAACACTGATAATTAACAATGAAAGAGGGAAAATTTGGAAAAATACATATGCACAGAACTTGCTATATTTTTAAAGATTGAGACAAGTGAGGTTCAAAAGAAAGGTTGGACATTTTTATAAAAATGTATTTTTATCCTCAGTATTTTAATTTAGAATAACTTGATTTCAACTCTGCATTTCCAAAAACAAAATTGTTTTTGTATTTAATATTTGGAATCTTCGCTTTTCTTTCAAAAGACAATAGCAACAAGTAGGGTTCAGCTTTCTTTACAGTACGCTACAATAGAATACCTGTAGTTTAGTTAGGGTAATTAGTCATTATAAAACAATTTATCACAAGAAAGTAAGAACCCTGGAGCACAATTTATTAGATATTTGCCAAATGAACAGCCATAGTACTCTCTAGAACCACCATCTTCAGAGAAGATTAAAACTGCCTCAGAAACCAGTGCTCACACTGCCTGACTTCTACATTACCTGACCATCTCACTCCTTTACACTGTGGTCTCTCCATTGTGGCTTCTTCCACGAATGGGCCCCTTATTACTCAAGGAATTTGGTGTGTTCAGAGCAAAACATCACTGAAGAGTCTTAAAAGTGATGGCTAAAAATCACACTGGCTAAAAACCATGTCACCAGTTTTGGTGTTTGTTTGTTTGTACATCGTCTCCCAGGGATGAACCAAAGATCAGATATTGAAGAGCAGCAAGCAACAGAGAGAAGGGGGACCCTGAACCTGTTAACGCCCTTAGTGCCCTTGCCTGGCCTCCTCTGCAGAACTCCACTGCAATTGCTGCCACATCCAGCAGATCCAGAAAGAAGTGTCTTAGTTGCTCTAGTGTATGCATCTGGATTTATATCTATAAACAACTGAAAAAGCAATTTTACGCCATTTTATTCGATTTTTTTCCTTTCTCTAAAGGAGAGGGGGGCCGTGTGCTATTGTGGAGGCAACCCTGTTCATGACACCTAGCTGCCACTGTTTCTAATGAGTTGTCTTACTTTCAACTTCTTTAACCCTCATTTTTCAACTCATAAAAAGAGGATAATTTTTCACCAACAAATATTTATTGAGTGCCTGCTATGTGCCAGGCACTGTCTTAGGTACCTGGTCCACAGTGGTGACCATGTAGTTGGAATTCGTGCCCTGATGCAGCTCACTTCCTAGTGGAAGAGACAGACAAGACAATAAATATTTTAGGACAGTGAGATGTTGTAAGGAGACAAATAGGAGAGGAGTGTACTGACCTTAAATGCTTCCTTAAAACATGACTGTGAGGATTAACTAAGATAAGGACTACGAATGCATTTTGTCACAAATGAATTCATTTTTGTGGTTGCTGCTCACGCTGATGGTTCTCTTCGGTTATTATCCTTGAGTTGCTTTCCCTGACCAGTTCTGGTCCCTGGTGAGCCACTGACACAATTATGACCAAACATTCTGGCAGCCAAAAGCTTGTATCTATGGGGACCTTCCCTGGGATAAGCAGGGCAGCTTACAGTCACAGAGCACAGGGTTTCACTGAGAGAAAGTCAACAGCACAGATAAAGGTTGAACTTATAACCTGGGTTTTAATAGCTCCCTGATCAAGGCTAATAGGCTAACTGGTAGATACAAAGTTCAAAAACATTTTAACGTATAAAAAGGTATTCCAGTTCATAGGACAGCATTCTTTTCCATCAACTATGTACATATAATCTCTCTTTTGGATCACAACTTCGGCCAGGAGGTTATGGCGTATAGCGTTGCCCTTTAACTGCACAGTTGGAAAGATGTTTTTTACTCAGATTGAGCCACCTCGTTTCTGATTGCTTCATGCCAATGCCATTTGTTTCCTGCTGTGAATCTTAAACTATCAACGTCAATATTACCAAGTTTGACACACCGTGCTTCAGTGAGCCCTTGAAAGGGCTTTCCTGCCCAGCGAAAATAAAGGAAATGTGCAAATGGGCAACAGGCAAAGTTTACTTTTACTTGACAAGGTGCATCTCTCATAACTGCAGATAATGGCAGGACATGAGAGGCTCACGGACTAAAGGGTCTGTCCTGTCTAAAAGAGCTCTGGGGATCATGTGGTCCACCCTCTGATTCCCAAAACATCTGAATTAGCAGTTCCTACAAATTACATCTCTGGTAAGGGGAGTTTATGAATGTGCTCTGGGTCTACCTATGATTAGAATCAACGAAGCCTTTTATTTGTATTTGTATAGATCATGACTTTTGCATCTGTGCTACAAAGTGTAGGCAGTGTTTTGTTCACAAGGGGCTATGATTTTATATTAAAAGTGTATCAAACATGCTACTGTTTGCTCATATCTCCTTTGTTTTGATGTGCCCAGAGAAGGGACTGAATAATGTGCTTTATTTCTAGAATACTTTCAAAGGATTGTGTGCATTGAAATAAAAAGAATGGATTGGAAGTGTAGGTTAAGTAATAAGAAAATTGGGACGTACTGGGAGACATGCCGTCTGGGAGTAGCGGATCACTTACTAGAACTACCTCTGTGTATTCATAGCAGCATGAGCTAGCAAGAATGCTTCTTCACACCATATTTAAACTTGGGAATTTAAGTTGCTTTCTCATATTTTTCCACGGAATGTTAATGGGATGCTTGCAAAAATAGAGATGTCAAGTGGGATATTGACTTCCTAACATCAGTTCAGAACATTGATATTTGAGTTCATTTAGAGGCACTTAAATCATTAGATACACGTGACATTCAGCTTAAAAATACATCTTAAGAAGCAAAATTAAAACCTTATATTCTGCTTGAGCCAGACAGCTTCCCTGTGCAGAATACTTGTATGCCCCAACTTATTGGAGACTTGAAGAAAAGTACAATTTTTACATTAGTATTTTATTATGGAAATCATCCAATAATCCTTTCAAATAATACATTATAAAACATTAAAATAGCATGAAACGAAGACAGGAAAAGGCTGGAAATCCTCTCCTTTTGAGCATGGTATTAATAACTTGGAACAATCATTCTAGGAAAATTACAATGTCTTTCAGCTATTTTAAAGTGTCTGACTCTGTAAGTGACCTTAAGCTCCTTTAAAACAATTACAAGATTCAAATATTTGTCTGCCAAAATTTTATAGCATGTTAGATAATGGGATAGATGTAATTATATATAGTCTCAATATTTCTAGGTATACCTAATTTAGTTAATATTAACATCACTCACTCATTTATGGTTTTATAAACTTTGAGTCACATAAGGTCAAGGTCTCAAAACTAATCATAAAAACTAGTGACTGCTATTCATGCTAATATAATGATCCTTTCTTTAAAACAACAGCCAATAAATTTCATTATAAAAAGTTATTAAAAGGGTTAAAAACCTATTAAATGTCAAAGAATTTGCCTGACTCAAACTTCTAATAAAGAAAGAGAATAGGCTTTCTTTCTGAATTATTTAAATCTTTACTGACTGTGCACCGAACCATGAAATTAGAAAAGTGTTATTAGAAGTATTCTCTGGTTTTTATAAAAGTTGGAGCCCAGAATGTATCAAGCCATAGTCTTTAACTAGACTAGCTAAAGCAGTAGGTCTTTAATCCTAAATACATGGCTTCTACTGATATAAAGATCATAATTAAAACTCTATCCTGTAACTTGGTGATAATAAAGTTATTATTACAGAGGCACACATGTTCATTTAGAATATATGAACTACATGTTCTAATTTTAATTTGAACAAATATCTTCCATTTTGGGGGGATAGTTCCATGTCCACTAACATAGACCCTCTCAACTAATAATAAGGTTTTAATAGTGACTGACTTTAAAGCACTAATGTTAATAATTTGAATTATCTATCATTTACTGGTTTAACACCTACCAAATATACATTGAAATTATGTCATTATGGTCTAAAGTGTTAAAAAAAATCATAATCCTGCATGATTATAGCCCTGTGTGACAAGTGGCATAAATAAATTTAGGTATTATTGAAAAATAGGAAATATATCTTTCACATTTTCAATCTCTATTTCTCCAAGTGACTATACTCAGCACAACTGATTTGAACTGGTCTCTCTCTCACAAGCAGGTAACTGTCCTCATATCAGTTTCCTCAAATGCCCATTCTTAGCCTTTGGTAATTGTGATTTTAAGTTCTCTTATTAAAAATATCTAATACTGACAGGTCCCACCTAATATACTAAGCACGGTACTAAGAAGTTTCCATGAATTACCCTATTTAGGACTCACAGCAACCAGGTGAAACTGTTACAGTCGCCACTGCCATGGTACTCACGAGGGACCCAAAGGAACAGAGAGGGCATTCTCCAGTTATTCAGTAAGTGGGTCAGCTGCAATTTGTCACAGGGCGCCTGATCTCAAAGCCTATATCATAACCATGGAACTGTACTATTGACTCAGTGTATGATCTGATGATGTTTTTAGCTGTTCTTTAAACAAAAGATAGTTGGAAGGACTTATAGGGGAGGATGCAGCTAGAACCTAGAATGACTGAATTTAATGCACTAATTTCTTTTGCAGGAAATTCAATTAATTTTTTTTTTAACTGAACACTTACTCTGTGCCTCGCACTGTGAGAGGTCCTAGGGGAAACAAAGACAGATGAGACTATCCCTGTACTCAAATAACTCACAGCCTGGAAGACATACTATAATACAAGTCAAAGGGGATTAATTGCTATAACCAAAATTGCACTGCTATAGAATTGCAGAGAATAATGCTGCAACAAGGAGTCTGTCTGCATTGCATTAAAATTGCAGTGAGCATCACTTAGAATTAAGAATTTTTTTTTTAACATCAGAAGGTACATGAGTAGAATTTAACTCCGGAGGCAATATAATTGACAGCAGACACACCATCTAATTGTTTGACAGTCAGTACATCTGCTATATTTTCATAAAAGTAATGATATGTCTAAGATAGTGTGAAAGAAAATTGAACAAAAATAAAACAATCATGTGGCCTTTCATCCAATGATAAGGATGAGTTTAAAACCTCAAAAATTCAACATACAATCAAATTATACTTTAAAAAATGTGGCTAAAAGCTATCTGACAGTTTGATTTCTGTTTGGGAATTAGCAATGTGATTCTTAAGTGTATTGTCCTGTAAGTCTTAGGATGACTAGACTTAGTCTGTAGTTTCAAGACTATATGTCAGAATATATTCTGAGGTATAAAGTTGTTTTAACTGAAAGAAATCAAAAAACAAAAATAAAAAATACACTACCATTTGATACTATATTAGCAGAGAGACCATTTCACCAGTCCCCAAATATGGGCCTAACGTTTCAAAAATAACTTGGGTTTTTTCATTGGGTCCTAAAAAACATTTATGGGTACAGCAACAGTAGCCATTTTTATCTAGAGCTTTACAACGTTCATTTCATTAGCTAAAAATGTTGCCACATAAATTATGCTTTCACAGAGTGACTGACAAACATTTCCATCAAAACCTTTCTTTATATTGTTTCACTTGTCAATCAGTGCCTTTCACTTGTTAGTAAAGCATGTTTTCTAGAAGGGAAGAATGAAAGCAAAACACTCTGTAAGAGAAGGTGGAGAGTGCACAAGTCTTACTGTGGGCCCAGACGGGGATCATGGCTTAATTATGTGAAAGCTTAATAACTCTCTGAGACAAAATTGAAAGGGAAAAGGAACTTGGAACAAATTCATTGTGAGGCATAAACACTGAGTAGACATCGTTCGCTTAAAAAATACAGTTTCCTTTCACTTTAACAGTGAAAGACTAAATGGATGCTTGATGGGTTTATGAGAGCTGGTATCAGAAACTTGTATCAGAAAAGAAGAGCTTTCCCTACATTCAGTTTTAGATGAAGACAACTTTTCCCACTTAACCATTAAGTGGCATCTCTCCCATGCAATCTAACTGAGGAAGGTGGTGGATGGGTGAGACACTGAGGAGATGTTGACCTTAAAGACCCAGCAAAGCCTGTGGAACCATTTCTAGGCCATTGTAAGCTTTTAAAATTGTGTACAAGGGGTTTAACCACAGGAGAGTAATGAATACATATGTTGATTATAATGACTCTGGTGTGGTCCCTGCCATTATATATTGGAAGGCTGTCTCAGAATAAGAATTCAATTAAGTTTGCAGTTAACTCTGAATATTCATGCCAACAATCAGGATAACACAATTTTGGTAAAATGTCCAAATATTCTCAGAAAACAGTGTTTTTAAAAATTTAATTTGGTATCCTCGTACTTTTTTTTTTTTAGTTTTAATTCTTGTTGAAAACTGTTCTAGAATGCCTTTGCCTGCTTTTCTGTCCCTGTTAAATACCTGATTCTCAATAAAATCTTGAAAGGATTTCAAGAGAATAAATTTTCCCCTCAATTATAATTGTGAAGTTTTGTGGTTATGGAATATGGAACAGACTAAAGCAATTGTATGCTGCTCTGTGGACATGCCCTTCTTAAATATATTTTCGGTCTTTATGTGGTAAAAACAAAAAGAAAAGAAAAAGAAAATATGAGTCAGCTAATTGAGAGTATTGTTTGGAGTCGTTAGTAGAGATTTTAATCTGCCAGGGGAATTTTTTAAAATTAGAAGTAATATTCATTTTGTCATTTCACTATCTTTTTTCTTAATTATGGTAATGACAGTGGCTTTTTTTTTTTTTTTTTTTTGTCCTGAGACAGAGTCTCACTCTGTCGTCCAGGCTGGAGTGCAGTGGCACGATCTTGGCTCACTGCAACCTCCACCTCCCAGGTTCAAGTGATTCTCCTGCCTCAGCCTCTGGAATAGCTGGGATTACAGGCACCTGACACCACACTTGGCTAATTTTTGTACTTTTAGTAGAGACAGGGTTTTACCATGTTGCCCAGGCTGGTCTCAAACTCCTGACTTCAGGTGATCCACCCGCCTCAGCCTCCCAAAGTGCTGGGATTATAGGCATGAGCCACTGTGCCTGGCTGACAGTGACATGTTTTTAACAACAACAAAGTACGACTGTGGCCTAAGTCTATATACTAACAGAACCACTTAAACAATAAATTTCTGTATTGTAAAAGAGTTGACTTGCACTTAGTTATACAGGGATTGCTGGATGAGAAGGTACACTGACTGACATACTCATCAAGCAGTGGTTCAATAACCTCCAACAGGGTCAGACTGCCAGACACTAAAAAGGATAAATTATTTTAGGATTTACATAATTACCAGACTGATAAGCCTCACACATTTTAATGCCACAGGAATAAAAAATAGCAGCATTATTTATTACAAAACCTTAATTGCAACAAAGTAACTGATAGAAACAGCTGCTATGTAAGTACTTACCTTTGGACACAAATTTATGCTTTCTATCCTTTTCTTAACCAATGCCCCCAGGCAATCTTAACTTAGGTAAATTTTTTCAATATGATGCCCAGCCTCCTGAAAAAAATGTTAATTGGCAGAATGGCCATTTAGAATAGAATTATAATCTTACTAACTGCACATTTATAAATTGATATTTGCAACTCTGTTGTCCCCTAATTTCCTGGTGATAGAAGAATTCAAATACTGATGTCAAATTGAGTAGCTTTTAAAAGAATGTTAAGTATGTGTGCTACGGTGAGGCAAGATATTTCTTACAAGTTATGAGAAATGCACTTTGCTTATGGGTAAAACGTGGTTTAATGATATGGAAATAAGCTCAAAGTTCCTCTGTATTGTATTTACTTACAATTTTTGTGTCTAAGACATATTTAATATCTCAGCATAATTATATGACCACAACATGACAACTCCAATAAATAGGAAAAATCTCATTTACATTGATCAACTGAGGGAAAAGTGAGAAACTTGCACCATTAAAGTTTAGAGCCTATTATAGGAGAACAAGAAGGAATATCTACCCAGCATTTTTTAAATTTAAAACCCTCTGATCATTCTTCTGCATCTACATTTACAAAAGCTAATAGAATTTTCCAGGAACAGTTTATTTTTTGAAGACAAAAAACACTCTTGGCAAAGACAGAAGTCAGAATCTTCTGGAATAGTACATTATATTTTATTTCCCCTTTCATAGGCCAGGGGTATTTTAGTTAAAGACTAAAATCACTTATATTTTGATGTTGTTCTTTTTTAATAAAAAAAAGGGAGATAGCTTTTATTTGGCTTATGTTCCTGGCCTTCAGCCCCAAACGCTCATTGTCTGCTCACAAGGTATAGCACATAAGCAGGCGCTGTCCCCATTCTGGGGGTGGGGGTTGAAGGGACTAAAGGGCTGGGTCTAGATGAATAAGGCTCTACGTTTCAGTCTCCCTCGAGGGCAGCCTCCTCTAAGAGGCTTTCCCGGACAAGCCTATTAAACGTAGATCCATCCTTCCTAACCCAAGCATCTTTTTCACAGCATAACCACAATCTAACATTGTCTAGGGTAAGACTCTGCAAACTCTAACATGTACATGAATCTTTTAGGAATCCTCTTAAAGTGTAATTGTGATTCAGAAGTTCTGAGGAGGGGCCTGAGACTCTGCATTTCTAACATTCCAAGGTGGTGTCAATGTGGCTAGTGTGTGAACCCAAGTTTGAGCAGCAGGGCACGAATTTGCACAAACTAATTGGCTCTCCTGACCAGAATCTAAATTCTGAGGGCTGGCTTTTTTGCTTGACTTGTTTACTGCTCTGTTGTCAGTGCCCAATTCAGGCACATTGAAGAACCAGGCTCAGAGGAAATTAGGATGTAGGCACTGAATTGCAGAACCATCAGTTAAAGCTTCTTAATCTCCCAAGAGAGTTTTGTCTTGTTTTGTATTTGATATGGTTTAGCTGTGTACCCACCCAAATCTCATGTTGAATTGTAGCTCCCATAATCCCCACATGTCATGGGAGGGGCCTGGTGGGATATAATTGAATCATGCAGGCAGGTCTTTTCTGTGTTCTTGTGATAGTGAATAAGTCTCATGAGGTCTGATGGTTTTATAAAGGGCAGTTCCTCTGCACATGCTCCCTTGACTGCCACCATGTAAGACATGCAATTGCTCCTCCTTCACTTTCCACCATGATTGTGAGGCCTCCCCTCCCATGTGGAACTGTGAGTTCATTAAACCTCTCTTTTCTTTATAAATTACCCAGTCTCAGGTATGTCTTTATTAGCAGCATGCAAACAGACTAATAGAATTTTGTTGTAAATTCTTTTGCTAGTCCACATGATAGAGAATCAATAAAAAACAATGATTGGCTTTTCTGCACGGTGGACTAATGAGAAAGTTATCTCTTTCAAGTCCTGGGCTATTATTAATTAAGAGAGAATAAGAAATAGAGGGACTTCCACCCACCAAACATGGCAGAGTTTATCAGCAAATGTGGGAATCAAACCATGGCTCTTGGTCTTTAAAAGTTTTCAAAATCTGGGTCAAACTTTCCTAAAGTACTTAAAAAATAGTTATTTAAAATTTCTCAACATATGAATAACTTAAGAAAGAGCTACATGAAAATAAAGGTACAACAATAAAATTTGTGGGATGCAGCCGAAGCAGTGCTTAGAGGAAAATTTATACCATTAAATATATAAGAAAAGAAGATCCAAAAATCAATAACTTAAGCTTCTACCATAGTAAACCAGAGAAAGAGCAATTTAAGCCTAAACCAAACAGAAGAAAAGAAATAATCAAAATTAGAGGAGGATTCAATGAAATCAATAACAGGAAAAGAACAGGAAAAAAAAAAAAATCAACCAAGCCAAAAGCTGGTTCTTTGAGAAAGCAGTAAAATTGATAGACCTCTAGACAGGCTAGTCAACAAAAAAGAAGACACAAATTACCAATATCAGAAATGAAAGAGGAGCCATTAATACTGATCTCAAGGACATTAAAAAGCTAATAATCCTGGCCAACATGGTGAAACCCCGTCTCTACTAAAATACAAAAAATTAGCTGGGCATGGTGGTGCGTGCCTGTAGTCCCAGCTACTCAGGAAACTAAGGCAAGGGAATCACTTGAACCCGGGAGGCAGAGGTTGCAGTGAGCTGAGATTGCACCACTGCACTCCAGTCTGGCAACAGAGCGAGACTGCGTCTCAAAAAAAAAAAAAAAAAAGCGTTAATAGAAGTATAATATGAATAAGTCTATATTTACAAATTTGAGAAGTCAAATGAAGTGGAACAATTCCTTAAAATTCAACAACTACTAAAACTCATACAAAGAGAAACTGACATCCCAAATAATCCTTTACTTGCTAAATAAATTGAATCAATAATTAACAATCTTCCAAAAAAAATCACTAGTCCCAGAAAGTTACCAATAAATATTTAAGGAAAAAATTATACCAATTCTCCACAATATTTTCCAGGAATTAGAAACAGACGAAAGACTTCATAACTCATGCTATGAGAACAGTATTACTCTAATATTAAAACCAGACCAAAACACAAGAAAAGAAAATTAAAGACTGTTAACTCTCATAAACACAAATGCAAAACTCCTCAACAAAATATTTACAAATCAAATCTAAAACTGCACCACAACCAGGATTTATATTAGATATACAAGGTTAAAGTTCAACATTAGATATACAAGGTTAAAGTTCAACATTAGAAAATCTAACAATGTATTACAACACATCGACAGTCCAATAATCAATGTATTCTAACACATCAACAGGCTAATGAACAAAAACTATATGATCATATCTATAGATGCAGTAAAAACATGTGACAAAATATAACACCATGCATGAAAAAAAAAACCATAGCAAACCAGGGGTGGAAAAGAACTTCCTCAACTTGATTTTTAAAAATCTTTAAATCCTATGGTTGATATCATACTTAATGGTGGGAAAGTGAAAGCTTTCCTGCTAAGATCAGAAACAAATCAAGGATGTCCCCTTTCACTACTATTATTCAACGTTGTACTGAAAGTTCTACCTAATGCAATAAGACAATGCAAGAAAATAAAGGGTTGAACAGATCGGAAAGGAAGAAATAAGACCGACTCTATTCATAAGTGACATAATTGTCTATGTAGAAAATCCCAAAGAATTAAAAAAAATCTCCTGGAAATAATAAGTGAATATAGCAAGTATGGAGGATATAAGGCTTTCCTGTATACCAGGAGTGAAAATTTGGAATTTGAAAATTTAAAAATACCATTTACAACAGCACTCCAAAAATGAAAGACATAAATCGAACAAACAAGTACAGGACTTACACACTGAAAACCACAAAATATTGATGGAAAAAACCAAGATAGGCTAAATATAAATAGATACCCTGTGTTCATGGAATAAAAGGGTCAGTATTGTTAAGATGTCAGTTCTTAACTTAATCGATAGAGTCAATGCAATCTCAATGGAACATCAGCAAACTATTTCATAGATATTGACAAAATGGTTTTGAAATTTATATGGAAAGGCAAACAACCCAGTATAGCCAACACAGTACCAAAGAACAAAGTTAAGGAACACACACTGATAGACTTCAAGACTTACTATAAGACTTGCAATAATGTGGACACCATGGTATTGGCAAATGAATAGACACATAGATCAATGGAACAGAATAGAGGGCCCAGAAATAGATCCACACAAATATAGTCGCTTATCTCTGGAAAAGGAGCAAGGGCAATTCAATGGAAAAGACAGTCTTTTCAAAAAATTGGTGCTGGAAGATTGGAATCCATATGCTCCTACCCCAGGCCCCAAAAGAAAAGAAAGAAAAATAAAAAAGTAGAGTAGGATCTTTTATTCAATATTAAATAGTCTTCACATACAATTAGCCATCATGCTCCAGGGAATTTACTCTACTGATTTGAAAATGTATGTTCATACCAAAACCTGCACACAAGTGTTTATAGCAGATTTATTCATAATCAGTAAAAAAAAGTCCTTCAATACGTAAATGGATGAACAGAGTGTGGTACATCCATACAGTAAAACATTATTCAGTGATAAAAAGAAATGAGCCACCAAGCCATGAAAAGACATGGTTGAACTTTAAAATGCATACTGCTGATTGAAAGAAGCCAGTCAAAAAAAAAAAAAAAAAAAGCTACATCCCATTTGCTTCCAATTATATGTGGACAGTAAACATTGGTTGCCATGCATCAGGAAGGGAAGATGGTTGAATATAGAAAGCAAAGGGGGCTTTTTTAGGGTGGTATTATTCCGTATGATACTGTAATAGTGCATATAGGAAAGTAGGCATTTATCAAAACCTTTAGAACTTAACCTCATACAAAGTAAACCATAATATATACAAATTTAAAAAGCTATTTAGGACATTGGGGGAATCTCAGGATGAAAAGTATAATGTGACAAAAGAAGCTTAATGTATTGCAAACATATGAAACAACCTCATTGAAAGGAGCAGGATAATAAGATGCTGACTTAAGTAATTTTGGAAATGAGAGAAGTCCATAAGACTAAAGGCAAAAGAATTGTACATAAGCACTGTACCCTAGTTCATAAAGTTGCTTCCCAAGTGGGCATGGGTTTACTTACAAATTGGATACCACTATTCCATGGCAGATGGTGGAATGGAACCCTGATTTAAATGGATAGTGGATGTGGGTGCCAAGTTTCTCACTATTGTGGTGGGTTACAGCAAGAGAAGGAGGCTATGCAGCAATGGACTGGAGTTGAAGACAATCAGTATGAATTCATATTTAGCTTAATGTAGATACATGTTTACATATGGAAATATTTATAGATATGTGTTACATATACAGGTCAGTATTCATACATATATCTCCCTAATCTGCCAGTTAAGAGATCCAGGAAGCAATAAAACCCCAGTAGCAATGAGCATACCTAGCCATCTTAGTTTCTGATACCATTCTCCAATAAAAAGAAATAAGGCTCCTTAGAAAAATGGCTTGCTCTAGGACAGGAGCAGAAAATATACAAGATAAGTCTGGAGCATTTTTTTTTCATGGAAGATAGAACATGTACAAAATACAAAACCAAACAATATACACACACATACAGAGTGGTGAGTGTTTGCTAGAAAAATACATACAAGAGCCACCTAAAATAGCCTCATTGGCCAATGCTAGAACAATTTGAGCAAAACACTAAGTAAAATAGTTCTGAATCATAACACAAAGTATAAAAATAAATACCCATGAGCACATTCTGATTAAAGTAAAGGGTTGAATAAGTAAACACATATGAAGGAGAACATACAAGTCTCCAATGCCAAAGAATTTCAAATAATTTATGTAGTTGTACACCTTCAGAAGGGGGGAGCACAACTCCTCATTCCTTAAACATGGGCTGAATATAATAATTTTATTTCAAAGAGTATAGTAGGGAAAGGGAGGGAAAAAAAAGAGTAATGTTACATCAGTGAAACCTGACAAATACCACCTCAAGCAGGTGATCAAGGTCAACATCAACAGTGATAAGTCATACTGATAATGTGGACCCTTGAAATGATGTGATGAGAATGGCACTTTACCTCTATCATTTTCCCCCCAATAGTACATTACCTAATGTATCATCATCAGAAAACCATCGGACACATGCCAATTGAGGGACAAATCTGATGGTCTCAAAATTGCTGAGGTCATCAAAAACAAGGAAAGTCTGAGAAACTGCCTCAACTGAGAAGAGTCTACTAAGACATGAGGACTAAACGTAATGTGGAAACCTTGGTGGAATTCTGGAACAGAAAAGGGATATCAGGGAAAAGCTGAGGAAATACAAATGAAGTATGACTTTAGACAGTAAGAAGCTACCAATATTGATTCATTAATTGTGACACATATATCATACTAATGTAAGATGTTAAAAATAGGGGAATCTTAGTCTGGGGTATGTGACAACTCTCTAGTATTTTCACAATATTTTTTTAAATCTCAAACTTCTCTAAAATAAAAAACTTATTTTTAAAAATTGCCCCAGTTTTACTCCCAATAGTCAAGCTGTATGCTAACCAAGAGTCAGGTATATTAGTTCCCCAAATAATGTTCTTGCTCATTGTACTTGTTAATGCAATTATAACGTTTATTCAAATAGTGTATAAACTGATTAAACCTGCATGCATACAAACAGAATGGTTTCTTTATAAATTAAGCCTAATGCTTTGGAAAGACTGACTAAAGATATGCTGCATAAAAACTTGCTGCTGAATTACAACATGATGATACTTTAAAAGATTATGAAAAATATTCTAAAAATCCATAAAGAATCCTCTTTCACATTGCCTCATAGGAGTCTTTGACTTCTTGCACCCTTTTAAACACATCTAAAGGGAAAATTTTCATAGACAAAGTTTCATATCTGTTGTCCGTACTACAAAGACTACAAGAGCTGGAAACATGGACCCAAACAGTCAGTTGGTGCCTTGGTACTACTCCAAAAAGACTGGATGTTTATATGCTCAACTGTCTTTTTAACCAAGGAACTACTGCATCCTGATGCTTCTACTACATTCTAAAAATATTAATTGTAAGTAGAAAGAAGTTGTCTGTATACTACAATCTCATGTGTGTCAATCAAAGTGCAGCTAAGAATGTTAACGGGATGTTTTTCCCTCCCTAAGGGCTTATTGTGCTGGCATCTGATGGAATCTTTCAAAAGGAAGGCACTAAACTTATACTAAACATCTTTGGAAGATGGTTAGTAGAATATCTGACTACTTTCAATCTTTGCTCATGAGGGAGACTCCATTTAGCTGTCCAGTTGCCAGAGATTCCATGAATATTGGATATTTCTCCTCCATAATCTATTTAAGGGCAGAGACCAGAGATTTCCTGAGTGACTTGTCATTGTCACTTCTTGAAAGGAATACACATCCTGAATGCCAGGAAGCTTTTTTTTTTTTTTTTTTTTTTTTTTTTGGGAAACCATGATAGATGAGGGTCTATTGTTGGCCAAGCATGACAAGGAGCTGGGTCCTATCATTAATCATACTGAAGAAAAAGAAACTTCCAGAGTATTCCTTTCACCTAGTGAGTCTACTATAAGGGACTTTAATCCATCTGTGCCTGGTATCCTTTCTATCAGGTTTCTAAGTGCTGGAAGTGTGCTAACAGGCCCATCCATATTTTTACTCTCTCTGCCCCCTGCCCTTTGGTAGATTTTTTTAAAAAAAACTTTTGGTATTAAAATTTCAGGAGGGAAAGTTTTTTAGTTTAGTAATACAGGAGTGCCTATTCAGAATGATGGAATTTTTATTTTGTTTTAGGGAAGGAAAGAGTGAGAGATGTTTTGAGTGTGTGTGGGTAGACAGTGGTAAGAATATATGTGTTCCCAGGGACATTTTGGCTTCCTAAGACTTTGTGAGCGCTAAGGTAACGTTGGCTTCTGGATTCGCCTACTTGAAGCATTTCAGAGCCAAGATTAGAAAATCAGAGCCAAGGACAAGAATCATGCACTATTTATTCTTGAGAAAGGAAAGTCTACTTGTATTGGAGTCAATTCCAAAAAATCTCAATAGAGGTTGCAAACAGCAAAATGAAGGCAAAATTTTAATCCACCTTAATTTAAAACACAGATATGAGGTCATGAAAAACTTTTAGGAGTAGAAAACAACATTGCAAAGGATGCAAAAACATGTAGGGTGTCTAACACTAAAAGGCGGGGAATTCCCATTATTGCTGACAACTTAGTGGACTATGTCTTTATCTTATCCACCATGAAGGCTATATCTAAACCAGGGTGTCCAATCTTTTGGCTTCCCCAGGCCACATTTGGAGAAGAACTGTCTTGGGCCACACATAAAATACAATGACACTAATGAGCGCTGATGAGCTAAAATACTGCCAAAAATCTCAAGTTTTAAGAAAGTTCACAAATTTGTGTGGGGCCACATTCAAAGCTGTCCTGGGCCACATGTGGCCTGTGGGCCATGGATTGGACAAGCTCGATCTAAACACTCAGGAGGAAGATTCCTGCATTTCCCTTGTTCTAGGAGTCAGCAAGGACATAGAAGACCTCTGAGTACAGCCGACAGTTCACGGAGTCTTTCCTTGGTATGTTTGGACATAAGTACAAGACCTCTCTGGTGGTGACATTTGTCACTGCTTCTGCTTCACATGTGGGAGGCCAACTAAGGAGATTTTTATTACAGCTTACTTTTATTTTATTTTTTTATAAAAATAAAAGTAGTGGTTTCTAACATGATTGGCAAGAATTATGAAATTCTGCTGAGTCAAATAACTTATCTTCCTTAGAAACTCTTTTTAAGTCACTCAAAGATCTCGAAGTTAAAGGTATTACATGTATTGTCTATTAAGGGAGAAATGTACTAGTATATAGTAATTTAATAGTTAACTTTTTGCATTTTCTCTCTGTCATTAAGTTTTTCAAAGATGATTTTCTGAATTCAGGGATTTTTTTCAGGGCAGGCTCCATGACATCCTAGACTCAGAAAAGTGACTCCCTCTTAGAATAGAAAAACAATCTAAAAAGAGCATAATAAGTTTAAAAGGCTATAATTTACAATCTCATGGCTATGCATTAGAATAATTTAAACCAAAGTTCTGGTTCAGTATCTTTGAAATTTTGGTGATATTCCTTGGCAATTGGTTTTATACGTAGTGGAAGAAAAAGAAGTGAGCAGAGGGTATGGCTCATGTTGGCAAAAGTTCTGGAAAGGTTAGATGAGCTGGATTCAATTCTCTGTTAGCCACAACTGGCAATCACAAATAGTCTTTAAGCTTCAGTTTTTGCTCTTTAAAATACGAGGATGTGACCAGATGATTCCTGAGGTCTGACCATTCTGGGACTGTATCTTCAGGGTATGTGTATTGCATGAATTATGAAAGAAGGAATAAACAGCGTAAGTCAGTATAATCAAGGTTGTAATTGTTGCTTAAGACAGACTGATCTGGTCCTCAGATCCTAGATTACTTTTCTTTGTATACTTAACTTAGAATATTTAATAAAGTTTCCGAGAATGCCTTACTTTTCTACCAGGTATTAATATTTGACTAATAAACTAAGTATAGAGATGGATATTTCAGAAACATAAGCATTGCCACAAAATACATGTTAGTGTACAATCTTGTTTTTTTTTTAAGAGAAGATTCTGACAGATGATGTATTAAGGGGAAGCTATGTATTATCAAATGGAAATACAGATATTTGCTCAGCAATATATGATAGAAACTGTATACACATTTTTTTATTACCTTGAATTTTATCATCTGAATTGGGTTAATTCAGGCTGATATTGGGTCCTGGTAGACAGAATAAAATGTGTTGTGATTTGATGTGGGCTAGATGAGCTCCCCAAACTCCAAATACTTTGGATGGAATGCACTATTTTACGCATTCATTAATTTGAATCAACATATCCCTCTTTTAAAATGCTGGGGTGGGGGGAAAGGACAACTGTAAATATATAAAGTCAGCCCAAATCCTTCACATCTTGGTTTGAATTACTTTAATCTGATTGTTTTCCTCAGAAAGTTTATGTGATCAGTTTCACTGAGCGAATGTGGCTTTGAAGGAGAGTCAAAGAGGACATAGGGAATTGTCCTGCGGAGGCTGAAAAGATACAGATGCCCAGCTACATGTAGCTAGCGGGTAGCATAAAGGGTCTGGGTGTTCAAGGAGCAAAAAAGGACAACATTTCAAAGGCTAGAATAAAAAACTTCTGTTTGAGAACTTTCATTCCACAGCTATTCGTGGAGTGCCTATTACATGCCAAGCACTCTGCTGGTGGAAGGAAATAGTTACAATTTTGCCTAGCCAGTTTCATTTTTCTCCTAGAAATGCAAATAAACACGAACAATATACTTTCAGACATTCTGAGAATGTTCTGAATTCCAATTAGTAAAGTCCCTTCAGTATATTATATTTTGAACTTTTAGGAAGAGGCACGTTAATAATTTAGCTTTGAAGTGAACTAAAGTGAAATGATGTAGAATTAAAAGCATCACAAAGGCTGCTAAAATATTTATGGAGACTGTATTTTGACTAAAGGATTGCATTTACAGAATGACTTATGTCCTAGTTCCTGAGATCTCAGTTTACAAAGGGAACCAATGCTAGAACCAAATTTCACAATTGTGTTTTTCATTACGAAAAGATTTTCCATGTGTCTTCCTTTTAATTAATTATAACAGTGATGTATCTAGGTGGTCTATTGCAGCATTACGTATGATTTTTAAGTGATTTTCCTATAAACATGAAAGTCTTCATTTGGTTTTTACATATTTAAAATAGCTATGGAACAGTGACATGCACTTTACCATAATAAACGCATCAGACAAGAAAATAAAAGCATAAATGTTGCTAGTTATAGTAGCACCAGAGGGAATGTGTGGTCCCGCACAAAATTGTGCTTCCTCAATTCTGAATTGGCACACTTGACTTAGAATAAATGTATTCACTTTCTCGATCTTGTGAAATAGAGACTCAACAAGACTTCTTAATAACCCTCCAACCTTGCCTGCTGTTTGCACACATGGTTAGTGGAATCACAGAACTGCACATAATCCAATAAAGCTCACACCACCAAAGATATATGTAATCAGGGATCTGAAAGAACATCCTGTAGGTTATATGCAGTCTCTTTTAACTTGTACTTCACAAAACAAACAGTCTCTTCAGGCAGAAAGAAAATACAAGTCTGTCATCCAAAGCAAATATGCAGTCGTGCAGTGTACTAACATGTGCAGGCCTTTCAAACACTTTCTAATCCCAGCAACAACCTCTGTTTCATTGCAGAAGTAGATGAATATTTGGAGAAAGCCTACATATTAAAAAAAAAAAAAGCCTCAGGAAAACTTTCCAATTGATTTTGCTTACTCTTAATCATTTGTTCTGATTGCTCAGGGTAATGAGGATGACAGAGGTTGCTCTAGGTTACCCTGACTGGGGAGCACAGTGACAGAATCAAACACTGATATGCCAGGTATGGAAAGGTTCCTGGCAACCACGGTGCATACAATCTCTCTCTGAGATTTCAGAATTCTGATCTGATACTCATCACTAGCAGTGCCATCAGCTTTTTATCCCTGATGTTTATCCCATCTTGACTCACAATTCTTTTCCCTTTTTTATAGGAGGGTGGAAAGAGGCAATGACTCAAAGTTAGGTGGTATTTGGAAAAAAAAAAAAAGAGAGAGAATCTAAAAACTCCTTTGCTCTCCCTAGTTTCAAACCAACATCAAAAGAACAGGGAGTAGGACAGATGGCCAACTCCAAGCAATGTTCTTTAGGTAATATGCTTCTATAGCATACTTTTTTAAAATTCCAAACAAAATTTTTTGCAGGCCAAAGAAACTTTAGAATTTTAGGTCTATCATCTTTCTTCTCAATCATCTTTAAAACTAGTGAGGCTTACTCATTGTTCTTTTTAAATCTGCTTTGAAATAATTCCTCAATCTTTAGGTGAATGTTGAGATAAACAATGCCATTTGAAAATAGAGAAATAATCAGTCAAGCTCTATTTTACAGTATCAACACTTGAGCAACGTATTGTTGGTGTAACACACTCAGCTTCATTTGTCTTTGATAAGAATTCTATTTTTCTGGACCTTGTTGGTAATGTTCCCCAGGCTTTTCTGTAGTTTCTAGCTCTCTTATGGATAAAAAGGAAAGAAACCTTTGTAAAGGCATTTTTTGAGAATATATTATTTGCCAGCAGACAGATCATCACGTAAGAATTGTGTTTGAGTAGGCCAGGCACAGTGGTTGACACCTGTAATCCCAGCACTTTGGGAGGCTGAGGCGGGCGGATCACCTGAAGTCAGGAGTTCGAGACCAGCCCAGCCAACATGGTGAAACCCCATCTCTACTAAAAATACAAAAATTAGCCAGGTGTGGTGGCGCAAACCTGTAGTCCCAGCTACCCTGGAGGCTGAGGTAGGAAAATCGCTTGAACCCGGGAGGCAGAGGTTGCAGTGAGCCGAGATCATGCCACTGCACTCCAGCCTAGGCGACAAAGCAAGACTTCATCTCAAAAAAAAAAAAACAAAAAAACTCAACAACAACAACAAAAATTGTGTTTGAATAAGGGCAACAGAAGGAAAATGCATAAAATCTCATTTCCATTAAGACCTACATTCATGTGCAAAGGCCTCCAATTAGAATCCTATAGAACTGATGATGCTTTGATATTTGGTACAGAAACCATATTAGACTACTGGCATGATAGCTAAGAATTTCTGTGTTTCTATGGCAATCTATTTTAGATAGTTTTACCATGATGGCTAAAACGGAATGTCAATTAGTGCATATAATTTAGAAATTACACTCAAGTCTTGCAGAATTTTAAGTAAAAGTCAGATGTTCTCCCAACAGAATAAAAATTAATTTTCTCCAAAGAAGCATTACCACATTTCAAGAAAACCTCCTTAATTCCTACTTAAGGCCCAAAAGAAATCACCTAATTTGTGACTTGGAGATTGTGAAGTAAAAACATATTTTTAGTTATTACGTCAAACAAATATACTTCATTATAAATGAAAAAAAATATGCCAAGAGCACTGAGCCATGTAATCTAGCCATCTAATAAATTCTTTACTGTGGCTGACTAGTCCTTTGGGGAATGCCACAGTACGTTCCCTGCAAAAAATCGAGAGACTGGCTTGTACCAAACAAAGCATTCCTTAAAAACAAATCTAAATGAAACAAAACCAAACCCTGGTTTTGTAGTTGACCAAATTCCAAAACAAACAAGGCTCTACTGGATGGATCTATGACAAACCTCAGAATACATATTTTAATCATTTGATCCCCAAGAATTAAAAAAAATATTTTTTATAGTGCCACCCACATGTAATATGTCCTTGTACTGGTACAACCCATTTTTAATACTTTGCTTTTTCCTCTCTTCCTTGTAAAAAATGGCACTGAATAAAGGATTATTATGTTTTATTATCTTTACTGTCTTTTTAAAATGGTCATATCTATTTTGAAACATTCAAAAATAAAGACTTCCTAGATCCCATAGGAAATCCACTTCTGAAGAAACCTAGAGCAGCTTCCGTAGCTACTAATCTAGAATGAGGGATTATTCCTGGGACAAGGGACAACTGTAAGGGAGATACAAGAAGCCTTGAGGGTGGAGGAAAGTCAGTAGTGTGCAAGTTGGTCCTATCTGCCTGGATGTCAGTGCTCTGGGATGAGGGGGCAGTAGACAATGGCATTGCAGAGTGAAGCAATGACTAAAGGGGAAAAGGATGGCTGGTTATTTAACATCCTTGAGCTTGAGTTCCTAAAATGTAAGATGGGACATCATAAAACCCATCCCTTCAGAGCTGTGAGAGTTAAATAATACATGCAAAATATCTGGCGTATATTAAGATCTTAACAAATGGTGAATACTATTATTATAGCCATTAGCTGGAAAGAGTTTTAATGAACTTAAGACTTTATTTCTACATCTGGAGGGAATAATCATGAGAGACCAGAGTGGCGGGCAGCTGAGTATCCTCTTAGGGGATACTGGATAGTTTATTAAAGAATAGGAAATGCAGGCATTCTCTCTCTTTCTGCTAGAATAAGACCCTGAAAGCTAAACATGCTAAAGCAAAATGTGAGAGATAGAGCTCTGCATGGGCCTGAGATGATGAAGTTGCTCACAGAAAAATGGTGAGCTGAGAAAGGACTTACGTATACCTAAGATTGTCTTTGAAGCTTATAAATAATGTTTCTGTGCTGTCCAGCTAAGTTATTTATGGCTTAACATCGCATTACTTGAGAAGAAGCAATTGGATTTATTGGGCTTATTGAAAGGAGGGTTTTAACTTTTTATCAATTTGGTTGCATATATGGAAGTTATCCTTGAATAGCTACATGAAGATGTGAATAATGTACCAGCTAGCCTCTAAAGAAAACACATCACCAATTAATTTACTTATTTAACAAATAATGACTGCAGGCCTCCTATATAGGAGGCATTGTCCTGGTATCTGGGGTTGGGGAAGAGGACTCCCACAGGGGCCTCCCCTGTGTGGGAGGAGGTGGGGGGTGAGCGGGATTGAGCTATAAAGATTCAGAATGTGGATCCACAAACTTTAGGATTTCACCGACCACAAAGTATTTCCAAAGTAATGAAAATGACAAAGATTTACCAACTTTTAACTTCGTTAAATGAGGACACTGCAAATCTGATTACTATTTCATTATCACCATTTCATAAAAGCAAATACATTTCAACACTCATGAAATTAGGAGATTATCTTCGAATAAAGTATTATCCTCTAAAGACAATAAAGTTTGCTTTAAAAAAGAATTTCGTGGATTTTTCTCATTTTTGTGAGGAGCAGCAAGAACTTTGGGATTAACTAGCCCCCATCCTTGCATGGCACATGTGAACCATTAAGACGTAGAGAGTAAGGCCAGGTGCTGTGGCTCATGCTTGTAATCCCAGCACTTCGTGAGGCTGAGGTGGGTGGATCATCTGAGGTCAGGAGTTCAAAGCCAGCCTGGGCAACATAGCAAAACTCCATCTCTACTAAAAATACCAAGTTAGTGGGGTGTGGTGGCACGTGCCTGTAGTCCCAGCTACTCAGGAGGCTGAGGCACGAGAATCGCTGGAACTTGGGAGGCGGAGGTTGCAGTGAGCCGAGATCACACCACTGCACTCCAGTTTGGGAGACAGAGTGAGATTCCATCTCAAAAAAAAAAAAAAAAAAAAAGGCTTAGAGGCTAAGAGCTTAAAGTCTAGTTTAGGAAAGGTGACATGCACACCAAGCCGCAGTATCAGGAGTATACTAAGGGTATTGTCATTATCATGAAATGTGATTACACATCATCTCAAACTACCCTGTAAGATGGATAGGGAAGGCATAATATTCACTTTTTCTCAGAGGAGGAAACCAGTCCTCAAAAAGGTGCAGTAACTTGCTGCATGTAATTAGCCTTTGCGGTAACTTTACTACTGCAGTTGCCTTTGCAGTAACTTGCCTCATGTCAGTAACTTCCCTCATGTAAGTAACTTGTTCATGTAATTGTGCAATTGTGACTAAAACTAAGCTCTCCCACTTCAGTAGCCATTTCAGGAAACTGCAGTGCATGTCTGGTGAACCATGACTGTTAGGGAAAATAAACACTTTCATTTTCCAGTTGTTATGTCACCCTAATGGCATTGCCTGACACTATTAGGATGGCATAAGAATGTAACAAGAAGATCATCCTAACATCCTAACATATACTCCTTGTTTGAACTCTTGTTTTTTCTTGAGTGTGCTAGGACATTCTATGCCTGGCTTCACGATGACTTTATCTTTCATTGGACAGGCAGCTACTGTCACACCAAACAACAATAGGAAAATAGATAATTTCATTTGATGTTTGAGAAGCATTTCTTAGTGGTCCAAATTTGGTCATATCTTTCTTAGCTGTTTCTGCAATTTCATAGTAGCTCTGGTTTACTTAAGAGAACTTGACAAAATGAGTTCCACTGAAGTTAGCCCCTGCTTTGCTCTGCAATTGTCTAAGCTTTTAAGGGTATCTTGTCCTTGAAGTCAGATGGATTTCATTAGAAATTGACCCACTTTCTTTAAGAACATAGCCAATGTCACTATAATTTTGAAAAAATGTTAAAAAGGTAAGTTCAAGTTCAACACAAAGAAGACCTTTTAACAATAGACAAACTGGAATGGTTTGCTGTGCAAAGAAGTCAACTACCATCACTGAAAGTATCACAGCACAGGCTTGACAAATACATGAGGGAGATGTTGTAGGACATATGAGTGCATTGGGAAAAGAGTTAACTGGATGATGTCACTATCAACTCTAAGATTCTTCGAACTGTCTCATGCAAGCTTCACTGACAGATAGGATCTAGAATTCATTAGAGACATATCCACCCTAATTGGAAATTCCACTCTTTAAGGTACAGAAGAACAATGTCTCGCTTGCAAACACTCATTTCTGAATAAAGGCAAACCATAGATTTCTCTGACACACACACGTACACGACCCACCTGCTTTCTACTTTTGTTTTTTTAATTCTATTTTCTCAGTGATATGTGTCCTAATCACTTTCTCAGCAGTGTCATTAGACATCTATGATGTGGAGCAAGGCACACAGAGCTAGACTCTGGGTTTACAATGACAGAGTTTAAGTTCCCATCTGAAGTCCCCACATTCTGCTCAACACATGACTCTCCATTACTGAGCTCACTATCACCAGCAGGCTGTGAGCCTCAGACAGGAGGTCTTGCCTTAAACTCTCTGGCCTCAGTTTTCTTACCAGTAAATGGCCTAAAGGACTTTGATTGAACAACCTTATAGATCAAACATTTTTAAATGATCTATTTTATTATTCCATTATGTGGCCTACTAAAACCTTAGAAAATTATACATTCAAATCAACTGATTTCACTATTTTTAGTGTGGCCAATAATCCAAATTCTTAGTTTAGGGAGTTTTATGCTACAACGAAACTTCATGTTACTTCTGTTCTTAAAATCATTTTCTACATTGACAAATAATTACCCTTTCAAAAATTTCTCCAAAGCTTTGATTAATAGTGTGACAGCCTTGTAGAATAAAACTATGATTTTAAAATCTAATTTTAATCACTTACCAAAAACATCACATTAGGGAACTTTATCTGGGTAAGTGGACAAAGTATGGAATGTAGGATTTCTATGAACATTGTTCATTCGTATGTTTTTTTTTTATAAAAGCACTGCTAATTATATAGAAATTGTAATAATGACAAACAGTCCACAAATTGAAACCTCAAAGAAGACATATGATTGACTTGAAAAATAATTGGTATCTTTCCACTTAATCTACATTAATGTAAACAATAAATCTTCTCTTAAATAAAGATTGTGTGAATCTTCATTTATCTTTTATGACAAGAGTGCAAAGGTTGTGGTTTAATGAATGGAAAGAAGCAACAAGGTCAGTTTTAAAAGCCTCACAGGTCAAATGTCTGACACTGAACATTAAAAAAGAAAAAAGCCCTAACATGGTAATTTCTATTTTCGTCAAACCACCAGGGTCCAGCTGAGGCTTCAAGCAGAAAGAAAGAAAACACCATAATTTTGTAACATAGAGACAAGCAATTGGAATGACAATATCCTTTTAGGATGTATTCACCAGCATTTTAATAGGTTTGAATTAGGTAGATTTTTAAACAATTTTGAAGCTTTAAGCTTTGAAAGCTGACAACAATCCCTGGCATTGATAAAGGGATGAAGCACAGCATATACTTTTATTTTACATATGCATTGATTTTTCCGCCAAATGGAAGACCTCTGTCATCTAAGAAGGTTATTCATAGATCCAAAGAGCTGATCAGGGTCATTAATAACAATAGTAAACTGATCATCATTCCAATGGGACCTGACAAGTTTCTTTTCAAAGTGGATACTAATGTATTGATGCCTGTGAAGTTCATTACAGCAGTAATAAATCATTAGTCTCTGCAAAATGATTTATAAGTTGGTTGAAATGCATTACAATAGACTGTCAAAGAGCTTTGCAGGTATAAGAAGGCTCTTTCTGGTGCTTCTACCCAAATTGTGCTGGCTTGGAGTAATTAAACACCAGCACCAAAACAGCAAAACCACTACAACTATGGTTGTCTCTTGCTTAAAATCCAAGTTTTAATTCAGGACAGACTTAATCCTTCCTTGAATTACTACTGTCCTTATAAAGGCTTTAAAAATTCTTTTTAACTTTGGTTATTCCATAAAGATTCATCATGACCCTTGCTTAAATTTCTTTTAGCTTTACCAAATAATGCTCAGAACTTTTATAGTCACAATCACTTCCTTAATATTATTTGCATGCATAATAATATGCACTGTAAATACATTTCCAAGCATTTACCATTCTGAGCTAACACTGGAATGAAGTGATTCAAAGCTGAACATGGGTTGAAAAGTTTATTTTCAAACATGTGTAACAATGTCTTTAATATTCCTAGAATGTTTTCAAAAGAGTTACCTGTATTTGCAGGTACTATTTGTCTTCCAGAAAAGGAGGAGGAATAAGCTAAAAGGTTAAAACAGTATTAACCTTTTACAGAAGATAGCACTTTCTGAAAATAAGGATAGTTCAACATTACAATAGATTAATGGGTTATATGTGATGTATATTTATTTAATTTGGGTGTGGGCAATGAAAAAATTTATATTCTCTATCATTCTTCTACTGCAAAATACGACAAAAGCAGTAATCTCATAATTACTGGTACCTTATTTTAAATAAATCACCTTAATGTATAGTTTTCTTTGATTTCTTTGGTAGTTTTCTTTCATTACAGTAGTCAGATTGGAACCTATTGCTACTTCTGGCTGAAAAACTGAGAGGTGTGCTCACTTCCAAACAGTCTCTTTTCTGGATAGCTTTAAACTATGTATAAAATATTACCTCTTGCTATGTGTCACCTTACTCTGGTCACATTGGCTTCTTCTCACCAAATGAGCTCGTTCTGATGGTCATAATAATTTACTGGGTATCTAAAGAGTTTTGCTATGTTAGTAAAAAAAGAAAGCCAATATGCCGTGCCAATACCAAATATTACCAAAAACCAGTTTTCAATTGAGATTCACTTATCGCCTGTTCTTGGCTAATGTTTCTCTGTCTTGTGGCTTCATGACAAAGACCACATAAGTCCATGGTGGACAAGGGCCATCCTGCACTGAAGTGCTACAGATTAGTCTGGTGTGTTTGCTGTGTTGATTTTCAGAGGTTAATTGCTATACCTCAATCCCTGATGTTTGTGCTGCAGTGAAGACTTATAATATTGGCTCCATAATAATCTGGCTATTATTTCACTAATGTACACATAATATATCCTGAAACTTCAATTAAAGGGATTTTCTAGAGTAGGGAATTCACAACAACAGGGGTTTTATTGGGATATTAAACCATGCCTCCATCCACAGTATACTCTTAACATTGGATCCCTGAAGATAATTGCAATGTTGAAGTTTCAGTGTTTTCACACACTTGTACATCTGCCCCAATTTATCCCTAATGACTGTCCCAAAGCACATTCTATCAGTTGATTGCTATTACAGAGTCTAAAAGGGGACAGCCTCTGAGAGGTTTCAGGAGAGAACAGTCTTTTTACCTGGCCATGTTTCTGTCTAGATGTGATCAAATGGACTCAAATAGCCTTCACTGAGAAGAATGCTGGAAGCCCCAGCCTACCACCCTCATACATGCTAAATTCTTGACATTCTTACTCATGAAAGTATCACATATTAAGGAAAGCTACAATAGACATGAGCAGCATAAAGCTTAATTTCAAACTGCAACTAACTCTAATTATTTTATCAAATTGTTTCCCAAATTTTCTGAAAGTGTTGACATCACAGCTGCATCAGAAGGGAAACTGGATGCCTTCCTTGCTGAGACACAACCAGGGCTACATGTGACCATGTGTATGTGTCTGAAGTGGACTGCTTCCTAAATGAAAAATAGGAAATCAAGATCAATGGCAAAGAGATTACAGATTCTACCTGTGGTCAGATAAAAATGCACATATTTTGCAGTTAAAATAATTATTTTGATGCTTAAATGACAAAAAAATATAATCTTCAAGCAAATGTTAGGAGTGATAATTACACATGAAAAGTTTAATTTCTTTATACTAAGTTTCTATTTGAATTACCCTATTGTTTGCAGGTTTATAATGGATACTCTTAAGTTTTCCAAGTACACAATAAAATCATCTGTAAGTAAGGACAGCTTTACTTTGTTTTCTTCCCAACCACAATTTACCTTTTATATTTACTTTTATTTTATGTTTTATATTTTATTTTATGTTTATTTTTATTTTATTTTATTGGCTAGTACTTTCAATGTGTTAAAGGTAGTTGTTATAGGGGCATCCTTATCTCATTATTTTACTATGAGAATTATCAGGAAACATTAGGTTTCCTCTGTAAACATAAGACTAAATTTTATGCTCAGATAAATACTTTTCATTACATTAAGAAAGTATCCTTTGAATACTATTTTATTAAATTTTAAAAATAGAAAATGAGTGTGGAATTTTGTCAGATACACTGATATATATTTATCATGTAATTTATGTGAAATCAACACATTTTCTAATATTGAGCTACTGTTGCATGTTTGGAATAAATCTTTCTTATTCAGGATGGATTCTTCTAATTTTTGTTTTTTCATATTTTATTTAGGTTTTTGTGTTGGTATTTATTAGTGAGCCTGTTCTTTAGTTTTATTTTTGTGTGTAATTCCTGTCAATTTTTAGTATCAATATTATACTCACTTCATACAAGAAAGGTTGCAGTTTTACTTTTTCCCCTGATGTTTTGAAAAAGTTTTTGAGAGTTTTAAATATTTGCTGAAATTCTCCTCTAAAGCCATTTATACATGCTGCTGTTTTTATTGGGGAGAGGGACAACTTTCACAACTTTTTCATTTTCTTTCTATCTTTTCTCAGTTCAATTATTTTCTAAATTATATTTTTATAGAATTTTCAAACTTATTTACAAGGAATTGAGCAAAGTAGTCTCTTATGAGTCCATTAATTCTCTATATAATTGTGTTTATTTTATATAGTCTGTGCTTTGCTCTTCTTCAACCAACCTATTTCATTGTATTTTCAAAGAACTAGATTTTAATTTTATTTCTCAGTTCTACTGTTTTTCTGTTTTGCTTGCTATTTTCTGCTCTTTAAGGTCTTTCTTCTGCCTTTCTTAAGTTTATTTTGTTGCTCTTTTACCTCTTAAACTTTTTAATTTGGTTTTTATACGTTTTATATACTTGATCAATGTTAAGTATTTAAGGCTAGGAATATTCTTACGAATACAGCATTAGTTGCACACTTAGGTGTTGTTTAACAATGGGAATACATTCTGAGAATTGTGTTCTTAGGTGATTTTGTCACTGTGTAAACACCATATAATGTACTTACACAAAGCTAGATGGTATAGCCTACTAAAGGCCCAGGCTATATAGTGTAGCCTATTGCTCCTTGTCTACAAACCTGTACAGCATGTGACTGAACTGAATATTGTAGGCAACTGTTACACCATGGGATTTGTGTATCTAAACATAGAAAAGGTACAGTAAAAATGTGGTATTATAATCTTATGGGTCCACCATCATATATGCGGTCCACTGTTGACTGAAATGTCATTGTGCAGTTCATGACTGTATTTCATACATTCTGAAAGGCCACATTTCATTTTCCTATTTTTTTAAAGTCTCCAACCAGATAGAACATACAATAGAATACCCCATTTATAATAGCAAAATGAAATACACCTAGTAATAAGTAACTAGTAATAAATTTAACAACAAATGTGTAAGATATATAAGAAAACTTACTTAAAACACTACTGAAGGTCACAAAAGAAGACTTGAAGAAATGGAAATACGTGACATGCACTTGAAGAAAAGAACTCAATATCATTAAGATGTCAATTTTCTATAGGTTAGCTTAGAAATACAAAGAAATACCTATAGAATACTACCAGGATATTTTTGTTTTTATTTGTTTCATAGGGTTGGGCAAGTTGTCCTAAAGTAAAAATACAAAATTCAACAGAAATATGCAGAAAGAGCAATGAAAAACAATTAACACTAATAGATGCCAAAATTTACTAAAACACTTGAAAAAAATCACAACAGCAGAATATTAGTATAGGAATAAAAAGACTACAGAATAGAAAATCTGGAAATAGGATCAACTGTACATTTGAATTTTCTACATAATAGAAATAAATCATCATCCACTGGATCCAAATCAATGAATTAAGGAGGGATTACTCAATGCATGTCATTGATTTAATAAGTGAATCAAGTAAAAAAAAATCAAATTGTATCCATACCTCCTCCCTAACAGCTGGATAATTTTAAGAGACAGTTCATTCAAGCAAAAGAAAATATGAATGGCTCTTAAATATATAAAAAATAATACCTAGATCTTTTTCATCTATCAGATTGGGCAAAATCCAAGTTTGATAAGGCTAAGAGAAACAGGCATTCCCATATCTAGAGAATAAAAATGTAAATTTGTATAACACATGCAGAGTACAATTTGGCATATCTATTAAAATTACAAATGCATATACATTTTTTATCCAGAAGTTCCACTGCTGCACTTACACTCATATAAGATATTTATACAGGGCTCTTCATTGCAGCATTGTTTACAATAGCAAAAAAAAAAAAAAAAAAAACAAAAAACCCTGAAAACAAAATACCCTTAAACAGGATACTAGTTAATTGAATTATGAAGAATACACACAATGGAACACTAGGCAATGATTAAAAAAACAATAAAGCAGCTCTCATGAGAAAGAGCTCCAGGAGAGAAAAGAAAGGAGCGGAGTAGTGTGTCATCTTTTGTAAAAGAAAAAGTCAGGGTTAGGGGAGGATGGAATAAGAATCTGTAAGCTCTGGAGGGAGAGAGAAGAAACCAAGTCTGTGGCTACCTCTTGTGGTGGTGGGGGTGAAAATGGGAAGCTGGAAGGTAAGAATGGGATACTTTGCAGTTTTGAACAATGTGAATGTTTTACTAACTCAAATAATTAAATTTAGAAAAAAACAGAAATTTTAAAATGACATTTATACTATAAAATATATCTGTCAGTAATAGATGGACCTCCCGTAAGTGTCTTCAAATAAGATTTTACTTCCTAGGAGGGAGCTTATCTAATGGAAGCCATGATTTAAGAAGTGAATTTCTATGTCTAAAAGATTTGTCACAACAAAATTTCAATGCTGAGATATCTTGTAATCACCTTAATATTGCTAAGTTTTTATTTCAAAATCAACAGAAAGTGCATTATTAGTTGCCAAGAGTTGAAAATTCAAACTATGACTAAAGTGATCTCTTAACATTATAAAAACAAAGTTTCCAATTTAAAAACCTTAGAGGCTATATATGTTATGACATATGACTCACACTTTCCCAGATGGATATGTATTATTCATAAAGGTTGGGTGTAAAAATAGAAAAATATTTTTAAAAAATTATTTTGGTGGGAAATCAGAAAAGTGAGGTGTAATCATTTGCACATTTCACAAAATATTTTATGTCCATAATTCTGATCATCATATTTTTTGCTCTTATTAACCAAATATATTTGACAATACATCAATTGTTCAGTAAATGGGAATTATGTACAAAATATGGTTGGTAGTCTACACTGGGAGAAATTCAAAGAGGAATCCAATGTAGTTATCATATTCACAGGACTTAAGACATGCATCAACAATTAAAAGCAGAATGTGGTAGAGTCGTGGGAGGGATACACGTTACAAGAGCACACTGGCAGGAGATAAACTATGTCCACTTGAGAGCATCTTCAACTGAACCTGAAGGGTCAGTAGAATGTTAGAAAGCAGAAGTCGGGAAAGTAGAAAATTCCAAGTCAAATTAATTTCAGATGGGCAGGAAAGCATAAGAAGCGTTCATACAATGGCAAAGTATTTAATTTATTGGATATATGAGGAACAAGTTGAGAAATAATGACAATAAAGGCTGAATAAGGTGGGCAATAGGTGATATTGGACGGTAGGGAGGAAAGGGCAACAGTGTCATATAACTCCAGGGGGCTATGAGAGAAAGGTCTTAGGCATTGGTAGGTAGAAGCGTGGATGCATAGATAACGTTAGGAGGAGATACTTGGTGTAGTGAAGAAATTATTAAATTAGAGGTGCTAGCAGAAAACCCTGGACGGGATGGATGTTCACCAAGCATTTGAAGTCATGGAACTTGAGGTTGAAAATGAGAGTAGTGTGGGTGACATAGATGTGTCAGTCCCCTAAATAGGGTGATGGAAACTCTGGGGCTGGTTGAGATCCTGGGGATGCAGAACCTTGGGTGGTGTTCACACTTAAGACTGGCAGATGAGGTGGGGCCAGTGAGATGTCATAGAGCCAGAATCACAGCCAAGTCCAACAGGATCTTAGAGATCGGTATGTTCATTACTTAAGCACACTGATCTCTGAGGTGCTCCCTTCCTCTCTCTCCTCCCTGCATTTTTTCTATATGAGCAAATTGATGGTATCTAGGGATTCAAAGAAGGAAAAGGGCAGGCCACCTTTGAAGTATGGGGTGATAAAGAGAGGAAAGATGGAGCAAATACGTGAGACACTAGCGATCTTTAGGAACAGCGCTGAGTTGTCTTTTAAGAAAATAAAAGACCTAAACACATTTTTAGGTAGAAGGAATTCAACCCAAAGCAAGAGACAAAATATTTAAAATACAGAGACATATTAGAAGGTCAAGTACACATTTAGACATGCTAATCTAAATAGGAAAAAGAAAAAAGGGAATAAAAGAAAATAAAGAGCAGGGGAGGAGTTTTCTTCCACAGAAGCCAAAGGGAAGGACTAGTCAAAGGACCAAGATGTCATCCTGTGTTGCTTTATGTGTTCAGCCCTATGTGATGTGTAATTTTAAGACAATCAAGGCAAGCAGATTTGTAGAAACTCCAAACTCATCTGACTAGCACAAAGGGTGAACAGTGGTGGTATGGGGAGGGAGGTACCACCCTCCCCTTGTAATCACGCCACCCGACTGCCTATGTAGGTAAGGGGAACAGGTGAAAACAGAGACCCTTCAGGATGGGAAAAAGGAAAGTTGAAAGAGTTTCTGTTAGATAACTCTGATTTCTTCATGAAATGAAAGTTAAGCTCCCTTGTTGAACTGAGAAGCTGAGCGCTTAGAGAGACTGGAGTGCTTGAATCTGAACATGATTTTAAATTTAGGAAGCAACTCTGCTTTCTCATGTGAGATTCATCCTAGATGCAGTGTAGCTGTTTCTGCTTTAGCACTCTTTGCCGTGGCAGAGCCTGGGCTCTGTGTTTCTAGCAAACAGTGTCTCACTGAGAAGTATGATATTCTAATGTTTTTATTTACACATTTTGGTCAGCTACTCGCATCACCCGGTTTCTACTACCTAGTACATTTTCTAAAGCATTCGTATTCATAGCATGCTACAGATGAAATTAGACAATGAGACTGATATTGTGTGAGAGGGAAAAAAAAACTCTGCCATTCCTGGGTAGAAACCATTTCTGAAGAGCTTAATCATCAAGCTCTTCAGCAATTTCAACAATTGACTGTTGTTATAATTGCTCCACTTTCTACATATCACAGAAACATGCTTACAGCCATTGTTGTATAACATTTTGGTTCTCAGCATTTCTTTATTTTATGGCATGCCTTAATGCAAAAACAATGATGGATTCCATTCCAGGATGTACAAAGTTTTAAAGGAGGCAGATGTGAGGAGAGAAAGAAAGAGAGAGAGAGAGAGAAGCCAAATCATTCATGTAGGGACATTTTTTTCTCCACTTAAAATAAAACTGCCTTTCCTGGTGGCTTTAGTCAGTTGAGTTTTTCCAGTGGGTACTGTAACAGTTAAACTGAGCAAACATAAACCTGAACTGCCCTGATTTTAGATTAAAATCCATTTGGATTATAGTTGTATGAAGGATGTTACCAATATTGTATCCAAAACAGATAAAGGAAGAATGCATGTGGCTTTGGGCTCCCTCAAAAGTGTCAGATGGCCACAAGAACACTGCCCGTACAGGATTTCAAGTACTGAGTTAACTGAGAGATATGTAAAATCACACATACCGGGTAAAGTTGAGTCACATGCAGCCTGTGCATGTCAGTTTCTAGGTTAAATGTATGGACTGTATTGCTTGCACGAGGTGGCCTTTGGAGATGTACTCTATTGGGAATCAGCACCTCACTATTTCTAGCTTCATTTCTGCATTAATTCTGTACGACCTTGGGCAAGTCACTTCATCTACCTGCTCCCCCAATTTACTTAACTGGAGCTCCCTATTACTTAAAAGAGTTGGAGAAGCAATTGTGAGGATTACATATTAAAATAACAAAGATGCAGGCAACAATATTATAAAATGCTACAGAACCGTGTAATTACCAAGTCTTAGAAGTAACTAGAAGCAGATGAATTTGTTGGTCCAACACCATATGTTTCAGGTCAAATAAAAGTGTAAGAGCAAATAAATTGTCTTTATATTACTCTACTATATTGGTTTATTTTGCTCCAATTGCCATTTAACTCAGCAATCTGTAACTGCTTTGTGTCTACAGTAATTTTGTAAAGTTATAATTTTGCATGGGAATCATGATTTGCCGTTCAAATTGCTCCAGATTACATCCATAATCTCCCCCCCACAAAACACAGACAAACATACTCCTGTAATTCTGGGGAAAAATGGAGTTCTCAACAACTTTATTCATATCTTCAGGTGGCAAGAAGATAATATTTCTTTCTTTTCTCCGAAGACATTGTTTATCTTTATATAATAATCTTCTGAAATTATTACCCATGTGAAATATTACCTATTTCCAGATGATATTCACCACTGCAGTGGTCCCTGAGTAACATGCACCACATTATCTAGTGATAGTGTTTTCAAAGTCTTGTCAAAACTGAAAATATAATTTTGAAATCTACAGCACATAAGTCCTCAGTGCATGTTTATGTAAATCATGTCATTAATTTGTTATAAGTTCAGTGCAATTATTATATTTTTGGCAGAGTTAATTTAGTAGCTCTCTAACAAAACACATCAGCACCTCTTCTCGCATGTGGAGTTCCTAATGGCTTTAGCTGCCTTTGGTGGGTTTTCTTTCCCTCACAAATACCAAACAAAGTGTTTCCTAAGACCTAAGTTGACTTTACATAGAAGAAAGTTACAAAAGCTTTCAAAACTTCACCCTCAAGATACAACTGAACATTGGACTGGACTTTAAAACTGTTTAAGGTGAAACGTGAAAGCTAAAAAGAAGATTGAAGTGTAAATGCATGAAGAGGCGAATTCAAAGTATGTTTGCTTCTTAGTGAGCAGGTGAAAATGAGAGCTTCCCTCAGTAGTAGACAGGAAGGCATTCACTTCCATCTATGAACTAGATGTATTATTGTTAGGTAAGTTAAAAATAAAGATCACTTTTTAACTGAATATAAAAACCGTTTCCAAGTAAAATGGATTGCCCTTTAGCTTATTGGAAACTTGATTCCCAAGAATGCCTCTGTTGTTTTTAACTGTGTTCAAAATCATATCCAATTGCACTCGTGTGCTTTGAAATAATAGTGCAAGGGCCTTAATTCAATGTTTTTCTGAAAGTTGAAAAGTTGCCATGCCATGCGACAATGGGTCAGATTGGGATTCAGGAAATCTTTGCTGATTGCACACCCTGCTACGGCAATCTGTGCAGGTACTGCACAAACATTGTGGTGTTTAGTTCTCAAAACAGCTCAGCGGGAAAGGTTCTATTATCCTCCACTTTGTAGATGAATTAATAAAAGATCTTTGAAATTAATTGCCATCTATGGTTAGTAAGAAGTTGAGTTGAACTTTAAACATAGATGTTCTGGCTTCATGTGTGGGGCTTGCCCTCTATTTATTGATATTGATGTTAAAAGAATAGGAGAAAGAGCTAAATTAATAATAGTTTTGATATAATGATGTATTCTTAAAAGGCTCATTGATATTAGCTTGTTTGCTATTCAGTTGTCTTTCCTAATATGTGCATTATTAACAATTCTGGTTATTCTGGAGTTCTGGGCCAGGTGCAGTGGCTCAAGCCTGTAATCCCAGCACTTTGGGAGGCCGACGCGGGTGGATCACTTGAGGTCAGCAGTTCGAGACCAGCCTAGCCAATATGGTAAAACCCCATCTCTACTAAAAATATAAAAAAATTAGCCAGGCCTGGTGGCTGGCGCCTGTAATCCCAAATACTCGGGAGGCTGAGGCAGAAGAATCGCTTGAACCCAGGAGGTGGAGGTTGCAGTGAGCCGAGATCGCGCCACTGCACTCCAGCCTGGGAGACAAAGTGAGACTCTGTCTCAAAAAATGAATAGGCTGGGGGCGGTGACTCACGCCTGTAATCCCAGCACTTTGGGAGGCGGAGGCAGGGGGATCATGAGGTCAGGAGTTTGAGACCAGCCTGGCCAATATGGGGAAACCGTGTCTCTACTAAAAATACAAAAATTAGCTGGGCATGGTGGCAGGTACCCGTAATCCCAGCTACTCAGGAGGCTGAGGCAGGGGAATCGCTTCAACCGGGGAGGGGGAGGTTGCACTGAGTGGAGATTGCACCACTGCACTCCAGCCTGGGGGATATAGTGAGACTCTGTCTCCAAAATAAATAGATAGATAGATAGATAGAGTTTTGATTGCTTGGAGTCTTACTAAATTCTAGCTGAGTAAACTTTTTTCTATTTTTAAAGTAGAGTTAGTCTTTGGAAAAGTTTAAAAAAGATTTAGAGGGTCTATCTGTATAAATAAAAAGATTATATAGTAGTTCTTTATGAATACAATTATATATAAGCAAACGTATAAATATATGAGATAAAACATTTATTATCCTACTCATTTTTGTATAACTATTGTATTAAAAGGAATACAAAAATCAAACATAAACAAAGCTGTACAGAAGAAGAGGAAAAACTTTGGAGGTCTAAGTTCTATAGTATGCTAGTGATTCAGTGAATTCACTGGATATGAAGCCTTGCAGTTAAAGCATTTGGTTCTTTGTGTGTTTACTTTAAACCAAAATCTGATAGGACTGAATTTTGTCTGACCTTCAGAATTATGTGGATCTGCTTCCTCTGTGTTGGCGTCATAGGCTTCTGTTCTGAAATTATCCTATGCTGGAAGATGCCACAACTCCATTTTTCTCTGCATAACACAGCAAATTCTTTTGTTTGGGACTGCTCTGGAAAGACCACCAGAGAGGCAGACTGGGTTTTAATTTTTGTTTTATTTAATTCCCTTGAGGCTCAGTTTCTCTGTCTACAAAAATGGAGGTTATAGTTCCTACCTCGGGAGGGGATGCTGTGGATTAAATACTGTACTGCATCTACAAAGCTTCCAGCGCAGAGCCCAGCCCAGAGCAGATGACTTGTAAGTAATTAAAGAGGGATTTGTTTCACATCTAGATTCTTTCAAAAAGAGACTTGAAGGAGTAGTTAATAAATATCAGACTTTTAGTTCTCTCCTTTTTATTCTTTTTTTCAGTATTAGTAAGATTCAAGTGTTCACATAACTTTGATTCACCAAATTGCATTGCTTCCTACGTTTGGCTATGTCAAAAAGTGGGATAAAATCTTCCAGTCCTGACACAGACAGACGAATCAGGCCATGGCCAGCCCACATGGAGGTTCAAGCGGAAAACCCTGGCTGCATAAGGACGCAGACAATACGGCAAGAGGGGAAAACACACCCACACCCAACATAAAAGGGGGATGGCTCTGCCTCTGAGCCCCTGGAAATAGGTAATGAATGTGTCATTCCTTGAGCTGGCCATCAGAATATACCATATTAGCACAACATTAAAAAAAATCCTGGCCCGGTGCAGTGGCTCACGCCTGTAATCCCAGCACTTTGGATGGCTGAAGAGGGCAGATCATGAGGTCAGGAGACTGAGACCCTCCTGGACAATATGGTGAAGCCCTGTCTCTACTAAAATACAAAAATTGGCTGGGCATGGTGGCATGTGCCTATAATCCCAGCCACTGGGGAGGCTGAAGCAGGGGAATCGCTTGAACCAGGGAGTCGGAGGTTGCAGTGAGCCGAGATCATGCTACTGCACTCCAGTCTGGTGACAGAGCGAGAATCCATCTCAAAAATAAAATAAAATAAAATAAAATAAAATAAAATAAAAACAAAAAATCCTTTTCACCTTAAGGGAGGAAATGCCATTTCAGTACTTTAGTCTATCCAAGGTGCTGGGTTTAGTCCTATTACCCTGCATGGGCCACACAATAGGCAAGATACCCATTATTTAGTTACTCACTCTTCTGCTTCATACACAAAGAAATGCTGAGATTTATTACTGTAACATATTCCTACGTTAGGGATAAGACATAAGCATTCTGTCTTAAGTAGTATAAAGGCATATAAGACATTTCTTTAGTCTTTTATTTGTCAGGTTGTTACATTTTTCTTCCTAGACTATAGCTCTGAGTGTAATTCTTAAAATATTAACCCTGGAGATAATAATAAAAATATTCCTAATTTTATTTGCCTTCTAGTATCACCATTGACGGTTTGAAATAAAAGGGCATTTACACCTTGCATTATAAAATATCTTCCTAGCAATGGAAAGTTCTATAAGCAAATTCACCTATATAAAAATGCCCTGCCTTTCCCAGATGATGATCATCATTTTCTCCAATTACCACTCACACCCTACTCTATAAACATTTTTATTTCATTTTAAAGTGAAATTCAATGTACCTGTCCTACAACTTTTCTATCTGGATGGCAGAATTTAATAATTTGGATGTAGAATTCCTGGATACTACAAAATAAATTAACGTGTCAGAAAATCAGAAACCTGTGAAGATAGTGTTTTTAGGACACGTCCAGGAGGGCATAATCCATGTATCACAAGTTCATGTCAACCACAGGCATGACAGGAACTCATTGTAAAGAGAAATTTATCACTCAAAATCAAACTGCAACATCAACTAAAACTCAGTAATGTGTTCTCTGCTTCTTTTTGACCTTCTGTTGTTGCTTATTTGAAGATCCTGGCAACTGTCAGTGATGGAATATTCATGAGGCTATAGTCATTCCAAGACTAAAATGTTAGATTCTGCCACTTTTTCATAGATGGCTGTAGAAGTGGGATTTCATTTAAATGGAAGTCTTTTTTTTTTAACACATCCTACATACATGAGTCAGTAACAATTGTTGTTGAACCGTGAATGTAATTTTCATGAATGATAAATCCTGTTTGCCCTCTTACCTTGGATATTTCTACATTTTTTTTTTAATTCTACTAGTGACTTGGCAATCCATCAAAAGATTGGCTAGTTCTTGATTGTGTCTATGGAAAAAAATTTTTTAATTAAAGTTTTTCATGTTAAAAGAAAACATGTACCTTGAATTTAATACTGATTACCTATAATCACAAGATAAACTAATAATTGGGTTCTAAACTATAGCAATATCATAACATTTTAAGAATAAATTTGATACAAACATAAAAATATTTTCAGGAACCTTTCTCCATTAAAAATCCTTTATCTGGTAAGCACATGGTAAACACATACAGGATATATCTCATAATTCTATGCAAATATCAGAAAGAGTTTTCAATTTGGCTCCCTCAATAGCCACATAGGATTATTATGAGTATAACAGTTTTATGTTCAAGTGGGATTCTGCAGCATTAAACTCATTGTTAATCAAATCAGTCAAGCTCTCTCTGGAATTTCAATTTACACCTTCGCAAAATATTAACAGTGATTAATGTTTGATCTATTCATATGTTTGATTATTCATATACAGCTTTTATCTCTCGTTGTGCTCAAAAACTACATATTTTAGTCCCAATAGGTTATAATTAACTTTAGTAACGTAACTGCTAATGCATTAAAGATCAAAGCAAAATTTGTTCTACAAAACATCCGGTTTAGGGAAGCAACTCATACTGTTTCTCAGTTTGAGGAAGTTGTGATCTGGTAGCAGAGCATCATGCCAAAAAGCTTCAGGAACTATAAGCAGTGGGCCCAAGAGCAGGGTTTTTGGCACAGGGGATACAGGAAGCATTTGGGCCCAAACCAGTGAATGACAGAGTATTTGTGCTCACACTTTTGCTTGAGTCCAAGTTGTCCGTTTTCTTCCCAACCCAGTTTCTTCTCAGATGAAGAGAGTTGCATGCTTCCTTTGCAATGGAAACTGTAGGGGTGAATCCCACGAGGACACTGACTAAGATTCAGAGGAGGTCAACCCCTTCTGTGTCTTGACCTTGGGAAATCAGTTGTATCTCCAAGGCTCCACGTTGCAAATTGACTATTTCTATTCTTATGTATTAAGCATCTATTAAACGGAGGTGTTTGTACAAATGTAATCTTGTAGTTTACTCTCTGAGGTAGGCAATATCATTCCCTTTAAAGGAAATCAAGGCTCTGAGAGGTCCAGTACCTTGGCTGAGGTGGCATAATCAGGGTGCAGCCCTGCCCTGGTCTCATTACTCCAGATCCAGGATGCTTTCCAATAAATTCTGCCTTCTTTAATGGTAGCTCCTAGGCCTACTTATAGGACAGAGTGGTTGTAAAAATCTAACACGATCATGTACATGAAAGTTCTTTGTAAGTGGTAAAGATCTGTAAGGTACAGGCTAACATAATCATTTCTCAGCTATACTTTCCCGCTTTCTACTAACTGGCTAGCAATTGTATAAACTTCTTATTCTTTAGCAGGGAAAATTAGCCCTTGCAGACAACTATTTTAGGAAAAGTGCTAATAATCAATACAGATAGACACTCTCATTTTTCAATTTTTGGCCAAAATCTGTGCTTTAGACACCAGTCTTTTTAAAAGATATAAATTCTCTCTCTTTTGATAAGTGCTTTGAGACTTGCTCAAGCAAAACTATATTGGAGTCTCTCACACAGTTGTGATAGAGTGCTCACATGAGAACTTCTCCACCTTGAAATGAGAAAGCTGGGTCAACTATGGAATTAACAAAGACAGAAATACAGGTAGATTATTTCTGGTCCAAAATATTGGTGACCAGAAGTGTTTCAGATTTCTGACATTTTTTTTTGAATTTTGGAATATTTGCATTATACTTACCAGGTTCGGCAACCCTAGTCAGAAAAGCTGGAATCCAAAATGCTCTGAAATCTGAAACTTTTTGAGTGCTGAAACAACGCTCAAAGGAAATGCTCCTGGAACATTTTGGATTCCGGATTTTCAGATTAGGGATATTCAACATGAACCACTATTCTAACTGTAGTTAAAGGAATAATATGAGAAAAGCTAAATATCCATACTGAAGTGAGGATCTGAGGCTATCAGCTGGAAAATTCACACTCCAGGGAAAACACATGAGTGAATGTTATTAGCTGAAATTACAAAACTGTTTGCCTATTTTGATCTGTTTCAACAAATATATTTTCAATGCTTTTTTTTTTTAGTTGGACTCTAAGATAGTGCCAAGATTATCATTTCAGGAGATGGTCCTTTTGTTGCTATCTAGATGGGTAATTATTCTGTATGAAGTTCTTCTATTTGCAGTGATCAATAACATTCCCATTTGACCCTTCCTCTTTGAACTAACTTGTCCTGGCCCAGGCTTGAACCAAATATTTACTTATGAACAAAGAAGTATCTCCCATTCACCCAGTGGAATAAACAGTGGCCCAACATAACTATTTTTTTCAACCACAGCATATGTTATTTTGAAAATGAATCATTCATAATCAAAATATTATACAAAATGGCTTTTTAAAATGTATGCCTGGCATTTATATAATACAACCTCTATACACACAAGTAGATGAATACATATAATACCTTATTTTGTACAGCAAGGTAAAAACATACATATGAAACATTCTAGACATCTATATAATAATATCGAAGTGTAGAAGATGAGTAGCCAAAAAAAATCATAACTGAATACATCAACTAGCATTTTAATCATTTCTACTTTAAGCTGTTTTTAACTAATTTTTCAAGGTTTGGTTGTTTAGTTTCTATGAACCTACACAGAAGATTTGATTTACTTTAAATTGAAAAAATGCTCATACAATATGACAATTTCAAAAATGTACTTTCAGTAGCTGGTGACACCATCTATTCATGTCATGTGAGTGTATTTCTTAGGGCAAGGGACCTGCAAGGCAAGACTATATAGGCCATAATTTAATCACTGCAAATAAAGAAAGTCTAGGAATGACAGTGAAATATATGTATTTCTCCAAATGGGCAGCATACTAAGATGAAGATGTTTAGAAGAATAAAATTAAGATAAAATAAAGATCATGTATAGTTGGTAGAGGTTTTTTTTGTAAACACTGAGACCTTCGTTGAAATGAATTTTTACAAATAGAGTAAGATTTTTAAAATCCATTCTTCTCTTGCATTTCATTGTCAACAGAATGCTTCTACAGTTCATATAACTAAAAAGAATCCACTATTTTAACCCTATACCTTGGACAGCATCAGTCAAATTTTGAATTCTATCTAAGGCCATTCTTAATTAGAAACCAGTAACAGAGTAGCTTATCAAATATTTTATTTCTTCCTTCAAAAATCAACATAGGATTGTTTGGTGACTTTGCTTTGAATAAAGTGTCTTTTATTACTTATTTTAGTACAACACATTAAAATCAAATATCTCCTGTAGCAAAATGATTCAAGTCCATGGAACTCAAATAATTTTCTAATAAAAAATGCATGAGACAAATAAATGCACTTTATGTTCCACAAGAAAAGGCAGTTTCAACAGGCTAATGCTCAGAGAAAATTCATTTTATCAACCAGCCATTTCATTCTTTGGTGCTGTTACAAGCTCCTTCCAGTTGCTAGGCAACCATAATTCATAGTACCTTTTAATGGATACTCTGCTACTGCTGAGAACATTAAGGTGAAGAGAATAAATGCCTTGGGTGAATCTTGAAATCTTTCATTATGCATGTCATTCTATTTCTGTAATGCTATATTGCTGAAATGTTTCTGTGGCAGGAAACTGAGTTGTAGTAATTGCATATTCCACTCATATATGTTTTGTAAGCAGAGCAGCACGTACTTGTCTAAAATGAGTTATTTCAAACATGATTGAAATTGGACTTCTCTACTTCTAAAGGTAGTAAATAAATCTAAAGAAAGAAAGAATAGGTTTAGAGTAAAATGTCTTGAAATTTCCAGTAAGAATGAAGAAATCTTCAGCACAAATCAAAAGTAATCAAGCTGGTTCAAGCTAGATCAGGATGGTTTATAAATATGTGGTACATACAAGTTGAAATGTAAAAATACAATAGAGAGAATACACTGCAAGCTTTAAAGTAGCCTGGACAGACTTTACAAAAAGGTATAGGTATAGTAGTGACATTCGTGTGTCCAAGTTTTATAGAATAAGATTGGGAATGCACCATGGATATCTTCCACATTGTTGTCCAATGGGAAAGGTGTTGTATATTAACATAGTATTATTTATTGTATAGCACACTATTTCTGGTTTAATTTAAGCATTATTTTCATTTTCTTGATTCTGGTAACATATCTCCATATTTTATAAATATTTCTATATTTATCTCAGTGCATTAAAATATAAATCTGTTATTTCAAATTAGGGAAACTATCATTACGAGTATGCTTTTCTTCCCCCTTTTTCCTTAACTTGGTGTGTATATTCCTTTCAATGCAAAAGTTACAGCCTTTATCTGACAGAAATCACATTTAACTCTTGCATTTACTTACTGGTCACCATCAATTTCTGAACTGAAGAAGAACAATGCCTCTATCTCTGTGCATGAATGAAAAATGAACAATTCAATCCATCATCTGCATGGTGATCCAAGTCAGCAGTTCTAAATCGGTGCCAGATGCAGGACGGGGGGTCCTATAGGAGAATGATTAGGCTCACAAAGACCTATCAAAATCTCTGGAAATTGAGTGCTGGCAAGGGAAGCACCTCATTTGAGACTCAAATCCAGGCTCAGAAAATAATGTCAAACCTGGAGGCATCTCAAAATCTAGAACTTAGGTACTGCCTACTTTGCATTTGGCATCATGGAACTTTTATAATAAAGATGAATCTTATAAGTTTTCTGGAAAAATGAGTTAGTTGATCATGTCATTTTGCCAAAAATGGGATATAAATCTTTCTGTTTCTGGTCACCTGGATTATTTAAATTCATGTTTCTTTCAAAAGCTGATTGAACTACACCTGCCACTTCACAATGATATGTTGTTCTTTGCTTCTTCCTCATTCCACCCTATGCCTTACAAAATGCTGAATATCCTTTGTGAGCGTTTGAAAATCTAGCAATTTTTTTCATGAACTCCTATGAATTCTACTCAGTATCTACTTGTTTAGAAAAATGCCAGCTCTACCAGTTCTTGGTAAATGTCATCCCTATTACAAAGCCTTAGAATGACTTTGTACTACCCTCTGTCTCTCTCTAAATCTTGGCTGGCAGCCCAGCCTGAATCATGAAAATGAGAATAGTTGTCCTAAATAAAAACAATACTCTTTACCATTAAAAAAGTCTTCGAATGGAGCATAACTTTTTTGAAAAAGCACTAACTGAGCAAATAGGATTCATTTGGTCTATTTCAAGCACTGATCACAGAAATTAAGAACTGCAGAATTAACACAGACCCTGGAGAGAAGACATGATTTTGTAAGAACTGGTGGTGTTGAACACAGTTAAGCAAATGTTCTAAGATGGGTGTTAAGGGAGTTTATGATATTACAAATGTGTAGTGGACTCTGTTGTTTTAGGTTGGTTGTTAAAATTGAGGGCCTTGATCATATGCCATCATTAAAAATCCCAGGGTAAATGTAGCTCTTGCAGAAGGAGGCGGGTTAGTCTAAAGCTTCTGGACAAATTCCAACTGTGTAATTATATCCTATTTAAATTCCCTGTGTAGTTTCAACTGGATAAGGTATTTTTCACTTCTAATCCAAAATTCAGATATAGTTTTTCTCTGCACTGCTAAACAGCTGCTGCATTTTTGCCCCCAATGGTATTTAGAATTGGACTCAGTTGGGTGTTCCATCAATTCCAGGAATATTCATCTTTGCTTTCCAAGTTTAATAAGGGATCTTTTTGAATACTGGCTAATATTTACACTACTAAAAGTCTCACTGAATTGAGGGTACATGGTAAATATAGAATTTTTGAACAGGAGGTGACCTCAGGGATCCCCCTAGTCTTGCATCCTTCCTTTGAGGGAGAAAACTGAATTACTAATGAGTTAACATATATCCAGGGCTTATTATGTGGGCTTAGAGATATTTAATTAATGAATGGCCCAAAGTTACAGAAATATATAATATCAGATCCAGAACTCTTAACCCTGCACCCCAGCCTGATCTCCCAGGGTTCTTTCCACTGTGCTATTGTGTGCCATATATGCATTTCTAATAAAATGGATTATCTTATTCCTGGTAGAGGTTAGATGAGCAAACACTATTAAAATGAACCACACAAGTACTACCAAAACCTTACTTTAGCAATTAAGAAAGATTAGATGTTTAGAAAATGAGGCTCAGATCATGTTTTTTAAAAAGATTCATGGTATATTCCAATGAGAAAAGTGTTCAAATACACTTATTTGAATGGTTTTGCTAAGAAAGATACTAAAATTCTGGTCCCACAGAATGCTTCAGAGTGGAATAAAAATTTACAAAATGCCTCTACATTGTGAAATGTGTGACTTTTTTGTATATTTGTTTAATAACCATCTTTCCTGCTTGTCTGTAAACACTGTGATTGTAGACGACATATTTTTTTTTTTGTTCGTTTATGGCTTCTATGTGATACTAAAGCACAGAACCTAGTTTCCAGTGGGGGTAAAATAAATATTTGTCGTTAGATTGTTTAAGGGCTTTCCACATTACAAAGGAGGTGCTTTCACATTTATTATTTTATTCTACCTCCACAGCCTATGGGGATTCGAGAACCATTTCCACCTGTGGTTGAGCTCTGGGAATCTCTGGAAAATGACATTCACTGGTGTTCTATTGACCCAACATGACAAGCTCTACCCTGTATTCCTGAATGGCTCAGAGATAATAGCTATACTCCAGTAATCACTTTTATTTAGTTAGTTTTTTACTCTTAAGCAGTAGCAGCAGGGGCCTGACCATGGTAATGACTGCATTGTCTACTTTTTCTTTTCCCACATGGAATTAGTTGGTAATGAATTATAATCAAAGCTTTAACAAACTCACTATGACTTCCACATGACTGCCACACAGTAGGAGCTCAAAATATATTTATTGAATGGATGAATGAAAATAAAATAGCCAAATCTGAATGTATGGGGAGAGCACGCTGCAGAGGGAATAGAACATGGCTCAGGGAATGCATCTTGTTCTCATTCTTGTTTGTCCACGAATTGGCTGTATAACCATTTAACTTTCCAGTACTGGGGCTCTTCCCCCTCTGTAGAATGGCACGATCTGTAGAGTGGTACGATCTTGGCTCACTGCAAGCTCCACCTCCCAGGTTCAAGTGATTCTCCCGCCTCAGCCTCCTGAGTAGCTGGGACTACAGGCGCGCGCCACCACGCCCAGCTAATTTTGGTATTTTTAGTAGAGACGGGGTTTTACCATGTTGGCGAGGATGGTCCCAATCTCTTGCCCTCATGATCTACCCGCTTTGGCCTCCAAAAGTGCTGGGATTACAGGTGTGAGCCACCGTGCCTGGCCCAACATATCTATACTATACAAAAGTAGATCATTGGCCCTTGAATAATATGAAATTAATTTATTTCACTCCCACAGAGGAACAATTATATTCATTAACCAAATGACTACTTTCCTAAATATTTTCTCCTTGAAAGATCCTATTTACTTTGACAGGCAATGTTTACCACCTGAACATTTTCTAACTTGAAAGGTGGCCTTTGGAAAAAAATCTTTAATTATAGTTTCCTAGAGTTTGCTTTGTTTTGGAAATGGAAAATACTTCCAACACTTATGCTGTCAGAGAGTGACCATGGTCATTACCAGTAAACTGTCTCCTTGGCTGGATAAGATGTACAGGTAGGGAATTTTTGGTCAACACTAGGCCGAAAAGTCCTCCCATAGGCTTTGCTGAATTTACTTTTTGTGCTATAAATCAATTCAACTTCTCCTTATGCTTTGTATGGGGATAGATTTTCAGTAATTGCACAGTCGAGTTCACAACGTGCGCCATGCTTGCATTATTCCTTTATACTGACGGAAGTGTAGAGTTACAATTTGGATTCCCTTTTCCATTATGTTTCATTATCCAATCATTCGACTTTGATCCTATGGCAATGTTTAGTCACATTTCTGAATGTTCTTTATGAAGATCGGCGATGCATTGTCACAATCGTGCCAAAGATTCTGAGCAAGAACAGTAAAGCATCTCATAATTTCACCCTGCCAGCATTGTGAGACCACTTTCCTTTTAATTACTGTCAAATTCAATTTCACACCTTTTCATTCTTTGTTTAAGGATGTACTTTTCTAGGAATATAAAATATTAACTGATATTTACACTTTGCAAAAGCTTCCTATTAATCTTTCCCTGAAACAAATTTAACTGTAAGTTCAATATTAATTTGAAGTTGATGGGGATGACTATTATATAAACAGAGAAAAATGAATTTCCTGTCAAGTAAACATGCTTTTTTCAAACACTGTGTTTGGTCCAGCATGTCTACTATAAGGGCCACAAGTCGAGAATGTGCAAAAACAGTATCTTAGTTGTGCAAGAAGAAAAAGACAGTGGCTGTTCAATATCATTTATCAAAGTAAGAAGAAAAAATAAAAAATAAAAAGAGACCCGTCCAGTGGAAGGTCACAGCCAATAACATTTCTGCAAATAGAAAAGGGATGCTGAAGCATCAGATGTAAATTGCTGTTTGCTGAAGAATTTTAATGGAGTTCTACGTCACATTATAAAATGTTTAATTGTAACCCCATTTTAATAACACCATCTGATTAAATGAAAAGACGCCTTGCTGATCGCAATTACAATCTGTCAAACTGCATATTTATTTACAGTTTGGTTTTTTAAAACCATAAGATAAAAAAAGAAAACTCTATTCAGCTTGTCAGGAAACTATAATTATTGTGTATCCTTCTGTCAGTTTCTGCATAAAACTTTTGGTCCTAAAATGGATCTAATTATATCTACATCAACATTTTTATAAACGCTACATTTTTTTTCTCCATCTCAGTGAAATCTTTGTCGTTAACTAGGAAAAACATATTCTCTTTTAAAAAGGCATTAGCCAGGCTTGTTTGCTTTCTTTCCTTCAAGATGTTATAAAATAAAACATCCCTTTCAAAATATAAAAATATTTGCTTATGTCCCTCTCTCTCCTGGCATGAGATTATGAATAAAACCAACAGTTTTTGGCTGTTCTGGCAACACTGTTTCTGATTGTCTTGGATGTCATAAAATTCCTTCAGCCTGTAGCACTGAAAGTCTAAATCTCTTTTCATAATTATATTCTGACATTCAAGGCTTAGGAATCCTCTACAGATTGAAGTGGGACCAAGCTGCTAGAACCCAGGAGGGAAAAGATCAGTCGATTGATTTCTCTAAGGTTTCTCCGACTTCTCCATCCCTCCTGTATTTCCCTTGCCACCTACATCTAAGGCACTTGATAGCTCCATTCTTATTGGGGTCATCCATACTGAAGTAGGTCCCCTGGAAATGTCCCAAACACAGGATGTACATCAAATGTGTCTTGTCCTTTGAGGGTCCATTGGACTTGATAATTTGGTCTATATATTTGTACTGAGATGTTTATGGATTATAATGCTTATTATTCTGCCCATTCTGGGAGTTAAAAATACAGGATTCAGGCAGACCACCTGAGGTCAGGAGTTTGAGACCAGCCTGACCAACATGGTGAAACTTCATCTCTACTAAAAATACAAAAATTAACTGAGCTGTGATGGCGTGCACGTGTAATCTCAGCTACTGAGGAGGCTAAGTCAGGAGAATTGCTTGAACCCAAGAGGCGGAGGTTGCAGTGAGCTGAGATCACACCATTGCACTCCAGCCTGTGCGACAGAGGAAGAGCCTGTCTCAAAAAAAAAAGTGAATTAGCTTAAAAAGAAGCACCAGGAATGTTGTTTTCAAGCATGAAGGCACATACAATTTTTTAGGATCAGAGGCAGAATTGGACCCCACATCCGCCCTCCTAGTCCAGTATCAGTGAGGCTGTCTCATAGACCATTAGACTATTATTTCAAGTTGGTTTAATTAATGCCAACTTAGAATAAAACTAGTGGCAATTCCTCGAGGGCACAAACTAGATGCTCAGTTTCTTGTACAGAAAGCCTATATGAGGCAAGTAATCTGGACTCAATTCATTGGGTTTTGTGCTAGATATCTTCAAATATATAGAAAGATCCAAACTTTTTTCCGTCAACTTTTATCTTAAGTTTCGGTGTACGTGTGCAGGATGTGCAGGTTTGTTACATAGGTAAACATGTGCTATAGTGGTTGCTGCACAAATCAACCCTTCGCCTTGGTATGAAGCCCAGCATACATTAGCTATTCTTCCTGATGCTCTCTCTCTGCCTTTCCCAGAGCCCCCGCCATAGGCCCCCAGTGTGTGTTTTTCCCCTCAATGCAAATGTCTACCTCTGGGAGGTAATCAAATCAATTGTGATTTGTTAAAGGTGAGACAATTTTGTGATCTAAAATCCTTCATCATAGAACTGTACAGTAATAGCACAGATGGGGAATCTGGACGTCAGCATTTTAACCTTTTACACGTAACCCAGCCCACACAATCTAAACAAGGCACACAGGCACTTTAGGATGGTACATGTGCCCAACTGTCTGAACGCCTTTCCTGTCATGCACCTGATGCCTTCTCACCTCTCATCTCCCAAACCTGCTGTTCTTACCTCTGTGCCTTTTTCCAGCCACGCTGTTCCCCATGCCTTGAAAGCTGGCCCTTCATGTTTCTCTGGGTTTTACTCTTCCAAATTCTACAAACCTCAGATTTGAAAGTCTCTTGAAAGGCATTCTTGAATACTGCTGGCTGATTCATGAGCAACTTCTTCTATGTTTCTTAAGCAATTTGTTTATCCCTCCTCCAAAGCAATGATCATAACATGTTTCAATACTTTTGTGTCTCCTTATCTGATATTAAAGGCAAGGACCATTGAGTATTTATTCATTGATTATCACAAGAGCCAATGTCTAGCTTAGCCCCTGGAACACACAAGACAATATATATTTACTGAATAAATTAATCAGAACACCTTATCTATTTCTGACAAAGAGTTCTCTGGTCTCAATCTGTCTCTAGGGACAAAAATTTATTGAGTCTAATGCAGCCTGCTTAAGGCATGGTCAGCTCTACTTTATACAAAGTATTTTCTTATATGAAGTTGAAAACTACCTACAGCTTTTTCTCTTGTTTTAATCATTTTGTTTTCTAGAGTTTCTCATTAATGGGATGATATTGGCTATCTTCCCTTTGTAGGAACTAGTGGGTTTGGGGATTAGTGAACTTTCAGAGAACACAGAAACACTGTAGCTTCATGGTTTTCAACTCTAGTCACACATTAGAATTACCTAGGGAATTTTTTGAAAATACTAATCTTTGGGCCCCACCCTGAAACAGTTAGACCCAATATCATTGAGGTGGAGCCCAGGGCATTTTGCCTTCTGATGAGCACTCAGGTTTGACAACACAAGTCTTCTTGCTATTCAAAATGTGGATCCTGCAATACCTAGGTGATGGGTTGATAGGTGCAGCAAACCACCATAGCACACAGTTACCTATGTAACAGGCCTGCACGTCCTGCACATGTATACCAGAACTTAAAATTAAATGAAATTAAATTAAAAACAAATAAATAAATAAAAATACAGAATCTCAGCCCCCATCCTGTACATGCTGAATCAGAATATGCATTTAAACAAGATCACTTGGTGATTTGTATGGACATTAAAATTTGAAAAGCAACCATTTACAAAAAAAAAGTTAATTCTGTACCAGTAACCTAGGCCTAACCTCCCACACCTGATTTCAGACTTGCCAAATCAGCATCTACATTTTTAATAAGATTCCAGTGATTTACAAAAATTTAATGTTTGAGAAGCACTGAATATGTCTCTTAATTCTCTCTCTCTCTTTTTTTTTTTTTTTGAGAGGAAGTCTCACTCTGTCATCCAGGCTGGAGTGCAGTGGCATGATCTTGGCTCACTGCAACCTCCACCTCCTGGGTTCAAGCGATTCTCCTGCCTCAGCCTCCTGAGTAGCTAGGATTACAGGTGCCCATCACTACACCCAGCTAATTTTTGTATTTTTGGTAGAGACAGGGTTTGATCATGTTGGCCAGGCTGGTCTCGAACTCCTGACCTCAGGTGATCTGCCTGCCTTGGCCTCCCAAAGTGCTGGGATTACAGGTGTGAGCCACTGTGCCCAGCCTTAACTCTCTTTTGAATCTTGAGTTTCCAAAATGCCCATCAGGGAGCAGATCATGTTTCTACCACATAATATAGTAAAGGAGGTGGGGAAAATTGACCCCAGCCACAGAGACCAATTTGGCATCATCTTAAATGGCCCTAATTGTGCCATGCATTGGTACAGTAATACACAAATTTGAATCAGGAACTTTTGAAGTTATTGCAATAGTCTAGGAATCCATATGCAAATCGTAAAAATATATAGTTGTATTTGACAAATGTTTTTCAAGCCTACACAAATATTATTGAGATTCATACAATCCAAATAGATTTAATAGCATTACCAACTACTTTGGATTTTCCGCATTTTTTTTTAAACCAATGAATCTTGAAAGTTCAACCATTGTCAGGTTGGAAAAATGTGACAGATTTTTGAAATTAGAATGTAAAAACTTTGGGAACTATTGGAGTTCAAAAGTTTAAGGGCAACCTGTCAAAGAGTGGGTAGATGGTTAATGGATCCTGTGTGAACAGAAATACCATGAAGTTTCAATGTTCAACCGGCCATGTATGCAATGGATATATTCCCATGTCTAGCAGGTGGCTCATATTTTGTTGGGGCATGTTGTGACAATATGAATTTTATTATTTGGGAATTTTTTCTTTCTCTGGAATACAGTTTTGAAAGTTTAAAGTAAGTGAATTAAAAAGTATGATTTGATTTATCAAAATGTATTTATCAAGCACCTTTTAGAGAGCCTGTTTCCTTAGTAGCATAGTCTTGTAAACTCTCTCCAAGGCACAAAGAAATAGGCGCAAAGAAATAAGTCATAGTAGACTTATTTGTATTCCTCTATTTCAGTGGTCTGAGTCCCCTATCCTGGCCCTTTGCTCTAGTATGGAGCTATCACTGGTATTTATCAAGGAGATTCAAAGAATAGTTGCAAAGGAGTATGGTCAAATGAGGCTAGAGATCTGAGCATCTACAGAACATGCACCTCGGATAACCAAAGATACTTCCTTTCCTAAAGTTATTCCTATATTTAAATTAGGCATTTAATTTAAATATAGGATTTAAATTATTGCTTGGTAAAATATTTCTTAGTTCTCTCTTTTTTTTTCCTTCGGAGAAGCTTTCCTTCCTCTAGTGTACTTTGCAGTCTTTTCCCTTTTCACTGTCAAATTACACAACCCCTTGGATGTCTTCCAAATCCCCTTGGGAGTTTATTTCATGGTTTAATACAGGATGACCCATTTTAAGCAGTTCCCTTTGAAAGTGTTGAACAGGAGCTGTTCAAATGAGTCACTCTCAGTTTGGGACGAGTGTAGTTATTTAATTTAATACCTTGGACCTGGAGAGATTGTTAGAAATGTCTAGATACTTCAATGGCACTACTTGAAGCAAAATGAAAATATCTACATATAATTGGAAATATCTAGTTTTACCCCAAACTTTATTCCAATTCCATACTATTTCTTATTGTTATATGTATATGTATGTATATATGCATATACTGTATATCTAATACATATGTATTTCTCGCTAATACTATTTTTAATAATGTAAGGATTAAATTCAGAAAATGCACAATTTCATAAAGTATTCTATCTTACATAGGTAAGTCTTCATTGATAGTTAGGTGTTGTTCAGAATAGACTAAATGCTGACATGGCTGAACTGAAGCTGATTATTCCGAACTGCAGTGGAAGATGATCAAGGCATCTCTGAGCAGAAAAAAACACATAAGACTCAAGTTCAAAACTTTTCTTTTTTTTTCTTTTTTTTAAACGGAGTTTCACTTTTGTTGCCCAGGCTGGAGTGCAATGGTGCAATCTTGGCTCACTGCAACCTCTGCCTCCTGGGTTCCAGTGATTCTCTGCCTCAGTCTTCCAAGTAGCTGGGATTACAGGTGCATGCTACCATGCCCAGCGACTTTTGTATTTTTAGTGGAGACGGGGTTTCTCCATGTTGGTCAGGCTGGTCTCGAACTCCTAACCTCAGGAGATCTGCCTACCTCGGCCTCCCAAAGTGCTGGGATTACAGGCGTGAGCCACCGTGCCCGGCCCAAATACTTTTCAATGCAGCTCCCCCGGCTCCACCCCAGCCTTCGGCTAAAATGAAAATGGAGTTTTGGTGTTTCAGAGAGTACCACTGAAATGGACTTTGGTTTTATTGTAATTCCTCTGGTTATAGAACTTTATCCTATTATCTCCACAGGTCTCATCATAATTTTTCTTAAATTTAATGAATTCACATTTTGAAATCAAAGAAGTACAATTTACTTTAATTTACTCCTTTTATGGATTTAAATCAGGTTTTCAGATAGGATATTTTGCCCTCTGACAGGCATAAGGAAATACACTAAGGTAACTGAAGACCCAATTCAATTCATTTTACTAGCCATGATTAGGTTTTATCCTAAACTAAGCTTAGTTCAAACTCTGCGCATGATTCTTTGTCTGGGTTTACTATGGCAATGGTTACATTTTTCTCTTTCTATTTTTCAAAGGGCCGGCTGACTAAATTTTCTTTTTTCCATCTGGGGAAAAAGAGCAGATATTTGTTTCACATTAAGTTACTTTAGAACAGCAGCTCTCAAACCTGAGTATGTGACAGAATCAACTGGGGGTCCCAACAACCAGAATTTCTGATTGAAAAGGTCTGGGATAGGACCTAAGAATTTATCTTTTTAACAAGTTTCCACATGATGCTGATGCTGCCCCTCTGTGGGCTGCGCTTTGAGAAACCCCACGGCTCAGGAGTGAACTCACCTTTCTAGACCCAGTGGTGCACATGGCATGGGAATACATCACTTCTCTCTGACTACATTGCCAAGATCTTATCTGTAACAAACAAACACATGCTCTCCTATCTCTTCATGAGCATGATGACAATGCTAACCTTCTGGCCTTCCCAACATACTTGAGTCATGCTTTAATCTTACAGCAGAGTGTTCTACCTGTATATCCACAGAGTGACTTAGGAGAGAAATGACAAGTTGTACAACTCTGATCATGTCTCCTTTGATTGATGACAAATTTTCCACTGTCCTTACTAACAAATGAAGTTCAAATGTCTTGGCTTCACACTCAAGGTTCTCTACGAACTGGCCCCAATCGAATGTTTATTCTTTCATTCATATCCATTGAATGAATGTTTGGTGAGATTTGGCTCTCTACTCCCACCTTATATACAACTTCTCCCCTTCACCCATTTCATGATGTAATGAAGTTGAAATATTTGGTGGCTCATGCCTGTAGTCCCAGCTCCTTGGGAGGCTGATGTGGGAGGATCACTTGAGGCCAGGAGTTTGGGGCTGCAGTGAGCTATGATTGCACCACTGCACTCCAGCCTGGGTGACAGAGAAAGACACAGTCTCTAAACAAATAAATAAAAATAAAATAAAATTGAAAATTTTATCTTTGTTTTCCTTCCCTTTTGGCATGCCTTCACTTCCACTGTTTTCACTGCAATTTTCTGTAAATGTGGGAAGTGATACCCCTTCAAATCTTAGGACTACAAGACAGTGTTCGTACAGCACTTAGCCTGCTGCCTGGCAGAATGTGCTCTTGATGAATGCTTGTTTTCCATTTTCTCTTTTCCTTTTCTTCATTCTCTTGGTGCTTCACCTGTGGGGTCGTGGTAAAGTCACCTTCTAACAATTGCTTTAGTTTGATTTATTTATATATCACTTCCTTAGTGTCTGTTTCATAAAATTTTTTATTTTTTTACAGGAGTAGCATTATGCCTTGAAGCTAGTAGATGCTTAATAAAAATGCCATATTACTCTTTTCTTACCAATACTTGGAAGTATAAGAATGTTTTATAAAGCTCTATGTAAAAGTCTAAAAAATATTTATTGCCGGATTTTTAGATGCTTGAAAAAAAGAACAATTTGGATTTATTTACATTAAAATTCAAAAATCACTGAGTTTTGCTCAAAGTTAGCTTTCACTTAGCCACTTTTCGAGAAAAATATAAATCATGTCCTGGTTATTGGAGTGACAAGAAATGGAGAGCACGCGCTGAAAGTGTGCTCAATGGAGTGGAGAGAATTGCAGTGGCAGGAGGTCCACCTGGCATCATTTGGCAGTTGACTAAATCATGGAAACTGGTGTAAGTGGCGTTTATCAAAATGGTTACCCAAGGAAAACAGTGAAGGTCATAGTTCTAAGCACTGTGCTGTCAATATCAATGCCTCCTTTATCCAGAAGCAGTGAAGTATGATGGGAAGAACCCAAAGAGAGTCAGAACAGGTTGGTTTCGTCCTGCTGCTGGTAGCTGTATAAACTTAGGCAAGTCTGAACACCTCTGAGATTTGACTTTATTGAGCTGTATAATGAAGGATTTTGCCTAGTGAGCCATGTAATTTTCAGCTCAAATCTCTGATGCTCTGATTGTTCCTGCAAGACTAACTCTGCAAATAGGTAGACTCCCTATTTCCTTTTGCAGTATGCTTTTAAGAGAAGGCCTGAAGAAATCTCTAATCATTGCCCATTCCACATTGACCAAAATTGTCTGTCTAGAGCAGTTGTTCTCATTCAGGGGTATTTTTGCCTTCCAGAAGATATTTGTCAATGTCTGGACATTTTATGACTGTCACAGCTAGGGGGTGGGGGACAGAAATACTGGCATCTAATGGGGAGAGGCCAGAACTGTTGCTAACATCCTACAAGGCAAAAAACAGTATCCTTCTCCCCCACAAAAACTTGTTCAACCAAAAATGTCAATAATGCCAAAATTAAGAATCTCTGGGGAGGAGCCAAGATGGCCGAATAGGAACAGCTCTGGTCTACAGCTCCCAGCGTGAGCGACGCAGAAGACGGGTGATTTCTGCATTTCCATCTGAGGTACCGGGTTCATCTCACTAGGGAGTGCCAGACAGTGGGCGCAGGCCAGTGTGTGCGCGCACCGTGCGCGAGCCGAAGCAGGGCGAGGCATTGCCTCACCTGGGAAGCGCAAGGGGTCAGGGAGTTCCCTTTCCGAGTCAAAGAAAGGGGTGATGGACGCACCTGGAAAATTGGGTCACTCCCACCCGAATATTGCGCTTTTCAGACCGGCTTAAAAAACGGCGCACCACGAGACTATATCCCACACCTGGCTCAGAGGGTCCTACGCCCACGGAATCTCGCTGATTGCTAGCACAGCAGTCTGAGATCAAACTGCAAGGCGGCAACGAGGCTGGGGGAGGGGCGCCCACCATTGCCCAGGCTTGCTTAGGTAAACAAAGCAGCGGGGAAGCTCCAACTGGGTGGAGCCCACCACAGCTCAAGGAGGCCTGCCTGCCTCTGTAGGCTCCACCTCTGGGGGCAGGGCACAGACAAACAAAAAGACAGCAGTAACCTCTGCAGACTTAAGTGTCCCTGTCTGACAGCTTTGAAGAGAGCAGTGGTTCTCCCAGCACGCAGCTGGAGATCTGAGAACGGGCAGACTGCCTCCTCAAGTGGGTCCCTGACCCCTGACCCCCGAGCAGCCTAACTGGGAGGCACCCCCCAGCAGGGGCACACTGACACCTCACACGGCAGGGTATTCCAACAGACCTGCAGCTGAGGGTCCTGTCTGTTAGAAGGAAAACTAACAACCAGAAAGGACATCTACACCGAAAACCTATCTGTACATCACCATCATCAAAGACCAAAAGTAGATAAAACCACAAAGATGGGGAAAAAACAGAACAGAAAAACTGGAAACTCTAAAACGCAGAGCGCCTCTCCTCCTCCAAAGGAACGCAGTTCCTCACCAGCAATGGAACAAAGCTGGATGGAGAATGATTTTCACGAGCTGAGAGAAGAAGGCTTCAGACGATCAAATTACTCTGAACTACGGGAGGACATTCAAACCAAAGGCAAAGAAGTTGGAAACTTTGAAAAAAATTTAGAAGAATGTATAACTAGAATAACCAATACAGAGAAGTGCTTAAAGGAGCTGATGGAGCTGAAAACCAAGGCTCGAGAACTACGTGAAGAATGCAGAAGCCTCAGGAGCCGATGCGATCAACTGGAAGAAAGGGTATCAGCAATGGAAGATGAAATGAATGAAATGAAGCGAGAAGGGAAGTTTAGAGAAAAAAGAATAAAAAGAAATGAGCAAAGCCTCCAAGAAATATGGGACTATGTGAAAAGACCAAATCTACGTCTGATTGGTGTACCTGAAAGTGATGTGGAGAATGGAACCAAGTTGGAAAACACTCTGCAGGATATTATCCAGGAGAACTTCCCCAATCTAGCAAGGCAGGCCAACGTTCAGATTCAGGAAATACAGAGAACGCCACAAAGATACTCCTCGAGAAGAGCAACTCCAAGACACATAATTGTCAGATTCACCAAAGTTGAAATGAAGGAAAAAATGTTAAGGGCAGCCAGAGAGAAAGGTCGGGTTACCCTCAAAGGGAAGCCCATCAGACTAACAGCGGATCTCTCGGCAGAAACCCTACAAGCCAGAAGAGAGTGGGGGCCAATATTCAACATTCTTAAAGAAAAGGATTTTCAACCCAGAATTTCATATCCAGCCAAACTAAGCTTCATAAGTGAAGGAGAAATAAAATACTTTATAGACAAGCAAATGCTGAGAGATTTTGTCACCACCAGGCCTGCCCTAAAAGAGCTCCTGAAGGAAGCGCTAAACATGGAAAGGAACAACCGGTACCAGCCGCTGCAAAATCATGCCAAAATGTAAAGACCATCGAGACTAGGAAGAAACTGCATCAACTAATGAGCAAAATCACCAGCTAACATCATAATGACAGGATCAAATTCACACATAACAATATTAACTTTAAATATAAATGGACTAAATTCTGCAATTAAAAGACACAGACTGGCAAGTTGGATAAAGAGTCAAGACCCATCAGTGTGCTGTATTCAGGAAACCCATCTCACGTGCTGAGACACACATAGGCTCAAAATAAAAGGATGGAGGAAGATCTACCAAGCAAATGGAAAACAAAAAAAGGCAGGGGTTGCAATCCTAGTCTCTGATAAAACAGACTTTAAACCAACAAAGATCAAAAGAGACAAAGAAGGCCATTACATAATGGTAAAGGGATCAATTCAACAAGAGGAGCTAACTATCCTAAATATTTATGCACCCAATACAGGAGCACCCAGATTCATAAAGCAAGTCCTGAGTGACCTACAAAGAGACTTAGACTCCCACACATTAATAATGGGAGACTTTAACACCCCACTGTCAACATTAGACAGATCAACGAGACAGAAAGTCAACAAGGATACCCAGGAATTGAACTCAGCTCTGCACCAAGCGGACCTAATAGACATCTACAGAACTCTCCACCCCAAATCAACAGAATATACATTTTTTTCAGCACCACACCACACCTATTCCAAAATTGACCACATAGTTGGAAGTAAAGCTCTCCTCAGCAAATGTAAAAGAACAGAAATTATAACAAACTATCTCTCAGACCACAGTGCAATCAAACTAGAACTCAGGATTAAGAATCTCACTCAAAGCCGCTCAACTACATGGAAACTGAACAACCTGCTCCTGAATGACTACTGGGTACATAACGAAATGAAGGCAGAAATAAAGATGTTCTTTGAAACCAACGAGAACAAAGACACCACATACCAGAATCTCTGGGACGCATTCAAAGCAGTGTGTAGAGGGAAATTTATAGCACTAAATGCCTACAAGAGAAAGCAGGAAAGATCCAAAATTGACACCCTAACATCACAATTAAAAGAACTAGAAAAGCAAGAGCAAACACATTCAAAAGCTAGCAGAAGGCAAGAAATAACTAAAATCAGAGCAGAACTGAAGGAAATAGAGACACAAAAAACCCTTCAAAAAATCAATGAATCCAGGAGCTGGTTTTTTGAAAGGATCAACAAAATTGATAGACCGCTAGCAAGACTAATAAAGAAAAAAAGAGAGAAGAATCAAATAGACACAATAAAAAATGATAAAGGGGATATCACCACCAATCCCACAGAAATACAAACTACCATCAGAGAATACTACAAACACCTCTACGCAAATAAACTAGAAAATCTAGAAGAAATGGATACATTCCTCGACACATACACTCTCCCAAGACTAAACCAGGAAGAAGTTGAATCTCTGAATAGACCAATAACAGGCTCTGAAATTGTGGCAATAATCAATAGTTTACCAACCAAAAAGAGTCCAGGACCAGATGGATTCACAGCCGAATTCTACCAGAGGTACAAGGAGGAACTGGTACCATTCCTTCTGAAACTATTCCAATCAATAGAAAAAGAGGGAATCCTCCCTAACTCATTTTATGAGGCCAGCATCATTCTGATACCAAAGCCGGGCAGAGACACAACCAAAAAAGAGAATTTTAGACCAATATCCTTGATGAACATTGATGCAAAAATCCTCAATAAAATACTGGCAAACCAAATCCAGCAGCACATCAAAAAGCTTATCCACCATGATCAAGTGGGCTTCATCCCTGGGATGCAAGGCTGGTTCAATATACGCAAATCAATAAATGTAATCCAGCATATAAACAGAGCCAAAGACAAAAACCACATGATTATCTCAATAGATGCAGAAAAAGCCTTTGACAAAATTCAACAACCCTTCATGCTAAAAACTCTCAATAAATTAGGTATTGATGGGACGTATTTCAAAATAATAAGAGCTATCTATGACAAACCCACAGCCAATATCATACTGAATGGGCAAAAACTGGAAGCATTCCCTTTGAAAACTGGCACAAGACAGGGATGTCCTCTCTCACCGCTCCTATTCAACATAGTGTTGGAAGTTCTGGCCAGGGCAATCAGGCAGGAGAAGGAAATAAAGGGTATTCAATTAGGAAAAGAGGAAGTCAAATTGTCCCTGTTTGCAGACGACATGATTGTTTATCTAGAAAACCCCATTGTCTCAGCCCAAAATCTCCTTAAGCTGATAAGCAACTTCAGCAAAGTCTCAGGATACAAAATCAATGTACAAAAATCACAAGCATTCTTATACACCAACAACCGGCAAACAGAGAGCCAAATCATAAGTGAACTCCCATTCACAATTGCTTCAAAGAGAATAAAATACCTAGGAATCCAACTTACAAGGGATGTGAAGGACCTCTTCAAGGAGAACTACAAACCACTGCTCAAGGAAATAAAAGAGGACACAAACAAATGGAAGAACATTCCATGCTCATGGGTAGGAAGAATCAATATTGTGAAAATGGCCATGCTGCCCAAGGTAATTTACAGATTCAATGCCATCCCCATCAAGCTGCCAATGACTTTCTTCACAGAATTGGAAAAAACTACTTTAAAGTTCATATGGAACCAAAAAAGAGCCCGCATCGCCAAGTCAATCCTAAGCCAAAAGAACAAAGCTGGAGGCATCACACTACCTGACTTCAAACTATACTACAAGGCTACAGTAACCAAAACAGCATGGTACTGGTACCAAAACAGAGATATAGATCAATGGAACAGAACAGAGCCCTCAGAAATAATGCCGCATATCTACAACTATCTGATCTTTGACAAACCTGAGAAAGACAAGCAATGGGGAAAGGATTCCCTATTTAATAAATGGTGCTGGGAAAACTGGCTAGCCATATGTAGAAAGCTGAAACTGGATCCCTTCCTTACACCTTATACAAAAATCAATTCAAGATGGATTAAAGATTTAAACGTTAGACCTAAAACCATAAAAACCCTAGAAGAAAACCTAGGCATTACCATTCAGGACATAGGCGTGGGCAAGGACTTCATGTCCAAAACACCAAAAGCAATGGCAACAAAAGCCAAAATTGACAAATGGGATCTAATTAAACTAAAGAGCTTCTGCACAGCAAAAGAAACTACCATCAGAGTGAACAGGCAACCTACAACATGGGAGAAAATTTTTGCAACCTACTCATCTGACAAAGGGCTAATATCCAGAATCTACAATGAACTCCAACAAATTTACAAGAAAAAAACAAACAACCCCATCAAAAAGTGGGCGAAGGACATGAAGAGACACTTCTCAAAAGAAGACATTTATGCAGCCAAAAAACACATGAAAAAATGCTCATCATCACTGGCCATCAGAGAAATGCAAATCAAAACCACTATGAGATATCATCTCACACCAGTTAGAATGGCAATCATTAAAAAGTCAGGAAACAACAGGTGCTGGAGAGGATGTGGAGAAATAGGAACACTTTTACACTGTTGGTGGGACTGTAAACTAGTTCAACCATTGTGGAAGTCAGTGTGGCGATTCCTCAGGGATCTAGAACTAGAAATACCATTTGACCCAGCCATCCCATTACTGGGTATATACCCAAATGACTATAAATCATGCTGCTATAAAGACACATGCACATGTATGTTTATTGCGGCATTATTCACAATAGCAAAGACTTGGAACCAACCCAAATGTCCAACAATGATAGACTGGATTAAGAAAATGTGGCACATATACACCATGGAATACTATGCAGCCATAAAAAATGATGAGTTCATGTCCTTTGTAGGGACATGTATGAAATTGGAAACCATCATTCTCAGTAAACTATCGCAAGAACAAAAAACCAAACACCGCATATTCTCACTCATAGGTGGGAATTGAACAATGAGATCACATGGACACAGGAAGGGGAATATCACACTCTGGGGACTGTGGTGGGGTCGGGGGAGGGGGGAGGGATAGCATTGGGAGATATACCTAATGCTAGATGACACGTTAGTGGGTGCAGTGCACCAGCATGGCACATGTATACATATGTAACTAACCTGCACAATGTGCACATGTACCCTAAAACTTAAAGTATAATAAAAAAAAAACATTAAAAAAAAAAAAAAAGAAAAAAAAGAAGAAAAAAAAAAAAGAATCTCTGATCTAGACAGTAAGCTAGGTAATAACTACTCTGTGAGGAGTTACTTCTTCAGCACCTATCATAGTTCTGGGAACAGAGGTAGAGCTCAATATATACTTGTTAGAACTAAGAAAAAAATTATATATATTTAAAGTATCTGATATTCCCAGTTTATTAATTATTCCCTTGAGATAAGATTGTGAAGATTCCTGTAAATATGCATCTATGACTCATGGATAGGTGACAGACAGGCTGATTGATCACATTAAGTGTCCAGTCATTTTTTAGGACCTATCTTGCCTTATGTGGAGACACGGAGTTAAGAAAGGAAACACAGAGAACCAGGAGGTACTGTTCATCAGAGGGCTGCGTCATGAAGTATGTCAAAAGGAAAATTCAGCCTGGAAGCTGAAGCTCTTGCACCATCTCTTGAACAAGTGCAAGCTATATTTCATTCATTAAAAGTTGTTTCTGCTTTAAGCAAAGTAAAATGGCTGTTTTTGAAACTTGATTACTGATCTATTGACATTAAGAATGTAGTAAGAATCAAGTTACATAAAAATCCATAAACAAGTTCAAATAAATATCCAGTTCATATTCCAACCTAGATAGGAACGAATCGGATCCAAATGTCAAAAACAGTTCTTTAAGACACAGATCTATATGACAATTTGCCAAAATCCACATGGTTAACTATGAAATGTTATACTCCACCAGAAATATTAGAATACATTTGGTGTTAAGGCCCATATAAGTTAAGTGACTTACCAGGATCTTTCAGCTACACTTTCAGTATTTCTAATAACCCCAAAATGAACGTTAATTTTACTACACAATAAGCATTCTTTCCCTAACTAGATTCCTAGAGGCAGAAATAAGAAAGAAAAAGAAAAAAATCTCAAACTCTTCTCTGCCCTTCCCTACAAATTTTGTAAATACTTATGCAAACTATTTGCCAATCAACCAGATCTTACTAAAACCCACTAACCTGAAATTTTTATAATTGTTTTTCATTATTAAAGTACTTCCTAAATAGCTGTTGGACTCAAAATCTCTGAAAGAGGTCGTTTTTAGTTATCAAAGTCATTTTCACTACATATATTTTTATCTTAATGTTTATACTTCAAAAGCATAAGTACAATCAACCACAGAGCTTTTATGATGATGATGTTCTATTACCTACGGACTCCTAGATTTTATCATTTTAAGGACTATGATCAGGTACCCAGGGGTGGGAAGAATTGTGTATTACTATCTTGGTCCCTAATTTTCCCTCTTTGTTGGATCATAGAATGCCGTGGCCTGACAATAGCTAAGGCATTTGAGCTGAGAACAATAGCTGTTCTTAGTTTAGGATCTTCCTAAATGAAGGTGCTATATAAATGTAAGTTAACGATGGGTTACTTCATGTGGCTGATAAGCCAGTATCCCTGGTGCCTCAATCATATCTGTATACTTTCTTGGAATTCTCCTAACTGTGTGCTTTATGAATTTTACAGCTCCAGGATTGAAGTTTAGGAGGAAGGGACAGGAGAAGAAGGCAAAGATAAGACGTAACGTATATTTTAATCATGATAAGTTAGAATATTTGCACAGTTAGTGTTTGCGTGTATATATTGAAATGTGCATGCGTGTGTATACACACATATGCATACCTAACTCCTCCACCTGCTTCTATGGAATCCCTGCTATATTAAAATATGAACTGTGACCTTTCCTATAGCCTTTAATTTTTAAATGACTTTTTAATTTATTATAGATAGGTGTTACACACACACAAACACACACATATATATGTGTATATACATATATATAAAAAACACCAGATATATATGTGTTATTCAACAATACTAAGGGCATGCCTTCTTCTCTCTTCTAGATGTGTGGAACACAGCAGGATTAGGCAGCCAAGACCACCACCTCTCACGGTGCTTCTAGTCTAGCAGTGGGAGGTGGCCAATCAACTACTTGAATAAACTAGATGATTTCAGGAAGTAACAATGCTCCAAGTGGCTGATATTTATTCACTTCTTCCTCATTACATGCACTTTCCAGTGACAACTCATTTTATAAAACAGGGTGATGTAATGAGGGGCGAGCGGCAGGGCAGGAGCAAGGTGCCACTTACGGCTAGAGTTTCCGAGCAGTGACATTTGAGCTGAGACCTGAATGTGAAGATCTGGGGCAAGCGTGTTCCCAATAGAGGGATGGCTAAGCGCAAAGGTCATCCGGTGGGAGGTGGGAGACAGAAAACCAGTGTGACTAGCTCGGTGAGGGGCAGAATAGTGTGAATTGAGGTCAGGGATCTTGGCAGAGCCTGAATATCATATGAAGAAACGGATTTTTTTTTCTCCTTTTATCCTAGGTACAATGAGGAGTCACTGAAGGGTGGTCAATCTAATTAATATATGCTAAAAAGGTCACACTGACTCTTGTGTGGAGAATGTATCATGGAGGAACAGGAGTCAGGAGGCGAGGCCAGTTAGGATCACTGCTATAATCCACAAAGAAGATGGTGCTTTGGATCATGGTGGCAGTGGTGAAGAAGGAAGCGATGAGGGCAGATTTCAAAATGTATTTTGGAGGCATTTCTGTGGAGACTTGCTCAGTTTGGGTAAGAAAATAACTGGGTGTCTGGAGTGACAGAAATAAGATGAACGAAGGATGAATCCCAGGTTTTTGGGCCAAGCATCTGGGAGGGACAATGGTTCCTTTCACATAATACTCACTCAGTGAAACTTCCTCACTCCAAAAACGTCTTCTTCCCCACTTCTCCCTGTCATTCATTAATCAAACCTTTTTTCATTTTTAAGATCCTTAAGAACACTACCTCCATTAATTAGGTAGCTTTTCCTGATTCCTTACATCATTTTATAACTTAAAGGGAGAGTGATGCTTTAAACTGTTGCATGATTTTCTGAATACATACCTCATTTGTTTTGCTAGACACTGGAGGGCAGGAACTATTTCCATATTAATTTTTGTACTCCTGCTATCACCAAGCATAATGTCTCACACATAGCTTACCAGGACCTGGGTTCCGGGTCCCTCAAGACAGTCCCAGTTGTAGGCCTAATTATTACTAGTTACCTGCTTGACTCTCACAGCTGTGTTGGTTGGAATGATACACTACTACATAGAGTAGACACCCAACGGCCTAGCTATTCTAAGTCCTGTGTGCATGAATGCATATGAATGCAACACAAAGAGAAGAACTGGGGTTCAGTTTGGGAATCAACTTTCATATCAATTTTGGAAACTTTTATATTCCATGAAGCTCTAAGGTAAGAATCTTCTGATAAGAGAATCTTCTGATAAAGAACCCAGTCAAAAAGTTAAGGCTGCTAGTACTACAGTAATTTCGGCTGTGTTCACAAATAGAAAATGATATGCAGAATAATGAGTTGCAGATATTCAAAGATTTTCATGCATCAAACATCTTGCTATTTTAGGTAAAAATGCATTTTTAGTATTCAGGTAAACACCTTAATTTTCCAATGACATGTGAAGGTGCAGAAGACGTAAGAAGGAGAGATTTTCAAATTGTACAGTATATACAGAGTTGTCCTCACCATCCCCTCTCTCCATACATACTAAGCAGAAGTAGGGAGGGAAATCCCTGGACACCATCTGCAGGATATTGTCACAAATACTCACTCGAAGATTCTCAAAGCCAAGAACCCATAACCAGATCTATTCCTTGTCAAAACATTTGTTTGCTCTCTTGTGGACATAACCCTAATCACTTTCTCATCTCACACATTTTATGCCTGAATGGCATCTTCTTCATAACTTAGACCAAGAGCCCTTCAGGCATGATTCTTCCTTCCCCTGTGGAGGGCAGTCCTGTGTTCATGGAAGTGCTTATCCAATAAACCGTAATAGGGGAGAATCTACTATTTTATGCATCATAAAGTTGTCATCAAGGTGCCTGAGGAAACTCTTGTGATCCACGATTCAGAGTTATGTGCATTTGTCTCCCGATAGGTGTTTGATATTTTCTCATTAGTAATGTATTTTTCTCAACATTTTGATAGATTGCCCAGGGAGATTTATTCCTATTTTCCTCTTTCTCTGGCCTCTTCAGGAATATGTGTATTATAGTCATTTCTTTTTGGCTTACTTGGCCTGTGTTTTTTGGAATAGTTTCACATTTTTCATTTTATCTTTTTCACACAATCATTAGAGAACAATGCGAGAGAATGTGGGGTGGAGTTTGACTCCTCCTCTTCCTCACTGCAGCGCTCCCTACTTTCCAGAAGCAGCCCCAGATGGCACATGGAGATGCACCTCGTGCACAGCCACAGCCCCCAACCCTCGGCCTGCCTGCACCTCTCACCATTCACGCCACAGCTTCTATGGCAAGTTAGAGGAGAACTTATGGGTTTAACCCAAATCCTACACTTAGTAATCCTGTTTTATAAACCTCAGAAAATTTGAGTTTTTTAATTTAAAAAGGCCAAAATGTTAACTGAATGTGGATAAAAAGCATTACTTTGCAAATCATGTCAGTTACAGTATAAAAATTGCATTGTTTTTATGAAAACTCACATGAGAATAAAGAAATTACAATAGTACATTCAAGAGAATTAAGCATTCATCGCGCAGTTAGCTCTTCTCCAGTTGCCCAAGATGCCAAAAGGAAAGAAGACCACAGGGAAGGACGGGGTCCCATCCCCTGCTGTTGTGATAAAGCAGGAGGCCAAGGAAGTGGAGAATCTATAACCTGCTATTCACAAGCATCTATGACAATTGCCTTACGTGGACTATCTCATTTAATCCACACCACAAGAGGAAGAAAGTATACGATAACAACCTTTCTCCATTTCACATATGAGGCGGCAGCTAAAGTACCCTGTGCCTGCTTCTGCACCTAGGACGAGCCCATCTTTCTAATCACTGCATGGTAATTGGAACAACGGACACCATGATGTTAGATTTGGGATTCTCTGCCCTCAGACACATCTGATTTCAATATTCTTTCCATTATACCAATAAAAAATACCCCTGGTTTTTAAACACATCTGCATTTTTATTCCATCTTTTAAAGTATACTGCGCTCTGAGAAACAGCCCTTTGTCGTACCATTTTTAAGGGACTATGTTTCTATAGCTTTCTGCCACCTGAGGCTGTGCTGCCACTTTACCATGCACTGACTATTCTGAATATGTGCCCCTTCCCCTTTGCAGTGGAGACTAGCTGTGTATGCATAAGAGGGTCTTGGTCCACTGAGCTACCCTGGTAAATCCATCCCGGACTAAACTCTCTTCTGGAGACTTTATGCAGTCAGTTGAGTGCCTGGGCTGAGCTGGATTGTGAATTACCATGAAAACCTCACAAAGTGCTCACATGCTTGGACCCTATAGCTCATCTTCTGAGATATCAAAGTATGACTTTTGCCCAGCACAGAGAGTGGCTTCCCAGCGAGTTTTTGGCCTCATGAGGGGATCTCCACAACCCTATCCCCAGAGGCTGGGACATTCCCTAGGCTGGGTGAGAGGAAGATGGCTGGTTTCATGATGGCCTCATGATCCTCTGTGGACCAGTCTTCTGGTCCTCACTCTGGGGTTTATCAAGAAGGCCCTGAGCCCATGGGGGGACATGAGTATGCTGCTCCCTTGGGACTTGGCCTATCAAGATGCTTTTGTGATCCCAGCCACGTCAATTTATCATTCTTGAACGGGAATGAAGAAAAGTTGGCTGAGTTTATTTACCACTCTATGTTAATTTCTTTGGCTTTTGTGAAGGCACTGCATATAGAATATGCAGTTTTGAGAGGGGACAAACTGATATAAACACATTAGAAAAAGTAGCAGGAATTTAATAAAGAGAGGTAAACATTTCTAGCTAATTTTAGACCTACTATTCTTGGCAAGCTGCCTAGAATTTTTCCTCCTTTTATTTATAAAATGATTTAAATGTCTTCATACATTTATAAGCTAAATTTTTTATACTGTCGATGGAGAGAAAAGAATACCTTGAGGTTGGCCAATAATGGGAATGTGGTAAATGGCGGAGACCCCAACTCCTGGTCTTCAGTTAGAGCTGCAGAACCCTTGTCTGTTGTACAGCCTGTTGCTACCTGAGGCGCTAACGCTGTCTTCCTTGCAGAAGACTGGTATAATTTAAATTACTGGGTTTTGACAAAGAGCTGACATTTTTCATTAGCTGGAAAGCTAATGTCTTTAACAAGTGACTTGAGAATGGACCTACAACTTTAGGTACTAAAAATGCTAATCCTGTATCCAGCTTAATCCCCACAACCATATGGTGATGTAAATATGATCATTGTCACACCTTTTTTTTTTTTTTCTTTTATAGCTAAGGAAACAGGCTCAGAGAAATCAACTGATTTGTCAAAGTCACCCAGCCAGGATTTCAAGCCCATCCTTCTTTCATTGAAATGTAGGATCTCTCGTTTTCTCTACTCATTCTCTTTTATTATTTCAGCAATGTAAAAATAATATGAGTTTATTCTGATTTTTTAAAGAAGAGGGCAGAACTGTGAATGCTGGCTTTACACTGTCAGCTTGAGTCATCACGGTGCCGAGTTCATCAGGAGAGAGACTGAGAGACAGAGAGAGGACAAAAGGCTCAATTGAGGTTTCCAATGCAAATTTACCAAGCCTCTACCAAGTGTAAAAGCACGGCTCCCAGCCTCACCAGAAATGTAGAGGAGATCTGCACCCCAGCCTGCCTAGTTCACCACCTGCCAGCTGTCCATCCCTGTGCTCTGCATCTTTGTCCCATGGTCCTTCTGCGTAAGATGAGAATCGCACCTCCCACCTCCTGGTGTGATCGTGGGGATGAAGAAGAAAACTGTGTGTAAAACACCTAGCCCAGGACTTGGCAAGAGTCGGAGCCCAATAAATGTCAGTTGATTGGTTGTTAGAACGTCCCGTGGTACACAGATACCAGTAATGAGAAGAGGAATGACAGATAGTATAAGAAAAACCCAGACCACAACCTATGGGGGTTCTGAGGAGGTGAATAACACAGTAGCTGACATGAAGCTCACTGTCTGCCCAGTACTGCTCGGAGGGCTTCAGATGCACAGACCAGATCAAGCCTCACCACCAGCACGAAAACTGAGGTGCAGAGAGGTGGAATCACTTCCCCACGGTCACATGTGGATAGTGAAGGGCCTGCCAGGGTTCAAGTGCAGGCGGCCTCACCCAGACCCACAGGCGTACCCACCACTCATACGGCTTCTCAAGATCCCAATGCCATCAGTAGGTTTCTGCGGGTGACTCCAACACTCCCCGGACAAGTTAAGAAGTGTTCCATATTTGAGAATTTGATCTTTCCTGGTCTCATACTTTCGTCAAGTTTAATATATGTAACCCAAGTGAATGATCAGTTCCTGGGTTCTATCATTCACTATACATACCACCTGCAGATCTGAGGCATCATGAAGTCACCCTAGAAATGTCTGATTTATGCGGGAGATGCTGCAGGGAAGCGCAGCTTCAGAGAAGGCAGAGCGCCCGCTATTAGCTGGGAAATACAGGCCAGCCTTGTGTGCTATGGAAATCAGGAACAAGGCTGCTTTGGGGAAAGAAAAAACAACCGCACACAAGAAAAAATCCATGTGATAGTAGCTATTAACAAGAGGTCCCACTCTGCATCTGTCCAGTGGGGAAATGGCCACTGATACTTTCAGCCATGGCTTCACCTTGGTGCAGCTACCTTTTAATACTAAAGACAATGGGATCAGAGTCCCAGACACACAAACCTAATCAACACATGAATGCGTAGAGAGACAGAAAGAAAGATACATACATATATACATACAGATGCAAGTAGCATACTTTTATTCTATGTGAAAAATAGTTACGTGATCATAGCCTATTTTCCTTTTCCTGTTAACTTTTCAAGCACTATATATATATATATACACACACATCACAATAGAAAAAATACTTCAAAATGCTAATAATTTTGTCTCTTGATAGCCTTAATAATACAGCGTTTTTAGCAATAAACTTTATGAATCCACTGTCTTGAGAAGTGCAGAGAGAGTTATCTTTCATCCATAGCATTTGCAAGTTTCATACGGTATGAATTATGATCCTATCTCCATTTGGTAAACCATTAGTTACATCTACTGGTTAACACAGAATGTGATTACATATACAATAGATATAAAAATGTAAAGCATTTAATAGCATGATATGTTTACAGGGTTGGATCATATTTTTATTAAAGATTATTAAGATCATGATTAAAGAAAACAAAACTCCCTAAAGGTTGAAAAATAATGCTTTTCAAATGTAACACATTTTGAGAGGGTTTTTGCCTATCAAAAATAAAAATGCTACCCTGAATTACAAAAAGAAGTTTAATCCTCTCTCTGTCAAAGAGTACTTCTATTTCTCTGGGGAATTTGTATAGTCCATTAAATTCAGAGGATTTAACTATCATTTTTGTGATTATATATTTATCAAAATGTGAAATATATTTATTAGTTGAAAGAAAAAAAGACACGCTCTCTGGATGATTTTGGTATTTTTCATATTTTAAGTTATTTAAAAAAGGAAAGTCAAATCTAGTATTTTAATGACTGTAACAAATGGTCAAAAACCCTCCAGGACTTCATACCTTTTCTCCTACACAGTGTGTATTGCTGCTGGCACAAAGAAGTATATAAATGGCTAATATAAAAAGACAAATAATATTATGTTTCTGTAGGTAATGCTTGTCCACGTAAGAGATCTTGAAACTTTCAAACTAGAAAAAAACTAAAATGAAAAAAAAATCTAAAACCAAAACCTGCTCTTAAAGCATTCCCATATGCTCTAGATAATAATAGTTAATGAATAATGAAGATAGTGGTGTCTTGAAATGAGACTGGCTCATTGTTCTCCTGAAAAATATTTTAGATGAATTCTCCTATGATTTCATGACAAAATGAGTTTATAATGCAACATTTCAATGTTAATAATCTACTTGCATAAATCAAGCAAAAAGCAAGTCAAAGACATGGCAAGCTGAGATATAATCATTTTGTAATTAAAAAAATAACATGAGTCATATGGGCAAATGTTTAATAGACATCAATTTTTCATATTACTGCTACTTCTGCCCCAAGACTTTGGAAGACTAGGCACAAATATACTCCTTTAGAAGTCTTGTAATTTTACTGATAGTTTTTCTCTATAAAAATAGCCATACTCAGAAAATAAATGGATTTATCTAAAAAGGAGGATCAACTACACATTGTAATTAATTGTCAAATACATCAATTTAATAGTGGAATAGGTTAGAAATGATCAGTAGTAAGTTGATTAAGTATTAAGACTATAAAGTTAGATCTATGTTTAGGGCTCAAATTCATTTAGGTCTTTTGAAAGCATTATAGAATTTTAGACACCATGATAAATGACATTGTACTTTCTATAAAACTGGAATATTTGTATCATTTTAGAAGACTAAACAACTGCTTAGAAGTGTCAGCCCAAAAAGCAATAATAATCTTGTACCTGTCTGGGGGAAATATTATGGCTAGAGATAACTTTAAGTGGGAACAAATAGATTCATTCAATCAGAAAAATAGTTATTAAGCTCCTACTATGGGCTGTACACTTATATAGAGCATTGCTATCAGCAGTTTCTACATGGAGGTCTAGGCAATGAAACCAAGTAAACTCTCAGGGTTTCTAGGTCCTCTTTCCTGTAATGAGCTCATGAGGCAGAGAGAGAACAAGAAAAATGTTTTTCTCCATGGGGAGTGGAGTTAATGCTGAGTGTTAATGCTGAATGGGGAAGGAAGGAAAGAGAAAGCAATTCTTGACACATGAAGCACCAGCATGATTATTCAAGGTAGGAGAGGGAGGACAGAACATTCGCTGGACCTGAAATGAGGAGCGCAGAGCTCAGTTCTAGAAGAAGCACTGGAGGAAGGACCACCCACAAGAAGCCCCAACCATACCCCTACACATGCCTGGACAGATCCTCCAGGTATATAACTGCTATCCAGAACAGGCCTGTTTTCATTTATTGTTTATTCCTTCTTTCCAGTCCTATGTCTTCTTTATCCAGGTTCTGTGCTGCTTTCCCCAAACTGCCCCCTCAACACATTACGAAACATTCTACTAACAATTTTGAAGTTATAACTAATGACTGAAAGCTCATGGCTAGGATCTGGAAATTCTTACTTATGGACATACTTAGAATCCCTTTGTCCAAAGACAATTATTCAAATATAAACTACAATAAATTTTTTTATTCATCTTTGTTTGCTAAATAATTGATACCCAGGCAGGAAAAAAAGATGCCTTAAGAGCAATACCACAATGGCCTTTTCAGATGTTTGCCTTTAGGACATGAAATGACCTACACAAATACAAGATGGGAAACTGCTGGCTAGAAACCAACACAGCAAGAGTCACACACTGTAGGAGGGATCAATGAATCAGCAATTAAACATATCAGCAATCAATGATGCTATTAAGGACCCTATCATAAAACATCCACGTAGAGGCAGAGAATAATTAGAAAAAATCAGAAATTAATCTGCAATCTCAGGTTCTAGAGCTCTGCCATCCATTGTCATCAACATTCCTTAAGATCATAAATGTCAAAAAAAAAAAGAGCTAATTTGATTTAAAAGTTGAAAAATAATGACCTTTGAGGAAAGGTTAAAGGAATTGGGGTTATTTGGGCCAGATAAAACACAACTGCAGGATTGACTTAATAAATGTCAAATATTTGAAATCAACTGTTCTCCAAGCATTCAGATGGCTGAGGCAGACAAAATAGGCTAAAATTTCCTATTTGGTAAGCAAGAGATTTTGGTTTAACTTTAATAAGGAACTTCCTGGAAAGAATCTAAATCTCTTACTGCAATTTAACTTAATGTTACAAGGTTAATTAAGCACAAACAGGCTACCAAGGAAAGTTATGGAATCTTGGCTCTTAGAAAACCACATATCTCAAATGGTTTAGGTTTACTCCTGCCTAGACTTAAGAGACTGGATTAAGTAGGTCCCAGAGTTTGCTTATAGCATATTATATAACTGATGTTATACCCTTTTTACTTCTTTCATGCATGGGTGAGGCACACATTTGTATGAACTCAAGGGTTGAAGAAAAAGTACAAGAACTCCTATATACCAAGTGAATCTTGAGTCTGATTACTTGGCTTAGAAAAGAAAAAGTGTTATTTTTAAATTGGCTCCTTTCCTGAATACTATTAAGGAGAACTCTAGTTTGGGATAATATTTTATTATAGCAATAAAAGCCCCAAATCGTTAACATACTGAGTCCATTGAACTATATCAATACCACATTCAAAGTAGTCTGTTTTGTGCAAACAAAGATCTTAAGTAGATCTTAACAATTAACTATAAACAACACCTATTCTTGGCCTTATTAAGAATTTGTCCAAAAAGGAAAAAACCCAACCAACCCGCATATTTATTGTATTTGGTCAAAACTAAGAACAAAAAAACCAGCCCATTTCTTCACAGTATTAAAGTGGTTTAACGCATTGTTCTTGGGTTCTGCGATATTCAAAAAAGGATAATTTGTGAAAAAAAAAAACAGGCTATAATTGCTAAACATTTGATGAATTGTGGCATAATGCTAAATAATTGTTCTTCATCATTTTTCTTCTGTTAAAGTGGCAAAATTATTTTTTATGGCTTATTTTCCTCTTTGTTTAAAGAAAGAAACAAGCTGCGGTGACATCCATTCCATTTTAAACAAACACTTGTATTATTCCACCATTAAATGGGCTGACATCATAAGCTCCTCCGTGTTCTGAAAGATGCTTAGCTCTAGTCCATGGTTACATACTTTATGCATTACATGAAATAAAATACCTCAAGATTTGGAAAATATTTATTTTAAAAACAGCAATCAAATTGTCTGTAATCACATTTTCTGCTTGGCTTTGAAAGCTGCATTATTCAATAAGCCAGTGGTCTTTTCCATAATGGCAACATATTGGAAATTCATGCTGCTCTAATACATCTGAATTCCTTGATGTGCGGCACTCCCTATAGGCCTGAAGGAACACTTCTGCTTCAGTTTCATGAGTCCTGTATAGCACCTATGAAAGCGATGGTTGTCAAAACAGTTGTACAGTGGCCTTTGAATGCAAAGTGTACCATGACTGAATGCTAAAAATGACAATAAATCTGAGTATATACATTAGGCTTGCTTTTGTTCGCTGGAAAAAGAAGGCATTTGGGAAATAAACCCCCCAATTTTATTGCCTTTTAACATCTTTTTTCCATTTCAAACTCCAGAACTGGAAATTTGACACATTCAAAGAAATTGAAATCGCCTTTGTTGCTTTCCTCATTGTAAATTTTCTATAATGCGTCATTAGGAAGCACACTCTACAAAAAGCCCAGGTTCTAAACGAATCCTTTCTTTGAGGCCATTCTAAAACTTTGCACGGTTTTTCTTTGTATGAAAGAGCTTCTGTTGACTGCACAAAGAACAAGCAATCACCACATATAGGCCAGGCTGAGAGTCTGGGATGACTTTATACAAGGTTGCATTTTCCCGTTCACCAATCCATGATTAAGTGCAGCGGTGAATATACCAAAGTGGGGAGAAACAGAAGAGAGGCTCTTGATTTCAGTTTGGAGAAATCAAAGGATTTTTCTTCAGCCATGAATACTTAATATGGGCATTTTCTTATTCTACCTTTCTGCTAAAATAGTTCCGTAGTTTCCTTTTAACAACATGAAAACACTATCCATCCACACAAAGCAATATCACTTTTTTTTAATGGCAGGATTACATTTTCCAGTCAAAAGAAATTATCTATCCAGTAGGTTCTTATAACTGATTAAACTTTGAAGGGGGGTGGGGGGTGCAGTTAAAACACTGAGACAGCCAAAGCCATGGCAAGAAAAATTACTAAGTAACTAAAATGACAAACCCGGTGAGTCTCAAAGTCTAGATCAAAGTTGTGTGGTTGACAGAAAACAAATTACAGGAAAATGCTAGTCCTGAGAAGGATCATGGAGATCAACTAGTCTTGGGGCTTTCCATCTTCTTGGGGGCAGAACATTTGTTCAAGGGAACTTTTATAAGAAATGCAAAGAAAAATAAAAGCAACACTGTTTCCTCTAACTCCTGCACCCCACCCCTGACACCACTCCCAACAAGCTCAGTGTGGATCCAGTCTTCTATAGATCTACTCCAGCCCTGCTGGTAAGAGGGTTCAGTGACTTGCCCATGACTGACAAGCTTATCCATGGCTCTCATTTCAATGCTTTTCTAACCAGACTCTATCTCTGAGAAGTGCACACAAATCAATTACTCACTATCAAAATAACTCAGAGGAATGTTGAGAAAAATGGAACTCTTGCATATTGGGTCATGAATGACTGTTTAACTTGGACCTAGAGAATCAGAACTAATTGGCACTTATTTGACAGTTACATACTTATAGAAATTCTACCCTGTTTTATAGCCTGTCTTAGAAAAGAGGGACTTCAGGAAAATGGAATCCTTTTCAAAGTGCCAGAAATTTAACTAGTTGCAGGAATCCCTACTAACAATAAAATGGCACAGACAAGAAAATGCAAAAAAGTGGTGGGAAATTTGGGAAAAACTTTCACTCTATGTATGCTGCACCCCAATATGTCTATGATAAATTCCAGAAGGCAATATAGATATCTACCTTGGATACCTTTTTATCAGAAAGAGGTTCCCATTGAATATATCTAGCCAGACATTACAGATATTAGCTACTTTAATACTTACAACATGATGAGATTAAACAAGTGAAACTGAGGCACAAAAAGTTACTCACGGTCACACAGCTGGTAAGCAGAAGTGCCAGGATTTGAACTGACGCACTCTGGCCCAAAGACATCAATTTGAATCACAATGATAAATAAAGACACCCAGTAAAGGGTAAATACTCCTTTGGTTAATAGTAGGCTTATTGCAGTCTTTTTTGACAGATGTGAAGATTCAGGATGAAAGTATAAATAACTCTTTTGGAAAGTCTTCCTTCCCATGCATTTTAACTTCTCCAAAAGAGTCATACAGGCTTGCTTTTCTCATTTTATTTAACCAACACTTATATAATGCTTCCTATGTGCCAGCTACTGGTCTGCGTAATCTTAAATATTTCCTGAACCCCGTGAGGTAAGGCCTAGAATTATCATCCCCATTTTCCTGATAAGGAAGCTGGAGTAATTACTGACTAAGCCATTAAGTCACTTAACCACTTTGAACTTTCATTTTCCATTTGTAAAATTGGGATACTAGTTCCTCATTCAGACACTGATTTTTAATTATGGACTAAATTGTTGATGTCTAATATATTAGGCATTTGTAGGAAATGCTTATAAATGGTGAAACTGTATCACTTATGTTGCCAGTGGAGATAAGAAACAGAGGCAGATACAAGAGAATATATCTAAAAACAAAATTTCAGTAAATGACATACATTATAATAATTGATATATAAGTAACACATCTATAATATCTCATAATTCATATATAAAACATCACAATAACATCTAAAATCTATACAGTATCTAAATATATACAATAAATAATATAAAAGAACTTAAGTATTTTTCACTTCCTTGATCCATTCGAATACTAAAATGTCATCATGTGAAAATACTAATACAAAGATACAATCACAGTACTAACAGCAAAAGGCTCAGCTTTGATCACATTCAAGAGCTTTTAGAAAATATAATTAGAGAAAGTTGATCCTACACATAAATTTTCCCAGGATGGCTTCTACTCATAGGATTTTTAAATTCACAGCAAAATCAATATTTAGAATCTACAACTGTTAGCTTTTATTAGTTGTTCTCATATTGTAGGTGACCTTGAAAGAAAATCTTGGAAGGGGCACTGTCATTTCGAGGTGGGCAACATTTAAACTCTCATATCTGTAGACATTATTTTCCTGTCTAATGGGCACTGATGACGTAAACTGTCCCTACACATAAACATATTTCAACAATTGGCAAACCAGTCCGTAGCTCAGTTGTTAAATTTTGTGATCATATTAGCCATGAGCAAACTTGCTAGCAAAGAGTTTTAGTAAGTTTTTACAAGGAAGTGTGATGAGCAAATTTAATATTCAAAGTTTCTTTCAAAGAAACTAATTCCTTCATGCTTTTAAAATGTAAAATATGAAAAGACAAAATGTTGTTCATCTTTAGATCCATACATATTTGTGGATGCAAAAATGGCTTAATGGCACACCACACTGCTCTAGTTCCTCGGCACCTCTTACCTACATTGGGATAACGGGCGCCAGCGGCTTTCCATAACCCCAGCCTCTTACCGCTGCTATCTACACAGGGTCCTATTGCCAGAAGGATTTTCCTACAACACTGCTTTCGTAATACTTTTGCCCTTGAGTAAAAACCACCAGCGATTGCTTCTAACCTGTCCTAACATGCCCAAGTTCTTTAGGTGGTTGTTGAAGGTTTTGGTCAAATCTCTCATTTCAAAATACCCAATCTGATTTTTGAACACTCTCCAACATGCCTTTTCTTTCCTCTTGGTTTATCCAAATCAAAGCCCTCCTTCAAGCCGTGACGGCTGTCCTACCTTTTCTACTAAGTTTTATACCCAAACCAGAGTATAAAACTCTTTCAACTAAGAGTTCCTACTGAGTTCATGGCCAGTACATCTGAGTTGGGCACTCTCTTGGTCTCTAATTGCCCCATGTTTCTAATTGTTTCATAACTGTTTATGTTTTCACTGTCCAGAAGGACAGTAGCTAGGTCTTATCAATCATTTGAGCCTTTTCAAACATTGAGACCATGGTAAGCATTCAAAATATATACACTGAGGAATGGCATTCTAGTCGTGTGGGAGCTCAAAACAAGAACTGAAGAGGCTCTTTGTTTCTCACAGGAATTAGTAGACAAAAGATAGCTCCTGATTCTTCCAACTTTATTAGATTTCTATTGCAACTTTATAGTGTATCAGACTCTGGCTTCTGGAATCCAGCCAGAGATCCCCAAGCCTTGAGAAACAGAAACAACAAATTTAATCTCCAAATCTTCTTTCTCTGAGACCATGCTGGCCTGGAAAAATTGGGCTTAATATAGACTTAATGCTAGAATCAACATCATTAACGAGACCTATACTCTCTAACACAGTAGCTGCTGGGTGAATGCGGCTACTTAACTGTAAAGTAATTAAAATAAAATAAAATGAAAAATTGGTCCCTCAGTCCCACTAGCCACATTTAATAGCCAGTGACTACTGCTGTTGGACAGCACAGATTATAGAAGAGCTCCATCGTCACACCACATTCCACTGGGAAGTGCTGAACCTTACCCACTGTCTCACCAACACGGGCATTTGCTGGAGTCGCTTTTTGCTTGCAGCATTAAAGGCTAGGACCAGTGCTGTGAGGAGGCACAGGAGACGTGCAGCTCCAGAATGTAGCTTGAGGGGTACTGGGAAGGCTTGCCACCCTATGAAAATCCCAAACAGGCTCATCTTCAAGAACTAGAATAGCAAATCAGAGCTTCATTCCTTTATCTTAGGCCAAATAGTAGATTTGTTTCCCCTATACCCTGCAAAGTGTTGAAAGTTCCTAGGGAAACATCATGTTGAGGCAAAATTATCAAAGTCCAGTTTTTGACAGTAGGTTGGTGGGCAGAGAGCATAAGGAAATTTTATGAACAGAAGGAAGCTCCTGATAGGGAAAGAGGAAGGGACAGTGGGAATGGACATGAAAATGGCCTATCTTGTGGCTGTGACTGAGTCCAGTCCCAAATGTGCCATTTGAGGATGGCATGACTGCCATGGGCAGCAAATCTGGAAAAAATCTCTGAGCCACAGTTACTGACATTGCATAAGCATTTGTTTAAGAGTGACGTCTCTTAAAGGTGTATTGAGATGGATGTAGAAATGCTAAGGAGGGTAAATTTGTTACTAGAAAGGAGGTAAATTTTATAAAGGAAAAAGACTTGAACTATATAATTGAATATCTCATTATCCTTCCTATGGCCCCAATCTCACTCCTACCATGGGGAATAAGCCTAGAGAACAAAACTGGCATTTTCCATGCATACTGAACGCCCCCTTCTTCTCCTCTCTAGGGAACAGGGGTCCCTACAGAGGCATGACCTGAATGCCTTCTTTGGCTCATGAATTGGGTCTGAAGGCTTAGTCCCAAAGAGAAGTAGGCAGGTGATTTTTCAAGGTGACTACACTGAAATACATTTTTCAGCTTTACACATTTAGCACGTTAAAAAAAATCCATTTTCTATTTATGGAGTCATACTTAATACTCATAAGCTAAATCTATACAAGTGGAATATAATCTAAAAACCTGAGTGATGGTGCTGCCAATGAGTCTCCCCTCTTGGCTGCCCAGATGGCTGCCAGATTTTAGGAAAATTCTATACACCATTGTGTATTAGGCAGTAGGCTCTGGGTTTCATTCTCTAAAGAAACTACTTTGGAGTTTCTTTTGACTCTACTTTTATTCCACCCTTATGTTCATGATTAACAGAAAAGTCATCCTGCAAAATCACTCAAGTTAGAGATATATCCCCCAATGATTTAGATAAGTGATAATATGAAATGTGTTTTTTAATATTGGCAAGTTAATTAATTTATTCATTGTGAAAATGACAGTACTGTTCGATGACTTATGAAAATGACAAGAGAGTTAGTTGGACTGTTAAGTGAGTGAACAATGAAAACCAAAAAGTGCTAATTAAAAGCCACTGTAAACCTGGGAGGAGGGTTTTATGACATGGTCTAAAGCTCTCTCCTTGGCCATCTACTACTGATTTTTTTTTCCACTATTGGGGTATAGACAGAGAAATTATTAAGTTTCAGATGACATAAAAATCAGAAGGAAAGATTTTATAATAAGCCAGTGTTTCTCAAGTATGGGATGCTTGTAAAATATACAAACCACTGGACTCCCTGGGTAGAGCCTGAGAATTTGATTTTTTGCTAGTTTGCTGGTTGATACACATTCTTATTAAATTTGAAAAATTAATGGGAATTCATAGTGTTGTCATTATAAATTGTTAGACAACAGGTCCAGTAGACTGCAATACTTTAATGGAGATAAATTTTGATCACCAGAATTATACCTCCAAAATAAAACTGAAAAATTTTTTCTTACCTTCCTATGGTATACATTTGTGGAAATTGAGAGCCGAAAATAGGAAGGAAAATCAAGGTTAACAGCAGCTGCAGTTCAGAAGATGTGGGGATCTCCCTTTTGGGGAGGAATCCTCCACTGGATGAGAGGTGGCATCTTTCAAGATGACTTTTTCTCTGAAAGCTGGTAAGCCGGTTTGACTCTATGACAGCACATTCAGTGTCAAACAATATTTAGTACTTTGGGTCATAAATACGAGTGACTGCACAAGTAATTAATTGATTTTACCTTGACTTAAATATAAAATAGAACATTGCTTTAGAAATGTGTATGATTTATAAATAACTGTCTCCACAGCTAGAAACAGTTTCAGAATGCTATTATCACAATGCCAGGCCCTCGCATGAACTTGGTCCTTGTCCTTATGGTATCCCTCAGCCCCCACCACAAACAGGTAAGCAGATTCTTACCACAGAAATGGAATTAGAAAGCAGTGTTCCATCCTGGCCCAGCATATTGGAGACTGTGATTTCAGGGAGGTCCATGTTTTGTGGATGAAATGGTAGCAGGCCATTATGGTTCATGGGGTGACACAGAGAATGGTAACCAGACTCAACTTCATTCAGGTGCACCAGCGAGTGGTCTGGGAGGGAAGGAGGAGTAATTGGTGGAATGTTGAAGTCTTCACTTTCCAGGCTTGGACCAGGGTAGGACTGTGAAAAGACAAAAGTGACATTGTTGCAAATTATCATCTTCTTGCTCTTCATCATCATATCAAACACTTGACCCTTTAGATATTATTACAAGCAGCATATGGATTTGGCAAAGACATTTCAAACCTTCAGATTATCCTGCTGCCATTTCATCATTATGCATGAAAGAAAATTGCCTCAAAGGCAGATCCACTTCTCGTATAAAGACCACTTCCATTAGGTGGTTTTATTTTTCCAAAAAGCTGAACTCAAACAGATTTCAAAGTTCCCATTAAAATTTTCCAGAGTTTTAATCTAGCTGAATACCTCTTTCATGGGAATTGTACGGAAGGAAGGCAATTTATAAAATTAACGTTTGATCAAACATGTTTCACGGGGCTCCCTACTGCTCAGATCATGGGATGTAATAAAAACGAATTCCAGAAGTTCTGGGCAATTGCTTTTGGGTTTTGAAAGGCTACCTGCTCACAATTGACAAAAGAAAATGTCGTAGAAAAGAAGCGACTTAAACATGCTGCATAAAAGTGTAGTTCCACTGAAAGTGTGATATATGAAGAAAATGCCATTAAGAGCTATTTTTATCGCAAAGATCTTATCATCAAAATCAAAGTGAAGATTACTTTTATGATTTCCAATAAGATTTACTTGATTTCCTCCTAAGAGCTGACAAATAATATTGCAAATATTTAAATTCAGTTCTGTCCATTTTGAAAGACAAAATAGTACTAATATTATTATAATACTAATTCTGGAATAAAAGCCAGCAGTAAAATAAATAGCATTAACATATGTGGGTTTTTTTTTTTCTTTTACAAACTAGCATTAGATAAAATAGAAAGGGAGGGAGGGGAACAGGAAGGAAAGATTATGTGAGGACATGCCTGTTTGAAATGGAATGTGGTAAATGTTGAAAAATACATGGAAGAAATAAAAAATCAAACATCGTTACCAATTAATATTAAATACACAGTGATATATAGCAGTCCTTCATAGAACAGGTGTCACAGTATGAAAGGAAACGTTTCGGTCCAGATAATTCTCGCAAGCTTATCTTTCAAATTAAGAGTGAGCCTTCATAGTGTTTGGGTGTATGGGTGACAAGGATTCCCTTGTCTAACAGCCCAGTGCCTGCTCAAGTGTGCAAGATTTGAAATGAGCAGGCAAGGGTGGGAGCCAAATAAAGTAGTGTAAGGTATTCATATGGTGTCCAGCCAATAAGCGTCATGCTCCTGTGTCCAAGCGCCTGGGGTTATTTTTTCCAGATGGCGTCTATTTGTCTAACAGAAAGAAAATCTTCAAGTTCCACTTTCTAAATGTTGTACAAGTTTTGATATATTTGTTTAGGTGCCATCAGAAGACAAGACTAAATGAAGAGCTACTTGGAACATCTGGAATTTAGACCTGGTCATAGAGCAGCACATGTAGGTTAGAGACAGGGGGTGTATGAAGGGAAAAATTTGACTGTTATATGCAGATAATTTTTCTTAAATATCTAAAGTTCTGCTAAAAAAATCACCAGCTCTAGAAGTTCAATCACTTGTTACCAAATTCTCCTGTTAACAATATGTATCCCATGTGAAAAATATGTATGTGCTGTGTCAAAATTACAAGTTTGATGAAATTCTCACTCGTCTGATATACTTTAGACCCTTACAGATCTAAGCCATTGGTTCCTTGTACAAGTATGCATATAAGCATAAAAGATGCCTAATGGGGAGGTGGGAGAGATGTCTATTTCATATTAAAGCACTGTACCAAGGTCTTTGACTATGTTGCCTCCATTTAACCATTATAGTAATCCATTGTGTAGCTATTATTACCCCCAGTTTCCTGAAGAGAAAATTGAGACTCAGAAATTAAATAACTTGTCCAAGTTCACTCAGCTTGGAAAAGATCAACTCAATACACATGAGGGATAAATATATCATAAAAGATGGCATTTTTATTGCTATGCTATTTATAAAGTAGTTTAATTGCTACTATCTTATTAGGTTGAATGATACAAAATTGCCAACACCCAACTGTTTCCAATAAACAAAATTTCATAATTTAAGTAATAGTATTAGCATTAATATCAGGCCTTTCCTTTCCCAAATTCCACCCCGTTGCCCACCCACTGAAATTATATGAACATAGATTTCATAATTTGTCTGTCAACACTGCAAATGCTGAATTGTTGACATCTATCTTTTAAGAAGTTAATTAGTGCCTGTTTGAAACTCTCCTGGCGGGGCGCGGTGGCTCATACCTGTAATCCTAGCATTTTGGGAGGCTGAGGTGGGCAGATCACTTGAGGTCAGGAGTTTGAGACCAGCCTGGTCAATATGGTGAAACCCCATCTCTATTAAAAATACAAAAATTAGCCGGGTGTGGTGGCGCATGCCTGTAGTCCCAGCTACTCGGGAGGCTGAGGCAGGAGAATTACTTGAACCCAGGAAGCGGAGGTTGCGGTGAGCTGAGAGCGTGCCACGACACTCCAGCGTGGGGTGACAGAGCAAGACTCTGTCTCAAAAAAAAAAAAAAAAAGAGAAAAGAGAAAGAAATTCTCCTGAATAAGGCACAACTAATGCCAGCAATAATGGAGAAAGATGTTTTTAATTTTAGGAATGCCATTAAATCTCTGAAAATACTAAGGGATAATCCACCTATAGTAGACCACCACTTTACACTCTAGGGTTTCTTCAGTAGTTAATTCTTAATTTGTGGTGTTTAAAAGAAGGTTTAATTGGTATCACTTTACATTCAGTGATAACAATTGTATTGCAATTGAGTTAAGCTACATGGTTTATTTTCATGTAATTACACATTAATGTATTTAATTCAGACAACTATACACCAAAACCACAGATTCCACAACTTAACTGGTAATAGCTAGTTATGTGGATCAAGAATTTTAACTACTAAGGTTACTTAGTAGTTTCTGTTCTTTATATTAGAAATCATGATATGCTTATTTGCCATGAGCCTATTACAGTGTAATTGATGCCATATAAAAGTATAGTGGTAATTGTATAAATGCCAAAATGTCCCAGAACTTAGAACAAGTTCAATGCCAGGCTAATTACTTATTATTTTTTAATGTGGAAATGAATTTGCTAATTCTTCATCATTGGTTTCTATGACATGAGAGCTTTATTTTGATTTTTAAAAAATAAAGATACATTTAACTTAACAATAGTTTTATAATTTAGACAATTTGCAGTTTTGGGGGATGTTATACAATAGAATATGATTCAATATTTTCCCTATTCCCTCCTCACCAAGTAACGAGTGAGTTCTTGCTTGCTCACACAGATCCAATTGTTAAAAAGAGACTGGTGCCTCCTCCCATCTCTCTTGCTTCTTCTCTCACCATGTAACACATCTGCTCCCCCTTCACCTTCCACCACCAGTAGAAGTTTCCTGAAGCCTCACCAGAAGTTGAGCAGATGCTGGTGTGATGCTTGTAACAGCCTGCAGAACTGTGAGCCACCTAAACATCTTTTCTTTGTAAATCACCCAGTCTCAGGTATTCCTTTATTACAATGCAAAAGTGACCAATATAATTCCTCTCTGACTGCTGCTCTGATCCCCTGAAGTGACTGGTACCTCCTATCCCATAGTGACACAGAGATTTCAGAGGATTCGTAAAGGAGAGTTTGTGGCCCTCTGGCTCTCAGAAGCTATGGAGCCTAACCCCCATGGCAGGTAGGATATCAGGGCCCCTTGGGTGACTGCTGGGGCACGTGAAGGAAGTCACAGCAGCAGTTCTGATGCCCATGCCTGGCCAGAAGAGAAGCCCTGATTAGACCACAAGAAGGTATATGAGTGATGAGATCAGGGGCTGAATTGTCAGAGAAGGCTTATGTGAAGGCCATGCCTGGGTGATACAGGGGACCTGGTACACATGTCCACTTATTCCAGCAGGTTCCTTTTCTGACTTGGGCTTATTTCCCTCCCTCAAGACTCAGTGAGGCCTGGAGTTTACAGATCATTCATTCTCCAACTCTCTTGGGAACAAAGATCACTTGGTCCTTTCCAAGATGATCCCCAGATGCCCAGGAGACAAGAGGACTACTTTTTTTTTTTTCTAAAAAAAAAAAAAAACAAACAAATTAGAGGCCACCAAGGAGTGAATCACATGTCCTTGGAAGTCCTATGAGTCTGGGTTCCAGTCTAGAATGCTGAGGGAGGCCAGGTATAGATTTTCAAAGGTGGTATCATCTTCTTCATCACATTTTATAGTGACATGTACCCATCCCAGTTCAGAGATTGGAACCTGAACAGCAGCATGAACCATGCGAGCTCCCTCTTCCCCAACCAATGCTGAAAGTCAGCAATGACCATCTTACACAAATGGAGAAAAAGTATTTAGGGACTACAGGGTGAAAATCAGGCCAACACTTTTAATTTTATCTTGAATCTTCACCATATTAACTCAAGGTAAATTGGAAACATATTAGCATACAGAGTGATTTGTTCTAAACCAGAGGCAGTCTAAATGATGCACATGATTCAAAGAACTCAAAATTATATTACTGTTACTTAACCAGCTTCTCCCTGATCTTAAGCTACTCCCTGGTTCAAGACACAAGAGAGTCGCGAGGTGTTGCTAGTGCTGAGCTACGCAACAGGACTCTTGTGTTCCAGCGCAAGAGGCACTGTGCATCACTCTGCGGATGGGAAGCAGGATCCCAGCGCCACTGAATGTGGGTTAGAGTGGAGTGAACTACCATGAGGCATGGTTAATTCTGGAAAATAGATGAACTTTTCAAGCCCACAAGGGAACTGTTGGGAGCATTAAAGTAGTAATTTCAAAATATTACCAACCTCAAGAGTATTTCTATGGTTCTATAATAGAGAGTCAATTACTATTTCAAGTCATTTTCTTAAAACCTTAAAATTTGGTAATCGCACATTTAGCTTATAAAGTGCTACATCTTTCTCTGATGAGAAGGAGACAGATGTTGGACTAGGCGAGAATACGCATGACTTCTTCAGTGACTGTTAAGAATGGCCACTGTGCATGTTGCCAAGAATTGAGGCTTTGAAGCCCAATGGACAAGGTCTGCTTCCAAGTCCTTTAAACCACATATTAATTTGGGTTCTGCAGCAAGCTTAAAAACCACGGGGTTCTTATAAGCATTAAAAACAAAAACATATGTAAAAAGCCTAATAATATGTGTTTGCCAGATACAAAGTTCTGGATAAACAATGGCTTTATATAGCTACGGTTACTGTTAAACGGATTTATACATGCCATGGGTTGGGTCATGTCCAACAAAACAAACAACTGTAGACAGTACAGAAGATTTAGATCCATTCTCCACAATGTCATTATAAAGGAATTTCAGTATATTTGCCATTGATTAGGCCTCATAGTGGAGAAAAGTGTAAACCCGTTCATACCTAATGTATTTATTTATTTGCTCCCCATAAATAGCTAGGTTAAGGCTTCACCTTTATTCTAACGGAATTAAATTGCACTTTTTAAGTTAAGGAATAAAAAGATGGTGGGGAACAGGGTGGCAAAGGAAGTGGAAGGTGCCAAGAATTACTGCATGTGCAGAGGCCCAACAACTTTGCTCCTTCGGGGAGCTCTGCTGGTGGGCCTGCAGCTCTGGCTGATCTGGTTCTCACAGTTCAACTCCTACCAACCCAACTAAAAGGCGAATGAATTTCTGAACCAGAATGTCACTGTCTAAATTTGTACAAAAGCTATACTTTCTAACATACTGGCTGTGTCCTTAGAAAAGCGAACTTCTCTGGGCAATTCTTGGCAAGGAGGTCAAATTGCTAATTAGAGGCTCACTTTTGAGACTATTAATGGAATCAAGAGACTGAGATTGGGAAAGTAATAGTGGATCCTTCTGATTTGCTTTGGTTTGATCTGCTTGGATGCCTTTTCAGCCATTTCACTAAAGCCAAAGTCCTTCCCTGAAGTCCAACCTTCCCAGACTCCCATTTCAGTAGAAAAGGAAACTTCTCACCTGATTCTGGGAGATCTCATTTCCCCTGCCTGTTTAATGACATACTCACATTCCTTTTTAATCATACTGCTTTACATGTTCCATGATCTGAGTATCCTGTTTACATTATTTTCTCTTCTGCAGTCCACATTTCCTTTTGCTACAGCCAGTTCCTATATTCTTATTCTATATGACAACATCTGGAAATGGAATGTTAATTATGCTGACTTTTCTTTTGACTACAGAGAATTCATGTTTTCATACGGCCCAGAGAGAGTGTTAATATATGCTAACCAGGAATAAATAATGGGAAATCTCTTTTAAACGTTGCCTTTTCTTCTCTTTTCAAAATCTAGTTTCTCTACCAGAGAGGCATTGTATTTGTGAGTCTCTGTCCACATATTGCAATCATTATACAGAGCACTTTATCTTTGGTGACAAGAAGTCCCATAACTCAGAAGAATTCAAAAGATATCATCTCGTATGTATCTTTAAATTATGTGATGGATTCATGCAATCATGCATACACTAAAAATATGGCTATGGTTATAACTTTGTCAAATATGTTTCTCATATAGAACTGTATTTGAAAGATAAATAAATAGTACTGCCATCAAACATATACATAATGCACTAATTTTTAATCTGTAACATAATTCCTGAAACTTAAGGATAGAAGAATGCCAATGTTTAAACATGTTTCATCTTCTATTATTAAACATTCCTGTTGCATGATTCAGAGAACTGAAGGGAAAGCAAATTAAACTGAGAAGTTTATTAGAAAAATAATAAGCTTCCTCTGTACATTTTTAGAAGTAAAGATATTACATGTAATGGTGATTTTTCCTGAAAGAGTTTAAATTGTGTCAATATAATCTCTGATTTCTTTTGAGAAGACCTTCAGGAGTAAGTATTTTTCAGATTCTTTTGTCTCTGCATGAACAAGGGTTGATAGCTTGGGACTATAATGTATTACTGTGGAAAGCTTCGGTCTGTTCCATAAATCATCTTAACGCTCAGCAAGAATTGTCCAACAGTGCCATTGATATATGCTCAAGCCAATGATCCTGCAAACAATTTTTTTGTCTTTCTTCATGCTTTAGACAATAGCAATAAATCATCTTCATTTAAAAACACACAATGTACTAATTTTTCAAGCAACAGTTATCAAAATGAAATTTTTGGTAGAAAGTATGACATTTATTTGTGCTCATTAATTTTTTTAACTGGTGTTAAATAAAAAGCAATGAGTGCCTCATTTGTTACAGAAGCATTGTCATATACCTACTATGTGTAAGCATCCTGCAAAGAGTGATCTGAGATACAAAGAACCGAAAGACACAGTTTGTGAAAAACATCAAAAGATATAGCTCTCATTTTGTAAAGATTTAAAGAATCAGGCTTATTTATAAAATTGCGTAAGAAACACTGGCAAATTATAGGTGATACTAGATCTTCTTTTAGTTGCATTTATGGGTATTTGTTGATGTACATGTTTCAAAAATCATATAAATTTATAGAAATTCAGTGTGTTGTCAGTCATAAACCTGGTTATCTTAAAATGTTATATATAATAAAAAGAATTGAATATTTGTCAATTGTAAGCTTTCATCAGCTTTTTAACCATGCTATTCTAAGTTTTAGTCATGTAGCATTATTGTTTTTTATTCTTCTCTAAAAACATTTACAATCAGATTCATGAGAAAGACTCCAAGTTCTCTTCAATACAAATTTCAGATAATTTTAAGATCCATAGGCTACATAAAATTTCTAGAACTCTCATAAAGAATTTGATGGAGTCATGAAATGACTCAGAGATTAAGCAGAACAAAAGTTGATTATATGAGATTGAATAACTGATCAAGATCAGGTTTTTATACTTTTATTTAAAATATTGTTGGTCCTTTATTCAAATGTTTTGTCTTCTAGATTTAAGAAAATTTTCTCTCTTCAGCTATATGTAATTTACAGCAATTTGGTAAAGTATAATTTTATAAACAAAGATAAAAATGTTTTATTACATTACTTAATTCCTCCAGAATTCAAAAACTGTGAGTGTTCTTATGGCGATATGGTTATTTGCATAAGTCCAATAAAAATCTCTCTATACTAGGAAAAAAAAGACACAGTTTGTTATAAAGATAGTGAATTAGAAGAGAGAAATGGGAACTTAGGCTCTCAATAAAGAACAGTATATTTGAAGTGTCAAACTAAGTGATATCAGAGTGTAAACAAAAAGAATTACTTGAAGCTGGGATGATCAAGGGATTGCTATAAGCAGATTTACACTGATATCAGGGCCTAAAGATCAGACACTTCTGCCAAGATGCGATAAGTGATCAGGGGAGGACCACAAAACTGACAAATGAGCAAGTCCAGGCTACTGTCCAGGCTGCTGTCCAGGCAATAGCATGCAGGTTCAACAGCAAGGTCAGGCCTTCAACCTCTAAGATAAGGTCAAGGGCAAGACTGGTCCCACCAATCAAAGCAAACTTCAGGCTACTAGGCTCAATGCAGGCCTCTTCTGGAACTGGGGAGTAAGGTAAAATTTCACTTATGAAAAGCCAGTGTGCAAAGCCGGAGTGACACCAGAACACGAGGTCAACTTGAACCTGCCCCAGAGAATGTCTGACACTGGCTCTTCCTGGGACCTGGGCTGGGGGACCCTGAGGTCAGGGTTTGCCAGCTGAGGCTTTGAGGATTCAGGGATTACTGGAACCCTGGGCTAAGCACCTGAAGCAGATCAAATGAGGGTGGGGCAGGGTAGCCCTAATACTATCTGCCTCTCTCTCCACATACTTCCAGGAAAGTCCTTAGTGTTTACATGCAGGGCTTTCTCCCGCCATAATTCATTAATGATACCAGAATGGGGAAGGGATTTGTCTCCTCTCAGTATTGCTTGGGGGTCTACATAAGTCTCCAAGCAGTATTTTTAGGGGGAATTTTCATACCAGGCATTGTACGTAATTGTCATAAATAAGGGCCTCTCCTTTGGCTAAAAAAATCCCCAAGCTTTTGGAAAACAAATAATGTACTCCCCCTCCAAACCATAAACAAATCATTAGAGAGACCAGATTCAAGTGAAAGGAGCCACTTCTGAAAGTTAGTCAGGACATGTTTTTTAGTGCTAGATCATCTTCCATATTCAATGTTTAAAGGGGTAACTGAAGTATTTAATTTCATCATTCAGCATATAATTTTATACATAATGCAATCTATTTTTTTTAGTCATCTAGACTTTTTCAATTCTCATATTGAGTTCGTACATTCTGAGATCCAGTTCTATATTTTTTGGCTTTATTTTATAAATAACCCATGTTAACTAGCTTAAAAAAATTAGAAAATATACATAGGAAAAAAAAATCACCTTTAATCCAACCACTCAGGAGCAAAACATTAAAATGTGTGTCTTTCGAGATTCTTTTTAGTGCATATTTGCTAGTTGGTTTTGAGCTTTTGTTTTTGTTTTCCATAACAAAAGTCAGATAATTGAGCTTGGATTTTGGAGCTGGAAATGCTGAATACAGATCTCAGCTCATCCCTTAGTAGATGTATTTACTTAATTTCTCTAAGCCTCAGTTTCCAAAGCTATAAAATAGGGATGATGATAGTCTCCAATTCATTAAGGATATATCAGGATTAAATAAGACAAATGAGATCATGTAAATACTTTGAGTAATACACTGGTTCAAAGAAGCAATCAATAAATGTTAGCTATATTTTTATTATCACTTAATGTGATGACTTAAAATGGACTGTGAATAATTTTCCATGCCAATAAATATTATCAACATTAGTGTTTAAATGGTTGCATATTGCATTGCATTCATGTTCTTTCATTTATTCTATCAGTTCTCTATTTTGAACATTTAGGATGTTTCGGATATTGCTGTTGCAAACCACACCATGACAAATAACTTAATCCACTTATTTCCTTAGGATAACATTCTATAGTTCTCTACTTATGCTCAAATGGAATCATAGAATGCTTGCTCAAGAAGAAACCTAAGAAATCGTCCCTGAACTTTGCATATGAGAAAAATGAGGTCCAGAGAGGTTAAATTATTTGCCTGCATTTATAGAACTAGTTGGGCAGATGAGAATCCCAAAAAAAATTAAATAGATATTTTTTACTGTTAACAATTGATTGCAATTTATTAGGTTTTAATATACTATTTTAAATCATGTGCAGCCTTTAAGTTTTAATAAATTTTTATTTTTTAAAAGAAATGTGTTAAATTGATTTTTGCTTATGGCTAGGTTCTATTTGCTAAGCCATATGCAGGCAACCAGCATGGAGTTGAGCATTCAGTGTTGGGCTCTTTCTATATGTATATAAAATATATATATTTTTATATGTGTATATTTCATATACACATATAATATACAATTACATGTGTATAGTTCATATACACGTGTAATATACAATTACATGTGTATAGTTCATATACACGTGTAATATACAATTACATGTGTATAGTTCATATACACGTGTAATATACAATTACATGTGTATAGTTCATATACACGTGTAATATACAATTACATGTGTATAGTTCATATACACGTGTAATATACAATTACATGTGTATAGTTCATATACACGTGTAATATACAATTACATGTGTATAGTTCATATACACGTGTAATATACAATTACATGTGTATAGTTCATATACACGTGTAATATACAATTACATGTGTATAGTTCATATACACGTGTAATATACAATTACATGTGTATAGTTCATATATACATATAAAAATACATGCTGTACGTGTCTATTTATGGCCAATCATTTTTATTTTGTCTCTTGAGTAGAAATCAACAAATGCTGGGTGCAAACTCACATTCTGCATAAAGAAGCCAAATTAGCGGAGGACCAGAGCTAACAGAAAGCCTGTGCTCTTGGTTTGCCTCCTCAATCAAGGGGTCCAGAAAAGAGAAAAAGAAGCTCCCATTTCTACTCATCACATGCTGATATGCAATCCTACTCCCAGGGAAGAATTGTAAGTGCATCTCTCTAAATACTGGAGGTCATCTCACTTGCTAGATCTTTCCTACAAAGAAAGCTTATGCTGAAGATAGGGATGTGGAAAAAAATAGTTGAAAAAATGAAGACAATTTCCCCCAGTTTAATGACGATAAGAACCCTCGATGTTCAGTTCCCCAGAAGTGGGATTTCTAGGAAAGAGTGGAGGGAGGGTGAGATGTCTTCTGTGGAAAGACTTCCTGTAGTTTATCTTCTGGAGGGGAAAAGGAAGAGAACTTGGGTGGGAAAAGAGTCCTGGACTTGGACAAGAAAAGTAGTGGAGTGTGGAGGGAAAGGACTGGGCAGCGGTGGTGCAGGCATGGCAAAAGCTGGCTGACAAGGGGAGGGAGGAATCACTGCTCTGCATCAAGGAATCCAGGGACAGCAAATATCCACTGTGTGATTGTTCAGCTTTTATATGTGCACAAGTATGAAATTACTGCTTTGTAACTAAGAAATGGTAAAATAGCCATGATTTCATTTGGCGTAAGCTAATATTTCCCAGAGTATTCTCACACACGTAACACATTGCCGTTATCTCAATACTCTAGAATTGAAGTATGTCAACATTTTGTCCTTAAAGTTCTAAAATAAAATTAAGCCTAGCTGACCAAGGATGGAGTTTGACAGAAGCCTTAGACCTTCCAAGGTCAGAATCCTAGCTCTAATATTTACTATCTTTTTGAGGTCTGGTTAAGTCACTCTACCTCTCTAATCCTCACTGAATTGTTGTAAGGATCAAATGAAAAAATAAGTGCATAGATTTTGTTTAGTTCCTTGTCAGAAACAGGTAGCTTCCAACTGAGAGCTATTATTATTATAAATCTAATTATTTCAGGACACTGGGGGAGGAGGGTACTGACCTAAACTTCCAGGCAAGAAGAAGCTTCCTACTACTGAAATTTATCATCATCTTTCAAAGCAAGAAGTTTCATTGAGGTCAGAGCACAAGAAATAAAAAAAAAACTTTGCACCCATAGTACAGGGAAGTCCAGGCTTCCTTGAAGGCAATTTCTGTTGACCCGGTCTCACCTGGCATCCCTATTTTCCCCCACTCCCATTTCCTCCAAGGTTACTCTCTTTGTGATTTTGGAGAACAACAACAAACAGTAGGCTTAGCTCTTCTTGAAGGAAGGCCTCCCCTGAAATGCTGGGAGGCCCAGTTGCAAACAGGAAAGCCTTCGTTACTGGTCTTAAATCATGACCATCGGAACCCTTGGGAATTTCAGATCAGGCTATCACATTTGAATAATCTGATGCTGGGCCTTGGAAGTCACTTGTTTGGCTTTGCTACTGACAGCATCAAATATCCTAATTTAAGAACAGCAAAGGATGTAGGGAGAACATTTTCTAAGATAGCCACCAATTAATTTCAAATCATTAGGGTTATAGTTACATTTTTAAACACTCAAACTGTAAAATAATATAGATCAGAAAGAACACAGGAGAAAGAAAAAATACAGATATGGACGAAGATTACACTAAAACCCTCTTTGTGTTTCTGGGAAGTCTAGCTAGGTCTGCTCCCAAACTGAGGAACTGAAACTGCAGAGGGAAACTTGGCACTTTTTTAAAGGTGTTTGAAGTGGCAGGTGAGGATACACAGGAGGAGGTCTCAGAAGACACTGGGGTAGGTGGAAAACACCTTAGCTTTTCTAAGCCCCACTGTTTTTTATAGTAAAAATGGGCAAAACTGCTTCTACTTAACATAATGACATATTGAAAATTTAGTGTTTCTTTAGAACAATCTTTAAGCACCTTGGAAATGGAACTAGCATAGACAGGTGACATTATTCAACACATTACTATTCTTAAATTGAAGTATTATACTTATTTTGGAGGGCATTCTTTAGTGACAGGTTTATTATGCGCTACCAGAAAAGAATACAACATGTTATAATTGCAAAATTTAACAGGAAGGATCATTTAGTTTTTAATAATTGTTCACATGCTAAAGAAGAAAATAGTTCAAAATATAATTGTAAACAAGCCAAATGGCTGCTTTCAAAATTTATCAAATGCTACCACACAACTGGTCAGACTGCAGTAGTGCTACAACTCCTCCCTCCAATGCCTAAATATGCTGGCATCACTTGACATCTGTCTATTGAATAAACCATGCTCCATATGGAGTGCAAGGTTTTGAGAATCTGTTTTTACCACTAATGCTATTCCATTCAGATATTTTCATGATTTTTGTCACTGAAATACATTTCCCTAATACTTGACAAAACATACTATTTGACATTTATTCTAAAATTCTCACACCTACCCAGAAACAAATAAAAAATGAACCTTATATTCACAAATCCCACAGCTTGGAAATGTATATGATACACAACATTTAACCCATCAGCAGCCTCATTAGTGTCAATGAGTAGAAACTGGCAATCAGTAGATGGTGTGCTCTACATGTGTTTATGTTTTAAAATGTTCCTAAAATAGCTCATCCGCTGGCGAGGTTGATATAAAACACTTTTCCTGGACAAATGAATTTCAGTTTAAATATTATGGCCTATTTACTTTTTTTTTAGGAATTCATATTTTCATGTAGATGATCATTTTAGCTAATGGAGTCAATACCCAACTAAAATAATAATAATAAATAATAATAATAAAGGCTGGATGGGTCAAGAATTACCTAAAGTTCAACAACATCAATGTGGTTGGCCAACAAAATAAGCAGAAAGGCCAATGTGTGTTTGACTATCCCAAGCCCTAAGATATATATTTGTATGGTGCCTGTATTCAGTATCCATACAGCTCTTAAGACATTTTTATAAACTGTAAGAAATATGTGAGCTATTTCAAGATATAATGCTGAAAAACAGACTTCCATGTAAGAAGCCAATTTAGGAAGAAAACAACATAAACAATAGTAACTTGTGTGCTCAAGTGAAGCATCTTTTTAATTTTGAGTAATGAAGATGTCAAGCCAAATGCTAGAGTAGTTTAACTTAATTAGGTGGCCTATTTTTCCAGGCATCCTTTCATTTCCCATTGAAAACTCAGCTTGTATGCAAGGCAACAAGAGCAATTTTGTCTGTAATGAATACCTCCGGGACTGCACAGAGTAATCATTTGAATGTTACACTGAAGACTGGTTTGAGTAACTAGTCTGGGCTTGTTAAGATGCCAGACTTTGTTGGGCTAACTCGATTACTCAGAGCATGGCAGCTTTATCATTCTATTGGGTCAATGGTCAAAAAGTCAAGTTAATGTTACTTCTGAAATTTCTGCCAAAAGGAACTAATCCAAAAGGAATTGGTTTAATTTACAGTTCAAATTTATGTCACAATCAACATGGAGACGTTATGGCCCACAGTAAAGATACCTTTTTTTTTTGAAAGTATTCTAAAAATATACTTTCTAGGCCCTTTTTGTCATACCTCATTTATACTCTAACCTGGAGAATTTTCTCGTTAGGAAAACATGAAATTAAACAAATAGAGAGTCATTAATTTCTTTGTAAATCTTAAAACATAATTCTAACAGTAGATTTGAGAGAATATTGTACAAAAAGAAATTTGGAGCACACTACTGTTTCCAATACCATTGCATTGCTGATGATAAACAACAGCATGATGTTATTGTAATAAGCATTGACTGTCATTATCTAGTTTATTATCATGTTAACTCTTTGAGTCTTGTACTTGAAATAATTCTCCAAGGAGGAGGGAGTGCTATAACCTTCTGTTAATATATAAGGGCACTGACACAAAGATAAAGGTTCCTACTGCAATGGACAGGGCAGGGCTGGATTTGCTAAATGTCTGCAATGCAGGGTCAAGAATTGAATCGTTGCAATGGAAGACTCTAAGTATTCATGTGATTAAAAAATGTACATAAAATATTTTAGTTGATTTGCTTATCTTTCAACAAACAATGCAGCATACCTCTGATATGTCAGACATTATTCCAGGCACAGGAGAGCCAGACAGAAACAAGAATGAGTCCTACCTTCAAGAGCTCACAATCAGGTGAGCAAGACAAGGACATTCCTGGTGATGTCAGTGTGCCATGTGCCACCCAGGGACAAATACACACCATGATAAAGCAGCCTTGTAGACAATGGTGAGGCAGCAAAGATGAGGAAAAGGAAATGAGAGAAGGTAAGATGAGTTCATGAGAAACTGTGAGTCCTATAACAAAGGCAGAAATTGTGTAGCTGGAAAAGAGGAGATGTACTCAAGAGTTAGGCCAAAAAGTAGAATCAACACTCTCTGGACTCAAGAGTTAGGCCAAAAAGTAGAATCAACACTATTTGGAATTAACCAAAGGCAGAATGACAAGGGAGACTCCCCAAGTCTCTGTTTTGGGTGTTTGAACAGGTGGTGTTAACACTTCTGATTATAAGCCATAAAGAAAAAAGAGAAGATAGTGGGTGAGGAAGCAGGTGGGAGGTGATGAGTTGTGGTTTGATGAACTAATATGTTGAATTTGAGCTGCTATCAGCAACAGGGGCCCAGTGGAGGTAGAAATCAAACCTTAAATTCACATGAAAGCTGTCCTGGATATATACATGCTCTTCAATTTTATATTCAAAATGTACTTTAGGAACTGTATGTCAAATGCTTAGTTGTAACTGATTCCAGGAAAACATAATATTGCTATATTTTATCATTCTTATTTTTAATCTTGAGATTTGAGGGATCAAGTAAGAAAGAGACAGAATTCCAGAGGGTGCTGGGGGTCGGGAGAGAGAAAACTGCTCACAATCTCAGAATCCTCTAAAATATGATCTCGGGCCAGGATATTTAATATTTAGGGTTTACTATAATGCTCATAATGAACAACAAAAAATAGTTCAAGCTTAAGGGATAACCGTTCACGGAAAGAAGAAGGAAGAAAGGAATAAAAGCAGGAAGGTGGTGGGGAAGGAGGGAGGGAATGAAGGAAGCAAGGCAGGGGAACCAAACAGAAGGAAATGGTTTAGCAGAGTAAAGTCCAAGGTCCAAGAGGAAGTGATTTATTAAAAATCTAGTTCAATCAAGTAACCTGAGCTTTTCCATAACCTGATGCCAGGAAAATCTTCTCATTCTTCCTTAATATGAAAGGATTATTTCTTGTATTAAAAAGACCAGTCCTTCTTTATCTTTTCATACAGTACTTCAACTGAGGCAGGCATGTGAAGAGCTGAGTCCCTGAGTCCAGGGCACTGGTGGAAAACACAGAATGAACAAACAGGCAGCCGTGGAAAAGGACACTTTTTTTTTTTTTTTTTTTTGAGACAGAGTCTCCTTCTGTCACCTTGGCTGGAGTGCAGTGGCGTGATCTTGGCTCACTGCAACCTCCACCTCCTGGGTTCAAGCAATTCTCCTGCCTCAGCCTCCCGAGTAGCTGGGATTACAGGTGCACTCCACCATGCCCAGCTAATTTTTGTATTTTTAGTAGAGATGGGGCTTTGCTATGTTGGCCAGGCTGGTCTCGAACTCCTGACCTCAGGTGATCCGCCCACTTCGGCCTCCCAAAGTGCTGGGATTACAGGCATGAGCAACCACGCCCGGCAGAAGAGGACATTCTTGAAACTGACACAGAAGAGGAAAGAATGGGGGAAAGCCATGGCACATCTTCAAAACTGAAAAATCAAATAAAATAACCTAGTGCTGTAGAAAGTTCTGAAGAAGAGAACTAGACTTCTGCTTCTTTTGACGTATTTAATTTAGATGAACATTTATATCTTAACAACAGCCTCATATAAAGGACTATGAAAGGTACTACAATTATTCTAGGAGCTGGAGAAGGGGGCTGAAGTTTTATCGGGAGATAAGAGAACCCCATAGCATGCGTATCTGAGTGGGCTGAGAAAATTCTGGAGAAAAGTCAGGGCTGAGGTGGGAAGCCCAATGCCCCTCTGTTTTGTTCTGCCTGCTGGCATATTCGTCCAGATATTTTATAAGATACATTTTATTGTATAGATTTAGGGTGTACAACATGTTATGATATACATATAGATAATAAAACAGTTAATATAGTGAAGCAAATTAACATATCCGTCATCTTGCAGTTACCTATTTTGTGTGTGTGTGGCAAGAACAGCTAAAATGTACTCACTTAGCAAACATCCCAAATACTATATTATTATTATTATTTTGAGATATAATCTTGCTCTGTTGCCCAGGCTAAAGTACAGTGGTGCGATCTCAACTCACTGCAACCTCCACCTCGTGGGTTCAAGCGATTCTCCTGCCTCAGCCTCCGGAGTGGAGACTCTGGAGTGGCTGGGATTACAGGCACACACCACCATGCCTGGCTAATTTTTGTATTTTTAGTAGAGACAGGGTTTCGCCATGTTGGCCAGGTTGGTCTCAAACCTGACCTCAAGTGATTCTCGGCCTCAGCCTCCCAAAGTGCTGGGATTACAGGCATGAGCCACCACGCCCAGCCCTAAATACTGTATTATTAACTATAGTCCTCATGTTGCAAGTTACATCTCTAGACTTGTTCATCCTACATATCACTACTTTGTATCCTTCTGGTCTAGATATTGTCACCTCAATCAAACATGACAAGTTCAGAATGGCAAAGAAGTGGGTTTCTGACCAGCTGCTCATCTGGCTTCCTTTCAGTAGCCCACTCACTTTCTCCCACAAACTCTTAACGGGACAAAGTTCAGGAGGCATTAAGCAACAAGGTGCCTTTAGCCAGGGTTTGGAAACACAAAGAAATCTTGAATTGCTGGTTCCAATTCTAACCACAGTAAGAAAAAAGTTAAATGATGTTTCAATTAAAGCACTGAGTGACCAGCACACTTATAGCTAGTATAGGAGAAAACAGTCAATATTCCAAGAATGGTGCCAGAGTAAAATGGAAATCTTATGAGTTTTTATTATATACTTGTCAGGCTTATTATAAGGTGGTATATTCAATTTAAAAGCTGCCTATCAGTTACAAAACTATATGCAAAAAATTTTAAGGATTTGTATACTCTAGCTTAAGAGGTAGAGAATGCATGCAGTAGATAGTGCCAAAGAGCCCTTTGGGACTGTCTAAAAGAATATCATTAATTTTTACAGTGTACTTCCATTTCTGGAGCAGTTCCAGCATTGGCTTTCTATAAAAATCATTTCAAGTTTAGAATTATGCTATTTGCTTGCAGCAACATCACAGGAGCAGTAGTGCGCCATATGTTGCTACTTAGCAACTTAGTCTATAAGTCCCAAAGCATGTACTGATTTGAAAATTGAACAGGAATTATAATTGTTGAGTGATGCTATGAGGCAAGTTGTCTTGGATTACTAAACTATGCAGATGTTTGATGTTATGTAGGAAAAGGAAAAAACTATTTTTTTTTTCCCTGCAGGATGACTAAAATCTTATTTATGGTTGCCTAAAGGGGTAAATTGATTAAAATTCCCTAAAAGAATACCAGGTAATGAATTCTTGAACACACACTATTACAGTAAACAAAAGGAATGTTAAGTGTAAAATTTAGCTAAGGCCATTCAACTTATGTAATTTGTGAAGTTTATTTTTCTCCAGAGTATGTATTATCTTACACTAGTCTAAATTTTAAAACAGCACATTCTAAAAACATTTTCATATATGCTACACTATTTTTTTAAGTGTTTATTTCTGGATCACAAGCCTGCCCTATCTTTATAAAGCACAAAAGTATTTGGGGCTCTTCTTTACAAATTATCACTGGTATCCAAAACATTCTTAGTAACTCCTGACTGACATATGAAGAAAAACAATGTTAGTTGTTTGATTTCAGTAAGGGCTTAATATTATGCATTGTACTTGAATTTTAAAATCTAAGGAGCCAAGTCATTATGATGTATATGTTCTGAATTTCCAATCCTTTATCCAAAACTCTTTAAGACGGACATAATGATTCTCTAAGAGGGAGCAGCTGCTTTATAACAGCCATCATTTATTGAGTTTGTGTTTCTACTGTTTCAAACAAATTCAATTAGCCCTTACACTTCAAAACCCTAAAGGCACCAAAGAGATGATACCAGGTTGCTTTAATCTAATAGTAATACTAAACTTGTCAGTACAGTTTTGGGATTGATGGTTAGAAGAAAATTAATAGTAACATTTTTCATTTTTTAATCAAACAGTCCTGTTCAGAACTACCTATGGATCTTGGAGGCTACTTAGCCAAATGAATTCAGTTAAGGAAGAATTCTAAATGCAAAGCTCAGCCTTCCAAAAGTATTCTTAGAGTGAACAGCTCAGTTGAATGGAAGGCAATGTAGTCAGGATCTTTGAACTTCATGATGACCTTTTCAGCTGAACAATACTGTGTAGTTTCCAGAATATCTGCCAGAGAAGGCAGTAATCCTAATGACTTCTAAATGCAAAGTTCAGGGAGATGCAGGCCTGCCTCTGTTTTGAGTTAAGTATGAGACATTTTGGTCACAGAGTGCATCCTTAACATATACATTAGATTTAATTCACTGACAACCTTAATGAAGAAAAAGAAGTTTTATGCTCCCTCCCAACCCCATTCCCCAACCACTCCCAGTTATTAAATCTATATGTGTGGATATGTAGGCATTGAACATTACTAAGAGGTTATTTTAGAATTACTAACATATGAAATTCCAATCTACCATGGTTTTTACCATTCTAGAAAAAACAAGTTTGTGTCAACAAAATGCCCCTGTGAACTGTTCCTTGCTTTCACTTATTCGTTTATTTATTTTTGCTTACAATGTTCTTATATTTTACGTTATACTGGTATCCAAGGGCAGTTATAATTTGGCTTTAAATGTTCTGCTGAATTAAAGGACCTGGACTTAAGTATCTAAAAATAAATAGTCAAACATTTACTTTTATAAGTGTAACCATTTACATTCTCATTGGACTTTTGTTGTCATTTCTCATGATTAAATACCTTGTCAACTATTCCCAGTGAAATGTATACAAAGGTGCCCTTGAAAGGTTTCAATCATATCATGTTTTTTGGCCTGAAAGCTCCTCCCCAGCCCCCACTCCTTACCTCCCCAGGAGACCGTGAAAGCAGCCTTCTAGCCCCACCGGCCATGGGATTTGGGTTACGAACGTTACGTTTTGTTGAAAATGGCCCCAACCATTGATAATTAAAGCTATTTGTGACACGTGTAGCTTATAATGATTAAATCATCTACAGTCAGAAGCACAAATATCCTGCACCTGTAAAGACTTTATTTCCTAAAGGTAAAACAACTGTTTAGGAAAGATCATGCTGGCAAAACAGCTGCCTGACGTTCTGGAGAGGAAACAAGGTAGTATCTTTCAACAAATGCCAACTCTGGCGTTTTATCAGCTCTATCTCATTAACTGGAAACAAGGCTTAAATGCTTTGTTTATAAATTATGATTATTCCTGATTGCGGCAGTTACTGATAGTGCTACTCATTTGCAATGCAACTCTTTGAATTTGTTTAATTACAATTTGAAACAAGGCAGAGAAGATTAATTAACCCACCTGGCTGGCTGGCACATAGTCCTGGCTCGGCTCTGTCATGCTCATATACATGTTCTCACCGTCAAACTGCGAATGAAATAATAGTAAACATTCAGCAATCTTGACTGCGGGTATGTTTGGTTTTTATTTGTTTTGTTTTGTTTTTTAACCATCAAACTGGAAAACAGTAGCCATAAAAAATACTGCGGCTGGGACTATGGAAAATCTGTCACAGCAAGCGAGCCACATCTTTGATGTTTCTGTTGTCATCCTTACTGACCCTGGATGTCAGTGATTTGGAGTAATTAGTGCTCTAGTAATTACAGCAAGCAAGCAAGAAATGAATGGTTTCCTTTCATCTGCAATCTGTTTTAAAACAAAATGGCTCATTTTGCACGCCATGTATACATATTGCAGTTCAGTTGTAATGAAGTATTAAATGAATGGCATGATTTCTGAAAGAAAAGAATAACGAAAAATACACGAAGGCACAGCTCGGTGCATTCTGAGTTTAGCTCTCAAAAAAGAAAAAGTGCAGAGTTTTCATAATAGACTAAAACTGGCATCATCATAATAGCCTTCTGATTAAGAAAAATTTAACTTTATAATAATATTTGAAAAGAGCATGTGTCACTACAACCATGGCTAAGAATGATAATAACAATAAAAATACACAGGCACAATGAAATACTCCTTTTTGAAATATTTCAGATATCGAATTTATGTATTAAAAATGCATAGAAATTCATACGCAAATTTTCAAGTTAGGAAAAGGATGAAAGAAAGAAATTCGCAGGGGCAGCACAATTGGAGAACTCTCAAATAGTTCAAGCAACAACAACAATAACAACAACAAAATACTTTTCAGTATTTGGGGTTTTGCAAGTAGTCATCACTCTACTCAGACTTAATCCTCAGCTATTTTTAGTCACTTGATAGATGAGCAAAGCATTTCTCTTTTAGTTAGAGGAAGAATTTTTCCAAGGTAATAATCAAATGGATGAACACAATAACTTCACAGAGCTGGGTCTGAATATACTTTCATTGGTGGACTAACTTCAGACATGGGGAATTGGAAGTCTGAATTATTATTTTTGAAACAGAATAGTGTTATTGATAGTGGTGCAAACCATGGTATTATGGACATACTTCATATACTATGAAAAAATGGTGTTATATAAGAACATAAAAAATATTGTACTATAGACATCTCATTCCACCACCTATGAACTGCTAGCAGAAGGTTATACCAACATGAGGGTCGCTCACAGCCTCTAAACTGTAATTGCCAGAGTGGGTGCCCTGAAAATTCACGTCAACATAAGCTGTAAATAAAGACCTCCCTAAAGACATGGAAGCACTCACGAGACTAAGCTCAGAGAATCAAAGGATTTCTTCGCACATCACCCTAAAAATATATTTCACATTATGTGAACAACTTATCTAAACAGAATGAAATTACTTACTGAAAGATGTGGTTGTTAGAGCAAATAAAAAATAGTACAAGTGGAAAAAGAAAAGCTGGGTGTTTTGGTTGCTCTGTCAACTGGCTCATGAACCCGGAGTTAAGTGACTTACCCCAGGTTGCTTTTCCATTGAACAGGTGAACTCTTTTTTTTTTTTTTGAGATGGAGTTTCACTCTGTCACCCAGGCTGAGTGAAATGGCGCGATCGCAGCTCACTGCAATCTCCGCCTCCCAGGTTCAAGTGATTCTCCTGCCTCAGCCTCCTGAGTAGCTGGGACTACAGGTGCCCACCACCATGCCCAGCTAATTTTTGTATTTTTAGTAGAGGCAGGGTCTTGAACTCTTGACCTCAGCCTCCCAAAGCCTGCCTCAGCCTCCCAAAGTGCTGGGATTGCAGGCATGAGCCACCATGCCCAGCTGAACAGGTGAATTCTTTTCAACACAAAGATAGGCCAGCCCCAACCAATCTGCCTGTTACTCCTAACAACTCAAGACCTAACAAAGAGCCTCACTGTGCATTTCTTCATCTCCACCCACTGTTGGAGTACACTGGTTTGTTTGCAAATGGTTTTCATGTTAAGGTGCCAAGGAACCGTTTAAAATATGGACAGTTTCTCTGACTGTAACAAACTAAACCGAAGAAGTGGAGTGAACCAAATACTCCACTGCTTGTGCATATTCTATAAATGTGTTACTTTCTATTTCATCTTCTCTAACTCATTTTCTAAATCTGGTGTTGTTCTCAAGCCAGCTAAAGGCTTTGAAGTTTTGGGTTGAGTCTATCCAACATGTACGCTAATTGAGTACATTCAGTGTTACTGCTCTTGATGAAGTCTCTTTCCTCAAGAAGTACCAACACTTAGGTAATATTGAGCCAAGACTAAAACAGCATTTTACCATAAAAGACTTGTGGCTATCGGCATTATAACTATATTTTTAAGTATATTTTATGTTCCTGCCACCTGTATCTTTACATGTATTAACTGATTTAAGCATCACAAAACCAAGAGTTAGGTATTATTATTACCTACATTTTACGAAAGAAGATACAAAGGCACAGATAAGTTAAGCTAGATGCTTCAAGCTACATAGCTTGTGAGAGGTAGGGCTGGGATGCAAACCCAGGACCCCTGGCTTTTTAGCCACCCATGCACTTCACCACCAGAGCATATCAATATATTCTGAATCATAATGATAAGTTAGCTATCAATTCTGAAAATAACATCAAAAAATTATCAAAGCAGAGTGATGACATTATCTCAATGACACTTAGCCCAATGTGGTGGCACATGTCTGTGGTCCCAGCTACTTGGGAGGCTAAGGTGGGAGGACTGCTTGAGCCTGGGAGGTTGAGGCTGCAGGTATATTATCCAGAATTTGTGGTATTGTGAGAATTTTTTTAAGTGTCGTGAGGAGCTGTCAACCTAGTATTTGGCCTGGCAGAAAACTGAGAGAGGGAATTATGGTTAATTCTATAGGTCAACTTGACTAGGCCATGGGCTGCCCAGGTATTTGGTCAAACATTCTTCTGGGTGTGTCCATGAGGGTGTTTCTGAGCGAGAATAACATGTGAATTGACAGACTGGGTAAAGCAGATTGCTCTCCCCAAGGTGGGTGGGCCTCAGCCAATTAGTTGAAGGCTTGACTAGAACAGTAAGGACTGACTAGAGTAAATGAATTCCTCCTGACTCACTGTTGAGGTGAGACATCAGTCTTTCACTGTTTTGGGGCATGACTTGAAATAACATTGGCTCTTGTTGGACCTCAAACTTGCCAGCTTTCGGTCTGGAACTACACCATCGGTTCTCCTGGCTCTCCAGCTTGCTAACTGCAGGTCTTGGGACATCTCAGTATCCATAATCATGTCAGCCAATTCCTTATACTGAATCTCTTTTGATAGATAGAAGATAGATAGATAGATATATATATAGATAGATAGATAGATAGATAGATAGGTAGATAGATAGACAGACAGATACATAGATCATCTATCCATCCATCCAGTTGGTTTTGTTTCTCTGGAGCACCCTAATACAGGTGGCTTTTAAAAATTACTATCAGGATATTCAGAACTCCTCCAAAAGTGTATTTCTGGGGAGCCTACAATATACAAATGTATTTATTTCATGCTATCACTTGCTTTCTAGAGGAGAAGAGCCATGTTGATTTGCTATGAGACTCTCTGCTCACAGTTCCTATCACACCCACTTCCTGTGTTCCAGTTCATCCCACCCACATAATCACACCTCTTTGTCCAGAATGCCTTCCTTCCCTTTCACTTGTCGCAGTGTTTTGTAGACTCCTCACCTCTCCTTAGTGAGGGCTGGGCTGTCTGCAGGCTCTGGGCTCCCCTAGGCAGCCCTCTGTTTCAGGGCAGGTTTTGTTGGGGGATTGATTCCACTAGACTGGGAGCCACCAGAGGGAATGGTGCATACCTTCCTTATCTTTAGTGCCTCTATGGCTTAGGGCTGGCACGTAATAGGTCTTCGGAAATGTTTATTGCCTAAATAAGAAAAACTGAAACATATTTGCTGGATTAAATATATTATCTTTCTAGAGAAGGTGGTGACTTGAGAAGAGGATGAATTTCAGCTTTCGGAGAATGGTTTGATGGCTTTTTAAGGCAGGTGACTCAAAGTCTTACAGTGGATTAAGACTGATATAAGCACAGATGCCCTTAAAGAGAACAACAACGACAACAACAACAAAAAAGAATAAAAAGAAAAGAAAGTACAGAAATGGCCAGGGCACCATTACTCAAATGTTAGATTCAGTTCTTCCTCAGGATTTTTATTTAATAAAATTTTATTTAATATAAAACATATAGACTGGTCAGGAATCAAGAGACCTGGCTATAAATAAAATGTGTATGCCCTCTCTCCAAAGAATCTTGAGCTGCCAAATAAAAATACGTATGTGTATCAGAATAGGCGTAGTCATTCCCATTGAGGTTGAAATCTCGTGGTTGGACACACTCCAGGGCCCAGGTGAGAAGAGTAAGCCAAGATCCCAGCATTCACAGGACCTTTCCCACCCCACCCTATCAGGTTAATATTATCACTGCACTGTCACAGCTCCGTCCAACCACACCCTGACCAGGAGCTGGTTCCAGGGTTCTCAGCAGGCCTCCTGCTGACCCAACAATCTTAGAAAGCACCCCATGCCATGGGCTTGTGGACAATTGTCACTTGAAGTAGAATTATAGCTCTTGGTCTTAGAAGTGTGCTTGTAGAATGAGGCCTGAAACCATCATATCAGAATCTCTCATGTCATGATTGAATAAATAGACTTTGTATTGTTTATAAGGTTCAGCTGGGGATAGAACTAAGGTCTGGATTCTTAGTAGAAGAGTTTTCCACTATGACATACTGCTTTTTACTCCAACACTCATAAAAAATGAGGAATCAGACTCTGACTACAGCTTTATACTTCATCTCCATAAGAAGTGGGAATAGACTCAATGGCTATTTGTAGCTGGTGTGTGTGTGTGTGTGTGTGTGTGTGCACCCTACAGACCTGAAGGCACAGCATTCACATTACCACATTCTAATGACCCCACTTCACTCTACCTGGATTACAGATTAGGTGAGCATTATTAGTAACTATTGCAATAAAATCGTATTTATTAAATATAACTAACTGCATTTCCTTACTCCGTATGCTCATCACAGTTATTATTCTTAGAAGTCAACTGAATTTAGGCATCATAACTTTTCAAAATATATCTAAGCATACTAGGGCTTTTAATTTCCATGTATTCTCAATTTAAAACCTGAAGCAAAGTTTGAAAGAATAAATAGGCTGATTTATTTAAATCTAAATGTAAATGGCATCAACCTAGGATCAGCCTTCTTGACCAAGCGCTTTTAGACTCTTTATTGTGTTTTTATTTCAAAGCACCAGGGGATGCAATCATATAAAAAGTCATTTATAATCTTCTACTTCAGTTTTTTGAAATTGTTTTTAGAGGATATTAACCAAACCCATAATCCCAAAGAGCTTTCAAACTAGGTAGTTATTATTTCTTTTATTTAAAAATTGAAAGGAGAAATCTAGCAATATCTGAACATAGCGAATGACGAGCAAAAATGGGCGATATTAGGCTACCAAAACCACAAAGACAAGAAAAGTCAAAAATAGAATGTGAAGTGTAAATCAGTCATTGGCACTGGTACAGAAAATGGGAACATTTTAGGGAAACCATTAAAAGAAAATCAGAAAACTGCTGCTGAGGGGGAAAAACAGCCTCATGGAATTCATGAAACAGTACCACATTGTATTGCCTACAAAGGGAAAAATCTTACATTTCTGGGTGTTTTCTGAAAGAATATTTGATACTTTGATGTTTGAAAAGAAGGGCTAAAAATGGAAATGTTTATAACAGGGGGTCAATTTGACATTTCTTAGATGATGCATTATAATAAATCATTTTTAGAGAGGCTAATATCCCCAAAACAAAATTTCCATTTTTGTATTCCTTGGCCCAGTATAAGATTACGAGTCATCGTTTTTTTTTTTTTTTTTTTTTTTTTTTTTTTGGTAACAGAAGAAATAAGGTTGGGCAATGAAGACTTTGTTGTTTCCTAGAAGCAAAGCATTTTGAAAGTTAAGCATCAAATATAGGGTGATAATACGCATAGTTGTAATGCTGTTCACATGCACAGTCACACAGATCCAGTGAAAACTGAGCAAAGCTAACCCCCACACTTACTGCACATCCTCACCAGTCTCAAGAGAAGATGTCAGGAGGCACTGGAGAAGGAAGAGGTGTCTATTTATCTGCTAGTGTCAAGGCTGAACCTGTTGATGATACAAGTCTTAAGTCAGTCTGCCTCCATGCTGAGCCCAGCTGAATGAAACTGGTTCTGAGCACAGCACAACTGCAGAAGTGGATCACACTGAAAGGAAAGAGACCAGACTGAGCCGAGGCTATCAACACCCAAAGAAAAGAAAGCGGAGTTACTCTGCTAGTGCTTTTTATGGATGTGCATTCCAACTCAGGAGCACACAGAGCTGAACTAGGGAAGAGCAATCCCTCTTGATTGGGCTCCTGTCACTTGAACTTGAGTGGTAAACACTCAACTACAGATCTGAATGGTATGGAGAGGAAGAATGGCCTGGGTACAGTGCGGCTGCTTGGAAGACTTGGCCACGGGTGGGCAAAAGATAGTGCTAGACCCACAACTTAGAAGCTGGACTCCACTTTGGGGCTGAGTTTGTATTTTCATTTTTGTCCCAGTGATATACTTATTTGGAGGAATATTAGATATTCTTTTTGTTAACTGTGAAAACTGAAATTTTCAATAATAATAATAATACTATGCATTTATCCTAAACCTGTGGCTCCATGGCATGAATCTCAAGAGAGAAACACGACAGTTTCCCTCTGCTGTTAAGGGTAAGGCTACAATGCAATGTTTTTCATTGTTGTGTTTTTGGTTTTTTGTTTTTAACCAAATACACCAAACTTATGATTCAAGTTATTCTTTTTTTTTTTTTTTTTTTTAGATGGAGTCTTGCTCTGTCGCCCAGGCTGGAGTGCAGTGGCACGATCTTGGCTCACTGCAAGCTCTGCCTCCCGGGTTCATGCCATTCTCCTGTCTCAGCCTCCTGAGTAGCTGGGACTACGGGCGCCCGCCACCACGCCCGGCTAATTTTTTGTATTTTTAGTAGAGACGGGGTTTCACCGTGTTAGCCAGGATGGTCTCCATCTCCTGACCTCGTGATCTGCCCTCCTCGGCCTCCCAAAGTGCTGGGATTACAGGCGTGAGCCACCACACCCGGCCAAGTTATTCTTTTAACTAGTATTAAGTAGTCACTTAGTAAGCTCTACAAGTAAGATAATGATGCCACAGTGGTTCAAACCAGTTTGAACTTCTTCCTTTGGAGGCCCTCTCTAATTTCACTAAATATATGAAGCCATTTAATTTTTGTAATAATCCTGTAATATTATTACTCTTATTTTATAGATGACAAAACACAAGGGAGTCCAGTAACTTGTCTGTGATGGATCCAGTTACATGCTCCCCAGATCTGCTCAGCCTGCCTGACCCTCAGGCTTCTGACCTTTGCTTCCAGGAACAGCTGACACTGTTCCCATGTAGCCTCCAGAGGCACCACTTCCATTGCCACCACAGCTACAAACCAAGGTGTCCCCAAGCACAGCAGCAATTTATATAGATAAGCTTTGCACCTGGCTGGAGCTGAGGAGGTTTTGGGTAACATACTCTGAGAGTGCAGGGAAATTTCCTATTGTCCCATGGAAGGACTGGCTCATGATGTCCTCTGTAGCACCTCTATGTCCCTCATGCCCAGCAACCAGCGATGAGTTGTTGCAAAGCTATGGCCACTTGGAAATATACATCTTATGTTTTCTTCTCCATGCCTCCCTGCCTTGCTTACTTTCCCCTCACTCTGGTTTCCCTGGGCTTACATTCCCAGCATTAACACTCAAGCTTTCACTGCAGGCTCTGCTTTCTGGGAACCTGAACTAAAATAGTGCCCAATGGTACCAGTTAGTAAGTGACAACACTCTTAACTGCAATGCTATGCTAATCTCACTCCATCTTTGTTCTGCTTTCATTATATTAAAGAGTCATCGATTCTATTTTAATTCCATATGCAAAGACAGAAACAAACTTATGAAACAGTGATAAATAGAAGAAACAAGAATTGCCTATATCATGAAAGCATTACTCCATTTGAAAGAAAAAAATGCAAGTTTCTAGAAAACTTCATTAACCCTAAACTTTCAGTACCAAGCAATCCATTTTCATTATATATTGTTTAAGAAAAGAATATGTGGATGAAAGCTTAACTATAAAACCATTCTGGTGAATTTAATGAAAATAAGTTTAATAAAATGAAGATATGGATTTTACAAAAAGGCCTCCACAGGGTGTCTGATATCAGAAAATGAGGAGCAAAGACTTCGGCTTCTTTGTAGGAGCCTTCTTTTTCAAATGAATTCCCAAGTAATTTCTGAAATTCTGTAATGATTAAAGCTGTAAAACTATACCGTATAGTTGAAATTCAGCACAGTTTCAAATGATTGGTTCAGAACACTCCTCTGACTTTTCATGTTTTAGACAAATTTTTTCTGAATCCATCTACGAAGGAAAAATTTGAGAAGTGCATTCAAACTTGCTGCCGAAACTCACTTATTTCCACATCCTATCAGCTCTCACCTCATTTACCACAGTACCTAAATTCAACATAGATGTGGAATGAAAAGTATGAAAGTAATTACTTTTTGGGGGTTGGACCTTTTATTGCTGCTATTTCTTTTTAAGCACAGTGAATATTTTTCAGTATCTGATAGATGCATAGAGAAAAAAGTAAGAATATTTTTCTACACATATCTGGTTTGGAACAGTATGCTCAGTTCTAGGAACCTCAAAACAAAACAAAACAAAAAATAAGACTAGTAAGTCAAGGCACTGGAAAGGTTATGGGAAGAGAATGACAGATGTATTAAAAAGAACAACAGAGAAGTTGTATTTAGGTGACCACTGAGTGGGTTGAAACGGTAAAACTTTTTTAAAAAACCAAGGACAAACGATTCTTGAATAACTTTGAGATTAAAAGTGGTAGTATCAAATAAAAATAAAATACAAATAAGAAGGTACAGGTTATTAAGATGGAGATTCTCACTTCCCTATTATTATTACTCAGACAAATTACATCGTGACTAAGTATAACAATTATGTGACAGAAATAGACTTTTGGTGATTAAACTCTCCTGGGGTAAGACAGGTGTGGAATGGTATTTTGGTATGCTCAGGCAAACCTGACCAATTTGAAACACATGAGGGTCAGTCTAGAACTACTCCATTTTTTAAGAGATATTTGACATTTATTTTTTCAGATTGCAGAGTTTCTGTTTTCTAAATGAAAACATGTCATTTTAAATAACTGGATTCAATGGCAAATCCTTCACGACATTGAGTATGAGTATGGATTTGTCCATTGTGAACCGAAGCAAAGCTCTGTTTACATATCTTTTGCATTTTAAGGAATCTGAGAAGTCTTTCAATCCATCATCATATCCGGAGTATAATGTTTTATTTTTTACATCTTCAAGTACTACATAGTTATATTCATTATTGCCTAGTTGCCCTTCATAAAACCTCATGATCTCATGTAACTTTCCCTGCTGATTTATCTAAATTTTTATGAAGATTATAGAATAATTTTCATTGCTTTAGTTTAAGGCTTCACACATAAGATGTCCCCTTCACAAGGCATATGCATTCAATGTATTTCAGATTTTCAGTTCCAAAGTGTCTTTGCTTATAGCACTTCTATCTCCTCTACACCGAGATCATTCTCCACTCCTGTTTGATTTTTTATAGCATTTTTCAAATACTTCATCCTCCCCTTTGACAATGTCCATTTTATCATATGTTGCCAGAAACATGTCAAAGCCAAAACTGGAAGACTTGCTGGAAACAGCATGCTTGCTTCTACTCAAAGCCTTATTTATTCTGCATTGTGAGAGATGATTGGTGCCCCTTGTCTTACTTTCTGGAATGTCACCATGTGATGCCCTTTTGCTGAAAAATTTGGAGAACAAAGTATCACCACATGATGCTAACAGGCACAAACCACCTAGTATGGTCTTGTTGATACATTAAAATTAAATGATCATTAATATACTCCTAGATAAAAAATGTGATATCATTCATTCATTCAACAAATGCTCATTTTGTGCCTACTTATATGCCAGGTACACACATGCATTAACTCATTTAATCCTCACAACAACCCCACAGTCAGTCAGTTTCCACGTTGTTTTACCAGTAAGAAAACTGAGTCCTGGAGAATTAAGTTTTAAATATTTCCGACATCACTCCTGTCTGCATCTACCTCTCTATTTTCTCTTGTCACTCTACATTTTATCCTTGCTTAGTGATTTTCATATGACCAGATAATCCCCATCTCTATGCTTACCCATCATCTCATCTGCCTAAAATACTTCTCCAGCTCCCACTTCCTTCTATTTCTCCCCTTATTTACTACTAATTAGATGATCATAGAATTTATCCTCCAGCTTGGAACACTTCTGACAGTGCCAGGAGGTAAGATTACTAATTATGATTGAATAACATGCAGAAACTTGAAGTCTCCCAGCCAAGGAAAACCTTACCACCAGAAGGTAATCCTTCCCTGACCTCATGGATGATTGAGGTGCCTTCTCTGTGCCTATGTCTGTGCTTTAAGGCATCTTGTGCTTATCCCAGCCCACATCTCTTTCTACTGTTGTTGCTTCACTACCTCTTTCCTATATTGAACTATGAGCATTTTGAGGGCAGAGACCGTCCTAACTTACATTTCTATCTCTAGCACTTAGCATAGGCTTAGCACATTTTATTTAGTCAATGACATTAAATGAATCACATAAATCCAGGGCAATACTGTCACAACTAAAAGTATTTCAGAGATCTCACCATTCCATTATTCTGCAGTAACATTTATTCCATATTCTTTCATTTCTAAATCAAAGTCTGTCCATGGAAATAGCTAATTTTCCAGGGATACTGGAAAAAAGTTTCTGTAAACCAGATCCTACTTTAGTTTTCCACATCTTCCTATTCTAAAGAGACCACTCAGTCACTCTAGTTTAAATAGTCTGAAAAGTAGTTCATTTTTTCAGAGTTTAGATAATGGCTAAAAGCTTCATGGTACCAAGTGGTCAAGTCCTTAACCTCCTCCTTGATTCTGGGGGTCCGTTCTAATAAGCAGATTGTGCTAGAGCTGCTCCAGATCACACTGGTTTGTTCTTTTATGCCAAAAGCAAACTGCGGGTGGGCACTGCTCTGAATCTGTAGCAGCACGATGAGGAAAAACGACTAGAATGGCAGACACTGCCGTTCTTTCCTTCCCATCGCCCACATGGCGTGTGGGAAATTCAGGGCTCTGCTTCTCTTGTAGGTAAGGCAGAATAGGACAAAATGAGGACAGATTCTATCATGGAGTGGGTTTGAAATAAGGAGACCCAGAGAAGAGTCTGGGTTCTGACAGTTCCTAGCCGACTAGTCTTGGGAACGAGAGTAAAAATTGTTCTTGCTCTACGTAATTATGTCAGATTTAGATGAGACATGCAAGAGCATTTGTAAATTATAAAGCACTATACATATGGAAACTATGGTACTTCCCCCTCATGGCAAGTTTATTTGACTGTTTCCATCATTAATTGGAAAGATCAATAGGCGGGAAGTAGTGGAAAGAATCAGATTCGGTGTGCCCTCAATTTGCCTGTGAAAAGGTCTTTAATATGGAAAGTTATCTGTAGATTTTTTTCGTTTTGTTTTTTTTTGAGATGGAGTCTCTCCTCTGTCACCTAGGCTGGAGTACAGCAGCGCGATCTCAACTCACGGCAACCTCCGCCTTCCGGGGGTTCAAACAATTCTCTTGCCTTAGCGTCCACAGCAGCTAGGACTACCGGCATGCACCACCATTACCAACTAATTTTTGTATTTTTGGTAGAGATGGGATTTCACCATAATGGCCAGGCTGGTCTTGAACTCCTGACCTTAGGTGATCCACCTGCCTTGGCCTCCCAAAGTGCTGGGATTACAGGCGTGAGCCACCATGCGCAGCCTACATATTATTTTTTATCTTTATGTAAATGCAGTTATACCTGAAATATGAAATAATGGGAGGAAAGTAATGAAAAGGACAAAAGAAAATAATGGTAAAATCACCAATTAAATGAAAACTTTGTAGATCATTATATGTATATATATATGTGCATGTAAGCATACATAGACGTGCATATTCTTTAAATATGTACACATTTATTTACTCTGTATGTGCACAAAATATTTTTCTCTTGCAATGTTTTTATTTGGCTAACGTTAAAGTTATTTCAGATTACCTAGGGAAACAGCTATTATAGCACAGTATTAAAAACTACCACACAAAACTGCAGGAGGAGTTTTCTGAAAATGCAAAGTGCTGTTGAACTCTTCTCTTAATTCATACAGAAAATATTACCCAGTCATAACAAACTACACAATATTACTTTCATTAAAATTGCTTCGGGCTAATTTATTGTCATAAAAGAAAGATATCAGACAGTTTGACATGAAAATATAAGGTTATACTTAAATATAGTAGTACGACATAGGATGATATGTCTCCTATAACATTTTAGTATCCATAGCTTATTAGTTTTATGCATTGAATTATCCATAACAATCACTCTTTGTATTTAATTGAACTGTATAACCATTTTTGTTCTAGTTCAACAATTACATAACCTAGCTAGATACTTAAGCTGTTTCAGTAATCAATTAATGCTCCATTTAATACTCACATCAAAGAAATTATGTAATCTCTTCTGTATCATATTTTTCACATTCTGTCAAAAATTACATTATTAATAACTTTTGCACACTTCATATTTGCTATAAAAAATTCTTGCATAAAGTAATCTTTTTACCATTAAGTAAATTAATGTTAGATTAAGTAGTTTTAAGATAATATTGCTTAAAATACCTTCGGAACAGTTCTGAGCAGAATGTGCACATTTTAAATAAACGAGTCTTGTTTCCAAGAAATCTTTTAACGTTATTTGAGATATTAAACTTGCAACAAATAACTTAAGCATGTATTAAGAACAGGAGTTAAGTAAGACTGGGGTGGAAACTAAACATTAGAACAAGATTAAATTATCCAACATTTATTTTAGATTTTTATTTTAAAAGCAGAACAATGTTGCCTTTTCTTCAGTGCTAATAGGACCTTCCTCAGAAAGTGATATAGTACCTATTCCCCATTCTACATAATGCAGGCAACAAAGCTCTTTAGATGCACGACAGGAAATATGCCACGTCTAATATTTAAAATTCATATTTTACAGGATCCCATTATATTCTATTTTCGGGCAATGAACCTGCATTTGTAACAATCCATTTGTATTAGTGGTTCCAAAAGCTAATGTGGTTTCTCAAAATAGGTACTTTCCAACTTTTATGTAGGTTATAAACAGTACTTTTAAAAAACAGTGCCTTTTCACACTATCAGATGACTGAAAAGAAAAGGGCTTGTGAATATGCATTCTGAATAAAGCCTCGGAGGCTCCACGCATCTGCTATTTTCTCCATAAAACTCCTTTTTATGTTTTATCCAGTAGCAGCCACTGAAAACTGATTTTTAGTCCAATATTCCTTGAGGTGTGAGGCTGACTTTATGAAGGGTTTCTGTACTGCCAACTGCATTAACCATATAGTATAAGTAATTCCATTATTTAGAAGGTTATTAGCATTTCCTTGGTTCTTTGTGGATTCAAAGTTTTGTTTTGGTTTTGTTTTTTCAATTGCTTGGCCATAGCTTTGCTCACTCTTATTTAATAATACTAATTATCACGAGGGATACACAGTGCAACCCACATTTTCTATAGAAGTGGTTTTCTTTTTTTTTTTGAAATGGAGTCTCACTCTGTCACCCAGGCTGGAGTGTAGTGGCGCGATCTCAGCTCACTGCAACCTCTGCCTCCCAGGTTCAAGCAATTCTCCTGCCTCAACCTCTTGAGTAGCTGAGATGACAGTCATGCACCACCATGCCTGGCTAATTTTTGTGTTTTTAGTAGGGATGGGGTTTCACCATGTTGACCAGGCTGGTCTTGAACTCCTGACCTCAGGTGAAACACCTGCCTTGCCCTCCCAAAGTGCTGTAATTACGAGTGTGAGCCACTGTGCCTCACCTGGAAGTGGTTTTCAAATGGGAGTGATTTCACCCCAGCCTGGGGAGGGCACTTAACATTTGACAATGTCTGGAGGTACTTTTGATTGTTATGACTGACGGATGCTTCTGGCGTCTAGTGGATAGAGGCCAGGGATGCTCCCATACACCCTACACTGCCCAGACCCTGTAGAAAAGAATGATCCAGACTCATGTCAACAGTGCTGCTGTTGAGAAACCCTTGTCTATGTCATGGGTTGAGTTTGTGGTTTTGGTCATTTTTATGACAAACTGTGAGTTGAGAGATGAGGTCAACAATGAGATGTTTCACTTAGGAATAAAGACAGCTCAAATTCTAAATCCGGCAATAAGTCTATATATTTTTAAAGAATCACTTAGATATGGACTAGGTAATTTGTACAATGTGCTATAATTACCCAACTCTTCTAGGGCCTTTAGCACTATTCCAGGTGTTTAGGTGTGGTGTTCAAAAGAAGAATCAAAGAGCCTTGATTGTCTCAGGCTTACAACTCTGTTAACTCAAAATAAACATACACTGTATTACACAAACTTTGGAGTTATAATCACTCTCGGTGACTATAGAATAACAAAATAAATTCTTCAAACTACACATAAAAACTGCCACTTGTTATGATCAAAACCTAAAAGCTCTAAGAAAAATTACCGATTTGTTAGTTAGGATTCTATTTATCCTTTCATGCGAAAAACTAATTATTTGTTTGCAAGATGCTGCATCTTCATTAAAATCATTAGTATTCTGAGTAGATGGCACTATTAATTTTATGAATGGAATTGAAATTTCACTACTATGTTCCATACGGTTCTTAGGACAAGTGAGTATCCCCTCAAGATGTTATCTGTGTAAAAAGGGTAATTCTTCATAGGTACACAAAGTAGTTACATGTAATTCACAGTATGCATTATTTTTTAAGTAGTCTTACTAGATAGCAGGCAGGAATTATAAATTGTTCAGATATAAATATATGTATAAAGTTGTACATATACACACATTATAATTTATGTTTACCTATATGTAGATTTTACAGATATATATTATTATATATACTTACAGAGAAATGTATATGTATATATGTGTGTGTATATAGATAATAAGTGTGTATATGTATGTATATGTGTGTGATATATATATACACACACACACACACACCCCCACACAGAGAGAGAGAGAGAGAGGGGAGATTGACACTACTTTAGAGCAATATAAAGTCATCGTTTCAATTTTTCTAACAAAGGGGAGTCTATGACCAGGTTCTCTTCTAGAAAAGCAAGTAAACTAATTAAGTCCTTAATTTGGAATGTATTTCATACTTTTTAGGAAGTATACAGGTATATCTAGGAAATATTGTGGGTTTTGTTCTAGACCATCACAATAAAGCAAATATCAAAGTAAAGCAAATCACACAAACTTTTTAGTTTCTCAGTCCACATACAAGTTATGTTTACACTATACTACAGTCTATTAAGTGTGTGATAGAATTATGTCTAAAAATGTGCATACCTTAATTAAAACACATTTTATTGCTAAGAAATGCTAATAATCACCTGAGCCTTCAGCAAGTCATAATCTTTTTGCTGGTGGAGGGTCTTGCCTTACTGTTGATGACTGCTGACTGATCAGGGGTGGTGGCTGCTGAAGGCTGGGGTAGGTGTGGCAATTTCTTAAAATAAGACAATAGGCCAGGCGCAGTGGCTCAATCCTGTAATCCCAGCACTCTGGGTGGCCGAGGCGGGTGGATCACAAGGTCAAGAGATCGAGACCATCCTGGCCAACATGGTGAAACCCCGTCTCTACTAAAAATACAAAAATTAGCCAGGCGTGATGGCGTGTGCCTGTAGTCCCAGCTTCTCAGGAGGCTGAGGCAAGAGAATCGCTTGAACCTGGGACACGGAGGTTGCAGTGAGCCGGGATTGCACCACTGCACTCTAGCCTGGAGACAGAGTGAGACTCCGTCTAATAAAAAAAAAAAAATGAAGTTTGCCACATCTACTGACTCTTTCTTCCATGAAAGATTTCTCTGCAGCATGTGATGCTGTTTGATAGCATGCTACCTACAGTAGAATGTCAAAATTGGAGTCAATTATCTCAAATCCTACTGCTGCTCTATCAACTAAGTTTACATAATATTCTAAATATTTTGTTGTTATTTCAACAATGTTCACAGCATTTTCACCAATGGTGATTCTATCTGAAGAAACCACTCTCTTTGCTTATCCATATGAAGACTCCTCATCCATTAAAATTTTATCATAAGATTGCAGCAATTCAGTCGCATGTTTAGGCTCTACTTCTAATTTTGGTTATCTTGCTATTTCTACCACATCTACAGTTGCTGCTTCTATGGAAGTCTTGAATCCCTCAAAGTCATCCATGAGAGTTGGAATCAACGTCCTTCAAACTCTTGTTAATGTGGACATTTTGACCACCTTCCATGAATCATCATGAATGTTCTTAATGGCAACTAGAATGGTAAAATCATCTCCAGAAGGTTTTTACTTTACCTTTCCCAGGTCCATCAAAGGAATCATTATTTATGGCACCTATAATCTTACAAAATGTATTTCTGAAATAATAAGACTTGGAAGTCAAAATTTTACTCCTCGATCCATGGGTTGCAGAATGGATGTTATGCTAACAGGCACGAAAACAACATTCATCTCCTTGTACATTTCCACCAGAGCCTTTGGGTGACTAGGTGCCTTGTTAGTAGTGGTTGGGAAGGAATCTCATTTTCTAAGCAGTAGGTCTCAACAGTGGGCTTAAAATATTCAGCAAACCATGCTGTAAAAGGATGTACTGTCATCCAGCTAGAGTAGACTGAGCACAGTTCTTAAAGGCTCTAGATTTTCAGAATGGTAAATGAACACTGGCTTCAACTGCAAATCACCAGCTGTATTAACCCCTAACAATGGAGTCAGCCTGTCCTTTGAAGCCAGGCATCAACTTCTCCTCTCTAGCTCTCAGTCTTAGATGGCATCTTCTTCCAATAAAAGGTAGTTTTGTCTATACTGAAAATCTGTTGTTTAGTGTAGCCACCTTCATCAGTGATCTTAGCTAGTTCTTCTGAATAACTTACTGCAGCTTCTACGTCAGCACTTGCTGTTTCAACTTACACTTTTATGTTATGAAAATAACTATGTTTTTCTTTAATACTCATGAACCAACCTCTGCTAGCTTCCAACTTTTCTTTTGCAGCTTCCTCACTTATCTCAACCTTTATAGAATTGAAGAGAGGTAAGGCCTTGCTCTGGATTAGGCCTTGGTTTAAGGGAATGCAGTGGCTGCTTTGATCTTCTATCCAGATCACCAAAACTTTCTCTACATCAGCAATAAGGCTGTTTCACTTTCTTATTATTGGTATGTTCACAGGAGTAGCACTTTTAATTTCCTTTAAGGACTTTTCCTTTGCATTCACAACCTGGCTGTTTGGCACAAAAGGCCTAGCTTGGCTTGCCACATGCCTTCTTTATAAGCTTAATGATTTCTACTTTTTAATTTAAAGTGAGAGATGTGAGACTCTTCCTTTCAGTTTAACACTTGGAGGCCATTGTAGGGCTATTAATTGGCCCATTTTAATTTTGTTATGACTCAGAAAATAGGGAGGTCTGAGGAGAGGGGGAAAAATAGGAGAGCGGCCAGTCAGTGCAGTGGTCAGAACACACACATTTATCAATTAAGTTCATTGTCTTATATAGGTGCAGTTCATGACACCCCAAAACAATTACACTAATAACATCAAAGACCACTAATCACAGATTACCATGACAGATATAATAATAATAAAAAGTTTGAAATGTGAGAATTACTGAAATGTGACACAGAGACCAGAGTGAGCACATGGTGTTGTTAGAAAATGGCGCTAAAAGACTCTTGCTTAATGTGGGGTAGCCACAAACTGTCAATGTGTAAAAAACACAACACTTGTGAAGTACAAGAAGGTGAGGTGCAATAAAATGGGGGTATGTCTGTATTTGCATCCCAATTGCAATTTAATGGGTTAATAACATTATGAGTTTTATTTTTTCAACAGGGTAGGCATGGGGGAGGAGTCTCAGGAAAGAGTGGAAAGCCCAAGGGGATCTGCCTGGGATCTTAGATAGTCCCAGGAAATTCACAAAGTACATGATCTCCCAGATTAATAACCTTGAGAAACGGGAGTCTAGAGCCACTTCAGTCTGCATGGAATTAGAAGACAATGTCAGCAAATCAGAAATGTTGACAGGAAAAAATCTGCATAAGGCAGACATCTGGGAGGAGTTCATTTGGGTTCTTTCCAAACCTTGAAATGACAGACTCCTCGTATGCTTCTGGGACCCACCTTTGCAAGGAATATGCACGCACAGTGGTCTTAGACCATCTTAGACAACATAAGGTATCTAATGTTTTAAGTATTTAAACACATTCCCAGATGGAAAATGATGCATTAATAGGTTTCATTTTTACAATAGCATATTGGTTAGTTTTTTAAAAAATCTACACTTTAAGAGCAGCTTTAGGTACACAGCAAAACTGAGCAAAATGTACAGAGTTCCCATATATCTCCTATCTCCACACACACTACCTCCCCCACTATAAACATGGTGGTCCATTTGTTACAACTGATGAAGCTACACTGATACATCATTATCACCCACAGTCTGTAGTTTACATTAATTAGGGTTCCCTGTTGGTATTGTTCATTTTATGGATTCCAACAAATGTACAATGACATGTATCCACCACTGTAGTGTCATACAGAAAAGGAGCTATGCTTGTGGTTTTTAATTTTTTAAAGTATTTTTTGTGGACACAATTAATGCTAAGAGGATTCTTTTCAGCCAATGCTGCCTGTATCTACCTCCGAAAAATGCTATTGCTAAAAATAGAGCCTGTAGCCTAAAATCCTACTTGTAGTCCCTACCATACTGAGTATTAATTGGATTTTTCTTAAATTAACATTAGGGAAGGGTTACAGAAAATGATATGCCTATTTAATGCTCTGCTTATTTGACATGATACCTTTCCAGAAATATCTGTAAGTAGATACAGGATTTTACATGGATTAAAATGTCAGTAGTTGATTTCATAAAGAGGCAATGCCACAATTATACTTCTTGTGCTGTTCCATACTCAAACTGAATTTCTGGGAACATTTCCAAATATCCCCAATAGTCTTTCTAGGTTAGTGACCAGGAATGTTTGCAAGTAACTAAATTTATATCATTTGGATGAAAATTCCATTTGTGTTTCAGGCTATGTTGATACAGAACAAAGGAGAGTAGACACTTGGCAATTATCCTGTTAATTTGATGAATGTGGATGGCTGTCCGGCCTTACCAGATATTTCAAACCAACAAATAGAATTCTTTTTGTCTCAGTGATCTAATTTGTTAACCAGATAACTGCCAAGACTGCAACTTCATTCTGTTCTGTATAAAATTATTCGTAATTTTTCAATATTTCCAGAATCAGCTGCTTAAGGGAAATATATGTAAATATATGGATATTTTTGCATTCAAGCTATATTTCTCACTCCATATTGATGATATAAAGGGAAACAGAGAGAGATATAGATTCTCATGATGATTTTTGTCTTGTTTCTCAAATGTCCAGTATATATTAAAAGCAATACAACATGGTAGCTAAAAGCAGCAGCTTTGGAGCCAGTGTGCTGAGTTCAAATCTTGACTCTACCTCTTACTATGTATGTGACCAATGCCTCACTTTTTCTCTCTGTAAAATGGGGAGACAATAGTGCCTATCTCATGGGTCATTGTGAGCATAGAAAGTTGGTACATACAAACTGCGTAAGATAGAGCTCAGACTATAGTAAGCACTCAACAAATGCAACTATTATCTTTACATTAACTTTATCATTTAAAAGATCCAGGAAGGACCTTTTGGGGATGATGAAAATGTTCTAAAAATGGATTTGGGAGATGGTTGCATAGCTCTGTAAATTTAATAAAAAATCATTTAATTGGCCATTTAACACAGGGGAATTTCATGGTAATTAGATAGCTTAATACAGCTGTTACATTTTAAAAAGATGGGCCAGCCTTATTAAATCAATAGCATTAGCTTCTTGAGTTGTAAAGCCTGAGAACAAGAACAGAGAAATATGAGAAAGAAAGAGAGACAATCTGATAGAGGGAGAGCCCATCTTCTCTCCCCTCTCCCACTGTATGGACTGTTCTCTAACACAGTAGCTACAGAGACCTCATCAGCTGTCTCCTGGGAGCTGCCGCTTGGCCTGTTCTCTCATCGCCCTGTGGTGGCTATCAGTGATCTGTCCAATACTGGAAGGTGTACTCTGAAAAAAAAAACTAAGATTTACTCTTCTGTTTACACAGTGTCTTGAACCTACTCGTAAACTTTGTTTCCTTCAACCTTTTTCTTTAAAATCAAGTACAAACTAAGAATAGGTATCCCTTTCCCCACTCTTATTACCTCATTGCCTGAATATTTTTTAAGTGTATTCATTGATTGACTAATTAATTCAGCATTTTTGTGTTACCACCCTCATGTTCCAGGCATATTCCTACAAAGTGGAAGGGGAAAGAAAAAAACCAAGGCAATGTGGTCCCTGCCCTCTAAGGTCTTAGAACTGCTAATGTGGCCCAATTCATTTGGATCTGCCCTTCTTCAAATCTACCCACTCTTTCCTAATTCTAAATAAAACTTAAACCTTTTTTGAAGGTGTTTCCACCTTTCCAGTGTAGATAATCCTTCCCACTCACCCATCTCACTGGTCAAGAGGTAGAGGTGAGAACTCGTTCCTGCCAGAGCATCATTCCACTGCCATTCTCAATTAATTCCTCTTTGGAGTCTACATCATCTGCTTATTCCACATTTTCTCTCTCCTAACTGTTGTTATCTCTTATTTTCTAGGTCACCTCCAACTTTATTCTCTCTGTTTATTGCCTTTCCTGATTTTTATATTTCTCTTGCAGATCTTTTCCAAATTAGCTTCATTTTCTTGTTGTTGCTTCAGTTTTAACTAATGACTGCAGTTCGACTTCCTGTAGGCACTGGTAGTAATGTGAACTAGTTACCACATAGAACTGAACTCTGTGGATGTCAAATTGCAAAATTTCTGGCTCTGATTAGAACTTCCTACCCTCCCACAACTTCCATTCTTTAATTCTCTTGAGTCTTCCATCTTCCTTCCCAATTACCTTTAATCCCTCTACCTCTCTCTAGTCGTCGTTCCACTGTCTCCAAGAAGATGTAGACTAGATTTCAGAATTCATCACTTCAAGCAAGCTTTTTCTACAAGCCTCTTTATTTTGACATCTTTGATGGTTTTCTTTTTTTTCATTTCCCTCCATCTGCCTTACCCTTCGCCTGGCCTGGGGAAGTCCCACTCTCTCACTTTCTTTAGTCCCTGCTTCAAAATCACATAATATTGCCAGAAATAATCATGAAATTTATCTGATTAATTCCACTATACAATAATGTTTTCTGTGTTATCTAGGCCCTAGTTTTACTGCTCATCTTTTCCGTTGAGTTTCCATCACATTTTCCACCTCACCTCTTCCAAACATTTTTTCTGATCTTCTAATACTCAATCCCTTACCACCTTCTCTAATGATCACCTTTTCTCTTACTGCACAGAAAAGTCCACCCGAACAAACTCCCTTAATTCTCCTCCTCTTCATCTCCAAATTTTTGTTGGAAACTGAACTCTTTCTTCCTTCTTTCTTTTTGGCTTCAGAGATAGATTTTTCTCCATTCTTAAGAATAATCCTTCCCTTGGACTCTCAACTGTATCCCTCCTGGTAACTTGCCCCATCTGTCATTTCTCATCTTTCATCACCCCCTTAAGCCTACAAAAAGGCTCAAATTCTCCTTTATCCTTACAAACAAAACAAAACAAAATGAAACCCAAACAATCAACCAATAGCTCTTCTCTGTACTCAACCACCCACTGAAGTTACTAATTTCTCTCTCTCCTTTCCATTACCACAGAACTTCTCAAAGTAACTTGGTATGCCTCTGCATGCACTTCTAACCACTCACTTGCCCCTTGATCTCTTGAAGTTGCGTGCTGTCTTCTCCTCTCCTTATACTCATTCTCTTTCCCTCATTCAGAACTGACAGCCAGCCCTTCCCACTTGGATCTCTCAGCCTTTTATTTCATCCTAGTCTTCAAGACAGGCTCTCCTATGCCCCCACACCCCTTTCCTTACTCCTGAGTGCTCCCCAGAGGAATGGCGTACACACCCTCTTCTTGGGAATGAGCGCCCTTCTACAGAGAAGATCTCAAATATCTTTTCGGGGAGGATTACTCTGCCTATCTCCATCTTTTCATTCTTATGCCCTGCTGGACATCTTCATCAAAGACGCCTATCAGAATCTCAAGTTGATTGTGTTCAAGGCTCAACTCTTCTTCCCTCTAAAACTGGTCCTCTATCTTTACTGATGGCATGACTCACACTCCTTAGTCACTGAAGCTTCTAATTTAAGTATCTTATGAATCCTTCTCTATTCTTTGCATCCCAAGTCCTGCACATTACAGATCTCAAACACCTGTTCCCACCAGTTCAATCCCAATCTATGGTCTTCTCACCTTTTGTCCAGATTGTTGCCATTATCATTTAACTGATCTCTTCTATCCCCTGCTTCCTCTCAATGCAATCCATTCAATATAACTCTGAAAATAATGTCCTTAAGTTATAGCCTTGATCATAGCTCTCCCCTCCTCAAAAATATGCCCTGGCTTCTCATTGACAATTGAACAAAATGGATCCTTCTTATTCTGATATCCAAAGCTTTCTGACATCTGCTGTCTGCTCAGTGAAGCCAAACCAATGTGCTCTGCATGCCCTGTGACATCACCATTCCCTCCTCTCTGCATTTATTCATATGGTCCCTCTGGCTGGTGATGTCATACTTTATCTCCAAATATCCAAATTTTAACCATCCTTCTTCTGCAGCCTTTCCTGATTCTCAAACCAGAGTGGTATTTATCCCTCCTTTGAATCAGAAAATTCTCCATTAGTATTACTCCTACATCAGTTTCACTGTCTGCCTGAAATATTTGCACATGTATGTACTTTAGCTACTAGCTTATGAACTCACTGACAGCAGACACTGTGGACTTGAGTCTAGTTCAGTGCCTATACACACATCATTGTGTAGAATGGTGGTTTCCACACATGACATGCAGCAATCTCCTAGGAGGCTTGTTAATACACAGACTACTGGACTGTCCCCATGTGTTTGAGTCAGTAGGTCAGCAAAGGGGCCTGAGAATTTGCATGTCTCAGGTAATGTTGATGCTGCTGGTCCAGCAACCACACTTAAAGAACCCCTGGCATCGAGTTAAAGCTTCTAGGCTCAAATCCATGTTCTACCTCTTAAATGCTACAGAAATCTGAATAAAGAGACAAGTTTTCTGACCTTCAAGTTCTTCATATGTAAAAGTGAGATCATGATATTGCCAAACTTATACACATCTACGATGGTTGTTAAAACCAATTGCTGAAAATCTGTAGAACTCCATACAAATAAATATCAAATGAATAAAAATAATTAAGCCATCCACCTTAGAATGTCAAATCAATTTTGGTGACATTTTTCTCAGTGCCCCTTTATTCTCACTCCAGTGTATGTTTTTGAGTGTATTCTCTGATGAAATAATCACCTCCCTTTTGCCCTGTAGAGGTTCATCTGTAAAAAGTGTTGGATAAGCCCAACACTGTAGTGCATCAAGATCAGATGCAGTGAATATATTTCAGAAATTTCCCACTTGGGTTTGCAATGTACACATGGAAGCAATTTGGCCTGTAGGTTGAAAAGCTCCCTTCACTGCAAATGAATGACTTGGTTTATTCCATATGTGTCCCTGACATCCAGAGCCTGTACTAGGGTGAGGCATATTTGCCTGAGGAGAAAAACTTAAGGTAAAGGACTGACTAGTCAAGATAAATTATATTTTAGTACCATATTTTTTAAACAAATGTCAAAAACCCATCTGATGGATAAAAGCTTTACGATATTGGATTTGGCAATGATTTCTCTGGTGTGACTCCAAGAACACAGGGAACAAAAGAGAAAATAGATAAATGGGGCTAAATCGACATTAAAACTTTATATGCATTAAAGGACACAACAGAATGAAAGGGCAACCCACAGAATAGGAGAAAATATTTGTAAATCATATATATCTGATAAAGGGTTAATATTCAGGATATATAAAGAAAGCCAACAAATCAACAACAAAAACAAACAACCTGATTAGAAAATGGGTAAAGACCTTGGACAGATGCATCTCCAAAGAAGATGTGTAAATGGCCAATAGCACATGAAAAGATGTTCAACACCACTAATTGTTAGGGAAATAGAAATCATAACCACAAGGAGATACCCCTTCACACCTGTTAGGATGGCTATCATAAAAATTGACTAAAAAGGACGGGCGCGGTGGCTCACGCCCGTAATCCCAGCACTTTGGGAGGCCGAGGCGGGCAGATCACAAGGTCAGGAGATCGACACCACAGTGAAACCCCGTCTCTACTAAAAATCCAAAAAATAATTAGCTGGGTGTGGTGGCGGGCGTCTGTAGTCCCAGCTACTCGGGAGGCTGAGGCCGGAGAATGGCGTGAACCCGGGAGGCGGAGCTTGCAGGGAGCCAAGACCGCGCCACTGCACTCCAGCCTGGGCGACAGAGCAAGACTCCGTCTCAAAAAAAAAAAAAAAAAAAAAAAATTGACTAAAAAAATCCCAGAAAATAAGGATGTGGAGAAATTGGAACCCTGTGCATTATTGGTGGGCATGTAAGATGGTGCAACTGGCTGTAGAAAACACGATGGCAGTTTCTCAAAAAATTAAACAGAATTACCATATGACCTAGTAATTTAACCTCTGGGTATATAATCAAAAGAATTGAAAACTGAGTCTATATAGACTATGGACATAACTATGGTCCATATTTGACTATGGACATCTATATATTATATAGATATATATCTTCTATCTATATATGTTATAACTATCTATATAATATACATATATATTATACTCATGTCCATAGTCTATATAGATATATATCTATATCTTCTATCTATATAATATACATATATATATCATACTCATGTCCATAGTGGCATTATTCACAACAGCCAAAAGGTGGAAGCAACTCAAATATCCAACAACTGATGAGTGGATAAACAAAAGGTAGCATATATACACAAGGGAATATTATTCAGTCTTCAAAAGGAAATTCTAACACATGCTACAACTTGGATGAACCTTGAGAACACTATGATAAGTGAAATAAGCCAGATACAGAAAATAAAAAATAAAAGACAAATACTGTATGATTCCACTTGCATGAGGCACCTAGAGTAGTCAATATTTATACAGACAGAAAGTAGAATGGCAGTTGTCAGGGGCTAGGAGGTAGAAAAGGGAATGGGGAGTCATTGTTTGACTTTCAGTTTTGCAAGATGAAACATGTACTGGAGATTGGTTACACAACAGTGTGAATATATGTAATACACTGAATTGCACACTTAAAGTGGTTAGGATGGTAAATTTTATGTTATGTGTATTTTGCCACAGTTTTTAAAATTTAAAAATTTAACAAAATATCAAAATGTTAAACAAAGGCAGGACTGGTATACATTTTCTGACAAATATCTGCTTCAGTAGTAAATGATCAGCTGAACACAAATCTCTTTCTTCTTGTATTTCCATGAATTGGTTAATGGTGTCCTAATGTCTTATGAAATGATTCCCTACACTTTGGGCTTTTCCAGGTATGGACAAATTGGAAATTTGCAAGAAACCTCCCATTTTTAAAACCTCCATTTCTTCAACTTGCAAGAGCACCAAGGGCCTTATAAGGGTCCATCAATAGTAATAAATCTCATAATGAGCAAAAAATTATCAGTGTTGATCTATAATTTATGTGCTCTGATTATTGTTCAAATATTAATCCTTACAATACTAAATGGCATGTTCTAGTCTGAGTGCACTTTCATAAACTCATTTAAAAATCCTCACTACTCTTTTAAAACATAGTACTTAAGGTCGTCACTTAAATTTACTGATGGAGAAACAGACAGGACAGAGAGGGCACTTAGGGAAGTACTCATGGTTCCACTAATCACAGGAGGCATTGCAAAAGATGAGGAAAACCTTCAGGGTACTTAGAGCTGAGTGCTGGTGTCTCATGGTAGCTACTGAAAACTACTACAGGATTTAGAAATAGAATACAGACTCCCAGTCCGCAAATTCAGTTTGCAATGGTATGCAATTCCATTGGTTGAAACTGAAGCCACGGAAAAGCAAGTAAGATTACAGCCTGGTACTGAGTTCATGCAGTTCAAAGTAACTCTAAGCAACGTGGATCGAATAAACCTCCAGAGTCAGGAAGTGATTGGAGGGATGTGTTTTATATCTTTTTTAATTTAAGCTCAAAGAGCAATTTGAATTATGTATCCTATTTTATTTCTTACTGTTAAACCCAGACATTGAAATGTATATCCAGGGCCTTTTAGGAATACAAAGTAAAAGCAATGTCACGTATTGTGCTCCAGCAGGTAATTCAGTGTTTTAGGATTAGCCAAGAGATTTATCAAGCAGCCTCCAAGGGAATCAGAGTTCAAGTCTGGGCTCATCAATAATACATAAATAAACTGAACAATTAGGTACAAAGTGGCTATCTTGTCAGACAACTTATTAGCCGATAAATGATACACTCACTGGCTGACTTGAGTACAGAGACAAAGGACACATTAAGACAGAAAAAGGGCTGAATAAGAAAAAAGAGAGAAGCAAGCTTCCTGCAGCCTTTGGGCTTCTGTCCTGTCTCATCCTGCTGTGGAGAAGTGAGGCCTAGGTGTTAACATGGAAAGGAGAGTAAAGCCTAAATTAGAAACGCCTAGTCTGAATTTCATTACCTTCTTTAAGAGGCCTAGAGCTTAGCATCGGTATATTTGCACACGTTTGGAGAAGTTGTGGACAGGCTGCAGTCCAGAAGAGATTCGTTTTCTTTAGCAATGAGACTCTCCAGTTAGTGCCTAAGGCAGAAATTGGGGGTAGTTATTTGACTCTAGAAAATCCCTAAATTTGCATAACGACACGATTTTCCCTTAGTGTTCCAGATGCATTTGAAGACCAAACCAAGGAGGCACTTGCCTTTCAGGGACATGGAGTAACAGAATGCCAATTGTCACACACTGGCCTTCCCCCCAGCACTGTGAGGAGAAAGGAAGCAAATGCAGGTGGCCAAATGCAGGGACAACAGATGCCACTCCCTCAGAGAAATGGCGTGCTAGGAAATAAACCTTTTCTGCATCTTTTTTTTGGTTTTGGTCAAGACATGGAGTAGAATTTGCATTCATTAAGTTAGCCCTTCGTTTGTAATATAGATGGCACAAGTACCAACTTTGAAGGTACATTATAAACCGATGAAGAGTGAAAAAGTAGAATATAAAATAAATGGAAGTACTAATTCTGATTGGAGCCGGAAGAGTCTTTGAAAATCTGGGGAGGAGTAGACCACTGGAACTCAGTTCTCAATCAGTTTTAAGGTCAACGACATGAAAAGTCAGAATTATCCTTGACAGCTAAGGCCTCCAGGCTGGGGCCAGATGAAGTAGTGCCTGGTGTTTAGCACCTAACTGTGGGATACTTAGTAAGTTTCTTTAACCAGCAGGATCCTGGTCAGTCCTGCACCAGGCTCACAGAGGCACTCAGAGGCACTGGAAGTGAGGTTGGCAGATTCACCTCTCATCTCATGCACACTCTGGGTGGTTCCCCACTCCCAAGGGTTGGTGGGGACTTCTTCTGAAGCATTTCCTTTGAAAGATATGGAAATTAAGGCTCTGAGAAAAGAAGCTGGCCTAAATGACATAACTAGTTGAAAGTAATACAGGAATCCAATCCAGGTCTTCTGACTCCCAGGGTCTAAGTGAGTCCATTACCATTTTGCAGTTTGATTAATAACAGCAGGTAAATGCAAACTTCAGATGAAAAAATACTATCTATAAAGTAAACATTGGATGAACAGTCACCTGTAACTGTAAATGATGAACTAAGGTCACAATTTCACCATTGCAAAGACTGAAAGGACACAACTCTTAAAAACTCAAAAGAATGAACAAGGCTGCCAAAAAAGCACAGATTTCGGCAGATAAAAATAGGTTTTATTAATGGGTCTATTCATCTAAGTTAGGGTCCATAAACTAATGGTCACAGGCCAAATCTGGTCTGCTGTCTGCTTTTATAAACATAGTTTTGGGGCAAAACAGCCATGTTCTTTCATTTCTGTATGTCTATAGCCGTTCCCTGATACAATGGCGGAGTTGAATATTTGCCACATCAACTATCTGGCCTGCAAAACCAAAAGCATTTACTAGTCGGTCCTTTACAGGAAAATGATGCCAACCCCTGAGCTAAGTCATGATGAAACTAGGACAGATTAAAAAGTGTTATTAACAAGTCACATTTGTTAATCAAGATGGGCAATTCTCAAACTATGACTCACAAAAATAAGGGTTTTGGATATTAAGAGTTATTCTGATAAAATGGGCTCAATAGGCCAACAAGCTTTGGAAAGTCTGAGAAAATAACTGGAAATAATAATGTAATAATAATAAAGCTTACTACAGGACTTCTCAACCTCCAATATGCCAATGTGCACAGGAAATCTGAGTTGAAGTGAGGTGTGTTATTTCATGCAGTATTTCCCAGACTTATTTGACTTATGGTGTACATGCCTAGAGCCAAACCAATGGTCAGGTAGTTGGTCCTCTTCTGCAACTGTGAGACTTGGAGAAAGAGGCAGAGGGCAAAACTCCCAAGACAACAAGGAAGTCATTTATTCCCTTGCTTGCTCACTAGATTTTTGACAAGTATTAATGAAATAATAAAATTTTTCTCCTCCAAGAACCTGGCAGAGATTATCTCACTATTACAAAACTTTAGGCTGGGTGCGGTGGCTCATGCCTGTAATCCCAGCACTGTGGGGGGCCGAGGCAGGTGGATCACCTGAGGTCAGGAGTTCGAAACCAGCCTGGCGAACATGGCAAAACTCTGTCTTCTACTACAAACACAAAAATCAGCCGGGTGTGGTGGCATGCACCTGTAATCCCAGCTACTTGGGAGGCTGAGGCAGGAGAATCGCTTGAACCTATGAGGTGGAGGTGGCAGGGAGCCGAGATCACGCCACTGCACTCCAGCCTGGGTGACAGAGCGAGACTCTATCTCAAAAAAAAAAAAACTTTAGAAAACATAAACTCTTTTAGCTATGTTTAGTGCATGGTGTTATAAAGTGTCCTTTTTACCATAAGCCTGTATCTTCCAGGAGATCAACCGGATGTTGAGATGCAGAGTATCCATGAGAGAAGGGTGCATTCCTCTGTCCGGTGATGTGCCCAGTATTTGGTGTATTTTTTAACAGCTTTACACATTTTTGCCTTGCTTTGTTCCCATTAACTAAGAGCTACATGTCTGCTTGAGTAATTGTTTTTCCTTTACTGTTAGCAAAAGACCATATGCTATTTCACTTGCATCTCATTAAGCCTTTCAAATATTAGAGTTTTAAGAGACTTGGTATTTCTGCAGAAAAAATTAAGTGTCCTCCAATTAGCTGTATTTGACAATGTGTTAGTTATTAATATAAGCTATTTTCAAATGAAATGTTCTATGACCACTCTTCCTTTTGAACTAAAAAGAGTGACAGCCCAGTATGACTGAGAGGCTCAAAACCAAAGCCTTCGCTCAGGACACTTTCTCCTGTCACCTGGCTCCAGTTGGCAGACTGGCCCAAAGAAGCCCTATTCACACCTCATGACAACCAACATCATCTTGATCCATAATTGAGGTCAGACACAGGTTGGGTCAATCGGAATCACTCCAGAGACACAAAGTCCTCAGTGCTGTATCCCAGCAATGGTTGTGCTCCTCTGGGAGGGTGCAAGATTGCCCACACTTCTAATTTAACCAGGCTTCATGCAATATTTACTATATCCCACTGTCCCAAGCTCTTTCAAATACTACCTCTTTTAATTCACATAACCACACTATAAGGTGGGTATTATCAATCACCATTCTTCAGATGGCAAAACTGAGGCACAGAGCAGGTAAAGAATTGGCCTGTGATCACACAGATAGCAAGGTAAGGAGCTGGGATAGAAATTCAGATGGGATTTGACTCTAGAATCCATGCTTTTAACCATGATATGGTGGCCTCAAGGTTCAATTGTCCTGCTGAGACTTGTTTTTTCAATCCCTGGATAGCATGAAATACTCTAATATCCTTCTAGTAAAGCTTCTTTTTTTGTTTCTGTTATTCATTTATTTATTTTTATTTATTTATTTATTTATTTTTTATTATTATTTTTGGCTAGAGCTAGCCAGAGTTGGTTTCTGTTGCTTGCAACCAAAAGAAACTTAAACAGAGGAGAGAAAGCACTCCTCTGTTTTCCCAACAAGGTTTCCTCTACATATCATACTTGAAGGATACTGAAGTTGCTATTGGTAACCACCATCAACACCAAAATTCTACAGTGCAGAATTAATGTGGAACAGGAGAGAAGGGGAGAGGGTTGGGATGAGGGAGTCCGCAGCAAGCATCCCAGAGGTCTGCAGGTTTGCATGCATGTGCAACCCATTGTCAGGAATCTCTGTGCTGGTCAGCAGGTCAGCCTGTGACAACAGAATTGGGGCAGGCACTCACCTACCTAGGTGCTGAGGGCATCCTTCCATCTTCTGCTCCCACAATGTGGGCCACAGTTAGGCTAAATGTGTCCCTTGTCCATTTCCTTCAGAGCAAATGCTGTATTTTATCACCTTTAGCTCCTCAAAAACAGTTCCTTTGTCCAGAGGTTTCATTTTGTTTTAAATCTAACGTGTATTGAGCACTTACAAAATTGAGCACTCTTCTAAGTGCTTTGCCTATGTTAATTAATCCTCGTAAGCCTCATAAGAATAATATATTTTACAGATGAAGAAAATTGAGGCAGAAAGGAAGTGTACAGCTAGGCTCAAACTCAGGCAGAAGGTCCCAGAGTCGACATTGTCACCACTACCCCATGGTCCCAACACCCCATGGTGGGTAAACAACCAGAAAAATGTGCTGACAAACACACATTGTGGTGACGATAAAAATAGCTCCTAACTGTGCAATTCAAATTATCCTATTTAGTGAAGCTGAAGGGATCTGCTCATTTAGGACAGGATTAAGAAGAAAATTAAGGATTGGTCTTCAAGCTAGAAAGAGTGACTCACTTTCTCCCTCGAGCACTAGAAGTCTGATTTTCCAAAGTGACAGTACTACCTAAGAAAACTCAACAGTGCCTAAACAGACCCAAAATGTATAGCAGATTAATTGAAAGGGAAACTATAGTAAGTTCCAGGAGGAAACTGTTACCTAGAACAATCGGCCGGATCGCTTAGGTCCTCAGAACTTTTTCTGGACCATAAAAGCTAGTTAAAAAGCCTGTCTTCTCCTTTAAAAAGTGTATCTTCTCCAATAGCCTTTTTAAAAATGTTCAACACCACTCAGACTGAAATCAATGGATTTCAAAGCAGCTCTCTGCCCCTGGTGATATGAAACAAAAATGAAACTTGTGACTTTAAAAATGGTTTCAAAGAAATGTGCTAGACAATACTCAGGCTTGTTGGCATTTCTTTATTTTGCGAAGGGGTCTTCTCTCTAGCAATGAATTCATCTTCCAAAAGCTCCCGTAACATGTTGATGTTACAAACACTTGTGGAGACAGCGTATCTTGGGGTGAAGGAGGGTTAATGCTCTTCCCGACTGTAATCAATGGGAGCAGCATGATTTACAGAATCTCCCCTGGCTGTCAGGCAGCCCGCGTTATCAGCGTGCTCATCTTGGCCTCGGCAGGGCTGACGCGTGGTGGAGACGCCGGAGCCCTCGTTACACTAGTTTTACCTGGCAGGCAGTGCTAGGTCTGCGCAAAGATAAAATGAAAAGTCCCTGGGCAACCTCAGGCTATCTGTCTCTGCTGCACATGCTGCTGGCTATGACTTTGTAGTTTATGTAAAAATAGTTGTTTTCTGAAATGAAATGAAAGCAAGACGAAGGGGAATAAGCAGAGGCTGCAACTGAGAAAGAACTTAAAACACAGAGGTCTAAGTCTACAAGAATTCTAATGGGCGAGCTGCTTAGTGGTTAACTGACAGGCACCAGGCAGCCACGTGATCTTCCCCCCTTATGTCTTGGTCAGTCAAGGCACACAAATGCTTGCTGCACGTAGAAATGCATCAATGATTTCAAAAATGGAAATAATAATGTACAGATTTATTTTTTTTTCCTTATATAGGCACAGGATGTCTGCTTCCTCCTATCCAGATATTTCCAAATGAACTTTTCTTTTAAAACCACATGCACGTTTTAGGTGCCCAACATTATTTTTTGCTTTGGGCAGCCCAACTCCTTCTTTCTTCTGTATGGATTCATGGTCAGCTATACTCTGTCAACTTCTGAACTTACGTTAAAAATCTTTGGCACTAATTAGCCTTCTATAGAGAACAGCAGTAGTCTCCTCTCACGAAAAAAAATACACCATATCTTAATCAATCGTGCTTATGTAAGTTACAAAATCTTTCTGCTAAGGAAAAATTGCATTTTTAGAATTAAGCATTGCCTAACTTTTTTTTGAAGCCAACTGTACAGAACTCTTGTCACTTAAACATTTTTCACATCAATTCTCTTCTTTACTTACAAATTAAAGTTTGAAGATGGAGATAAAAAAGGGGAAGAAATGATTTTTCTCTGTTGCTGTTCATTTGCTAACACTGTTGCATATTTAAGGTATTTTCATTTTGTGAAATCCCAGCACTGGAGGTTAGGATGAGCTCTCCCTGGATACCCAAGTAAAGAAAAAAGTCAGAGAACAGAGGGAGTGAGAGAACGTGGGACCCATGTCCAGTAATGGCTCAGTCACTGGGCTCAGGGAAGGCCCAATATCTCTTTCTATCGGTGGCTTGAGAATTGGCTTGCCACCAAGACAGAGAACAGGAACTAAGCTGACAGATTGGAACCTGAACTGGGAAGAGTAACCGTCCTGTTCTGGGGATGGACAGAACAGTGAAGGGTTTCCTAGCAATGAGGACTCCAGAATCTCTACATAAGAGAGGTCTAAAGTCATTGTCTTCAAGCTACACTTTCATAGCAAATATACTGTTTTAATTAAGATTAGATTTAAGGTTAGATTTTATTTGGAAAGATGGGGGTGTATGGCCAAGGGATATTTATGGCTGGACCCTTTTCAAGAGGCTCACTGACATTGATGGATATTAATAAAGTTGATGCTATAAAGTTTCACCAGGAATGGCAGAAGGATGAACCTGTCAAGTAAGCACAGGCCGTTCCAAAGCCTAGTCTAGGAATCATTGCGCCAGACTGGGAAAAGTCCTTCTCATCTACATGGTACAGGAACTGCAGAGATTTCTATGGAAAAATAATGAACACATTTAAGAAAAGTTGAAATCAGAGTTTTCTTCTAAGAGAAAATGAAAACAGTAATAACACCCAGAGGTAAGACCTGATGGAGCTCTAGGATGAAATAACATTTCACTTCTACCATGCCTTTCAACTTTCCAGTCTCTGAATGAGATCAAGGGCAGGGAGGGAGGGAAAACCTGACTATTCCTTTAAAATTAAGATGACAGACCTTTACTCTTGAGTCATTAGTTTTATCCTTTTATATGGATTGCATTCTCAGTTTACTGTAGAGGTTCTGGCAATTCCATCATCTTCCTAAGGGGACCTAAGGGGAAAAGGCATCTTGCCATACCTTGTTCAGAATACAGAGAAAAGCATTCCCCGAATGGCTGAGTGGCCAGTTGCCATGGCAGCATAAAGACGTTGTGAATTGGTCTACCTGTGGGAAAAATTTCCAAAAATAGAACACAGTCTATTTTCACCTAGATCCACGACATATTCTTGCCAGTATTCATCAAGAGTTTCTAGAGACCTGAGCCAGGTCTAAAACAGCCAGAAAGTGCAAGAGTGGACAACTGGAAATAGCCTTCTTTCTTTGCCAGTCGTTCCGTGAAGACTCATATGAAATGATTGTTTGTCAGTAATGTATTGACTTTAGTCTAGAAAAGTCTGCATGGAGTGGTGTAGCAATGACAGAGAGGAGACGGACTCAGAGAAATGATCACTGAGTGTTGTGAAGAGGAAAATATAGATGAATCCATTCAAACTTGCATAATGAGAATGACTAGAACACACACGTATTTCCATTAAGGAAAAAAAATCAGTAAGGTCATATATCCCTATTTAGTTTATAGCTTTCAAAATGCCAAGTGTGTGTGTGTGTGTGTGTGTGTGTGTGCGCGCGCGCATGTGTGTGTATTTTTTTTTTTTAAAGAAAGGACTAAATCTCTTTAGACCTGTCGGAAACTCCAAGTCCATGAGGTAGAAAGTTCTACTGTCCAGAATGCTAAATTTCTGTCCTGAATGACTGGTAATTTCCTAATGATACCCAATGGCAGAAGTTCTATGACAGAATTGTGTTATAAAGATAACAGGATACATATAAAGTAATGCCATAAAATTTTAAATATATATTAAATCAAACAGAACATCTAAAATATTTTCCTACTCTTTCAGAGATGGCCTGAAACTTGGTTGTTTCAAAGAAAGCTGTTGGCCCATCTCCCCACTTCACCTGACTCCCATTCCCACACAGGCAACCCAACACATTCAAGGTCATGTCGGAACAGCTAACCTGACAGGGTGGGATGCGGCCTACTGCTCTGAAGACTCGAAATGCTGACGGCACCCTATTAGCTTTCTGTTCACTTCAGTCAACTTCCTTCTCATGGTCTATCCTCTTCCATATCGTGATGCCTTCCTTCCATGTATCATCCATCTTACATCATTGTGTATATCACACTAAGTGTCAATAAAGTGTTCACGCAGCAGTCTGCCCTATTAGACTATGAGCTCATCAGTGTCAATGAACATGTCCTTATTTCTGTATATGTAATAAGCAAAGCTTATTTAAAATTTTTACTTTTCATCACCAATATCACCACCACCAATATCTTCTGCCACTAACTTTATTTAAATCTCACTTGAGGAATAATTGCTATAATGGAGATAAAGGTCTTGGAGTATAGCATTTATTACAAATCCCAATTTAGCCCCTAATGTGATTTGGTTTTTTTGTTTTGTATTTCATAAGCTAAATACCAACAAGTAGCTCCTTTACTTCCCAAAGATGAAACTTCTATTTCAGTTTCCCAAAGACAAAACCGTTTTCTGAATTTCTGCTTAGGAATCCCAAATTTCTTTTGATTTTATTCTTAAGAGAGCAAACTGCAAACACTCAATGAACTACAATGCCCTAAAAAGCAGAACAGAGATTGCAAAATGACAATCATCTTATTTCATTTTCATGTCACCATGAATGTTACTTATTATTTATATCAAATTGAGCTAATGCATGGAGCACACAGGCACTGTTTATCAAGATCTCTCTACCCCTCTGGATAACACAGACAACTGAAAAAGCATGATTTGAACAATAAAGTGAGAAATACACACAAAAGTGATTACCTCCAAAATGGAAAAATAAATGTGTTTATTTTGTGTTATAAAAATATGAATTGGGGGAGAGAAATCAGATCCATCCCTTCATATGCTGGTCGTCTTTTCCATCATGAAAAATATACTTTAGCATTTTGTACCTCAGTGACTGATGTACTTGCTTGAATGAATCCTTACCAACAGGTAAAATATCATTTCGATTACTTTGTGCCATTTCAAAACTGAGGTGACTCACTCAGTAATGAGATAGAGTAAAAAGCAGTTGTTTTTAGTGGGTTTTTCCTGGGGCTGGGAATCATTTTAATTTACTTGTCCCAGATGCCACATTTCATCTAGTTGGTATTCCCTCCGTTTCCAGGCCTGCTCTCCCCTTACTCAATAAATATGGAAATCTATTCTTCGTCCAGTTTGAACATTGTAATTTTTATAGCAGTTTTACTCTTTCTGACAAGCATATTTCCACTCTCTTTTTAGTCCTGGAGAATGTGAAGAAACACACTCTTCCCTGAAAATGCTTTGCATGTATGAAACATATTTCAGAGTTCAAACTTTCTATACATGTATTGTTTAATTAGTCTCCACAAGGAAGACTTCACAATGTTTTCCCCACACTAGGAAGCAAAGCAGAGACTGAGATCATGAAGTGACTAGGGCAGACATGGCTGGGTCCAGATACAATTTCTAAGTCCAATTTTAAGGGTCTTCTCTTCCTAAAGTCTCATTTCAGAGAAGCATCAAACCCCTATCTCAGAATCATCAAGGTTCCAATCCTGCACACAGATTAGATTACAATCAATTGCCTTTCTTTTAAGTCCTTTCTGGAAAAAGGCTGGTTCTAATGAGGCAAGCAAATAAGTAACCAAGTAATTTAATAATGAATGAAAAAATAAATGAGGCCAATGCCCCTTTCCTATAACTTTATCTTTTTCTTTGTGTCCCTTAATAAGGCAATACCTTTTCCTGTACCTTTATGTTGTTTTGATAGTTTTGGTACTTTTTGTACTAAATTATATCAGTGAGCCCTACTTAGAGAAAAATATGCTATGAAAAATATTTATAGACAAATACTTTTTATCGGCAATTTCTAGCCACATTTATGCCCATTAGAAAACTATTCTTCATTTAATTAAAACAGCAACAATGCAATAGTCACACCAGTTTCCTTTGAAAAGACCATGATCCTTGAGTTTCCATCGATGATGTCACTGGGTTTTCTGGAATTAGCTAGGGGTGTAGCCAGTTATGCAATGGTTGCCAAGACAGTCCCCATTTCAGCCTCCTCTATTGGAGACCTTCCTCTAGAGGTTTGTTTCAGACTCGCATAGCTGTTGTGGTTGATTTCCTACCTAAGTAGTTTTAGAAATGCACCACTATATGACACTCACATGTTCAAACTAGTAACCAGAACCAGACTCACTAACCTCTCTGATAGCACACTCTGAAAGAGATCTTACAAAAAATACCAAGGTAAGGCTATCTCCAACACAAAACACACCTAAGGGAGACACTGCCTTTTCCTCCAAATACTCTCAGGTAGACATCAGAAAGCTGTAGCAGTCTATGAGGAAAGGTGAGTATTCACAAATAGATTTGATGACAACTAGAACAGGTGGGGGCTTACTGTGAAAGTTATCGTGAAGATGTGAGCAATTTAGAAATAAGCAAGAGGAAAGCAAGACTGGAGACCAGTGGATGAAGACTTAGGCCAGTAGTTGAGTTGAACAAACTTTGAAACTATTTACGTGCACTTGCGTCTAGGAACTGCACATTTTGGTTCTGTGGCCCTATGACTTTGACGAGTCTTTGGCTTCTGAAACCTTTTCCTAGGCCTCAAGGCTTCAGAGCCATAGATTCCCACCCTGTGCAAGTGGAACAACTATATTCATCAGCCTGCCAAGTGCGCCTGGGTGGTCAGTGTCACTAAGTTAGTTATTCCTTTGTCCCATTCATGTATTGTGTTTGCAGATCACTATTTGACAAAATCTTGCTGGGCATGGGGCATATCTTAAATAAAGGTTCAGAGTCACAGCCAATGGATAATGAAACCAATATTCTCTTAATAACTTACTTTTGCCTCTCCATAAAGAATACATTTAAATTTATATATTATTTATAGTAGGATTATACATTTGGAAACCGCTTTTTGTTTTTGTTTTGTTTTGTTTTTTTTGAGACGGAGTCTCCCTCTGTCGCCCAGGCTGGAGTGCAGTGGCGCGATCTTGGCTCACTGCAAGCTCCGCCTCCTGGGTTCACGCCATTCTCCTGCCTCAGCCTCCCGAGTAGCTGGCACTACAGGTGCCCGCCACCATGCCTGGCTAATTTTTTGTATTTTTAGTAGAGACGGGTTTTCACCATGTTAGCCAGGATGGTCTCGATCTCCTGACCTCGTGATCCGCCCGCCTCGGCCTGGAAACTGCTTTTTTAACCCATTAATAATTACATAAATGCTCAGACTTGCATATCAGATGTAATATTTTTCTCATGTTAATGTCAGATAATCAGTGGTGAGTATATGCATATTTAATATGAGAAAGAAGATTAGCCTTAATTCAAAAAAAAATATGGTAGCCGGGTGTGGTGGCTCACGCCTGTAATCCCAGCACTTTGGGAGGCTGAGGTGGGTGGATCACTTGAGCTCAGGAGTTTGAGACCAGCCTGGCCAACATGGTGAAACCCCACCTCTACTAAAAATATGAAAATTAGCCAGGTTCGGTGGCATGCACCTGTGATACTAGCTACTCTGGAGGCTGAGACAGGAAAATCGCTTGCAACCAGGAGGCAGAGGTTGCAGTGAGCCAAGATCATGCCACTGCACTCCAGCCTAGGTGATAGAGCCAGACTCCATCTCAAAAGTATATATATATATATATATATATATATATATATATATATATATATAAATTTATATATAATAAATTTATGTAATAAATGTATATATAATAAATTTATATGTAATAAATTTATGTAATAAATTTATATAATAATATATTTTATATATATAATAAATTTATATATGTATGGTAAGATTTGGAAAATGTTTTCTTAATCAGGAGCAGCCTAGAAGGTATATCTGGTCCACAAACAATTAGAAACAAAAGATAAATATTCACTGCCTACAAAGATTCTGCTAACTGAATAATTGATTCAGATAGTCTTCCTATTTTGAGTATGAAAGTCCAAAGGGTGAACTTAATCTCAAACAATAGGACAGGTATGAGTGCAAAACATTGAGTTTCCTAAACTCTCTGAATTTTTCCAAGAGAACACACTCCAAAATCACCAGTTACTAATTCATTTTATTAATTCAGTTCAATCTGTTACTTCCTAGAACTACCAAATGCTTTCTTTGGCATCATGTTTATAACCAAAATGTTTACTTTAAAATTAAAACATTTGTTTTAGTGAAAAGAGTTTCCAAAAGTAACTGAAAGTCCCAATAACTGGAAAGAAATTAAATGCAAATTGTTTTTTGGTTATAGTTTTTCGCACTTCTTCTTAGTAGCCAGACTAGTGCAAAGGAAGAAACAAAATATTTGTGCTTTTGAGATTATAGATATGATTGAGAAATAATTGACTTAAAGACAATACAAATGGCCAGTTCATTAAAAAGGAACCTGATGAAAGAAATACAAAAACAAATGAAAGCTGAAATCTGTGATCTTTAGAATTTCAGTAAACAATTTCAGGAAAAAAAAACCAATAAATTAAAGCACTATGACCTGAAAAAGGACTTTAAATCCCTGCATGGTATAGTAAGTCAAAGGAGAAAAAAAAAAGAAACTAAGAAGTCAACAAAGTTTCTGAAAACTAAATACAAGGGTTGAAAGGGTTGTCAAGACTATTGTAGAAATACTGTAGGCCCTGAAACGAGGTGGGAGGTGTGGAACTGCTGGGGTCAGTGACTACTGAGGGCATATTTTGATATGAAATATGAAATATGAATTAAATGCATAGAGGTTTGATCACTTTGAGGTAGGATGCTGGTACAGAAGACAGATCCTTTCATGAGTTGCTATAGCAGAACTCTATGTGTGACAAAGACAGGCAGAGCAAACCACTGGACGGAGTGGCACGGCGATCTCTATTTTTTAGGAAGAGGTATGGGGAGCTATCAAGTCAGATTCACAATGAGACTCTGGGGAATTTCTAGAGAAAATTAGGTTTATTAACTTGAATGAGTTTCTATCACATCATGAGTGGAAGAAGAGATAGCTAAGGTATTTTGTATGATCCACATAGGAATTTACATAGTAGACACAAGAGGGGCTGGTTTTGGTTTTTAAATTCAGATCTAAAACTTTAAATAATATAAAATTATTTTTCACTGGAATTCTGCAAGCACAGAAATCAAGACGGGAGGACCAAGATAAATTAGGACACTGGATATTTAGTCAAAATGCTAGTAGTAATATGCATTATTTTAAAAAATATAATCAGGTACCCTTTTAAAATACATCATGTCTTTTTAGGGGTAGAATTTGATCTAAAGAAATCTACTATGTACAGGGTAAAAGAGGAGGAAATCCTTTGGAGGAAATAAAAAGAATAGATGTGTATATTCAGTTCTTACAGATAATAGCTGAAGGGGTTATAAAATAAAGCTTAATCAAATTGATTGGCAGCAAGGGAGAAGTGATATTGAAGAGAAAGTGATAAGAAAGGAAAATTGTGGCTATGGTTATACACTCTAAAAATAATAATTATAGTGAAGACACTATGGGAATACCCAGTATATATAAAAGAGGTGCTAGAGGCTAGATGAATATTATTTAAAGTTCATTGGGAAAAAAATGAGCTGGATGCTATAGAAAAATGCAATTAGTTATTGTCCTAGCTGACAGATTTATAACTGACCCCCAAATTTTCATTATACTCATCTTTGAAATCAACTGAATAGTATAATTGTCTTGTTTATTCAGGCTCAGTTTGGCTTGAAAATCTTTTAATTTCACTACCAGTATGTATAATTAACTTGACTCAAATCATTTAGTATTATTGTTACTCAGTAGGTAACTTGCTCCAGGTCAGTGCTGCCATGAATCTTTTAGTATAGCCATAAAGAAAAATTGAGAATTGAAAACTTCTGTAATGTTTGCTATTTGTACAGCAATACTATATCAGTGATCAAAAATATACACGCATACACATTAAAGAGATCAAACCCACTGCAAATGAATCTTCTGTCACATATCATGACTCTCATAATAAAAATCCAGGACATTAAAGAAAATAAATAAACAGTTCAAGAATTAAATTTAAGCCAGGCAATTCAGTTATGAAATTTAAAGGTGCTTTCTTATCTCAATTGTATCTCTGATTTACTATCTTCCCACTATTCTATCTAGTGTCTCCAACTAGAAATAATATGGACTCATAAAAGAATTATGATAGCAAGCTTAGAACAATTGGTAATTATAGTAGTCTTTGCACAGTAGAAATCTCTGTAATAGTCTCTCAAGCAGAAGTAAGTCTGCGAAATACCTACAAGAACTAAGATTACTCTTTGTCTCCATTTACTCCCTGCCAATGTGGCAGGAAGAACTTTTCTCAGGTTAGCTGGGTTTAGATGGATAATCAAGTTTATGGTTTTTCAGATATAGATTATGATGCTGATACATCAAAGAGGTGACAACAGCCACCTCACAATTGTCATCTGTCCTCTTCTAATTTTCTCCCAATAATTTTGCTGACTTACATGGCGTTAAGTATTTGTGGTTCAATCTCCCTTACTTCCTACTAACACATACCTCCCACTCACACCCTAAAAAATTCACTCAGAAACAGGCAAATATCTCATGATGGGAAAAGTGATTCTAGCAACTCACAGCAATCAGTCATCAGTTTTGAGGGGATGTGAACTGAGAAGACTGAGGATAATTGAGTACATGGTATTTTGTGTCTTACTCAGTTATGTAAGCACACAGGGATGCTCACAAGTTGAAACTGTGAGTTTCAAAAACCATCCTGAGCTTGAAGATAAAGAAGATAAGGACCTCTAGAGTTAAGAATGCATTCGTGGAACAAAATGCAAAAAGATTTTAAAAATACTATTATTTTGGGTAACTTTGGTCTGCTCTTGTTGAAATTTTTATCATATTCAAGAAGTAAGAAATAACTATAAGGTCAATCAGATGACAAAATGATAGTTGCACTGTAAGTTGCAAAACAAAGAAAAAAACAAATCAAAAGAGACCAGAAAAAATAAGTAATAAAATAGTCATAGGAGAAATGTCTTATAAATAACTGGGCTGTGACATCTTTCCCTTTATCAGTAAAAGTATCTCTCTATTGTCAAGGAGACAATGGCACAATTTAAAATACAGAAGTACTTTTTTTTTTTTTTTTTTTTTTGAGACGGAGTTTCACTCTTGTTGCCCAGGCTGGGGTGCAACGGCACAATGTCGACTCACTGCAACCTCCGCCTCCCAAATTCAAGTAATTATCCTGCTGTCAGCCTCCCCAGTAGCTGGGATTACAGGCGCCTGCCACCATGCTGGCTAATTTTGTAGTTTTAGTAGAGACGGGGTTTCACCATGTTGGTAAGGCTGGTTTTAAACTCCTGACCTAGGGTGATCTGCCCACCTCGGCCTCCCAAAGTGCTGGGATTACAGGTGTGAGCCACCACGGCTGGCAGGAAATACTTTTCTTTAAAAAAAAAATGCAGACATAGGGCCGGGCACAGTGGCTCACGCCTGTAATCCCAGCACTTTGGGAGGCCGAGGAGGGCGGATCACGAGGTCAGGAGATGGAGACCATCCTGGCTAACACGGTGAAACCCCGTCTCTACTAAAAATACAAAAAATTAGCGGAGCGTGGTGGCAGGCGCCTGTAGTCCCTGCTCCTCGGGAGGCTGAGGCAGGAGAATGGCGTGAACCCGGGAGGCGGAGCTTGCAGTGAGCGAGATCGCGCCACTGCACTCCAGCCTGGGCAACACAGCAAGACTCCGTCTCAAAACAACAACAACAACAAAAAAAAAACAAACAAAAAAAATCAGGCATATAAAATGAACAACATTGTAAAAGACCTTCTAACCATTTAGCATGTATATGTCACTAGGTAAAAAATAGTTATAATGATTTTTCTTATATTTTATAAGTAAAAGGCATAAATGGTCAATAAGACAAATATCATGAAATAATATTTCTGATAGGGAATAAATTAGTCATTAACGTTAAAGCAGTTTAGTTACAGAATGAATGCACTACAGTTCAAGTCAACTAGAGCCATTTCTTGATGTTCTTAAATTGTTGGAAATGGTGCCTCAGGTGAAACACAAGGGGTATATAGATGCTTATAAATGCTGGTGAAGGGAATTCCATTTCTTTACATTGAAGCCTGTGTTATATTGAAACCTGTGTTTCAATATGTTTTTATATTTTTAACTTGAGGCCTCTGAGCCAATTTCATTTTGATAAAACTGACCTTTGGTTTCATCTTCTTCTAAAAGTAAAAAGCTTTGTTGATTCATTTTAAATAGACAAAAGTCAGACCAAACTTCAAACTATTTTTACACATTGACCCTTTTTCATGAAACTTGTTATACTGTTAGTTACTGGGTAATAAAAAGTATTTCAATATTTTTTAAGCAGAACAACTTGCGCGGTATTATTTTCAATGCCTTTTTTCTATTTAGTTACTTATGTATGAGTTATATTCATTGAAATGTTTTCTTTTTTCAGGTGCGATTCAAGAAAATATTGTGTTACTATGACTTGTCAGCTGTTACAGTTTATTACACGCTGCATCCTCCATTCTCACCTGATCCTGGCCTATTCCCAGAGATCTATTAGCGATGGGATTTTAACGAGTGACATAAGGAAGAGGGCGCTACAGTTTTTATGGAAGTTCAGGATTCACGAGGATTGTGGAAAAGTACAACACAAGACTTTTTTTCAACAGTGAAAGACGGGGGGAAAAGGAATGAATAAAATGTTCGGATTTTCGGATGTTAAATGATTGAAACAGTTTCTATTTAAATGCAAATTTGACTTTTTAAAAGATGGGACTACCAGTAACTGCACCCTAAATGGTAAAATGAAAATCAATTTGAAATATGGGATGAATAAAGTATATGTGGACTTTCTGGGAATCATTTTTTATTATGAAAACCTTGATGTATTTTCCTTTGCTCAATCCATCTTAGACTTTGGACAGCTATGTCTGGGATGAAATGCAAACATTTTTTAATTTGTTTAAGCACAAACATGGTCAGCTCGCTAGAAGCTTCCCTATTTGTTCCAGTCAGATTTCACAAAATAATGATCAACAGTATGAAGTATGTAAAATACAAGACCAAAAAGTAAGAGTTTAACTGCAGCATTATAATGACCAATATTCACTATGTGTTTTTTATGATGTTGGGGAAATCACTTTTAAGAAATGGAAATCACTACATTCTATTGATTCAAGAGCAGAATCTTCAGACATAAGTCAGCAGAGTTGACACTTTCAAATACATGAAATGTGACATCTGCTCTTACAAATGCACTATACAGCCTGTAAATCATCAAAGAGAAAAACAGTTCAATGTCATTTCAGCCACTGTAAGCTATGGTTTATACAGCTGAGAGATAAAAATAGTCATACGGTCTCTGTGACATCTAAACCACTTTTCTATTGCAGTATTCCATGTTCTAATTTATCTTTGTGGTTGAACAACACACAATCAATTGTAAGCAACTAGTGTAGTTTGACTCCAGTCAGTAGCAATTTTCTATAGCTTTATCTTTTCCCCTACTGAAGTGACTTTTAGTAATAGCCACAACACACTATCTCAATTTTTGTGGTTGGTTAGCTTTTAGCCATCATTCTAAGGGCTAACATATGCACTAATCCATACACAAAATTTACATTTAGTAAAGTACACATTAGTGATTGCATGCATTATAATAATTAGGGATCTATATTCTATGGAAAAAAGGTTTTATTCGATTTAAATTAAGACTAGTAAGAACATAGCCTTTGTGTAGGATTCCAGCTTCCACCACTTATTAACTATAAAAATTCCAGCCAATTATTTAACCTCTGAGATTCAGGTAACATATCTGAAAAATGGATGAAAAATCAATCACACAGGGGCAGCTGTAAAGACTAAATGAGACAACGTAACTACCTAATACAGTGCTTAGACATCTACACTAAACAACATAGTAAATAGTAACTATTATTAATCTTGGGTCATTTTTTATCATTGTTACTATAACAAAACATAATACTTTTTTGTGGCCCTAGTAATTAACAATGCCTGTTCGCACATCCCAGCACTGGAATCAATCCAACTTAGTAGTAGCCTATATCTGGAATATGTGTGATTACATTTTTATTTCATTTTTGCAAATAATGCTAGCATGTAAATATATTCAGAAATTTATTTTATGTAATTTAAACTTGAAAATATCATTTTCTTTTTTTTTTTTGAGACAGACTCTCGCTCTGTCGCCCAGGCTAGAGTGCAGTGGCACGATCTCGGCTCACTGCAAGCTCTGCCTCCCGGGTTCACGCCATTCTCCTGCCTCAGCCTCCCAAGTAGCTGGGACTACAGGTGCCCGCCACCAAGCCTGGCTAATTTTTTGTATTTTTAGTAGAGACGGGGTTTCACCGTGTTAGCCAGGATGGTCTTCATCTCCTGACCTTGTGATCCACCTGCCTCGGCCTCCCAAAGTGCTGGGATTACAGGAGTGAGCCACTGCGCCCGGCCCTGAAAATATCATTATTGTAAGTAGTTTTTGAAAATGATTACAAGTATTACAACTAAAGTATCATTTGTTAAAATATACTAAATACTAAATAGAGCTAAAAGGGAGGTCTATTCACTTTCTCTAAATTAGTAACTGCTGACAAATGGGATTCTATATACATAAAGAGGGATTTTACTTATCACACTGTTACATTTGTTAAAATAGTAGCACATTAACAATTTTAAAGAGTAAGAGTTATCACCATAAAATTTAACAACATAGTTTTCTAGCAAAATTCACTACATGTACAACCATTAATCACCAAAAGTTTAACTTTATTTTTTTTAATGAGCATTAAACAATAAGGAAAGACCTGCTAATCAAGTTGGTTTCTAGAATGATAGATTTGCTCATTGACAACCTTCTTGGAACTGAAACACAGTGTCTTTTATTTTTCTCCACTCTACTGCAGTGAAGCTGAAAGCCTAGTCTCCTGGTACCCACCAGCCCCTTGGCTGAAGCTGAAAGAGAACTGCTGTCCTGGCTGGATTTAAAGCCATTAGTTTAGCAGTTCTGATGCATTTTCTTTCTCAAATCTTTTTATTAGTAGAGCAGCATGCTCCAGGGTCTGTACTTGTCAGATCATTTTACGCACGGCCCTTGGCTGCTGTCCATGCCTCAGTTTCCCAGATGTGCACACAGGATCATGTACAGCACTCCCTGCCACATGCTCTTGCTTAAGGATAGGTTTTATATAGATGTCAGATCTTCTAATGTTCAAATAAGAGATGCAATGTACTTCACTTTCACTTGTCAGAAAACAAATATTCTCTGAACATTTATGTTTTAGATTCATTGTGTCTGTGCTTTTATTTAGTAAGAGAAGATGTTTTACATATAACTCCTAAGCCTGTGGTCTTTGCACACATACACAGGAAGATACACTGTAAGGTTCTTAACAAAGAACAAAAGAAAAACAGTTTCAGAAAAACTGGGATGCTGTTTCACTAACGCACTGGGTTCTGCCACTGGCTTTTACAGTAATGCTATGCCTTGATAGGTTTATTTTCTCGCTTGGAAAAGTAGCTGCTGTGCTATTGTGATGGATGTTTGCACTGGGGAAGGAAGAGGAGGAGGAGGAGAGGTAGGAGAAGAGAAAGTTGTAATTAGGTACATGTTTATGTTTCTGATCTGTTTCAATCCTGTAATTCTACCACCATGGTCAAGGACTACTGGATCACAATTTTATCAAGGACAGAAGTGCAGTCTTTTCTAATCTTTATGTTTCTCACAAAGGACCTAATATATATCTAATCCTCTAGGAACTTTTACTAAATATTAGTAATACTGACAGCAATACCAGCAACCTTCTTTAAAGATAATATCTAACTTTGGCCTTAGGTACACCACTGGCCTTTGCTTCTTGAGGTACTAACATTAAAGAGCTAATTGTAACCATTTAACCAACATTTAGAAAATAAATGGGATCTTTTTGTGCACAGACATCCAGACCAAAAAATGACTCCTGGAGAAAAGTTAAGCCCATTTTGATGTAGGTCTCTTCTAATGTTCAAGTTCCAGTTCCTCCCAGAAGCATCCTAACTCTAGAATGGAAAGATTTCCTTCTTTTCTTAACTTCCATAAAGAATAATGCTGAATGGAGGCATACACTTCGTACACACTTGTTGATGGATTGAATCCTGTTGAAATTGGGCAACAAAATCCTTGTCTGCAAAGTTTAAGAGAAGCTAGAAGTTCCTTGGCATATCATCTGTGCCTAACAATAGTGTATTTCCAGGACTTTTTCCTTTTCCCAGTGCCCACAAAACAAGCTATTACTTCTCCACAGCTCTCAGAGCTGTCGGTGTCACCACAGCTCTGCTGGAAAATAAGGGGCTGTCATCTTTTTTTTTTTCTTCAGTTATGCAAACTTTCTTTTTACTATACTTTATGTCATTTGACATAGTTTAATGAAATTCTTCTTTCTGGAAAAATTAATTTAACTCTGGGAATATGTCTAAAATTGGCAGGTAAAAAATGAGAAATGGCACTGCTAAGCAGCAGTTTGTGGACTTTGAAGTGTCCAGGGGAAGGCAATGTGTGTAACTTTCACTAGTTACTGGAGTTTAAGAACAGTATATCTAACTGTAAATCAAAGGCCTATTTTCAGAAAAAAAATATGAAGGGATCCACAACATTCAGCTCAGGATGGAAATCAATGAAGACATTTTGAATAATGGTATCTGAGTAACTTGTTTACTACCAAATCACAATTTCAGTAAGAAGGAAATCTATTGTTGAATCAACAATGGAGCTGTTTCCAATCCTTTCTGGAGTAATGTTGGGGGGGAAATAAAAAAATACATAGGTAAATAAATAAAAGTAGTGTTTGGCACTTTTAGGTAAATATTATGAATGATTCTGTCCATGAAATTATATCATATGCTGGTGTTATTTAAATATTCTCTAGAGATATTAAACTACACAGGTAATATTAATTCTTACAACTTCCAACAACATGGGACAGTCAACTTTGGGGAAGTTTGTCTAAGAGCCAGAAGGTAACCAATGATGGCACTGATAACCTGATTGAGGAATAGATTTCTTTCTTAAGAAGACCTTAGTTACTTTCAAATTTAACATGAATATTTTTCCATGTACATATCTTTGACCTGTTTCACCTCTGTTACATTTAAATTTGAAGTCATGATAGTTTTGACATTCAAAATGAACTATGCTACACATTCTTTTCATTTTTGTAGATTAAAATTATTTTCTTCCACTCATCAGTTTCTTTCATCAAATGAAAACAGTTTTTCTTGGAATGATTGCCATTTCCCTCAGGTCAGTTGGTAAAAGACTGCCCAAATGATCTGTGTGTTTGCTTGGATGACAGGACTAAGCTATATCCAGATTTACAAGTTATCTTAATTATCCACATTTTGAGGCTAATTTAGTAGTAGAATAAAATATCTTGAAGAAATTGTACAGCTTTAAATCACTGCTTGTATGACAAGATTATTAATGGATAAAGAATAAATAAGAAACAGTGGGAGTTCCATCGTATGTACTTACCTTTCAATGAAGGGGAAGCAATCTATGCTCACTCAAACCGAGCCCTGTGGGAGGGTCTGCTGGGCTGCTCACTTGCTGTTGTCTGCCAGGCCTTCTCCAAGCCTGGAAAGGACCGGAGGTCCACGTGGCAGGCCACACAGAGACTGCTAAGCCATCACCTGAGAGTGGGTCTTTCCGCACAGAAGCTCACCTCCCCCCCATGACTCCCCCCATGAGTCATTGGTCTGGAAATCACATGAGACGTAATGACCAGTCATACGTCCTGCAGGGTTCAATGGCGGTGACACTTTTCCCCGAGAAGTCTCAATGTTGCGGCCTCCTCAATGGCTGCTGGATTTCTCATGGTGGCTGTCTGTGGCATTTTCCATCAGAAAACCCACTGGCAAATCTTCCTGTCAGGCTATAAAGATAACCTCAGAGATGGCCACCAGTAAGCTAATTTCTTAGCAGAATTTGGCACACTACAAATCAGCAGTTACCCTTGATTTAAAGCTATAAACCACTTTTTTCGATAGGGAGCCTGAAGGCAGGGAGCTGTGGGACCAGGAAGATTTCAATAGATATGATACTGTAGTTCTTTCTTTTGGTTTAAATTCCCTCCATCCATCAAGTGCTTTATCTGTCCCCTCATTCCTTCTTTTCCTCCCTCTTTCCATTTTTCCTTCCTTTCTTCCTTTCCTGTTTCCTTCCCTCTCTTCCTCCCTCCCTTTCTTTCTCCATCCTACTTTCTTCTCTCCCTTCTCCTTCTTTCCTTTCTACTTTTTTTCCTTTATTCCTTCATCTCTCCTTTCTTTATTCTTTTTTTTTCTTTTCTTCCCCCTCTTTCTCCTTTCTTTCTTGATGAGTACAAGCCTCCCGGGAGCACAGCTCTCATCTTCCATTGTATGCCCTCCTTGGCCCTTCAGTCTCCTCTCTTTCCTTCTTTCCTTCTTTCCTTCCTTCCTTCCTTTCCTTCCCTCCTTTCTTTCTCTCTTTCTCTCTTTCTTTCTTTCTTTTTTTTGACAGAGTCTCACTCTATCACCCAGGCTGGAGTGCAGTGGTGCCATCTCGGCTCACTGCAACCTCCGCCTCCCGGGTTCAAGCGTTTCTCCTGCCTCAGCCTCCTGAGTAGCTGGGACTACAGAAGTGTGCCTCCACACCTGGCTAATTTTTGTACTTTTAGTAGAGACAGGGTTTTACCATGTTGGCCAGGCTGGTCTCGAACTCCTGACCTCAAGTGATAAGCTCACCACGACTCCCAAAATGCTGAGATTACAGGCTTGAGCCACCACGCCCGGCCATCCTCTCCTTTCCACCCTGTTTCTCTCTTCCACATTCTATGTTTTATTTTTCCCTTTGAGGTACTTCTCTTTTTGTTTCCTTTCTTTCTACCACAAGCTCAGCCCACCACCTCAAAGCAATCCAATAAAAAGTTAGCAACTCCTAGTTTTGCACTTTGTGCTACCATTTAATCTCATTTGCAGCATTGCACCAGCAAAGGGAGATGTGAAACTAACAAGAGATATGTAAATAAAAATATATTAAGAAATCTGGCCAGCTGGAAGTAACCTGAAATCCAGTTTTGAAATAAACATGGAAGGAGAATAGAATGTCTTATTTAAATTTGGAGTTTTAGTTTGGTTTGAAAGACTGGGGCACTATAGAGTTTCTATCAAAATTATCACTCTTGACTTTAAGATGATCTTCAAAGTTTATATCTAAGATACCAAATAGTGTAGAATTCACGAGTATAGGTTCCTACCTCTTCCACAACCAGATGTTAAATATTGGGCCAGATACTTAAAATCTGGAAGCCTGATTTTTTCATGAATAAAATGAGGATACAAAGCATACTTAATCTTAGATCACTGCAAATATTAAATGATACAGTGTGAGTAAAATGCTTTATAAGTTACCTAACAAGTAGTTCATATTAGCAATTATTATGACTATTACTATTATTACTATATTTTTAGAAAAACCATTATGAAAGAATTTAAAAATTCAGAGAGCTGAAGTATTTATGTGTGAGTGCTGACAAGATCATATTAGAATATTGCATACGATTTTAAGAGTGACGAGGCCAACGAAAATTGAAATGCAAAATGGCAAAGGTCTTATTTAGTTACCTCTCTGCCTGCCGTAATCATGCTGGATTCCGCTCCAGTGCAATGGGTTTTGACAGGATTGTGACCCTAGATGTATCACCTGATCATTGTATGAGATTATAAAAGCCATTTAACCTTCTGGGTCTCAGTCTTTACATCCCTTTTCAACAAAACTGGGATAATAATACCTACCACATAGTGTTATCATGAGGATCACTAGGATAATGAGTTTGACAATGCTTTCTAATGAGTTAAGTGCTATTATCCACTTTTTCTGCAATAAGAGAACACAAATATATTTCTCCTAGAGACACAACTCCTATTAAAAACAAATTGGAGTTAATTTAAAAGAGCAGCAGGGTTTTTGACAAAGCATCATTATGTATGTCACCTCCATTAGCTTCTGTGATATGGCTCAGGTTGCCCGGTATGTGTGCCTATCTGCATAGCTGAATCACAGTCATAACAGTCGGAATAGTAAGCAAGGCTGTTTCCCATCCTTGCTTTGGGAAATGAAATAAAGTCAGCACCTCTGGGAAAAGAAGTTTGCCTGGATAAAGAAAGAACTCATGGAAAAACCATGAGGTTAATTTCAGATATATTGTATTTTTAGATCCCTTTTCATTTGGCTCATGGAACATGTCGGAAATGACAATTACACATAATTTATCTAAAGAACATAAAGATACAGGTAGTAACTGGACATTGTTTAACAAAAGCCAAGGTAACAAAGAGACCAAGGATTAGTCTGCCACCAATGTGATTTCAATCCATCAAAACCTCTTTCTCTTGGAGGAAAATCCTATTTATTTCTACTCTATCTCCTAAGCACAATGAGCAGCTTTTCTGTGTGGAAGATCCCTGCCCTCCAAGATGCAGCCCTACCCAGGAAAGGCTGCAGAAACCAGCATGCCAGGCTCACTCTCTAACCGAAAAGCTCTGGAAAGAAGAAAGAATTGTTTCCATTTCTATGTTTGTTTTTTGAGAGAGGCCTAAGCCTCCTGAACATGGCAGTCTCAGTTGCAAAACTCAGCAAATGCTTTTTCAAGTGTCCAGCAATCTCTTTAGTAATATTGATATTTGTTCTTCCTATCTTTTTTTCAAATTAGGCTAACTTTGGCTGCAGGGTAAGTAACCTCTACCACTTACTGTCTGTAACTTTGATCAAGGTATTTAACCTCTCTCCTCTCTTCCTGTTAGTTTCCTAGTTTGTAAAATGGGAGTAATAGTAATAGTGATGATAATAATAATAATAACCACCTTTCTTCTGAGTTTAATGGAAGATGAGGTGAGATTAGATGCAGAAGTGCCTATCCTATTGCCTGGTACACTGTAATAGCCAACACATCTTAATGTCTCTCCTGCCTGCTTTTTCTTGCAAACCACTATTACTTGAAGTGCAACCCCAATGCCACATCATGGGGACAGAAATGCTACAGAGAGGAATTCATTAAAGGTCAAGACGAGGCTTGACACACAAGTTCAAGGGGACAGAAGCTCAGTTACAACATGGCCTGACCTGACCTTTTTATGTTCAAATCATTTCCGGGTCAGGCAAGACCACCCTGGAGGCATTGCATCCTCCTTCTCCCTGTCACCCTTGTATCCTCTCAAAAAAATGTGACCAGCCTTTTGTCTCTTTGATGTGGCTATAAGTAAAAATGCATAAATGACCTGGAATCCCACCTAAGGATTAGGAATTTAATGGTGATTTAAGCCAATCACCAATCTAATATTTGGAGATAAGGCAATTGGAGGACCTTTGATTATTAGTTTAGAACCACAGTCAGATGATATGTTTGTAGAAAGGATGGAGGAACTCAATAAATGGACATTTCAGCAATAAGTTTGAGGTGCACTGGGAATACCACGAGGGGGTGTTGGGGAGCAACTCAACCAGAGAGGCCCAAGGGAGTGGAGAGTTTGGGAAATGTGACTTGAGACTTAGCCTGCCACGAGAGGGACCACAGAGAACCTGACCTGACCCCATGCTTTGTGCACAGCTGGCAGAAGCCTCAGGCCTAAACCCCATACCTCACATGAGATCACAATTTTTTTTCTTGAAAAAAGAAAATAATTAATACTCAATCTTAAAGCCAGAATCAGGATATTGTTTTGTCTCTAGAAAAGGCTTCTGGAATTATAACTAATGGTATAAAAACTAAGAAATAAGTTCACATTAATCCTCATAATTTTATCTTTAATTAATAAAATAGCACATTTTTTAGAAAATCACCTTTTTACAAACACCTCACTTTCTCTTTGACTTCAAAAGTGACAATTGCAGTGAGGTAAGAAGGGGACTCACCATCTTTCAACTTTACCAAGAAAGAAACTGAGACACAGACTAAAATGACAGCCCTAGTTTCTCAGCTGGCCAGCAGACACCTCCTGTTCCCAGACAGCGTACTCTTTCCCCACCCACATTTGTTCCCATAGGTTAAAAAAAAAAAAAAAAGCCCTAAAATAAACTGAGTCAGGAAACACTGGTGACAAATAAATCAAACTAGTGGTTAATGCCATGATATACAGTCTTTTTAATTATCCAGCAATTCTATTGCTGTCAGTGCTTGTGTTCACAACTATTCACTCATTTTTACCTATTCCTTCATAGAACTATTGGCAGAGCAATGTTTTCTCAATTCTTGGATTTCCAGCAGGCCACTAGGTGAGACCACACTATCATAAAACTGCTCTTGTTTATCTGCATATTACATCCCCGGTTCCTGGACATTGCTTTCATCCTAGATTTCAGAGTCTGATACAACTGTTCAGCAACATCTTATTCTGGATGTTACTACACCTACGCTGTCATCAATAATGTAACATATTCTAGCTATAAAAACATAAAGTATGAGGCTTCAGATTATCTTAAAGTTATCATTTGATAATTTAAAACTCTGTAGGCTTTAAGTTCCAACTATCAGATAGGCCTTTTTTTTTTTTCTTGAGACGAAGTCTGCCTCTGTTGCCCAAGCTGGAGTGCAGTGGCGCGATCTCGGCTCACTACAACCTCCGCCTCCCAAGTTCAAACAATTCTCCTGCCTCAGCCTCCCGAGTAGCTGGAACTACAGCCACGAGCCACCATGCCCAGCTTATTTTTGTATTTTTAGTAGAGACAGGGTTGCACTACGTTGGCCAGGCAGGTCTTGAACTCCTGGCCTCGTGATCCGCCCGCTCCGGCCTCCCAAAGTGCTGGGATTACAGGCGTGAGCCAGCGCACCTGGCCATCAAATAGGTTTCTATGAGGCATCATTAATCATAGGCTAAGCATATTCTGCCCCAAATTTCCCCATCTGAACTCAATTGTGATAGAAACACTTTTATTTAATTCAATTCAGTTAAGTAGACTCAGCAAGAAAAATCAAGTCATGTTGTTTCCTTCTGTTTATTTTGGTTAGAAAATTAAGAAGCACTTTACAGAATAATCATGTCCCTCTTTTGAGGAGTAAGTATAACATTAAATAAAGCACCTTGCCAAATCCTGTATGCATTTATTTCTAAAACCCATTATCCCAAGTGACTAGTTCTGTGGACTAGACATTTTCATAAGGGGTAAGGGGGACAGGGAGAGGAAATAGTCATTGTTTTAGAAATGAATAAAGTTTAAAAGACACTGTAATCATCCAGCATCTTTAAAGAGTGCTATTTATTAAGAATTAACATATAAAACTATTATCAGTATATTGAAAACAAGACTTTTGTACCATGGTGAAGTTGACAATATGCTATTATCCTGTGGGGTACGTAAGAAATTAATAAATGAGTTCAGAAATAAAGCACTGATAACAGCAGCTAAAGCTGTGCTTCACAAAAGTTCCTTTAAATCCAGATGCTATCAATGGGTTCACATTGGACGCCTCCTCGTAAAATTACCAAATTCTCTTTATCTCTCATGACTGATCATTTAAATTTTTCCTGTCATCTGTTTTCATACTGAGTGTTGAGCTTTTTTTATTTTCCCCAAGTCCCTGGAAGGGAGGAGGAATCAAAGCCTATCTTGATATGCAGAATCTACAAAGTAGCTAGAACTGGAAAGCTTCCTATCGGCAGACAAAGCAATCCAAATCCAAGCTACTGTTATATCAAAACTTGTGAAGAGTGGATGGAAAAATATACTGAGGAAAATGCTGACGACCTGCTTTAAAGCTTAAATATCTTTGTTGCAAGGACAGTGATAAATAGAGAGCAGTTAAGAGTCATCTGGAGTACCAAAATGTCATTCCACTACTGTATTTATTTTTAGCATTTATTATTATTCATTGGGCACTCCTAGAATAATGGTGGTGTGAATTATGCATAGCAGAATGGAATGGAGGAATGGTATTTATAATGCTAAATTTACAAACATGAGAGAAATTAGTAATACTATGGTTATCAAAGGAAACAGGCCTAATTAAAGAAATAACCGCTACAAAACCATATGCAACTCAAAGCAGAAAAAGACAATTCAAATTTAATGAATGCCTTTAATATTAATTACAGAATTCTTAACAATACATTGGGACAGCTCTCTTGGAGAATTCAGCTTACTGTTTAACAGTTTCTGACTAATTTTATTAACCTGTACATCTGAGAGGATCAACCCCCTCTGGGTTTAATTAGAAGGAAATTCAATTTAAATCTAAATGTCAACAGTGGTTACTAATTATGGCAGAGCCCTGGACGGGACAGCCAGTCTGTAATCAGGCAGTTCCCTGGTAACAATTAACACTTTCTTTCTGAGTTATGAGTGCATTAGGATATTTTAAAATAAATACGATTCAGCACGGGACACTGCTAATATCATGAGCCCCTACTGCTAGGTGCAGACATGCAGAAGAGGATGCCAAATTAAATTACAGAGATTTCTCAAACATATAGCTGAATAATAAGCAGCTACAAAACTAGGTCAGGGTCGAAAAGCTAGAGCTGAATTCCCCTCCCCCAACATGCAAAATAAATATACCCACTATCTCTGAATAGAAATCATTCTTTTGTTATGCCCTTTGTCAAGAATACATTATTGCAAAATGATATTTATTTCCACAATCTTCACAGCTGTGAGCACGACTGAATTAATCTTTCTAGAACTGATTTCATTTGCAATTTCGTAATTACGATTATAAAATGTAAATTTATTACTTAAAAAAGAAATGATTATAAAAGACATAGATAAAAAAGACAGTGCTTTATCTATTGGTTTGCTTTGCTTGATACTAATGAAATAAATAGCTGACTAACCCTGAAATAAAAACAAACAGTATAAAGATGATTGCAAAAATGTGAAATGAAAGCTAGGAAAACAATAAAAAATCAGCTCTTTTAATGTAACACATACAGTGATAATGTGCTCATAGAAGTACCAGAACATGCAAATTTTGTCATGGTGAGGCTAAGCTTTAATGGTTAGTCATTTGAGATGTTTCTATTGCTGTTACTCTTTAAATGTTGGCATTAAAGATAATACAGAAAATACTTGGGTACCACTAATCTTTTTTCCCCCAGCTTTCAGTTTTATGCTCTTAAATGATAATCTCTAGCAGGCGATTTTCAGACTGTTTAATATTGATGACCTAAATAACAAATTAGTTTAAAGAAATCCATATTTATGACTTCAATTTTTAGTAAAATGTAGTCACTAAATTGGTCTTCTCTTCTTAAAAAAAATCATTTTTTATAATCAATATTTAAATGCCTACTGTGTGCAAGGAATTATACTGGATGCCGGGGTATACATAAGAATTCAAAAACAAGCATCACTTATTCAATTGCTACCAGTTAAAAATAATAAAAACAGGTATTTTTTAATAACCAGGACAAAATAAACCATTTATTTTATGAAGTATTTTTATTTACATAACTCACTTTCCCCCCAAAACTGGAGTGATCCACTTAATTAAAGTATCAATTTAATTTTCCCTGTTTAAAATTGTGACTCATTAATCTGGGCAAACACAATTAGTATACATTGTATTAAATATATTCAAGTGTTAAATGTCAATTACAGAAACACCACTACTGCTAACTATGGCTCAACTAAAAATGAATGTCAGTAAATGATTCTATAAGCACTTATGCTCATAATAGATGCAGCAGTATATTCAAATAAATATTACCATGTAAAACTGCTATTTATTTATCATGTGACCTCAACCAATAAAGATTCTATTTCTGTATTAGGAATGCCTTGGTTCTCTTTCTGCATTTGATCAAAATCACAAAGCAAAAATGCAAGCAATGTCACAAGGCATGTATTATATTCAAATGGATCCAAACTAGCTGCAGAGGAAAAGGCCATTTAAGCTTATGTAACAAAATAAGCTTAATAGATATGAATAAATTATTTTTTACCATATGATTCCATTCCATTTGCTTTACCTGTCCTAAGATACTGAGTTTTTGATAAAATATTTCTACTTATGACTTTTATAGCTTTGTAGAGTGTGCGCCTAGCAGAGCTTCTGGGTCAGCCTCCCAATCCCAATATTATCTATCACCTCCTCTAGCATGAAGGTTAATAACTTCTGGCTGAAGATGTCTACATTGCTCCTTCACTGTTTATAGCCATGAACTCTTCCAGGGGGACAGATGGCATCCTTCCTCCTTGAAGAGTCCACGTTTCACCTCTGGGAGGCATGCTGCCTCCACCAGGCTGCGAGGACATCGTCTAGCTTATCTAAACAATTCTAAGGCTGGTATTACTAACATTCCGCAAGTAGACCTTTAGTTAGCTGTAATAAACATATGCTACTTATCATACTGTAGCACTGTTTAGAAATTCATAATATTGTTTAAACATTCTATATGTAAATGAAATTTGGAGAGACCCTGTCTATGTAAATTATGCTTTGATTTCTTTTTCTTTATTTTTTTAAATGGCATTGTGCATCAGAGAGTATTTTTCACTAACTTCTTCAGCTCTCTACAATATCCTTCAAAATGGTACCTGAGGCACGGTATCATCCCCTGGAGGGAAACAGCTTAACAAGTGTGCTTTGCTGGTTAATTATAATGCTTCAAGGTCTGTCTTAAACTAGTATTGAATGACTTGTTTGTCCTTTGCTGAGGATAAATTTGAGATAATTTTCATAGAGATATTCCATTATTAGACACCTGTTAGGTGCTAGATCTCTTAGAAGAAACATGTTTTTAAAACTTAAGTAAAAGGAATAAACAAGAACAATTACGTTGAATATGTGATAGACAGTATAATAAGCCATGCTTCTTACACCAGTTTTTAACTGCAATTCACCAGGTAATATTATTCTGAGTATTATATTACAAACTCGGAACAGGTGTCTAGAGCTATTTTTCTACACTTTTAAATGTTAACTCTTTCTCCCTGCATAACTGAAGCTTTAGTTCAGATCTTTTGATAACAAAAAAGGAAGTTCTATAACCACAGCTCAATAATAAGGTGAATGGAAAAACAGTTGGTTTCCGTCTCCCTCAACTGCTTACATTGATGTGTTCTAGTCAAAAAGAGAAAGAGAGAGTGTACATTCTCCATTATACCAACAACCCCAATGGCAAACGATAGATACAAAGCACTGTTTTTTACTCCCTGTTGCATAAAGGCTTTATTTTTTATATTTTTATGAGTAATCTAATTTTTACTTTTATTTAGGACCATAAATTCCAAGCAAAGACTGAGTAGATTCATAATGTGCCACTGTTCAACAAAATATTTTCAGCCATTGAAATGGTAAGGTTTTAAGGAAATCGACAGTCCTATTTTATATTTGTTGTCATAGTATGGTAGTTTTACACCATCTTCTCAGGGGCAGACTTGACATTTTTGTGGACAAGAACCCAGGTGAGAAAGAAAATATCTGAAATGGGTGTGTCAGTGGGAACAGGGAACTGGGAAGGCTCTGGAGAATTCCTCTCCCTTTTGTCCCCTACCTTTTGCCCTGGCAGTTGGGCTTAGCAACACAGAGGAGCTCTCAAGTTTTATTTCAATATCAGGAAGATTCCAGAATAGCGTTTCCCAAAGTCGGTTCCACAGTATGGATAGTATGTCACGCTCCAATAGATTAAGTAAGTTGGGACATGCAAGGTTAAACAAGTCAATGAATGTCTCTATTGCAAGATTTCCCAGGGGTTCCGAGTCACACGGAAGGATTCTAAATCCATATACCCCACGTGCTTTCCCACCATTTTACTCTCTGGGGTGTTCCGGAGTTTCTTCACTCCTCCTGCAGAACCCAGAACCAACACTGGCTTGAGGCTTACTGTGGACTCCCCAGGGTGAGTTCAACAACTGTGGACCTGAAAGTTTGAACTTTTCTTCTTGATTTTAGCAATATATTCATAGTTAATGCCTTTCTTGCTGATTAAAAAAACCCCTAAATTTTAGGGAATAGCCTCAACAATCCCACTATGACTACCCAGGACTGAGAACAGAATAATTGTAATTTTTAAAGATATGGATTATTATGGTTAGCCTAGCTCATGGTTGATTCTCAATGATTTAACTTGCCAGGACAGTTCCTTAGATGTCTAAGAGTTCTGTTTTCATTGTTAAGCCTTGTAGCCTGGGTAATCACTATTGTTATCCCATTTTAGTTTCTGAGTATAAGATTTTGTATTGTTTGATAATCCCTATTTTATAAAATTTTTTTCATAGGTAGATCCTGATTAATTTTCTCACCAGGATACATCATTTACTTTCGTTAATACTCAACATTCATTTGCTTTCTTTAGTGTACAAAATTTAAACATTATATAGCATGTTTCCTAAAATTGAGGGATAATTACATAATTTAGATAATTGATAGACTACAGACTAGTAAACATAGTATTCTTCAGGGTATCATGTTTTAAACATGCATTGTTAAATAAGAAATTGGTTAGCCTTCAGCATTAAAGCCAGATTATTAGCAAATAACTAAGTGGAACCAAAAAAATCCACAATCCTGATCTTATCAAAATAATTACAGAACCTTTAATGTCCCACTAGGCACAGAGAGAAAGAGAATGTGGCACAGAAAGAATAGTGTAATGGAAACAGACAGAAATAGGACAGCCATTCTACTTTTTACACAGCAGACACAAACTAGTGTCGAAAGTTGAAGAGAACACAAAAATGATTGCCTAGCCAAAAATGAAATTTAATTTGTGTCTCAATTGACAAAATATTAAGAATATATTTGTAAGTAAAACAAAAATATAATTTAATGGGTTTACTCTTGTCATTTCATATAGATACAAATCATTTAGAACAACAGATGAATATTTTCTGTGTGTGTAGCCATATATATGATATTTATATTTGACCATATAAAATGGAATGAGAGTATGCATAATATGTGTGTGTTTCTACTTTGGAATCATTACAGATTATCATTTCACTCGGTGAGCAGTGTATTTCATATATTCTACAATTCGGCCATGTAACACTTAGAAGTTGATTTGCTTTGCAAAATATTTTTCTCCTGATGGAACTCAGCTGCATCTCTCAAATGAATCATACATAGTTCACTCTTCAAGATTAAATATGAAATACTATATACTTACAACTGCATGGCACATAGTAGGTACTCAGCTTGTAAAATGAATGAACAAATAAATGAATGAATTTATGCCTTGCCTATGAGTTGTTTCTACAATGCTAGTTTTCAACCTTAGCTCGGAAGATAGTACAGTACTACAAATTTTGTGGAAATGTTTTCAGGAATAGGCTTCAAAACCACTATAGAAAGTATTTGTTTCATAAACCATACTGGGCTTCCACTCAAGTATTTACAGGAAAGGACAGAGTTCTTGTTTTTAATGTGAAAACTGCAGGCCCACAGAGTCATTCAAGGATCTTCACAATTTGGTACAACCCCATCTTCCAATCATTTCACTTAGGATAAGCTCAACTATTAATATTTGTCATTTCCATGATGTCCCACCCGCTGTGAGGACTTCTACTGCTACTCTTTGCTGAGAATGCTTTTCTTTATCCTCTCTGCATGTCCAAAACTCACTCTACTTTCCAGCCCAGCTCAGAATCAATGTTTCTCCATGCCCACAACTATAATGCACAATCAAGTGCTACAGGAATGCGATACAGTATTTAAGATATAGCTCCTGTCAAAGTCCTAAAATGCCATGTGCCTGTATGAACAGGCATATCATCAGACATCTTACAATTTCTTTTTAAGTGTCATGTAAAAGTATTATCATACTTTTACATTGCATGATCATGCTTTTACGTTGCCTTTACATACCATGTGCATACCACTACATTATTTACCATTTATACGTGCACATACCATTACATTATGTACCATACTTTTACATTACCATACCCTTTATAAGTATAGTAAACTTCCCATTGTAAATAAAAATGCATTTTGATAGTTATCAAGTTTACTTAAAGTTGTATCTATAGAATATAGTTTAGGCAATAGTAATCATTCCTATGTACAAAAGAAGCTTTTCCTTTTATTAAAGGAATAGAGTTCCAGCCTGAGCAACATAGTGATACTGTGTCTCTACAAAAAATAAAAAAGAATCAGCCAGGCATGGTGGTACATGCCTGTAGTCCCAGCTACTCAGGAGGCTGAGGCCAGGGAATCATTTGGGAGTTTGAAGCTACAGTCAGCTGTGATCATGCCACTGCACTCCAGCCTGTGTGACAGAGCCAGACCCTGTCTCAAAAAAAAAAAAAAAAAAAGAGTTGTAAAATTTAATTTCTCTAAACCAATGTAACAGCAGAAAATGTATCTAAAACTTAAAACTTTTTAACAAAGGGATAATTCATTCCAGCCTTTTTTTTTCTATTAAAAAAAAATTGCATGAAGTCAAAGTGCTAACCAAGCTCTCCTGTGCACACTAGCTCCTGATTAGGGAAGTGGGGAAGCAGGAGGGGGAGGTTGGAGAAAGAAATGTAGTATGAGATTCTCTGGTAGCTAATAAATACATGGCTATTGTCCCTGAAAATACTGCCATCTGTTGTCAGGAAAAAAGGTCACTTGTTAAATTTTGCCAGGCAACAGGTTTTTCTACAAGCAAAAAAAAAAAAAAAAAAATATATATATATATATATGCACATATATACAATGTCAGATATATATAGATAGAGATAGAGATAGATATAAATCTGACACTGTTTCTTAACTGAGCAGGTAATCCTCCAGAAAGGAAAGTCTCTACAGGACCTACAATTTGGAACATATCCAAAATACAAAAATAGATTGGTTTTCTCGAATAGTGAAATAGTTCTCTAAAACAAGGTGACTCCTGTTGTAGGCACCTCTTAAAAATTACCATAAACTGGTATATACCATTTTGATTTTCCTTCAAATATATGCAGAGAATCAAAATCATGATTGAAATTCCAACCGTCACACCTGGATTCATACCATCTTTTTATTAACTTTTCCTGAAACTTTCTATTAAATTTTATTAGGTGATAAAAGCTACAATATTTCCTTGTGGATCTATAACAGAAGAGAAAGGAGAAAAATCACCCAAATCATCATTTAGTCAGTCTGTATGTGAGAAATTTTTGAAGTCTACATGTAATGTTATTTTTTGTTACAAAATAGCTCACATTTCCTATGAAGGGATTATTACAGAAACCATTTGTCACTTACCTCCCTCTAAAGTGTCACCATTTTTAATTAGGAAATTTAAGTTGCACCCCTGATTAAATGCAGAAGGTGTTTATGAACCATCATGATATCAATTTAGATTTTCTAAATTAGACTGAATATTTTAACTATGATTTAGAAACTCTAATCATATAGTGAAATGGAGTTAAACTTAAGTTTGGTGAGTTTTGTGAATTTCATTGGCATGTTCCCAGTCTTTAAACTCATTCATTTTCATTTCAGTCACCCACAATTATCTCACTAATGGAGGGGGAGGATCAGTGTAGAAAACCCAACCAAAGACTCCGACATGTTCTATGTGAGAGCTTTATGTACACTGTCATTTAAACCACACAACTCTATAACACCGGCTTTCTAGACCCCATTTACAAATGAAGAAATGAAAGAGGTCATGTACCTTCCCTAATTCCACACAGCTAACAGCCAACGGGATTTAAACCCATGCACATTCAGCTCCGTAATTCTTGCTTTTTCCTTTACCTCACACTGCCTCGATACATGCATAAATTGTAAATTGTGTGATCTTACTTTTCAGATTACAGGATGATTGATTTGCTTTTGCTTAAATTATTTCTGCTTCTTAAAACGTAGCAACTGGTAAACTCATAGTGAAGAAAGGCTCATCTAAGATGTCTAGGTGGAAGCAGATCTTGAATATGGGATTTAAAAGTGATAATGGATGATTCACAACTAGAAATAGACAGGTGAGCAATCAGGAGCTAGGAATGAAAGGCCAGTATATCTGAACAGTGCCTGTGGTGGTCTTGACCGTTGGCTCACTTTGCCTAGACAAATGCTGTCTTGAAGGATGACAGCAAAACCCAGCTTACAGTTTGGAATTGAGACCTTCACTACTCCAGTGGGAGGTGAAAGGTGAAAAGCTTCTATGAAAAGCACACACACCATTCTCAAATGGCTAGAAACCAGTTACTATTATGAGCTCTAACTCCTTTCATAAACAGTCACATTTAAATTATGAAAATCTCAGTGGTGTATGACTTCCACTCTGCAATTTTTGAAGTTCAGACCAATGATGTGCAGCAAACCTGCTTTGAGGACCAATCTCGCTGAGAAACTGAAGGTTTATAAGAAGACTTTTGAGCCTATAGCTTAGCTTATGTGTGTTCAGTGCACTTCATATCATTTTGAGAATAATTTATGAATCCAGTTTAGTACACAGTTAATGTCCAACCTGTGCCTGTTACTATGATAATCCCTAATCTTTACAAGAGTGTTGCATGCACCTTTCACACTCTCATGAGCTGTGAAAATACCTGAAGGTACTCTATGACTCTAATTTTCAATATTTGAGAATCACATAACAGATTTTACAATACATATTTTATCTGGTCAGTCTCTGAATTTTACAGTTGGAGAAGGCAACTCTGAGAAGTTAAGTCATCTGCTCGAAATCCCACCACCACTTAGTAACACAACTCATCATAGGAGACTCAGTCTATGGCTCTTTCCACTACATTACAAATAAAGGACCCTATTATTTTTCCATAGTTGAGAAGTTTTGACTGTTCTAATGACATGGAAGGTCACTAAGATTTACCTTCTTGGAATAGAGACTATTGCTAAATGCCAACCCAACTTATTTGCTGTGTGAAATCAAGTAAATGCATTTCACTTCTCTGAATCTTTCTTTTCTCACCTACAAAATGGGAATAGTAATACTGACTCCAACACAGAGTGTTGTGCCAGATAAACGGGTTCCTGTCCTTCTAAAAAAATGTCATACCCTAAAATGATTATAGTCATCTGTTGGTCACAAAGCTTGAGCTTGAAAAAGGAAATAAGTGAAACAGTGCTTGAACTCCCCAAAGTTCTCACTTCAGTTAAGTTATGGGAAAATCAGAGAAGAGAATTCCAAGTTGGGCACATGGAAGAAAAGAGTTTATAGTTTTCACTACAATCAAGAGCATACTTAAGCTCAATAAAGGTAATGAAAAGAAAAGGCAATATAAAGAAAAGAAAAAGAAATAGCTGTATATTAATAGAACATCCTGGGGAAGTCCTTCTCTGAATCTGTGTCTTTCTCTCTCTCGCACTGGATTATAAACTTCTTGATGGCAAGCCTCAGACCTCTGAATCTGTGTAATCACCTAGTGCCTGACATATGAGAAGTATTCAGTATGTGCTTGTTGATATTAAGAGATAAACTGTCTGGATAGCTATTTTCGCTTATAGTTTAGAAATAAATATTTCACAGCATTTGAACAATTTTAGATAAAAATATTTCTAAAGTGAATTGTGTAATCAACGCTTTACTAAAAAGCTTATAGCTTCCTTTTTCTTGATAAATCAGAATTTTGGGTTGGAACATTAATTACTATAATTTTCCATAAAAGAAGATATTCTCAGTAGCTACTAAGTGTCAAAGAAAATGGCCCCAGGCCTTTATGCTTCTTAAATTCTTAAGAGTAGGTATTTTAAAAACAGTTCGTCCAGATCCTACATACCTGTCAGGCTGTCACGTTTTTGTGTTCAGCTAGCGGCCTGACATGGTAGCCAGCAGCCCTCTTTATAATTTGCTGCTGCTAAATGCAGTGGTCTAGGAAATCTTATCACTAACCCAGCTAGGCTGTGTATAGGATGTGAGTTTCAGATAATCTGAATTATATCTCTTCTGGCTGCTACTTTTTAAAAACTAACTTCTGTGTGCTTGTCTTTACCCCCGAAAAAGAAAAAAAAAAGTGTCTGAGCTCTGGAAAAGCGGCCGTGTGATTATCCCATACAATTTACAGTGACAACATAGCCAAGATTCATTTTCTTTTAAAAGTAAAATTATTAAAGTAAATGTCAATTCCAAAGCCAGTCAAATTTGGCAAAGTTTTTAATTAATAGGATTATTAAAGATCATAGTGAAGTGTTTTTAAATATCAACTATTAACAGAAAATGATATATAGTAGCCACAGAAATCCCTTTATGCTTTAAGAAAGTTCAATCTCCATATTTCTACCACAAAGCGGCATTTCAGAAAATCTTAGTAGGTAAACGGTAGAGTGTAAAGTACAGTTAACTTGGACTCAGAAGGCCCAGGCTTCAGCCCTGACAGCCCCTAGTACTGCAGCCTTGGGCGAGCCACTCAGTACGCATCTGCAAGATTGATAATCTGGGCCAGAGGATCCTAAAGGTCCCTCTCAGGATGAAATTCCCTGATTCTATGCTATTTCTCGAGTGGGACTTCATTATAATATGTCTGTGTGGGGGTGTTTTATGCAAAAAGAAAGAAATGGTAAGTTCATTCAATCAATAAATTCACCAGCTGTTTATTTAATTCACTAGAGACTTGTTAAATACCTACTGTACATCCAATATGAGACTGAGGCCAGTCCACCCTCCACGGAGGCTCACCATTATCCAATCGGGAAGGTAGGACTACACATAAAGTAAGCAGCAAAGTTTACGTTCTTAGCCAGGCACATAGGACCTTCAAGCATAAAGGGATCCCAACCTACACTTCTAGCCTTCTCTATAGCCATTCTAACCTGATAAATGCCACATTTTAAACACACCTACTGATCACACCGCTGGCGAACATCCAGTGATCTTCCCACCTCTCTGCCTTCTCCCCCTAGTCTCTCAATCGGCCTGGTGACTTTCTTCTTCAAGGCCCAACTCAGAGGTCACCTTCTCAATGGCTCTCCAGCTCCTGTTTCCCCAGGCAGATGGTTCGCTTACCTGCATTCCCCTCCAATTTCATCCTCATCATTGTCACTGCACTTCTCATACTGAAGCAGCATCCAGTGTTCATAGGACTGCCTTCCCCATGTAGGGGACTCATCAAGGACCAGGACCTTGCCTCACTCTGATTCTACCTCCAGAACTAACGGAGTTCCAGTCTTGGAGTCAGTACTCAAAAAGGGTGACTGAATAGAATTGAACTGGTTGTAAGCAATGCACCACGTGAGTGTAAACACACAGGACTACAGCTTTATCGAGGTGCAAGTTTCAAGAGTGGCAAAAAAATGAGACCAAGTTTATATGCTCTATCTGCGCTCATTCAAGGGCATTGACGGGTTCTAGATTTGTTTCACTTAATTTTATGTTTTTTTTTTCTTTCAGTCATTCATTGAACACACTAAATGAGCCCCAGTGGAGTCAATATTGAAACTGCACAATAACCGTGTACACTTTGGATCTGTCCTCTTTCTAGGACGGTCCATGGTCCCATGTCACTGTGATGACCTACTTCAGAGTGCTGCTGGCATCTTAGAGGACAGGTTTTAGTAACTAGCAAAGTCATGGACCAATAGGAAGGCCTGAGAGGAATGTGTAAGAAAAGCAATAGAAGAATGGAACTTGGTGGGCCATGAGTACAAACATCTCATTTTTTTAAAACAACTAAAAAAGGAGGCAGGGCACAGGGATGAGATTGATCACTTTTCTGGACTACACGTGCATGTACTTCACAGCATTGTGCTATAGACTCTCCAAGGATTTCTTTCAATCTGATAAATGAGCTATTTTCCTTTAGCAATCTGAATTTGGATAAGAAAGCTTACAGGATCTAGAATCCACTATTATTGTCAGTCCCATAAGCCTGTAACCCTTGGACACTGAGAAATGCTATTAACAGCACTTGCCATTTGAGTGACATTCAGGTACCATGTACTGCACAGAGTGATTCTATCATTTAACTTCTTAAAGTTTCAAGTCATCCAAAAGAAATATGCTCCACCTACTGAAGTTGCAGTATTTAACAAATGACAATTTTCTGCCTGTCTTGCCCCAGGAGCACCAAATATTTGAATGCAAAATTTTCATAAGAGCATGAGACAATTTAATACATTTATAGAATTCTTTAAAGAGAAAGAGAGAGAAAGGAAAAAAAAAAAAAAAACCAAACCAGTGTCCCTGTGATTAGTCCAGAAGGAGTGAGGGAAGCAATGGAGAAGGGGGAGTGAAGAAGAGGTGGAAGGTGACTGCTGAAGGCTTTCGTGATTACCAAAATTCCATTGGCTAGTTCCCTGTTTGCACCTTTGCATCCCTTTATTCGTGGTCTCACCATGAAAGCTACCACCTGCTAGAGAAACAGACTGGGTGCAATCTACAAAGGAAATGTTTCTGGTTTCTGGTTTAATGCTAAAGTTATGTCCAGATTATCTAGTTCTAGGCCCTGGAACACTACTGGTTAGTAAAACACTTGCTTACAAAGAAGGTTCCAAATTTTATAAAAGCATATAACATCTCCAGCAGGCAGAAATATCTGTCTACCTAAGAGATGCTAGAATTACAGACCACGAAAGTATCCTCCAATTACACTTCAGATTTAAAAAAAGTGTGATCTTCGAGATTTGCAGACATTTTTGCAATTTATTGTCTTTGTTTCTGTGTTAGTCACATGAAATGGGTCCTTATGTCATAGGAACAAGGTTTTTTTTTTTAAATTTTTCAATGAAAGATGATTTAAAACATGAAAATGTTTTCTTTTTAAAACCAGTCTTTCTGTTTGACAGCACCAACTGGTTTGAGTCTAAGTACCTTTCTAAAACATTCTTGATTTGTTGTACAGATTTATATCTTTTCATGTTTCCTCTCATCATTAAGCCAATTATGAAGGAATTATTACCTTTGCCCAATCTGATTTTTTACGGACTTCATTGAAATAGTCTCATCACTCACAATCTACTCATGAGATTGGTCCATTGCCCAGAAGTGCACAAATGATATTTCTGATGAACTCCCATTAGCCTTAGAGGAGTTGCCGGTACACATATGATCCTCATCAAGAGATGAATATAGACTTCTATATATTTGAACATGGTAATAGGTCCTTTCTTGCAAAACTGTGACCTACTGCTCTTCATTCACATGGTTGTTAGCTGGTTAAATTTAGCCAGGTTTTGTATTTCACTGATATCCCATGTGAATTATTAGGAATCAACTCCCTAACATCAAGTCTTACAACTCTGTGTTCAAAGAAGAAACATCTTTGAAATCTTTCGAAGCATGAATTCATTAATAGATGATATACTAAGCATTAGAACTAACTGCATGAATTTGTATCTGTTACCACGAATTTGTATAAAATAGCAGTGAGCTCCCCTTAATAAGTAATTCTTTTTAATATTGCTAATCAAAACATTTTAATTCTGTTATTAAAATAGCAGCATGTGTTTGACCCAGTTGTGCCTAACTTATCATTCCTCAATAAGAACGAACTTTTTTTTTTCCTTCGAAAGGAAGTTTATAAATATGCTAGGCACATATTTCCAAGTCTTAATTTAAAACCAATGGCTATAATACGAGCTACAAAAATGAAACGTTCCTCATTTGGAGCCATAATTCAGAAAAGGGGTTATTTTACAAAGGCTTAGAAGCCATATATTTTATAGTTTCTTAGACATCAAAAATGAATTGTTTGCAAAGAAATTCATAATATATGCTTCAGGCTATTTTGGCAAATGGAGAGTATTGGGAAGATCTAATATATAGACAGATATAAACATATATCTAGATAGATATTTAGATAGATAGATACATGCATACATACATACATACATACATACATATATAGATATTGCCTATGAACACTTTTCTAAATAACACCTGGGGTGCACACTCAGGAACATAGATTACGTCAGCTCCTTGACTTGGCTGCAATGTTACTCAAAGCAGAAAAATAGACTTTTTGAAAGAACTTTTCTTTTTCCCACTTAGGTTTTCAAACAATAGCAGATTTCATAGTTTTAATATGAACAAAGTCTGCTCGATCCTTCAAAGTTACATTAAAAAGACAATTGCTGATCTACCTAAGTTTGTAAACAGGTAATTTTAGAAACATTATGGTAGCTGTAAAATATTTTTTCAATTGTTTTTATCATTGCTATAGTTTTTGGCTTGATTAGTCAATAACTTAGCAAACCTTGAGGTTCACAAAGTTGTAAAATTCTGAATTGAGGCTTCAGGAAATTTATTTGGTTTTCATCAGCATACAAATAGATAATTGCTCGTTTTGGGACAGAAATACTTTACAACTAAAGTACTTTCCCTCGGAGGAAATCGTACTGTCATTTGTTTTTATTTTCAAAATGAAAACAAATGGCACTATAATTCCTAAGGGCAAAAATGACTTCAGTCTATTTCTTTTCCTATACACTCTCATTTATTCATTTTTAGTTAGATGGAATATAGATATAGTCCCCACCCACCCCCCATCCCCATGACTTCCACTGCCACAAAATGTATTCAGTCGCTGTACAGTAATTAACAGCTCTTGACTGGAAAACTGCCAGCATGTACAACGTGACACTCTTCCTTTGAACACTAACAAAGTGCATAAGTAATTTATGTTGGATTAAATATCCCTAACAGGGACCCTTAAGTAACCCAATCACTTTAAACAGGCTCCACATGCATGCTCCTGTGCAGTGAAAATGTCAGACAGTGATAACCCACTAATAGCACAATTCTAACTATATTCCAGCCATTAGCATTTTATGACATCAATCCTCATTAAACCTGGCAAGGAAAAAGATACTAATGTTTCCCAATTTTACAGACAAGGTGGAAGAGAAATGGAGAAAATGTAGACAGGTGCTGTCTCCCAAAAAGGATTAACATTTTTTAAAATGTGGTAGCAATTTTCTGTTAGTACCTTTGTTTGCATTGAAAGAGACAACAAAGAGGTAATGGCTACAAGGACCTCGATGGAATCCAGCCAAGAGTGAAAGAAAAGACTGGTATTTCAGCCATTGTGCTCACTGCTAAAGCACTGTGCCAACTCATCTTCCAACCCATTATATGAAATTTAATTTAACCTGCTATGCAATTAATTCAGATGTTCAGCCTATTTTTCTCATGGCAGAATCCCTCACACAATGCCTTATTTAAATATTAATCAGTCCTCTTTCAATTAGGACTAATTTGCTTCACAGGGTTTCTCTCATCTTCTGATTGCAGGAAAATGGAGGTAACTTGCAACGTTTGAGGATAATTAACATGGTATTTTTATAATACTGATACATCAAATGGGACCTTAATGAACCCCGCTGATTCCATTTAGTAAAGCATGCCTCAAAGTTATAATCAAGAGGAAAGCCATTGCCATCTGTTTAAAATACTAAGGAGCACAATTTAAACACAAAATGCTTATTTCTCTAAACTGTCTATTGTAGAGGTCTGCAAAAGTCATTTTTCTATGCAAACTAATTGTACAGTATTTTAATTTAAACCTTTTATTGCACATATACAAAACAGTGACATCTTAAGATGTAGGGGCCCTGTTTAATTAAATGTTGACAACCACAGAAATAAGTAATGTTTGTTAATGTTACTTCTCTTAAGCGCACTGCACAGTTGCTGCTAAAGTAATGGTAGTAAGTTGTACATTGCTAATGAATCTAATATTTCCCAGCCTTTTATTTAATATTTGAAGAACTTTTCTTAACAAAAGCCACTGAAGCTCTACGAAATGGAAAAACATAAGCATACGCGCTCGTTTGCTGCTTCTAACGTCACTAAGTAAACAGGTTAACATTTACACATGGCCAGTTGTTCACAAAGTGTTCCATCTGCTTCCAGGCAGGTTGAAGGTCAATGTTTTAGGCTTTGAGCTGTTCTAGAGTTCCTTGGTAACATCTAGGTTACTGAGGCTACTGGCTCCCGAGGTCATTATCAAAGCATTCAACATGTTCCAACGGTAATAAAACATGATTGATAACAGACTGCTTATTTACAATGTTTACACTATGGCCACAAGGATTTCCTCTGTTAACTTTTGGAAAAGTAGGCATTACCTGTGTGTGTTTTCAATGGGAATCAGAATTTCCTCTCATTTTTTCTATAAAGCTTTTCTATCCACATACTGAGTCATTGTGTCAGAAACATCATACATCAGAATTTCATGGCAAAAACACATCTAAACATTTGATATGAAGTATCACATTCATATTAATTGTTAGTCAATCAATACAATTATCAACTAAGATGTATTTGCCATATGCAGAGAAAAAATTATTGGGGGTACAAAGAAGTATAAGCAATTTTCCACTTTGGAGCCCAGTTGGTATGACACATTCCAGTTGGGTATGACAGGTGAGCAAGAAAGACCATAGGTGTGAAAAGAACAAGGAAGAGATGAATTAGATTGGAGGAAGGGGATTAGATTAAGGCATTATAGAAAATAATAACTCACACTTAAAGTTCTGATATTTCATTAGTCTCAACTAATGGCACATTGAAATTGTTTATGTGTTGGTTACTTCATTGAGCTTGAAAACTTCTAGGACAAGATGTACAAGTTTCTCATCCCAGTGCCCATTGCAGGTGCCTATGTTTCACACCAACTGGGCATACATCAACCATTTATTGATTTTATATAAGATTCATGTGCTTAAGTATTTGGCCAATACTTAACTGAGCACACGCTATGTTCCAGGCGCTGTTCTAATCATTGGGTATAAATTAGGGAACAAAAAGATGGGGCATGTATATCCCTGCTCTCAAGGAGCTTAAATTCTAGTGGGGAGAGGCAAACAAGGTCAACCAACAAATGGGAAAACTTCCAAGCACACAGATCTATGAAGAAAGCAAAGCAAGATGTAAGGATTGAGATTGAATAGTGAAGATGTTTTAGACTGGGCAATCAAGGAAGGCCTCTCTGAGGAGGTGACATTTAAGCTGAGAATTGAATGACAACAAGCTAGCTTCAAGGAAGATTGTTCCAGACTGAGCGAGCAGGTTGGGCTGTGACCCTGAGGTGGGAATAAGTTTGGCCTATGTGAAGGACATTAAAAATAAACTAATAAATAAACCAGAGAAAAATACAAAATGAGATTGGAGAGATGGAAAAGGTCTGGAAAATGCATGGTCTTGAGTACATAAAGAGAAATTGGATTTTCCCCCTCAGTTCAATGAAAAGAAACTAAAGATTTGTATGTGAATCAGTGGCATCATCTGACTTAATGCTTAATGTTTTCTCTCTCTATCTTCTGGGTGAAAAAGGGATGGTAGGGGAGTAAGTGGAAAATCAAGGAGACTAGTTAGAAAGCCTCTAAAGCAATCCATACGAGCTGCACTCATGGTTTGGCTAGAGCAGGAATATCAGAAATGGAGAGGAAGAGATGGACCCAATATGGGAGTGAAGGAGAAGTGATGTGAGATTCAAGATGACCTTAAGGATGTAGCCCTAAGTAACTAGGATGGAAATACTGGGGAAAGAACAGTTTAAGGAAAAAGTCTAGAGTTCTCTTACGGCCACTTTAAGTTTATAGTGGAGCTGTGACACAGTAAAATCAAATAACAGAAATAATGTCCAATGTTACTTAAAATTTTAATATTTACTATTATATTAATGACACATTGAATAATTTCTTTCATATTCACTATTATTAATGACTCCACCAACAAACATTGTTTTCAGTTTTGTGACAGCTCCTTCTTTGCAGTCTTCAGAGGACACCCCGCAGTCTGGTGCCTTGGAACTTCTGCCCATGCCATCACCTCCAATTGCATTCCTCCTTCTTCACCTATACCTCTGGCTAATGCCTGCCCTTTCTTTAATAATAATGAAACTCTGACATTTAGGATTGCTTTGTGAGTCCAGGCAATGTGTTAGGTGCTTCAATTACACCATTTCACTTAAAGCTCATGGATACCCTCTAAGGTCAATGTTATCTCAATTTTATATAATAAGAAACTGCTGGGCACAGTGGCTCACGCCTGTAATCCCAGCACTTTGGGAGGCTGAGGCAGGTAGATCTCTTGAGGCCAGATCTCTTGAGGTGGGTAGATCTCTTGAGGTTTCTTAAGAGACCATCCTGGCAAACATGGTGAAGCCCTGTCTCTACTAAAACTACAAAAAATTAGCTGGACGTGATGGCAGGCACCTGTAATCCCAGCTACTTGGAGGCTTAGGCAGGAGAATTGCTTGGACCTGGGAGGCAGAGATTGTTGCAGTGAGCCAAGATTGTGCCATTGCACTCCATCCTGGGCCACAGAGTGAAACTCCAACTCAAAAAAAAAAAAAGAAAAGAAAAGAAAACAAGAAAGAAAAAAAGAAACCAAGGCTAAGAGAAGTTAAGATTCAATTTGGATATCTCTCTTAAGAAGCCTCTCCTCGTGGCCAAAACTTGGCTATGCCCATACTCCTCTTAATTCCAGAGCATGACTCTCCCATTGTGAGTTGGACAGGATTTAAAACATGGTCCCCAAATTCTTTGACACTCCTCCTATGAGATCCTAGAAGGCTCACTCACCATTCTATTGCCAGGCTGGTGCCCCTAGCACACAGTAGGCACTCAGTGAAAAACACATGCTAAAAATGAACTGTCTACAGTGGTTACAAGTTGCTGGCAGAGGGAAGAATGGGGAGATACCAGAGGATGCAGAATTTCAGTTGGGGATGATGAAAACTTTGAGGAGATGAGTGGTGGTGGATGGTTGCACAACAGTGTGAAAGTACTTAATGCCACTGCACCTGCACACTGAAAAATGGTTTAAATGGTAAATTTCATATTATGTGAATTTTTCCACAATAATAAAAAGGTCGATGCCCAGTCGCCACTATTACAAGAAAGGAGGGATCAGCTAGAATTTATTCCAGACATAAATGTAAATGTTTGCTAAGGTATGAGTTAGGACAGTCTATCACCAAGAAAAGTGGTCTTAGTCGAATTGGGGCAAACCATATTATATATCCAATCTCTCCATCACGTCAGGGGAAGGGAACTATTTCCGACAGAGCCCACACTGGAATGTATTTAAAGACTGTGTTCACAGCCTAACCTCTTGAGTGATCTATTCTAGAGAATGTGTTTTCTGGTAGCAAGAACATGTGGGGCTGCTCCTGTGACCTTAGCAGATAGGGCGGCCTCAACATAGACACTGACAGTAATTTCTTAGCTGCTCCTGCCCTTTCAGACTGAAAGTCCTTGGAATCTTCAGGGAAGCACACTGAAAGAAAATGTACCCAAACAAAAATCTGCAAGTGGCCAAGATTTTGCCTTGCACATGCACCATCCATAAAGGGACCTTCCAGGTATCCTCCCCAACGAGTTCCCATCAGACTGACGGAGGCTGACTTCTTGAAAACCCTTCCTGCAATATCGAGGAGCTCTTCCTGGTCTCCCATCCAATTGCTTATCCCGTGCAGTTTGAGAGATTGTATCTGTCTCACAGTTTAAAGATAGAACAGCTGCCAACAGTCCCAAACGATCATTAATAAGTTAACCGTTACCAGATAAGATTGAAATCTATGCCAGTCCTATTTTAAAGTAATCTCTATGATAATTACTACACAAACTGCTACCCAAATGCCAGCGCTGACGCAAGAGCGAGGGGGTGAGGTTAGGCATCTACTCCCAGCTCAACTGGAGAATATAGCCTTATCCAGATATCCTTCCCTATCCCCACCCTGTCCCCCACCTCCACCCCCACGAAGAGCAATATCCAATGCTTAAAATGGATTACCAGTGAAAGGTGACACTTGACACAACTTCCTATCTCCTTTAAAATGAAAACAGAATGGCTTGGTCCTGTCTGTCTGATGCTTTCGTCCAAGTCCAGTGTTGAGCAGGAAAGCCCTGGAAGACAGCTGAAGAGTTCTCTGCACCCTCACTCAAGAAAACCCAAGGTGAATTTCTAAGCAGCATCTCACCTTCACCTCACCAGCTCACCATCATCCCCTTTTGCATTTGGATGTTTGAGAGTAAGGGAAGAAAATGGCAAGTTAGAGAAAGAAAAGGCAATAATAATTAGAACAAATACCTACACGGCTCTCATTATGTGCCAGGTGCCATTCAAAGGCCTTGCAAAGAAGCTCATTTTGTCCACACAGCAACCCTACGGGGTAGGAATGAGTATCATCCCCATTTTATAAGTGAGCAAATTGAGACACACAGAAGTTAAGAACCAGCTCAAAGTCTCAAGGTCAGGAAGTGGAAGGGAAGGTGGAAAGAGGGGAAGAGCAGGGCCCTGGGAGGAGACGCTCTGGAGGTGCTCTGATCCTCCCAGGTGTGGGCGGAAGGAAAGCCACAGGGAATGGGGCAGCACACCTGTCTTTCTAACTGCACCGCAACCACCCCAGTTTATCTTGAGTGCCACTTTCACAGAATGTTACCATGCTCATTAGCCTACTCTGGTACTAAATTTGTCTAACTAGATTTCAGCTGGAAAAAATACTAAATTACTATCCATAAAAACATAAATCCATAAACTTAATCCAATAAAACAACAGATTTTATTGCTAAGCAACATAAATGTGTGTAGATGAAAATTAGAGCCAATAATTTAATGCAAGTTATGGTGACTACAGCAAAACAGTAATTCCCAAATTATGTCTACCTTCCATTCCTTATTTTTCAGAGACAGGATCTTACTGTGTTGTCCAGGCTAGAACACAGTGGCTAGTCACAGAGGCAATCACAGCTCACTGCAGCCTCCAACTCCTGGGCTCAAACGATCCTCTGTGTCAGCCTCCAAAGTAACTGGGGACTACAAGTGCATCGACGCCCGACACCAATTTTTAATATTTGCTTAAGCAAACAAACAGAAGCCATGCATTTCATTGCTAACATCTAATCTCTCAGAGCCTATAAATAACCACTCAATTTTTTTTATCAGTTATTTATTTACTCAACAAAACATTTAGTGAAAAATATTGTGTGCTGAGGGTGCTAGACACTCAGGCTGCAAAGCCAAAAATGTCCTGAAAATAATTTTTCTTTTTAGATCAGTGATCATAGAGAAATAATCATAATAACAATAATGATGATGAAACAATGATGGTGCAAAGAAGGACAATGACAGCTCACACTTACAGTGGTTACCATGTGCCAGCCAGAGGGCACTGTTCTAATTGTTCACATATGTGAACTCATTTAAGCTATTGTGACAGCACTATGAGGTGGTTACTATTATCCTCACTTTACAGAGGAGGAAATGGCCCAGAGAAGTCATGTAACTCCCCTTGACCACACAGCTTCAAGAGGTCAAACTGTCCTGCTGGCCCAGGCACTAACTCCAGCATTTGCCTCTCATCAGCACATATAGTTGTTCCCCTAGCAGTTGTATTCAGAGTATTCTCGAAGCTCAGGAAAAGAAAAGCAGGTCAGACTTAGGTAGTGGGTAGGGGATATTAGAAAAGCTTCCAGGAGGAGGTGCTCTTTGAGTTGAATATTTAAGTATGAATAAGAGCAATGAGGTGAAAAGGACGGGTGTGGGACGTTCTTTACTCTTGGGAAGGAAATGCAGTATCTAAAGGCATGAAGAATAGCTGATCCCCTTTGGAAACTATATCGTTTGCCAGAGATGGACTGCAGATGACATTTCAAAGAACAGTGAGAGAGGCCCAGAGACTCTGGCCTCTCATCCCTGCAACGGCCTCTTGTCTCACTCAATGAGGGGAGACTGTGTTATCTCTACTGTGTCTTATCCTGCATTTTATTGAAAATTCTTTTGAATTTTTAACAATTTCAGGACCTTGTTAGTCTCACCAGAGAGTTAAAATTGTAGACATCCTAAACACACCTATGTCCAAACCCTCTACCCAACAGTTAATCTATGTGTAATGGTGAGGCTCCTCCTGAAATTATCCATGAAAATACCATCAATCAATCAAACTAAGTTACATTCAGATGTATTAGGTAATTCATCCATCTTTTTCTATAGTATCAGTGTTTATAGATGAAATTGTTTTATTCATTACTGGTCTTAACACTGATCTCACTGATTCTTCATACATTTGGGGTATGTGTGTATGTGTGTGACTATGATGTTATTTGTCTTAATAAGGTCTGTGACAAACAGATTGCTTTATTTTTGCAGATAATAAGATAGAAAGTCATCTTTCTGTCTTTTACAAAAACATAGACCCCGTGTGTGTCTAATCCTTCCTTAGCCTTCATGCATTTCTCCCCTTCATGAAGAGGCCTTCAAAACAATGGTCTTTCTGGATTAATATCTGGCAATTCCTTATATGACCTGGAATGCGTGTCAAGAGCTGCTCATAGTTTGACTACATGGGCTTTTTTGGGATATTATTCAGTCATTTTCTCATCTGTCAGAAATATCCTACCTTGTGAATCCAGATGGCGTTTGTATTGAAAGGTTAAAACCCAACTATCAGAAGCTCCAATGTTTCCAAGCTCCTTTTTTTTTTTTTCACTTTTCCTTCTTTATCTTGGCCCTCTCTGTTTGATTACATCCTTGCTTGTTTTTTCACACATTATCAAATGTTGGTATATTTCCTTTTGGATGTTTCCTGAATGTCTAACTTTTTAAATATATTTTTGAATTTTGTCTCAACTGCCCACTTCCCTGCTTCTCTCTTTCTTAAGGTCCTGGTAAAATTCAAAGTAGAGTCAGATTGTCAGTCTACTTACTCTCATGTTCCTCCTGTGAACTGTTAGGGCTATGTTATAGTACTCGCAATTCTGTACTTAAAACAATAAAAACAAAATAAAACTGCTTTTTCTCCTCTTTGGGTCTACATATTTCTTCATTCTCTTTGTTAATTCAGAATTTTCTGTAATCCCAGCCCTTTGGGAAGCCAAAGTGGGCAGATCACACGGTCAGGAGTCTGAAACCAGCCTGGCCAACATGGTGAAACCTCATCTCTCCTAAAAATACAAAAATTAGCCGGCCGTGGTGGCAGGCACCTGTAATCCTAGCTACTTGGGGGGCTGAAGCAGGAGAATTGCTTGCACCTGGGAGGCGGAGGTTGCAGTGAGCCGAGACCATGCCATTGCACTCCAGCCTGGGCAACAGAGCGAGACTCCATCTCAAAAAAAAAAAAAAAAAAAAATTTGTACTTTTTCTTCTTCAGCTATTATCCAAACAAGCCACCCTTCCTTTCTTAAGATCCTGAAAAAACATCAAATGTGTGTGTTCATCTATTTTGTGTTAATGTTGAAAAAGTATCATGAAATAGTAACATTACACAGGACAATAATAAAATCAGAGGGCTCCAAGACAGTTTTAGAGAACATCTAGTGTCTCTATGACTTTTGAAATGCCAGACTTCCCTGTGGAAGAATTTCCTGACAGTGACACTAATTAAATCCTGAATTAGGTATCCAACATGAATTTTATGTGTATCTACTTTAATCATATGCCATAGTTAAAATGGTAAACTCAGGCAATTTATTTTAACTGAAGCCTTTAAAATATTACATTTCGATCTGTCATAACAGTTAACATATCATTTTTCTATAAAGAAAGAAACTAAGTTCCTTTCATAATTTATGGCTACCCGAACACAAAGTTGAGGTGGGAGTTTTCTAAACTTTCATGAATCAAATAAATGCCTATACAAGACTAGTAAGGCAGATGACAATTAAATAGCAGCAGCAACACAGTTAGGTTTGGTTTGGTTTTATTATAATCAGAAATTTGTTCTTTGCTTGTGATATCTCCTTTCTTATGTAGAGCTGACACATCAACATTTTTCTCACATTCCATCTGAGATTTTCAGCCAATAGTATCATTTTTCAATAACAACAGTAGCTGTTTCAGAGAGATTATACTACTTACTTTTCCTCATTTTGATAAGGCATAAACCACAAATGTCCTTAAAAGTTCAGGTTCTCCTTGGCACCCATGAAATTATATTAGAATTTTCAAGTTGGTAGAAACCTGGATTCGATGAGATTTGCTATCTCCCCAGGCTCGCTAATTAACAGGAACCCTGGAGACAGGACGCTTGGCTCTTGGGCTGGTGCACTACCCCCACAGCACTGGCTTCTGCCATCTTGGGCACTTTTGACTTTTTAAAAAATAATGTGTACTTATTTTCCCTTGGGTTAGCTCCGTTTTGAAGTCAGCAAGTTGACTGATAAAATGGCAGCAAAAAGGGACAGCGTCCTGCTCTCCTGCAGCCTGCCCCGCGATGCGGGAGCAGTGTGATGTGATGAAATCTCACTGGACTCGGGGAATGCCAGTAATTCTTAGACAGCTCCACACCAGCTTTGGCCTCAGGCAAAGGCACTTAGATTCTCCAGGATTTTGTTTTCTTCATCTACCAAATGACAGTTGGGCTAAATGACCTCTGACCTCCCTACCCCGCTTTAGAATTAAAACAATATTCCCAAATACACTGAAGTCACTTACGAACCACACTGTGGTAATCCTACATTATGTCAATTCACATCAATCATTCATTAGTGGACTTATCTAAAAAAGTCTGAGCCAGCCCGATTAAGCAAAGAATGTCAAACTCAACCAACCTTCATCAAATGGATTTGATATGAATTGCAAGTGTATTGTTCACATACCTTTATGACTGAAAGCAACAATTATCAAATATTTTCCAATCTTCTAATGAATCTAAAAACTGTGTATGAAGTGGAAATAACTATTGTTACACTTCCTTTCCTTCCTATTCTTTACCACGGTTGCTTTGGATTGCTCACTGTTCAGCAGTGCTCCACACTTCCCTTGGTAGTGAACAAGCAGACAGCTGAAGGAGTAAAAATTCTAGGATTTTTGTTTACATCTTCATTATTTCCCTATGCTCAATGCATTTCCCAGCTGATTTTCATGAATGCTCCCTCCTCTGTTCATCTCTTATTCCCTCTCATTATCCTTCCGACAGGATAATGTCCTTCCATTGTCCATTTTTTTCTCATTACTCTCTTATCATTACCCTAACTACTTCACTCTGGCATCTCACTAATTTCCCCTTCAGGCTAAACATTAAAGAATCCTAAACATTTCTGTAAATTATTGAAAGAGGCTTGTTTTTACCTTCAGAAAAATATCCAGCAAAAATAGAAAAGCTTTATGTATTTACTTTCTGGTTTTGGACAGAGGAGAGCTAATTTAAATAATTTTTTTTAAGTACGAGCTTGAAGAAACAACACATTATTTATTGAATTAACACTTCATAATTAACATTTGAGTTTGATTTACTCACAAAATGTTATACTCATTAAAAATATAATAATTCCAATGTTCCTTGCTTAACAGAAATTCACGGAGAATTTCAAATGTGAAAAATAATTTAATAAAAACTGTATTCTAAGAAGCATCGGCCGGGCGCGGCGGCTCACGCCTGTAATCCCAGCACTTTGGGAGGCCGAGGCGGGCGGATCACGAGGTCAGGAGATCGAGACCATCCCGGGTAAAACGGTGAAACCCCGTCTCTACTAAAAATACAAAAAATTAGCCGGGCGTAGTGGCGGGCGCCTGTAGTCCCAGCTACTTGGGAGGCTGAGGCAGGAGAATGGCGGGAACCCGGGAGGCGGAGCTTGCAGTGAGCCGAGATCCCGCCACTGCACTCCAGCCTGGGCGACAGAGCGAGACTCCGTCTCAAAAAAAAAAAAAAAAAAAAAAGAAGCATCAATTTCCTTCCATCTCAGAAAATTCAGAGATGGAATTTGCTATCTTAGACCATCAGCAGCAACTATTGAGCCCCTCAAATTAGGTACAGCAGTAACCTCCCACCCTGCCAATCATGGGCATTTTGTCAAGCTCAACAAACACTAATTTGAGTGCTAATATTCTGTGCTAAAGGCACTAATCATTAGTTAAATAAACAAACCATTTGAGTGTATAACTGTCAACAAGACCAAAACCTGCTCACAGAGGGATCAACCTCATGCCCTAGCCAACTACTGAAGTGCAATAGACCCAATTATACAGCACTGCTGAGTCACCAGGGCCACATCTGCACAGCACGACCAAAGCACACTTTGACTAGAAAGTCCAAGGGTAGTTCAGGAAGAATCAAATCAGAACTGCCTTTAGAGCCCCAAGCTACTCACTGCCTTAGGAGCTGGTGCTGCCTCTGGGCTTGGGATGGCCCCGCCTCTCTGACCCTCCCACTCCCCTCACTGGTCCTTTCTTCCTGGCTCCTGGCTCCTTGGCTGAAAACAAAACAAAAAACTGTGAGCAGGACACACCCTTGCTTCAAAGCCTCCATTGGCCCTCAGGAACCAGGTGAGGTCAAAATAAGCTTTAGCATCAGTTGGGACCTGTCACAATCCTGTGCTCCCATCACTCACTGGCAGGGAGACCTTTGACCATCAGCAGGAGGCACTTCATAAAAGGGACTCCGTGTGTGTGTGTGTGTGTGTGTGTGTGTGTGTGTGTGTACATGTGTAAAACATTAAAGGAGCTGGCATCGGGTGCTTTATTTCCATTTCATAAGTATTTTCATTTAATAGGTATTAAATGTACATTGTTTTCCTCCCTTTCTCTATTTAATTGATGGGTTGATTTCAAATTTCTTAATGTGGCACACCCCACTGTTACCATCTGAACCAAACTGTGTTGCTCTGGCACCTTCTTTCACTCCCCCATCCTGAGCCTCACTCAGGGGCATCAGTGTCCCCAAACTCATCAGGCAGGAGTCCGTGACCTGTTCCTATGATGCTGTTTACCATTTTTCCCCTTCAAAATGTGTACTCATTATTTAATCTCAACCTCTATGTCTTTGCAAACTCCGGTGAGCTACAGCTCCTTTCTGTCCTCACAGCACATTCATTCATTCATTCATTCATTCACTCATAGCAATTCTACTTTGTGTTTAGAAGCATGGAGGCTAGCACCAGCCAACCTGAATCAAATCCTAGCTTGACCACTCACTAGCTGTATAAACTCCAGCAAGTTCTTCATCTTTGTGCCCCAGTGCCTTTAGCTATAAATCACAGTTAAAAACGCTAGTGTCAGAATATCTGACATATGGTAGGAAAACAATAGGCATCGAAGTTAAAGGTCTTGAATTCTTGTCTTGGATCTGCCCGTTATTACAAGAGTTAATTTAGGCAAGTCGATGAAATCAACACTGTCTACCACCATCATGTTGTATGTAAAATGAGGAGGAGTGAAAGAGTCTCTCTGAGATCTCTTCTACATTTAAAATTCTAAAATTTTCTCTTAATCTGTTGATTTATAATTCCTGAGTTATGTTATGTACGTTATGTAAGTTTTCCTTGCATTAATGTGCCCATAGAATTCCTTAAAATATTGCCAGATCAAATGCAACTGAAAAGAAAATTCTCCCTAGTTTTCTTTTCTCCATATAGCGTACTCCCTTTAATTGGGAACACTTGTACTACAACCAAAGGGGTTTCTAATAAAATACAAATAGTGTCCAAGTATTAAAGCATTCTGATCGCTACATAGTAAAGGGTTACGAGCCAAAAAAATCCAAGATTACGGGAATCTGATATTCATGGGTGTTTGCACTGCATGTCAAGGAGCCCTGAGTATTGCCTGTCAAGAATCAGAAGTTCTTCAACCAAACAGCATTTCCTCTCATTCACATCTACATTAATATCCTTCAAATATGACTACTTAATACTGAAGTCAGAACGCCATTTCAGAGCTTACTGAATCAAAGACTTTTACAGCCAGAGGGAACTTTAGCATTTTAAAGATAAATATGCTCCGTTTTTGTCAGATACCACCTTTGTATATTAATCCATAATCTTAACAAGGGAGGAACAACTGAGAATAATTTACTTCTTTATAGGAACTATTTGCATTTTTATTATTATGCAAAAGCATGGGAGGATCTAAAGTATCACACAACAGGTTCTCCACAAATTCATCTTTGCTGATTGTCAAGTCCATACACCTAGTTCTTATAACATAGCTTGTAATTTAGTTCCATGTTTCTAGATGTCTACATCTAATCTTATTTGTAAAGTCATCATATAGCTGAAGCCATAAATGAAGTGTGACTCTAAAGTAATATAGCTAATTTTTAAGTAAATATTGTATACCAGAACTTTAACATGGGTATTAACTAGTCCTTTTTAAGGCACTAAAGTTATCTTGAGAGTGTTCTTTTATATTGTAAATTAGTAATTTATAATTGTATGTATTTATGGGGTACAATGTGATGTTATCATATACAATGTGGAATGACTGATCAAGTTGATCAACATATTAGTCACCTCACATAGCATTTTTCGTGATGAGAACATCTTAAATGTATTCTCAACAATTGAGAAATACACAGTACATTATTATTAATATAGTCACCATGTTGTAGAATAGATCTCAAAAAACTTATTCCTCTGTCTAGCTGAAACTTTGTACCCTTTAACCAAAACTCCCCATCCTCTACTTCCAGCCCCCAGCCTCCGGTAATCACCTTTCTACTCTATCTTAAAGTATTCAACTGGATCCATATTTATCTCAAAACTCTTGTTTTGAAATTACCTACTTTCTTTTCTGTGTGTGTGTGTGTGTGTGTGTGCATCTGTGTGTGTCTGTGTGTAAACTTTATTTTTCCAGTAAATGAAATTGGAGAAACTATCAAAAAGTCAACTAGATATGTGTTAAAGTACAGCAAAATGTTATGGTAGAATCTAGCTTTATTTTAAATTATGTTTGAATGTTTATTATTTATTTTTAAGTATTTTTATTTATTATTATATAATTAATATGTTTGAATATTTTCAAAATAAATTATAGGAAAAAATCAGAACTTAATAAAATAGGTAATCTATTGAGTAACAGACTGACTCTATATAATAAACTATATAGCTAAACTAATGTTCATGCATATCATGTCTCATAGATCCTTTCTCTATAGACGGTTATAGAAAAGGTGTTCCATAGTGTTTCAAACAATGGCAATACTCTCGGGTCAACTGTGTAGTGTTAAAAGGAGTATCACTTCTTTGGAGCTAGAAATTCCTGAAATTGTATTCATTATAGAGCATGGAGGCAACTTCATGACTTCCTTCACTAGCCAGAAATGCGAGATGGATGGGTAGCCCCGAGTAGTGCTATCATGCTTCCAGTACAGCGTGCCTTTTGAAAGGACTACGTAGGCAGGAATAGAGATTTGATCAAACATGTGGAACTGATTGATGCTGGCATTCAGCCCTGAATTCATTTAAATTATGATACCAAATACAGTAGAGAGGGACCAAGACTTATGAATGGATACTTCCTGCCTTTGAATGGCACTGAACCCCAAGAGGTCCCCTAAACCATAAGTCTTGCAACCACAAAATGTACTCTTCCTTTTTTCTGTTCCTTTTTCTCTTTTGGAACCCACCAAATTCTCTGTATATAGCTATTTCTCTGAGCCAGCTCTGGTGTAACACTTAAAAACCACAGAATTATGCTGGGAGGTTAGCACCCATTCCATAATAAAACTGTGAAATTGTTTCTTGTTCAGAAAAGCTATGGTGGTATCCTTAAAGGCTTCAGAAGGAAAAAAAATTCCATTTTCCCTTTCATGGCACTCATCAAAAAAAAAAAAAAAAGGTGGACGACAGCCACCAACACTGTGTGAAGCAACAGCTCTGCCAAAACTGTGAATAATTAACAGATTTGAAAATATAAGTAGCTTAAGCCAATCACACATTTGGCAGAGGTGAAAGTTGACTGTGGTAGCTTGCTACTACAAGTGCACTCTTCTTCAAAAACAAGATTTCCCACCTGTCCCTTGCTGACTACAGAGAGTTGAATCCCCATCCACATTTCCACAGGCTACGATGATGCCTCCAAAATCCTGGAGGAGACAACAGAATATTTATAACATTTTATATTCAAAGCATTTCAGAGAGTTTTCTGTAAAAGAAATTTTTATGATTTAAAGTAAATTAGCTTATTTCCCCAGAAATAGATGCTTCCTTCACCTAACATACATGATTTTAAAAAAATCTAAATCTCTTTTTTTATTGTGTTAAAATAGAGGGTTTTAAGATTCTCCACCAAGGCTCTTTCAAAATGTAACCCATTTCCTCTTCACACCTGCGTAAAGACTGGACAAAAGTTGAACAATGTATTTTAAGGATGAATGGCATCACTCACTTAAATGTCCCCTTCAAGGGAAAAATATTATAAACAACTCCTTATCAAACACAAGAAAGCATAAAAGGAAAAACCAACAGATTAATCATATGAATAATCGGCTACACACATGTTTTACTGCTTTCAAAAATTCATTTTGAATTGAAGTATTAGTCGTGGAATGCCTTAGGGCACTGAGGCTATCATTCCATTTAACCTACACATATCATTTCTCTAAGCAAAAATAGTGCACACTCACCTTGTACAGAATTGTTCTAATGTAATAAAATAATGTAATTGTTATTATTTTCCAGCCTTTCTTGGGTGAAAATTAGACTTTTTCTTCCTAGACAATTTCATTCTTTTTTTCAACTATTTACCTGTTCTTTTCTACTTTCCCATGATTCTCCTTTCTTAATTTTTACGTCCTTCATTACCTGCAGACACATCACATTTTTCTTATTATTTAAACGAGCTATATTTAGAAGCAACTGCACTGTATTTCTTTTCAAATATGAAAGAGAGTTTCACCTTTGATAGCACACATCTGTTCTTTTCTATGTTTATGTGATGGTGGTAATAAAAGATTTTTCAAAAATGCCTCAGAGCTCAAGATTTTATTTTTTAAATAATTCATAGGCAAGTCTTGTAACTGGTGCAAAAATAATTCTGCTGCTGAGACGCAAAGAAATCATGTTTGATGTTTAATAGCCAGGATTCTATTTCCTTCCCGTGGTTGTTATTTGAATAATGGTACAGTCTAGATGCATAGTAGTTTGGTCTGTAGAATACAGCAAGGTCACGACAAATTCTGGAGCATTTTCGGCCCCTCAAACATCTCTCAAGTTAAAATGAGTCCCAACCCATTGGGAGGCAAACCCAATGCATGCTCAAAACATCCAAACCAGATAAGCAAAATTCTGGGGTCCTGTGCTTCATTCTACTCCTCTCCTGCCTGAAAAAACTAGTGGTCTCTTCTAACTTAGGAAAGGATTAAGTAATAATTTAGTAGAAGCTGACTTTTATAGGACTCAAAAACAAAACTGCTGGCAGAGTACCTGTGATTATCATGGAATGAGGCCAAAATATTTGAAGAGCTTCTTTTGCCCTTGACTTCAGAGTGACTTTACCAGAATGTTAGAAGTGAAACAAGGCTCCAGCTGTGGCACCAACAAAGTCACTCAATGTGTTCTGGGCTAAGTTGGTGATATTGCCCTTCTCCTGCAATCACAAATAGTGCCTGTGTTTGCGCTCAGAGGTGACTGCCGTCCCCTGGGTTTAAGGGCTCTGTGTGTAATGACTTTTAGGAAACTATAACAGTTACAGAGACCTGCTGCTAGCTGATGATTTTTACCCTCCATGTTGCATGTTTTCATTCAATCATTCATTGGACAATAACCACCAAAACTATAATAACATAAATTCCATATTTATGGAGAGCCTACCATGTGCCAGGCCATTTTATATTCAATATACATACAATAAAAAAGTTTAAAACACTCAACTAAGAATTAATAATGGCACTGCAGAAGCTTTCTATAAATTAAATATTTAATGGGGATTTAAAAATCCCTGTTATTCATTATTTATTTCAACACAACCAAATTCTCCCAGTGCCCAAGCTGCATTAACACTTTCAGTCCTGAGGATCTTATTGGCAAGCTCCAATTTCAGAGAACTAAATAATAACCTAGGTGTTAATGAAAATCAGGATTGCAAAGGGTTCATAATTTACAAATAGGGAACAATTGTGGCACTGAAAGAACAAACACCATTTTCCTGTTAGAAAATAACACTCTAGGCCGGGGGTGGTGGCTCATGCCTATAATCCCAGCACTTTGAGAGGCCAAAGTGGGTGGATCATTTGAAGTCCAGAGTTCAAGACCAGCCTGGCCAACATGGTGAAACTCCACCTCTACTAAAAATACAAAAATTAGCTGGGCGTGGTGGCACGCACCTGTAGTCTCAGCTACTTGGGAGGCTGAGGCATGAGAATTCGCTTGAACCTGGGAGGCAGAGGTTGCAGTAAGCCAAGATTGTGCCACTGCACTCCAGCCTGGGAGACAGAGTGAGACTATGTCTCAAAAAAAAAAAAAAAAAAAAAAAAAGAAAAGAAAAAAGGAAAAGAAAAAGGACACTCTGGACATGCAGTCTAAGTAAACTGAATCATCATCCACCACGCAGTGACATGTTTTAAAAACTGCATATGCAAAGCATATATTCCATGTCTATTCACTGGTAATAATGCTCTGCACTATGGCATAGGCCAGGCTAGTGGAGAATGTGTCCATGGAGAAAGGGAAGAAGCAAGCGCTCCAGCTTTCCTGTGTTTCTGCTCACAGCTAGCAGCAGTACCTACCTGCACTCACTGTGCAAACTAATTACATGCAACAGGTTAGTTTTTATTGAACAATTCCACCAAGAATTGTTTTTTTTTTTTTTTTTTTTTTTTTTTTTTTGAGACGGAGTCTCGCTCTGTCGCCCAGGCTGGAGTGCAGTGGCACGATCTCGGCTCACTGCAAGCTCCACCTCCTGGGTTCATGCCATTCTCCTGCCTCAGCCTCCCAAGTAGCTGGGACTACAGGCGCCCGCCACCACGCCCAGCTAATTTTTTTTTTATTTTTTTATTTTTTAGTAGAGACGGGGTTTCACCTTGTTAGCCAGGATGGTCTCGATCTCCTGACCTCGTGATCCGCCCGCCTCGGCCTCCCAAAGTGCTGGGACAGGCGTGAGCCACCGCGCCCGGCTGAATTGTTCTGCAAATAGAGCCCTTAGAGACTCATCAGAGATTTTTTTTTTTTCCTAGAGACGGGGTTCCACTATGTTGTCCCGGCTGGAGTTCAGTAGCTATTCACAGGCGCCATCATAGCACACTAGAGCCTCAAATTACTGGCCTCAAGCCATCCTTCACCCTCAGCCTCCCTAGTAGCTGGGACTACAGGAATATGACAGTATGCTGGCTTGGAGAATTTCAAAGACAGAAGGGGCTTAAAAACACCATATAAGCTAATTTCAAAACATCACAGAATTCAATTACAAACAACATTATCAGAAAATTAAAATTTCTGTCTTTGCATTATGAATAAAGAATATTTATGTCTAACAGGAAAAAATTATTGCAATATAAGTTCTTGCATTTCACATGGATGTAAAAACATCCAGCCTCAATTTGGAATGATACTCAGAATAGAAACATATTCAATAGTGTATGATTGTTAGCAGTCCTTGATTATTATTATAGTAATGTACCTTCAGGACATATCTGAAGTGGAATAATCACTTTACAAAAAAACAAATACGGTTTTCCTGAAAGTAAAAAGTAATATTCTGTCTTGTTCTCAAGATCAAAATGGCCATGATCCCAAAGGCCCCATGCAGAGCTACTCAGCGCCTCAGAATAAGAAATTCTCAAAATCAGCAAAGAAAATATCTTTATATCCTGGCAGCTTTCAGTTCTAAAGGTAACTGACAAATTCTGTTCTTGACCATTATCTGTAGCAATAACCAGGAAGCTGCTGGGTTAACCAAACTATTAGATTGTGTTCAGCAATCACTCTCTGTCTGAATCTTCAGGTACCTCCCTGAGTCTGCACATCCATGAACAGTTCCATGAAAGCTCCACATTAGAACATAATAGATAATTCCCCCTTTTTTATCTGTGAAGACATTGAAACATCAGACAGTTAGAAAACTCACCCAAAAAGCATAAAACATATAAATAACAGAGCAAAATTTCTGGTCTTCTGGCTTCAAGTTAATAGACCTTCCCCCAAAAAGAAGGCAACAGAGGAAGTTTTCTTGGAAATGTTCTCATTTTTTATATTATCGGGAATGAATTGAGCCAAAAAATAAAGGGTGGGAGAAACCTATGGCTAATTTTAATTCTTCCCAGATACATTTTTAATTAATTTCTTATTTTTGTGGGTGCACAGGAGATTTGTATATTTATGAGTTACATGAGATATTTTGATACTGGCATGCAATGCATAATATTCACATCGGGTAAATGGGGTATCCATCACATCAAGCATGCCAGAAATATTATATTTTAAGTTACATCATCCATTAAAAGCAATTTGTATTTATATCATGTAAAACACTATTTATGTTTATATAAGTATGTATAAGCATAAGAGATATTAATATATGAAATATGGTTATTGAAAATAAAAATGTATTTTCGAAAAAATGTTCAAATTTACTCAAAGACATTTAAAATTAGTCATGAGCTCTTTTCAGCTAGTTTGCAATCTATTCCACTGACTCATTTTCAATGACAGTATAAGCAAATCATTTTATCTATCCATTATTATTTGGCCCGGTAATGAAAATGAAAAAAACAAACAGCTGGTGATATAAGAAAACATGCACGCTTAAAACATCTGAACTATATTTAAATCCATAATATAAGTCAGTTTGCTCTTTCAACTTAGGGACCAAAAAATCAGTTAATTAATCATTCAATTGCTAACAAATGCTACTCAGACTTCACTTGGCAACTATGTGGTCACCCCAAAAATCAATGATAATTAAGTGGCTGATCAATAAACTCTCCTCTTCGTTGGATCACAAAGACCCTAAAGTTTTATCTTCTGTTCTTTTTAACAAACTAGATAAAATACATTTTTTAATCAACATACTGGGCTGAAAAGATCTAGAACTTCAATATCTTGTTGTATTTTTTAATATAGATTAAAACCAATGTGTTAATGATCATATCTACAATACATCAAAGTATTAAATATTAGAAACTGGATTTTTTTTCGAACATTCTTCATTGAATAAGACAACCAAAGTAGACCAATAGCTAAGCAATTATTCAGCCAGCTGAAAACAGCAGTATGGTGAACCTGCCCAGCTCTCCATTTTTTCTAATCTATAAATTATTTTAAATCCCTTGTAAAAAGATTTCAATAGGATTTTAAACAATGGTTTTCAAACACTCAGGTAGAAGAGCATTTCTGCTGGCTACTGATACCTTTATGAACTCCTGAGTTAAACCACTTCTATGGATCACAGAGTGCTTTATAGTTTCCCAAAAGAAAGTGAATCTGTTTGAAATATGAGTATTTAGAAAGTTCGCCTCTCTTTTGGAATGTAGTCAAAGAAGAGAGAAGAGTGGAGTGGCGGGGGTTTCTATACTAAGCAGGCTTTGAAAATTAAAAGCACAGAAGTATATGTTCTTGTATTATATAGTCACACTAATAAAAGCAATAAAACATATCCAGGGGTTGCCTGACATGAACAATTTTATAAGCCTGGTATCGATCCCCAGATTCTTTTCAAGTGAGGTTGCTTTGCAGTAACCTATTCCCTTGTGCATTTTCTATCACTGCACTCCTAAGCCTTGTGCTAAATATAGGAGAGCTTGGAATTTCACGCATTGTGACAATTTATTGCAACTTTTGTTCTATTGTCAAAGTTTATTATCCAGTCAGAATTAACACCAGTGCACAAGGAAAGCAGATACAATGAAGCAACAGCTCCAAGTTGACAAAGCAGCTAGACTTGGAGCTGAAACTCCAAGCAAAGTTTTATTCTCCCTTCCAGGATTGTTGTTAGAATAGCATTTGTGAAAGTGCTGCATGAACCACACATGACTACTCAAATATTAGAAACGATAAGCCAGAATGAAACTCCACATATGCCATTAACTCAATACTCAACACGTTTTATTTCTTTGATCTAGTACTTAAAGAGCCATCAGATTAATGAATTAAGTAGAATCAAAATTATGTAATATTTTATTGAAATTTTTTTCTAATATAATGTTAATACTAGTTTTATTGAACTCTACGGTAAATTTTAAAGCATCAACATAAGGAGGAAAAGTCCATACTTTCACTTCATCCTAATTCCTTGTACTAATACAAACACCTAAATATGTTCTCAGGGTCAAGAGAAGCTCAAGATGACCTTCTGGATCTCACATTTGCATCACCTAACATTTGGTGTGTGTGCTAAGTATTTTTTCATCCTTTGTAATCTCATTTTGACAGAACTGAATTGTTTTTGTTTTTTATGTGAAATATCTGTAAGAACAAAAGTGAAAAAGCTCTCATTGCATTCTGCAGTATTTCACCAATATAGAAATCTCTGCAGTAATCCTGATAAAGTCATTAAATCATTCTTTGCTTTGAAGATCAATTATTCATCATCTAACATTTATGAGAGTCTATTTTATGAGAGGTGCCATGCTAGAAACTGGTCATATGAAGACTGAGACAAATGTACATATTCTCACATGCTCTATGGCATAAAAATATCAGCTGAGCTGAACTAGGTTGATTTTAGATGACTTCCAGAACACAAAATGAAGGGCTGCTGATGGCATACCCCGAACATAGGACATCAACATATAGATGGCAATTATAGTCTAGAAAATAACCCTTCATACTTACTAGGATATTAAACTGAAGAAAATGAGGCAGATTTGGTCCCTTAGAGAAGAAACAGATTTCCCACTATCTGATAAGGATGTGGTTTTCTTTACTTACTGTGTAGGTAAAAGCAGTATATGGGTTTAAGAAAATATCAAGGACAATGAATAAGTCTAGAACAATCCCTAAAACCTTCGAGATTATGTCAGATATCTCAAATAGTCATGGACGTTGCGGTATCTCCAGGATACAAGTAGAACAGATAACTTTAAAAACAAACAAAATTTTCATTTTAGTTTAAAATTGCGCCAGAAATCTTTACAGTAATTCTGATAAAGTCATTACATCATTCTTTGCATTGAAGATCAATTATTCATCATCTAACATTTATGGGAGTCTATTATATGAAAGACACCACACTAGAAACTGGTCACACAAAGACTAAGACAAATGTCCTTGTAAATATCCATGTCTCTATGCAACCTAAGTCTTAGCAAACAAATAAAGAAAATCTACTCTAAAATTTTAAAACTTTCGTAAACAATCTGGGCATCCAGCAGATGCTTTAAAAATACCTGTTGGATGGGGACTGAGTGTTTACACTTCTCACTGAAGTAATAAAATGATGCAGATGATGGAAAAAGTTGAATTGGTATTTAGACTCCCAATACTGCCCTGATTTCAGGTTTGTCTCTATTAAAAAATTAAATGGAGAAGTTTATCAGCTCTATTTAGTGAGTCAATATAATGAGCACATCTGAATGATCCTAAATCAATTTTCCTTATCAGGATATGTGTTTGCCCGAAGTTTTGACTCTCTACTTTGTCTTTTCTTTTGGAATCATATCCCTGTTAAGAATTTATATATGATGAGAAATAAAGCTAAAGGATATGATCCTACATAAGACAAAGCTTACAAAGAAAATTCTGTTTTGGATGAGATCCGAATATATGAGGAATCATCCATAACACTTTTCTCTTACCTACTTTTATACAGAAACAAGGATGCTATATTTTAAATATGTAATGGGAACACATTAAAGTATCATTATAACATTATTTTATATGTTTAAATGTTTTCCTACAATTAAACTTACAATCATGCCAAAA